>NC_000023.11:143027116-143726361 GCF_000001405.40 Homo sapiens | reverse complement strand
AGCCCACCATGCCCGAGCCTCCCCCCACCCACCCCATGGACTCCCGCATGGCCAGAGCCTCCCCAACGGGCACCACCCCCTGCTCCGCGGCACCTGGTCACATCCACTGCCCAAGGGCTGAGGAGTGCGGGTGCATGGTGTGGGACTGGCGGGCAGCTCTGCCCACGGCCCTAGCGTGGGATCCACTAGGTGAAGCCAGCGGGGCTCCTGAGTCAGGTGGGGACTTGGAGGAGTTTTATGTCTAGCTGGAGAATTGTATATGCACCAATCAGCACTCTGTGTCTAGCTTGGGGTTTGTGGATGCACCAATCAGCACTCTGTATCTAGCTAATCTGGTGGGGACTTGGAGAACTTTTATGTCTAGCTAAAGGATTGTAAAAGCACCAATCAGCACTCTGTGTCTAGCTCAAGGTTTGTAAACACATCAATCAGTGCTCTGTGTCTAGCTAATCTAGTGGGGACTTGGAGAACTTTTATGTCTAGCTGAAGGATTGTAAATGCACCAATCAGCACTCTGTGTCTAGCTCAAGGTTTGTAAACACACCAATCAGCACCCTGTGTCTAGCTCAAGGTTTGTAAACGCACAAATCAGTGCTCTGTGTCTAGCTCATCTAGTGGGGACTTTTGTGGTGATTGTAAATGCACCAATCAGTGCTCTGTGTCTAGCTAATCTAGTGGGGACTTGGAGAACTTTTGTGTCTAGCTAAAGGTTTGTAAATGCACCAATCAGCACCCTGTCAAAACGGACCAATCAGCTCTCTGTAAAATGGACCAATCAGCAGGATGTGGGTGGGGCCAGATAAGGGAATAAAAGCAGGCTGCCCCAGTCAGCAGTGGCAACCCACTCAGGTCCCCTTCCACGCTGTGGAAGCTTTGTTATTTCGCTCTTCACAATAAATCTTGCTGCTGCTCACTCTTTGGGTCCACCCTGCCTTTATGAGCTGTAACACTCACTGCGAAGGTCTGCAGCTTCACTCCTAAAGCCAGGGAGACCACGAACCCACCAGGAGGGATGAACAACTCCGGACGGGAGGAACGAACAACTCCAGACGTGCTGCCTTTAAGAGCTGTAACACTCGCCACCAACGTCTGCAGCTTCACTCCTGAAGTCAGCGAGACCACGAACCCACCAGAAGGAAGAAACTCCAGACGCATCTGAACATCTGAAGGCACAAACTCCGGACACACCATCTTTAAAAACTGTAACACTCACCGCGAGGGTCTGCAGCTTCATTCTTGAAGTCAGCGAGACCAAGAACCCACTAATTCTGGACACATTGCTAGGCTGTGGAAGTTCTGCTGGATAATATCCTGAGAGTGTTTTCCAACTTGGTTCCATTCTCCCTGTCACTTTTAGGTACACCAATCAAATGTAGGTTTGGTCTTTTCACATAGTCCCATATTTCTTGGAGGCTTTGTTCATTCCTTTTCATTCTTTTTTCTCTAATCTTGTCTTCACACTTTATTTCATTAAGTTAATCTTCAATGTCTGATATGCTTTCTTCTGCTTGATCAATTCGGCTATTGATATTTGTGTATGATTCACAAAGTTCTTGCTCTGTGTTTTTCAGGTCCATCAGGTCATTTATGTTCTTCTCTAAACTGATTATTCTAGTTGTCAATTCCTCTAACCTTTTTTCAAGGTTCTTAGCTTCCTTGCATTGGGTTAGAACATGCTTTTTTAGCTCGGAGGAGTTTATTATGACCCACCTTCTGAAGCCTACTTCTGTCAATTTGTCAAACTCATTCTCCATCCAGTTTTGTTCTCTTGCTGGGGAGTTGTGATCCTTTGGAGAAGAAAAGGTGTTCTGGTTTTTGGAAGTTTCAGCTTTTTTGCCCTGGCTTTTCCTCATCTTCATGGATTTATCTATTATTGGTCTTTGATGTTGGTGACCTTCAGATGGGGTTTTTGTGTGGATGTCCTTTTTGTTGATGTTGATGCTATTCCTTTCTGTTTGTTTTCTTCTAACAGTCAGGCCCCTGTGCTGCAGGTCTGCTGGAGTTTGCTGGAGGTCCACTCCAGACCCTGTTTGCCTGGGTATCACCAGCAGAGGCTGCAGAACAGCAAATATTGCCGCCTCTTCCTTCTTCTGGAAGCTTCGTTCCAGAGGGGCACCCACCACATGCCAGCCGGAGCTCTCCTGTATGAAGTGTCTATAAATCCCTCCTTGGAGGTGTCTCCCAGTCAGGAGGCATGGTGGTCAGGGACCCACTTGAGGAGGCAGTCTGTCCCTTAGCAGAGCTCGAGCATTGTGCTGGGAGATCCATTGCTCTCTTCAGATCCAGTAGGCAGGAACGTTTAAGTCCGCTGTATCTGCGCCCACAGCCACCCCTTCCCCCAAGTGCTCGGTCCCAGGTACATGGAGTTTTATCTATAAGCCCCTGACTGGGGCTGCTGCCTTTCTTTCAGAGATGCCCTGCTCAGAGAGGAGGAATCTAAAGAGGCAGTCTGGCTACAGCAGCTTTACCGAGCTGGGGTAGGGTCCGCCCAGTTGAAACTTCCCTGCAGCTTTGTTGACACTGTGAGGGGAAAGCCACCTACTCAACCCTCTTAATGGTGGACACCCTTCTGCCCACCAAGCTGGAGCATCCCAGGTCGACTTCAAACTGCTGTGCTGGCAGTGAGAATTTCAAGCCAGTGGATCTTCGCTTGCTGAGCTCCATGGAGGTGGGATCTGCTGAGCTAGACTACTTGGCTCCCTGGCTTCAGCCACCTTTCCAGGGGAGTGAACGGTTCTGTCTCGCTAGCATTCCAGGCGCCACTGGGGTATGAAAAAAAAAACTCCTGCAGCTAGCTTGGTGTCTGCCCAAACGGCTGCCCAGTTTTGTGCTTGAAACCCAGGGCCCTGGTGGCATAGGCACCCGAGGGAATTTCCTGGTCTGCAGATTGCAAAGACCATGTGAAAAGCATAGTATCTGAGCCAGAGTGCACTGTTCCTCACAGCACAGTCCCTCACAGCTTCCATTGGCTAGGGGTGGGAGTTCCCTGACCGCTTGTACTTCCCAGCTGAGGTGACACCCCACCCTCCTTTGGCTTGCCCTCTGTAGCCTGCACCCACTGCCTAACCAGTCTCAGTGAGATGAGCCAGGTACCTCACTTGGAAATGCAGAAATCACCTGCCTTCTGCATTGATCTCGCTGGGAGCTGCAGACCGGAGCTGTTCCTATTTGGCCATCTTGCCAGCCACTCCCTTTAATTGTTTATTATTCATTTGGGTTGAAAATATAATTACTGAAGTTTTCAATAGGAGTTATTCTATAAAGTACGTTGTAATCTTTCAATAGAAATATGCACTAAATGTTTTCTTAACATTTGGATTAATTTTCCTTGGATAGTGATATACCCATTGAAACATTTTTGGTAAACAAATTTAGAAAACAATTTTAAAAGGTAGTAAGATGATTGAAAGCTGTTATTTTCAAAAATTGTAATCAGTTTCTGACTTACTGTGTTTGATGTGGCATATGCCTTTTGGTTTTCTGTTTGTTTTGTTTTCCATAACATGATATGACAGGGTGTTATTCTCACTGTTGATTGCAGGCAAGAGTACAAAAAATTATTAGAAGTTAGCTTGTGAGCATTTAATAAATGGAATTGTTGAACTATAGACAATGTCTGGGGTTCACTAAAAATGTATACCTTAATAAGAATCTTCTTTTGATTTGTTAATGTTTAGATGACAGTCATGAGAATGCAATAAATGCCTTGTGTCTGGAGGTCAGCGGGGTATCTTTCTAGGCCTTTCTTGTTTTTATGGTGTATAAAATAAAGTTATGTGAGCTTGATGAACACTGGAACAAAATTCCAGGGTCTACTTCTCGTTTGTCTTATTTTTAGATTTTTTTTTTCATTATCAGGTTTTGTGACTTCTTATAGAGAATGAGACAAGTGTCAGTCAACCTGTGGGAGAAATCCTGGGCCATGCCTTCTCTATTTTCAGTCCTCTTTCTTACTGTCTTTTAAAATATTTTTAGATTTTTATTTTGAAACAATTATAAATTCACAAGAAGTTTCAAAGATACGTACATGGAGGCCTTTTGTACCCTTCAACCAGTCTCTCCCAATAGTAAAATCTTCAATACACTACCACATTACACTATCAAAACTAGAACATTGACAGTGATGCAATCCAGAGCTTTTTAAGATTCAACACTTTTCTTTTGACTATTCTAGGCACTTTATATTTCCATAGGAATATTATAATTATCTTGTCAATTTCTATTAAAAAGGCTTTTTAGAATTTTGATTAGAATTTAGTTGAATCCACAGATGAAATTGGAAATAACTGCCATTTTACAATATTGAATCTTCCAACCGAAAATCAAAGTATAGATCTCAATTTTTTTCTTATGTCATTAATTTATCATTGTAAATTTTTGTAGTTTTAAGTGTACAAGTCATTTACATCTTTGGTCAGATTTATCCCTAAGCCTTTAATATTTTTAGTGATATTTTAAATTGCACTGTTCTTAGTTTCAACTTTCAGTTGTTGAAATTAACTTCCAGTCCACCCTAGGACTACCATTGGCTAAAACATTGTCTCTTCTAATATAGAAACTTCTCATATGTAACTGCTAATATATAAACATACAATTGATTTGTGTGTTGATCTCTTACTTTGCAATTTTGCTAACCTCAATTAATGTAGAACCATTTTTTTAGATTGACTTTTCTACATATACTCTCAGGTAGTCTTTGACAAAAGATACTTTTACTTCTCCCTTTCCAATCTGAATGCATTTTTTTTTCTTTTACACTGGACACAATCTCCAGTACAAAGTATAACTGTGCCCATACTGGTGCACATGTGGGTCTTAGATTGTAGCATCCTGCAGGTAAATACTCAGAACAACTTCCAGCACTTGAATATCCACTCCTTCCCCCACCCACATACTGGCAGAATTCATGTTGGGATACTACATTTACTATGAACATAGACCCCTGATTTGAAACAAGACTAGGATACATGGTAAAGAAAGTTTATTCACCAAAGTTTTGACAGACTGAAGGCCATTATTTCAGATTGGAGATAGGAAACTTAAAAGAACTACATGGACATTGGGTAAAAGAACATGGGTTGAAATTTGCCTGGCAGTAGCCTAAAAGTAAATGGTCTTCAAGGTGCATGTGAAGGAACTGTAGGAGGGAAATGGGATAATTCACATCTCCACCAATAATTAAATGTAGCCACACTAGCTTGGAGGGATTTGAGGTGAGACATCTAAAATACTAAGTCATGGTGAGGGCTGGAAGACAAAAGAATGAATGACTTCATAGGAATGACTGTGGGGAAGGGCTTGAAGGAATCATCCTCTCACTTCCATGTGAACCATGAACATTAAACATGGAGAAATGAGCAGCAGCAGATTAGTTTGGGATGCATCTTCAGGGGATGCTGAAACAACAACAGCATTTGGTTTCCTCTACACCCCTGTCATCCGTCCCCCACAAGCCCAGGGAGTGGTCAGCAGTGGTGCTTTGTGATGTCTAAGCCACCCTAGGACTGCCATTGGCTGGGACACTGCCTGTATGATCAAACAAAGCTCAAGAGTGTGGCTTTGCCTTGCCACCAGGAAGGTATACATAGGGAGGGCCAGAGCTCTGGGACATCCTCCTGGCAAGCTTCAATATAGCTGTGGAAGTCTGCAGTCTACAAGAGCCTACTATAGACATTCTACAACCAAGCAGAATCATGGAACAGCCGACTTCAAGCACCAATGGGGAGAAGAGGAAGAGCCCCTGTGAATCCAATAACAAAAAAAATGATGAGGTAAGATTGTTAGGTTTTGAAGGGAAGGTGAGGGTGAAAGAAAGACACACAGAGAAGGGACGGCTCAAACAGCAACACAGGAATACTGCAGACACCTGTGGAAGTGGGGGACCCGCTTAATGCCAGAACCCACCGCCGCTTACAGGCTGGGGTGCTTATAGGTATGGGTGGGAGGGGCCGGGGCAGTATGGCTTGCTGCCCGGCAGGATATTGATAAGATGTTTTTATGATCAGGCTGTTTGGTCCTTTTTCCAGTGGGATGTCATTGTGGTGTTTCTTGGAACTTTGCCCAGCAAGATACCATAGGAAAGTTTCTTTAGTTGGACCTGTGTCCGCCTTGTGTTACGACGATTAGGCAAGATTTTTCTCATGGCCCGAACCCCCGTGGAATGTTTCACTTTGATCAAGGTCTGCAAAATAGCAGGGTGCTTACTAAATGGTGGTTTGGACTCACATTCTTGCCTTCTACTTTAGTATAAAAGGAAGAGGGGCATTGTTGATTATCTGGCTGCTTGCTGCCGAATAGGGGAGCTGTAATCAGGGTTTGGGTTTTGAAGCAGGGGGTGACGGACTTCAGAGTTGTTTTCCTGGAGGCACTGGTACCGGACTTGGCAGAGGAGAAGGATGGTATCAATGTGTTGCTGGGTGGCTGCCTGGAGAGGGGAGTTTAGCCTTCGGGAGATAAAGCAGGATATGAAGGTGAGTATACATCGGCCAAATGTACTATCAGGAGGAGGAAGATTAACGGCCCTAAGAAAGGGACCACCTGCTATCCCAGTGCTGAGTGCATCAGAGATGTTTAGTTCTGCTAACACTAGAATGAGATGTACAGCCTGCTTAGTGTGTGTGGAGGAAGATGAGACAGAAGCTACTAAAGGAACCTGGATGGTCTGCTTGTTAGGCAAAGTGTTAATGTTTAGATTGAAACACAAGGGTGCATGTTCCTGACCAATTGGCCAGTAGGCAGAGATAAGAGTTTGTGCCGCAAAGGAAGAAGACACTAGGGGTGGACAGACAAAAGTTGTAGGTTATGGTGGCAAGTCATGAGAAGGTGGGGGTTGAATTCTGCACAAACCCTTTGTTTTAACTTTTATGTTTTTCCAAGTTGAATACCTGCCAGCAAGGGTAGCCCCTCTGAAGGCCTGATAGGAAATGTTGGTAGTGGAGGAGGTGAAGGCTGTTTGGTTTTGGAGAGAGAGCAGGAAATGGGTTTTTGTAACTAATAGCCATTGCGGTCCTGACAGCGCAGAAGGATACAGGTTGCAGTTGAGGGAATTGTTTGTGGATATTTTCCAGGGAGCGCCCTTGACTTGGATACATGGAGAGCGGCTCCGGCAGAAAGGGGAGGGGTTGATAAGAGGTATTTTCTGGAATCCGACTGGTAACATGTTTAGTTAAGAGGCTATGAGGTGAAGGAGGGTGACAGCCCTGTGTGTGACGGTGTGGGTGGATTTGATGGATTGGTGGGGGGGGAAAGGTGATTAGCCGAGCAAGATTATAAGCAGGTTTTGCGAATGAATTGGTCAATTAGGTGAAATGCAGGTTTATTTTGGACAGGGTTCATGTGGCCAGGTTAACAGGAAGGGCTGTGAACTACTGGATTTGTGTGGACAAACAAATTTAACAGTTGGAAGGAAGAGGGGAGTGTGACTGATTTAAGAGGCAGTGAGGCTGATGAAGGGGGCTCATCTGTTAGACGTTCGGGGTGGGGACTTAGAATATCCCACAGATAGAGAGGACAAAAGGAGAAAGAGGAGATTTGAGTAGGAGTGAAATTTTGGAAGGTGCCCTGAAGTCATATCTCCTTGATTAGTGTGACAAATTGGCCTGGACTATTCAGGGTCATGGGGAAGGGAAACCAGGAAAGATCTGAAATAAAGTAGGAGACAAAAGATTGGAAACTGGAGACAGAGAGTGTTATGGACTAAGGTGTTCTGGATTGGCAACTTCTGGAATTCTTGTTAAGTACAGTGAGGTTGGTCTTGTCAGGGAAGGAGAATAATTTGGGGGTGAACAAATTTCTAGATGTGGATCTGGTGCTCTTTTTAGTTTGAAATGTGCATTCAGTGTGCAAAGGATGTTAGCTTTGGCGCTGTGGGAGTAGTTAGCATCACCTGGTGAGAATTCCTCCACTTAGGTTGGAGAGCGGGGGAGGAGGAGTCTGTGATTCAGACCCAGCCCGCTGGTTGTAGGGACAGGGAGGAGTGTTTTGAGGATGGACTTTTAGGCTGGGTCAAGTAAGCATTTGCGTACTGTCTTATTAGATGTTGGGTGAGGTGTAACGCCGGCCAAGTATTCCATATAGAATGGGGGGAAAATACAGGGAGATTCTGGAGGATAAATGGAGCATTTGTACATGAATTTAAATGGGCTTAGGCTGAGCGCTTTTAGGAAATGACTCATAATCGCATGAGGAACAATGGGAGAAGTGAAGTCCAGGCCATTTTAACCTTTAAGGAGAGTTTGGTTAGTTGTTGTTTTTTATAAAATTTTTCCTGAAGATTCGGAGTGGTAAGGAATATGGAAAGCCCATTTAATGTTTAGAGCCTTTACCAGCTGTTGGTTAAACTGAAACAAATTGGCCCATTGTCTGACTGGATGCAAGAGGGGAGTTTAAACCGGTGGATAATATGGGTGGAGAGAATAGAAGCGATGGTGTGTGCCTTTTTGGTGGTGGTAGGAAAAGCTTTTATTCATCCAGAGAATGTATCTACTATTGTTAGAATGTATAGGAATCACTTTCTGGGGAGCATGTGAGTGATGTTGATTTGCTAGTCCTGCCCTAGTAAGTGTCCTCAGGTCTGGTGTGTGGGAAAGGAGATGGTTTGATAGCTTCCTGAGGGGAAGTTTGAGTGCAAAGGGAACATGCCTTAGTAATATCTCTGAGATGGGCAACCATGGTGGAAGAATGTCTAGAAGTTTTTAAAAGCTGGAGTAGGGGCAGTAACCGGCATGGAAATGGTTGTGCACATATGAAAGTACAGAAGGTTTTTTAAACTTGGGCAAGACACTTTATCAGTGAGATCGAACTATTTTTTCCTGAATGGCACCAGCCTGGGCAAGTGGGTTTTTTTCCTGCTGGGTATATACAGGGTGTATGCTGGGAAAAAAAATGAGCAATAACGATGGGGTTTTAAGGGCTGCCTGCCAGGCTGCCGAATTTGTTGAAAGGTTTTTCTCGGTTTTGGCATCTGTAGCCTTTCGGTGTCCCTTGCAATGGATAATGGTGGCCTTTGGTGGTGGTTTATCCACCCCCAACAGCTTATGTGTAAGTTTGCCATTTCTTATGGGGGTTCCTTTTGTAGTTAGGAAACCCTGTTCCTGCCAGATGAAGGCATGAGACTGTAGGACATGGTATGCATATTTGGAATGGGTGTAAATGTTGACCCTCTTTCCCTTTGCTAGGGTGAGGGCCCTGGTTAGGGCAACTAGCTTTGCCTGTTGAGAGGTAGCATGGGGTGTGAGAGCATTCGATTCTAGGAGTTTATCTTCAGCACTGATGGAATAGCCAGCTGCTGGACATGGCTGCCTAAAAGAGGTTCCATTAACTAACCGTGTATGTGTTCCCTGCAAAGGGGCATCTGAAATGTGTTGGAAGGGGGAGGAGAGGGAGTCTAAGAGGTCCAGACAGGAGTGAGAGAGCTTAGAGTCGGAAGTGTTTACAGGGAGAAGGGTGGCTGGGTAGAGAATTTTATGTCTCTGGAAGGTGATTAGAGGGTTACCTATGAATAAGGCATGCACCTGCTGTAAGCAGGATGGTGGGAGGGATAGAAGGGATTGGTGGTTTATGAGGTCCTGTAGATAATGGGAAGATGCAATAGTAATGTGTTGGTAGAGAGGGAGTTTCCGTGCATCTAAGGCCAGCAATGTGGCCATACCCAAGATTTTTAGTCAGAGTGACCAGCCTCGGATGACAGAGTCCAGTTGTTTTGAGAGGCGTGCAATGGCTTCTGGGGCGTTGCCATATGTTTGGCAGAGTAGTCCAAGGGCAAGGCGCTGGTCAGAATGTACATAGAAAGTAACAGGCTTGGTGAGGTTTGGCAGTCCCAGTGCCAGGGCCATTAAAAGGGCATTTTTAAGTTTTTAAGTTGGAGTTGATGGGGCAAGCTGGGTTCAGGGGTTTTAGGATGGGCCCATGTGAGGCTACGTATAGTGGCTTGGCCAGCAAGTCAAAGTTAGGAATTCACAGCCAGAAGTATCCCACAAGGCCCAAGAAGGAGGGGAGGTCCTTTTTTTTTATGTGGGGAAGGGGCATGTCCCAAATTGGCTCCTTTCATTGGGTTGGGATGGCTCGAGAATTAGGGGTTAGAACAAACCCAAGGTAAGTAACTTTGATTTGGGTACCTGAGATTTTGTGGGTTAGGCCCAATATACTTGATTATGAAGGAAGTTTAAAACCTGAGTGGTGTGTTGAATGGACAGGTTAAGAAAGGGGCTACAGAGAAGGAGGTCATTGACATACTGGAGGAGGGTACTAGGAGCAAGGGGAAGTTCAGCTAGGTCCTTGATGAGGGCCTGTCTGAACAGGTGGGGCCTATCCCGGAACCCCTCTAAGAGTACAGTCTAGGTGTAAGTCCATGTGTAAGTCCTGTAAGAGTACAGGACATGTGAGTATTAGGATTTGACCAAGTCAAAGCAAAAAGACTTTGGTAAGCCAGATTTAAGGGAATAGTGAAATAGTTGTCTTTTAGTTCAATACAAAGGAGTGTGTGGTAGATGGGGCAATACGGTAGAGTAGAGTATATTGGTTGAGGACCACTAGATGGATTGGTACCACGGCCTGGTTAACGACTTGGAGATCCTAGACAAAGGGGTAAGTCCCGTCTGTCTTTTGGAAAGCCAGAATAGGGGTGTTGTGGGGAGAGTTAACAGGCTTGAGAATATGAGCTTGTAAAAGTTTACAGATAATAGGTTTGAGACCCCCTAAGCAAGGCTGGATTAAGGGGATATTGAGACTGATGAAGGAAAATGGAGGGGTTTTGAAGGGTTATTTTAACTGGGATGTGATGTGTGGCTATTGTGGGTTTAGAAACATTCCAAGCTTTAGAATTAACAGAAGGTAACAGGGTGGATAATGAGGATGAGTGGGGGGAGAGGGAAGCGTTTGGGTGTCAGAGTAAAATAAAAGGGGTAGAATTGTAGGAGCCACATTGCATGGAGTTCTGGAATTTACTTAATATGTCCCATCCCAAGATAGGGGTAGGGGACTGAGGGATAACCAGGAAAGAGTGGGTGAAGGGGGCTGCTGAATAGGTTGTATAATAAAGGACCAGTCTGTGCCTAGAGGGGATTTTATTGATTCTCACAATAGAGATCGAAGAACAGAAAAAGGGTCTAGAATATTCTGGTCAAACTGAGTAACTAGTTGTCCTATTGAGTATCCAATAGGAAAGACATGGGCTTACTAGAGACTGACAGAATTACCCTGGGTTCCGAGGTGGTGATGGCAGTAGGGGCGGTGGACTCCAGGCCCCACCTGTCTTCAGGTACAGGTGGTGAAGCAGGATGAAGAGTTTCAGTGAGCACAGTCTGACTTCCAGTGTTGCTTGATACCACAGATGGGGCAAGATTTCCAGAGTGTCCTGGGATTAGGCTAGGCTTTTGCCCAGTGTCCCTGTTAGACGAACTTGTAACAGGCTCCTGGAGTTGACTGTTGCCAAGTTGAGGAATTCTGTAGGCCTTGGGAACCCTGTTGAGTGGCAGCTACCAGCATTTGGTATTTAGCCTGGTCCTTCTTTAGGTTTGGATTTTTTAGTTCTTCCTCTCTAATCTTATAGATCTTGAAGGCCACTTTGATTAAGTCTCTTTGGAAGGTTTGAGGGCCACCCTCCAGTTTTTTAAGTTTTTTTCAAATGTCTGGGTCTGACTGGGAGATAAAGTATAAATGGAGGTAGTTTTTGCCCTTATTGGTATTAGGGCTTAAGGTGGCATATTTAGTTGTGACTTTTGAAAGGCAGGAGAGGAAACGAGCAGGGACAGCTTTATTTATGCCAGCTAGAAGGCATGATATCATATGGCCTGATTTCTGTCTGTCTACTGAAGTTGCCTGATAATTCCAACTGGGGCCAGTTCTGGGGACAGCTAGGGTCCCTATTGGATTATGAGCAGCATCTTGTTGGTGGAGGGTGTTCTCATGGACCTGGGCACCCATAAAGATGTGTTCCCTGTCCTCCAGGGTGAGGGTAGAGGAGAGGATGACATATATGTCATGCCAGGTAAGGTCATAAGATTTAGGGAAGTACAAGAATTCCTTGTGGAAGGAGGTTGGATCCATTGAAAAGGAGTCAAGTCTCCTTTCAATATGGGAAAACTCAGCTAGAGAGAAGGGAACTTGAATTCAGATTATGCCTTTAGCCCTCGCAACCTCCTGCAAGGGAAGGACTTTGGAAGGCCTTTGGGCATGTGCCTGGTTCCTAGCGAAAGGGGGTTGGGTGTGAGACCTGGTTTGAGGTGGAGAAGGAAGGGGGATGGAGGGCGACAGTAAGGGGGTGGAGGAGCCGGATCCGAAGGAGAAGGTGGAGGGAATGGGAGAGGGCAGGAGGCTGAAGAACGGGTGTGTTGGCCAGGTTGAAATTCAGAGGAAGAAGACTTGTCCGGAGGAAGAGGCATTTTGGGGGGTTTCTCCTTGAGGAGGAAGATTTGAAAAGGTGAACAAGATTGGCAGAGAGAGAGAGAGAGAGAGAGAGAGAGAGAGAGAGTGAGGCATGAAAGGAGATAAGCAAAGCACTTCAGATTATTTACCATTGCATTGAAGAAAGTTTTTTAGATTATGTTGAATTTGGAAGTTGAATGTTTTGTTTTTTGGAAGAGGGGAGTGAATACTCTGGATGGGAGTGACTACCCCTGAGGAAAGTGAGTACCCTGGAAGGGAGTGAGTACCCCAGGGGTGAGCGAGTACTCCAGAGAGAAGTGAATACCCCATAGGGAAGTGAGTACTTGATTCCTCCTGGGAGAAGGGACCTGGAGAGTTGGGGCAGCCCCGTACTATTCATGCTCCCCAGAGGCCAGAGCAGCCAGAGTGGCAAACGTTTTGAAGGTGTACCCTAAGAAGGGAGGCTGCAGTCACCTGGTGACTGGGGAGACCTCTCACCCAGCACTGGAATTTTTTGGAGAACGGGCAGAAATAGAGAGGAATCTGGAAAGGAGGAAGAGGGAGACTCACCCACTAATTGAAGCCCAGTGTTGGATGTGATGTCCAGAAATGGGGGTGATCCTTGTTGCAGCTGCCCGGAAACAGGAAGGAACAAAAAATAAGGTGGCTTGTTTGATCACTATCTGGAGGTTAGCCCAGGTCTGGAGAAGACTAGAGAATAAGGAGAATGGGACTGGGAACAGGGAGTACACTCAGGATCTGGAAGCAGGCCCTGGTCTAGTTTGTGCTGCTTGCTGCTTTCCAGGTTGCAAGAGAAAACTTACCCATTAGAACCCAATCACCACTCCAGGTTTTGGCACCAAAATGTTAGGTTTTGAAGGGAAGGCAAGGATGAAAGAAAGACACACAGGGGGCAGCTCAAACAGCAACACAGGAATATGGCAGACACCTATGGAAGTGGAGGACAAGCTTAATGCCAGAGCCCACCGCCGCTTACAGGCTGGGGTACTTACAGGGATGGGCAGGAGGGATCTGGGCAATGTGGGATGCTATCCGGCAGGATATTGATAAGATGTTCTTATGATCAGGTGGTTTGGCCCTTTTTCCAGTGGAATATCATTGTGGCGTTCCTTAGAACTTTGCCAAGCAAGATATGATAGGAATGTTTCTTTAGTTGGGCCTTTGTCCGCCCTGTGGTCAGGTGGTTAGGCAGGATGTTTCTCACGGCCTGAGCCCCCATGGAGTGTCTCACTTTGACCAAGGTCTGCAAAATAGCAAAGAACTTGCGAAATCGTGCAGTTTGGACTAACAGATGACCCTACCCATGCTCCTCTTCTTCTTCCCCATAGATCACTACCCTATGATTCCACCTTGTTCTTCTCTGGCACAAACCCCTTCCTCAACCTGCATTCCTTCTCATAAAGCCCCCCTTGCTATCCAGTCTCTACCCTATTCACCCAAAATAATGACTTTCTGGCCTCTCCCTGTTTTCTTATCAGATGCAGGAGGCACCGAACAGGGTCTTAGCCCCCAAACAGAGCTTGCAAAAGACAAAAACAATAGAATATCTAACAATAATAGTGTATTACTACAGGAAGCATACGAAAATAAATTCAAATCAACTGGAGAAGGACCAGTCCCGAGAGAACTCCATCAATCCAGTCCAAGAGGAGGAGGACGAAGGCCTAGACTCAGCTGAAGGATCTTCACAGGAGGACGAAGACCTGGACTCATCTGAAGGATCTTCACAGGAGGACGAAGACCTGGACTCATCTGAAGGATCTTCACAGGAGGACGAAGACCTGGACTCATCTGAAGGATCTTCACAGGAGGACGAAGACCTGGACTCATCTGAAGGATCTTCACAGGAGGACGAAGACCTGGACCCACCTGAAGGATCTTCACAGGAGGACGAAGACCTAGACTCATCTGAAGGATCTTCACAGGAGGGTGGGGAGGACTAGTCAAACATGGAGAAACCAAATTGGACAAATCCTCACTACCAATGGCGATGATTACAATAAAATCAAGTTTGAGGAGCTGATGACCGTGTATATCTCTGCCTGTTGTCTGATGGTGGGAAGGAAGGGAAGGGAAGAGGTAGGCATTTGAGAAGGGAAGGATATGAGATCCTGTAGGGTTGGCGGACAGACCCACAGGTTGACAGTTTCCCAGACATTGTAAATAAGGCCTGGGGGAGGACTTATTCCTAGAGACAAATTTTCTTCTTAAAATTTTATCTAACAGGAGAGGAAGAAAAGGACTTGGTGTTTGGAGCATGTGAATATGTAGAAGGGCATTTAAAAAGATCTGTATTGGCCGGGCACGGTGGCTCATGCCTATAATCCCAGCACTTTGGGAGGCCGAAGCAGACGATCTCCTGAGGTCAGGAGTTCGAGACCAGCCTGTCCAACATGGCAAACCCCAGTCTCTACTAAAAAAAAAAAATACAAAAATTAGCTGGGAGTGGTGGCAGGTGCCTGTAATCCCAGCTACATGCGAGGCTGAGGCAGGAGAATCACTTGAACACAGGAGGCGGAAGTTGTAGTGAGCTGAGATCTGGCCACTGCACTCCAGTCTGGGGGATAGAGCGAGACTCTGTCTTCAAAAATAAATAAATAAAATAAAATACAAAGATCTGTATTGTATGTAGGTGACAGTGACACTCTTTCCAAAATGAAGACATCAAAATCACCACCTCCAGGCCACATACCTCATAGTGATTTGGGTTGCAACTCAACCAATACTGTAAGCAACTGAAGCCCCTCAAATGGACAAAAAACCTCACCCTACATAGAGTAAGACAGCATGTCACACACACCAAAATAATGGTGTTTGGAGGCCATGGTCCCAATACTAGGGCATTTCCTTGTTAAGAAACTAGTGGCCATTGTCTACTGCAGGCAATAAATGAAAGCATAGTCTACAGAGAATTTGAATATAATGATACAAGTAAAAGTTGGTATTTTTATTACCACTTCCATACACCAGCATTTCTATAGAATGTCAATGATTAAGAATTCTTCCCTTGAAAAAAATATTGCTTTTATTGAAGGGAATACAATAGAGTGGTTTGGCATCAATGTAGAGGGCTGAGTTATATATTCTTTGAGTTAATTGCTCAAGACCCTCTCCTATTTATTTACTCATTCACTCTCCTTTATTTCCATGACCCAGTTTTATTTCTCTTGTCTACATTGGCAATCATTGTAATGCGTTTGATGTGTATTCTTTTCTCTGTATGAGTGTTATTACATGTTTTTTATTGTTTGTGGACATTTGTTTTCAATTTATGTAGCCATTGTCAATATTTAATGTTTCACTCAGACCTGTTTTTAAGATGCATCTATTTATATATAATCTGTTCTTCCCTTGTAAATGGATATATCGGGTACATTTTTGTATTTTGTAACTTTTAGAAAGATATTTTGATATTTAATATCTGTACCCACCTTCTGGTCCATGTTTTGTTTAATTTATACCTAGTATTATATTTTCTTTCAAGTGACTGTAAATAGTATCATGTGTTTAATTTTGATTTCCACATGTTCAATGTTAGTATATAGAAGTGTGATGGATTTTTTATTTCTATTTTAAAGAAATTTTATTGTGTATATTTGAGGTTTACAACATGATATTATGGGATACATAAAGTAAAATGGTTACTATGGTGAAGCAGATTAGCATACCTCTCTTCTTAGTTTTTAAGTGTGTGACAATAGCAGCTAAAATCTACTTATTTAACAAAAATTCATGATGCAATTTCATCAGCTTTAGTCCCCCTGTACATTAGATCTCTATACTTGTTCATCCGTATTGTGGCAAATGCCAAGATCTCTTTTCTTTAAGTCTGAATAATATTTAGTTCTGTACAACTATAAATAACTACACACACACACACACACACACACACACACACACACACACACACCACATTTTAAAATCCATTCATCCATTGATGGGCATTTAAGTTGTTTCCATATCTTGGCTATTGTGAATAATGCTGTAATGAACGTGAGAGTGCATGTATCTACATGAGGCCGTGATTTCATCTCCTTTGGGTATCTACCCAGAAGAAGGATTGCTGGGTCATATGGTAGTTACGTTTTAATTTCTTTAGAAACCTCCACACTGTTTCACATAATGGTTATACCA
The DNA here is from genome assembly GCF_000001405.40 of Homo sapiens. NCBI lineage: Eukaryota > Metazoa > Chordata > Mammalia > Primates > Hominidae > Homo > Homo sapiens. Next base: position 143,709,843 of record NC_000023.11, on the reverse strand, counting down.
ATCTACATTTCCACCAAGAGTGTACTAGGTTTGTTTTTTCTTCACACTCTCATCAAAATTTGTTATGCATTGTTTAATTGATAATAGCCATCTTAACAAGTGTGAAGTGATATTCTGGTTTTAGTAGGCATTTCTCTTTTGATTAATGATGTTGAACATCTTTTAGTGTTATCTGTTAGCATGCCACTGTAAGAAATAATATGAAGAGATACCATACTGTATCTTTTACTCAATTTCCTCCAATTATAAGATCTTGCAAAAGTATAGTACGTCACAACCAGAAAACTGGCATTAGTATAGTCCATCTGTTCAGATCACCAATTTTACATGTGCTCATTTGTGTGTGTGTGTGTGTGTGTGTGTGTGTGTGTGTGTTTAGTTATATTCAGTTTTATCATATGCCTACATTTAAGGGACAACCACCATAATAATACAGAAGAGTTTCATCAACACAAGGATCTCTCATTTTTCCTGTAATAGCCACACCCAACTTTCCTCTCAAGTTCATAATCCCTAGTGACCACTATTCTCAGCCTATACAATTTTGTTATTTTGAGAATCTTATAGAAATGGAATGATTTGAACTTGAGAAATATGATTTAGGATATCTGGTAGGGGAAATTTCTAAAGATTTCTGAAGATTATGCATATTCAGTTATATGCATTCACAAAGAGATGGTTTGCTACTGGAACATACATTTGAAAGGGAAGCAGAGCATAAAAGTTTGAAAAATTAGCAGCCCGATGATGTGATAAAAGAGAAAACATCATTTTCTGGGGAGGAATTTAGCACACTACAGAAATTTGCATAAGTAATGAGGAGCCAAATGTTAATCACCAAGATAATGGGCAAAATGTCTTCAGGGCATGTCAGAGATCTTGGCTGCCGTCCCTCCCATAACAGGCCAGGAAGCCTAGGAGAAAAAATGGTTTCTCTGGGCCCAGGGCCCCCGCTGCTCTCTGCAGCCTCTGGACATGGCACCCTGCATTCCAGCTGCTTCAGCGCCAGTCGTGGCTAAAAGGGTGGCTTCCATATGTTGTTGGGCCTGCAGTGAACAAAAGTCAAGAATTGAGGTTTGGGAACCTCCGCCTAGATTTTAGAGGATGTATGAAAATGCCCGGATGTCCAGCCAGAAGTCGGCTGCCTTCTTTATAAAATTACAAAATTTCTGAGGCCTTGCCAGCCATGCAGAACTGTGTGTCAATAAAACCTCCTTTGTTTATAAATTACACAGGCTCAGGTAGTATCTTTATAGCCGTGTGAAAACACACTAATACAAATACTTAACTGGGAACCTAGTTCAGGTGAGTTGGGATATAGTGAGAAAACATAAAACTACTCAAAGCATAAAATAACTAGAATTAGATCTTTTTCCTGGATGTATAGCTCTATTTTTATCATTTGGATTACCCTTTGGCCATCTCACTTTACTGTAGTATGCTATGCATTCCTAGCAAGAGATCATGTATAGCTACTTACAAAAGAGATAACTTAAGCATACATATCCATGATTAAAATTGTAACTAAATTCATTATGAAATACATGAGAGGGAATCTAAATATTGCTATTGCTGGATTAAACAGGCAATGCATATTCTTAATAAACGTAACTGTGTTCTTTGATCTGTATCTTAGAGTCTGTAAAATATATTAATACTTCTACCTTAAAAATAATGCATTGTTTTGTGTAGTCATATAGCACTGGATGAGTGTCAACTGCGAACACACTTTCAGAAATACCAAAATCTCTCACCTGGCTTTCTAGAATATTCATAATCACCCTCCATTTTCTTTCTTGATCTTTCTACCAGGTTCTTTCCATTGCTCCCGTAAAGTAAAAAGTTTTAAAGACTTTCATGGAGTACAGACTTCTCCTATGCTCCATTTCTTTGACCTCCAGCTCACCCCAACACAGCTTACAGAAACATTATAAGAGGGAGAAGAAGCATAGTACATTGCAGTTAATGGCATGCACTTTGGAACCACTGTCTAGTTTGTGATTTGGGGCAAGTAATATAGCCCTGTATATGCTTCACTTTCCCCACCTCATAGAGTTATCAGGATAATTAAATTAAATTAATGATAACTTTTTTGTAAAGCACTTAGAACAATTTCAGGCACATAACAGGTATTACACAGAAAGTTTTAAAATCAACAAATAAGTCTCTCTAGGCTTAGCACAGACATTGCCACCTCCAAGAATCTTTGCATAATTTTGCTCTCACAAAACCAGGTTACATGCCCCTTCCCCTTAAATTCCTCCTCCGTGTGCTCTGGCTTCTCGTTATATTCATCACACTATAACGTAGTTGTCAATTGTTCTTAGGATTTCCCCATTGGAGTGATAGACAGGGAAGATGTTCTACAGCTGATAAATGGAAGTTTCCTTATGGCAGGAATTTTATCTTTTTTCCATCTATCAGATCCCCAGTGCCTAGGATAGTATCAAGTACACACACATGTAACTAAAAATTTTGTTGAATGAATTGTCTAAATTTTTCATCTGCTAAGATTCTTACTCCTTTTATACGCTCACCTATTATAGTACTTCACATTATAGATACACAATAATAATAATATTAATAGTAATTAATCAATATATACCTGTCATGAACTGCCTTGGTCTGTTTTGTGCTGATACAACTGAATATCTAAGACTGTGTAATTTATAAATACAAAAATGTTTCTCCCACAGTTCTGGAGGCTAGGAAGTTCAAGAGCAGGTCATGAGGATGTGATGAAGGTCTTCTTGCTCTACCCTCACATGGTGGAAGTGAAATTTTCTGATGACATAATCTTACATAATTACAAATTTGCTGATGACATAATGTTACATAAAAAAAACCTAGAGACTTTACCGGAAAACTGTTAGAATTAATAAGTGAATTGCGAAAAGTTGCAGGATACAAAATCAACATTAAAAATTAGTAGCATTTCTATGTATTAGTAACAAATAATCTGAAAAGAAAATTATGAAAACAATATGATTTAGGGTAGTAACAAAAAATTAAATACCTAGGTATAAACTCCACTAAAGAGGTAAAATACCTGGGTACTGAAAACTGTAAAACACTGATAAAAGAAATTTAAAAGACACAAATAAATGGAAAGATTTTCCCTGTTCATAAATACTATGAAAATGTCCATATTACTCAAAGCAATCTAAAGTCTTATTGAAATCTGTATCAAAATTCCAATGCTGTTTGTAACATGAATGAAAAAGAAATGTTATGAAATTTTTTGGGTATTCCTTTTCTGGTTGGAATCCTCTGTGGCCAGGGGTGCCTATGCTCAAGTTCTTGTCCTGTGTCCAGGAAGAATGAGGTATGCACACAAGTAGAAGGTGAGCAAGATGAAGAGGAGCTTTATTCTGTGTTAGAACAGCTCAGAGAAGACCTGCAGTGAGTAGCTCCTCTCTGTAGGCAGGTCATCCTGTCATCTCTGCAGCTCTCAGCAGAGTGGGGGCCTGAAGTGAATGGATCCTCTCTGCCAGCAGGGCATCTTGAAGAGTGTTCAGCTCTCAGCAGAGAGGAGGCGCTGGAGAGGGTAGCACTTCTTGGCAACTGACTGTCCCAGTGTCTGCTGCTCCCAGCAGAGAAGAGGCCTTGGAGAGGGTGCTCCTCTCCGCAAGTATGCCATCCCAACATCTGCAGCAATTAGCAGAGAGAAAACCCTGGAGAGGGTAGCTCTTCTCTCCAGCTGGTCACCTTCATGTCTGCTCTGCCTTGGCTAAGTCTGGGGTTTTTATGGTCTTCAGAGGGAGAAAGTGCATGCTGATTGGTTCATGGACAACCATGGGCGGGCCTGGGAAAAAGCACCACCAGTTCCCTCTCTGGTCTACAGTACTGGCAGAGGAGCCCACAGGCTTCAGGACTTTCTGGCCTGAAGGTGGGGCTTCACCGGGGACCTGCCGTCTTCTGCCCAGAGTCTGTCTGCCTCCCACTGCCATTCATGGTGCCCAGACTGTGCCAACTGGCACCTGCAGGCCAACACTGTGCTGCCCACTCCCCAGCTGCCTCGGCTTCCCTCCTATATACATCAGTGCCCAAAATTCAGAGGGGGCCAAGGTGGCAGGGGCCTAGTGTCAGCACTGCCTCAAGCGTGCTCTCACCCAGCTGGGCTGCAGTAGCACCAGAGCTCAGCCCCAACTTTGTTCCAAGATCAGAGTGGGCTCTGGTAGTGGGGAGAGGCCAAGCAACAGGAACAGGCACTTCTGAGCCTCGAGAGGTACGGGGACCTACCCAGGTCCCCAAGAGTACAGAGAATCCTGGGTCTGCAGCCAGATTTGGATGGCTACAGCTGCACCCAGGGACCTCCCACCAATACAACTTGAAAGGGGTGGGGCTCCCACTTGTACCCAGCTCCTGCAGGCTCTGTGGAGTGTGCATCCTCAGCCATACCTCTGTTATTGGAGCAGGTGTCAGCAACGGGGAGAAGCCAGGCAGCGGGAGAAGGCACTTCTGAGTGTGAGGGGTAGGAGACCATCCCAGGACCCCAATAGCACAAAGACACCCAAATCTAGAGCTGCAGTGAAGCTCCTGCCTGCTCTGTGGAGGAGGAGGCCCCAGCTCCATGGGGACAGGGCTCCTGCCTGCTTAATGGAGTGTATAGCTCTGGCTGCACCTCCCTGCTGCAGTGGCATCTTGGCAATGGCCACTCTAGATGGGCCACTGCTACCGTCAAAAATACTTCAATTACTATGGAACCACAAGAGACTCTACATAGCCAAAACAATCTTGGGCAAAAAGAACAATGCCAAAGGCAACACACTCCCTGATTTTAATATATATTACAAACCTACAATAAACAATGCAGCATGGTACTGGCACAAAGACAGACAGACAGACAGATAGACAGACAAATGGAACAAAATAGAAAACCCCCAAAATAAACTAAACTATTTATGGTCAACTGATTTTGACAAAGGTACCAGGAACATACAATGGGGAAAGAAGAGCCTCTTCAATAAATGGTACTGAGAAAACTGGATATACACATGCAGTGTAATGAAATTAGACCCTTTTCTCACACCATATATAAAATTAAATAAAAAATGAATTGAAGACTTTTTAAACATATAAATTCAGGGGTGTATTTGCAGACTGTGCATGTTTGTTACATAGTAAACATTTGTGATAGGGGATAGTTATACAGATTATTTTATCACCCAGGTATTAAGTCTAGTATCCATTAGTTAGTTAGCTTTCCTGATCCTTTCCCTTCTCTTATCTTCCATGCCCCGGTAGACCCCAGTGTTCTTTGTTCCCCTCTATGTGTCCATGTATTCTCATCATTTAGCTCCTACTTACAGGTGAGAACATGCTGTATTTGGTTTACTGTTCCTGCTTTAGTTTGCTAAGAGTAATTGCCTCCAGCTCTATCCATGTCCCTGAAAAGTACATGATCAAAGACATAAAGACAGAAATACCATTCAATCCAGCAATCTTATTATTGGGTATACACCCAAAGCAATATAAATCACTCTATTATAAAGATACAAATGTGCATGTTCATTGCAACACTATTCACAATATCAAAGACATGGAATCAATGTAAATACCCATCAATGATACACTGAATAAAGAAAGTACATACACACCATGAAATACTATGCAGCCATAAAAAATAAATACTTAAATAGAATACCTGAAACTCTAAAACTGCTTCTTAAAAAGCGTAAAGAAATAGCTCTGGCCGGGGATGGTGGCTCATGTCTGTAATCCCAGCACTTTTCGAGGCTGAGGCAGGTGTATCGCCTGAGGTCAGGAGTTCAAGACCAGCCTGGCCAACGGGATGAAACCCCGTCTCTACTAAAAACACAAAAAATTAGCTGGGCTTGGTGGCGGGTGCCTGTAATCTCAGCTACTTGGGAGGCTGAGGCAGGAGAACTGCTTGAACCCAGGAGGCGGAGGTTACAGTGAGCCAAGATCGTGCCATTGCACTCCAGCCTGGGCAATAAGAGTGAAACTCTGTCTCAGGGGGGAAAAAAAAGACATAGCTCCATGACCTTGCTCTTAGCCATGATTGTTTGGATATAATCCTGAAAACAAGCAATGAAAACAAAAGTAGACCAATAGAATGGCATCAAACTGAAATGCTTCTGCACAGCAAAAAGACAATTAACCAAATGGAAGGACAACCCACAGAATGGGAGAAATATTTGCAGACCATACATCTGATAAGGGGTTAATACCCAAAATATATATGAAACTCAAAAAACTCAATAGTAAGAAAACAAATAATGTCATTAAAAAGTGGGCAAAGAACCTAAACGGATATTTTGTAAAAGACATACAAATGGAAAATCAGCACATTAAAATACATAGAATTACCAATCATTAGGGAAATGCAAATTACAACTAAAGTGAAATATCTCTTCACACTGTTACAACGGCTTTAATACAAAAGATGAAAGATAACATGTTTTGGAAAGAATGCAGAGAAAAGGGAACTCATACACTGTTGGTGGATTGTAAATTAGTACACTCAGTATGGAAAACGGTATTGAAGTTCCTCTAACACCTAAAAATAGAACTACCCTATGACCCAGTTCTTCCACTTCTGGATATGTACTCAAAGAAACGGAAAGCAATACATCACAGTAATATCTGCACTCCCATGTCCAGTGCAGCATTATTCGCAGTAGTCAAGATATGGAAACAACCTAAGTGTACATCAATGGATGAATGAATAAAGAAAATGTGATATACATACACAACAAAATACTATTCAGCCTTAAAACAGGAGGGAATTACTTTTTATTTGTATATATTTAGGATGCAGTTTTGTTGCATGGATGTATTGAATAGTGGTGAAGTCTGGGCTTTTAGTGTAGCCATCACTTGAGTAGCGTACGTGGTATCCATTACACAATTACTCATCCATCACCCCTGTATTAGGCCATTCTTGCATTGCCATAAAAAATGCCTGAGACTGGGTAACTTATAAGAAAATAGGTTTAATTGGCTGACGGTTCTGCAGGCTGAACAGTAAGCATAGTGTCAACATCTGCTTCTAGGGACATGTCAGGAAACTTTCAATCATGACAGAAGGTGAAGGGTGAGCAGCTTTCTCATATAGTGAGAGCAAGAGCAAGAGAGAGTGCAGGGAGTGTACCACACATTAAAACAGCCATATCTCATGAGTACTCACTCGGTATTGCAATGGCAACATCAAACCATAAGTAATCTGCTCCCATGATCCAAACCCCTCCCACCAGGCCCGATATTCAACATTGGGGATAACATTTCATCATGAGATTGGGGTGGGAACATATGTCCAAACTATATCATTCTGCCCCGGCCCCTCCCAAATGTCACATCCTTCTTACATTGCAAAACATAATTATGACTTTTCAACTTTCCCCCAAATTTTAACTCATTCTCTCATTAACTCCAAAGTCCAAAGTTTCATTGGAGATGAGACAAATTTCTTCCACCTATAAGCCGGTAAAATCAAAACAAGTTATTTACTTCCAAGATAGAATGGAGGTGCTGGCATTGGGTAACCACTGACATTCCCAAAGGGATAAATCAACCTAAAGAAAGAGACTAGAGACACTATGACAATTCAAAACCCATTAAATCTTACAGCTCCAAAATAATCCTTGAGTCCATGTCTCACACCCAGGGCATACTACTGCAAGGGGCTGGCTCCCAAAGTCTTAGGCAGCTCCGTTTCAGCCCCTGTGTATCTGCAGAGTACAGCCCCCAAGGCTCCTCTTATGGGCTGGAGCAGAGTGGCTGTGGCTTTTCCAGGCCCAAGGTGCAAGCTGCTAGTGGATCTACCCATTCTAGAGTCTGAAGGATGGTAGTTTTCTTCTCACAGCTCCACTAGGCAGTTCTCCAGCGGAGACTCTATGTGGGGCCTCCAACCCCACATTTCCCCTCCACACTCTCCTGGTAGAAGTTCTCTGTGAGGGCTCTACCCCTGCAGCAGCGCTTTCCCAGGACACCCAGGCTTTTTCATACATCCTCTGAAATCTAGAAGGAGGCGACCAAGCCTCATTCACTCTTGCACTCGGTGCACCTGCAGGCTTAGCACCATGTGGAAGACACAAAAGCTTATGGTTCGCACCCTCTGAAGCAGTGGCCTGAGAAGTACCTGGGCCCCTTTGAGCGAAGACTAAAGCCAGAGTGGCTGGAATGTGGGAAGCAGTGTCCTAAGGCTATACAGGGCAGTGTTACCCTAGGTCTGGTCCCTGAAACCATTTTTTCCTCCTAGGCCTCAGGGCCTGTGATGGGAGGGGATGCTGCAAAGGTCTCTGAAATGACTTCTAGGCCTTTTTCCCATTTTGTTGGGTATTAGCACTTGGCTCCCTTTTAGTTATGTGAATTCCTCTAGCAAGTGGTTGCTCCACAAAGTGATTAAATTCCTCTCCTAAATAAACTTTTTCTTTCTCCAACATGTGGACAGGCTGCAAATTTTCCAAACTTTTATGCTCTGCTTTCTTTTAAAATATAAGCTCCAACTTTAACTCATTCCTTTGCTTCCACATGTGAGTTAGGTCATTCAAAGCAGCCAGGCCACATCTTGAATGCATTGCTGCTTAGAAATTTCTTCTGTCAGATATCTTAAATCATCACTCCGATGTTCAAACTTCCACATATCCATACAGCATGAACAGAAAGCAGGTAAGCTCTTTGCTAAGGCATAATATGTGTCACTTTTGCTCCAATTCCCAATGAATTCCTCATTTACATCTGAGACCTCATCAGCCTGGACTTCACTGTCCATATCAATATCAGAATTTTGGTCACAACCATTTAACCAGTGTCTATGAAATTCCAAACTTTCTTCTGAGACCTCCAAACTCTTCCAACTTCTGCCTGTTACCTAGTTCCAAGGCCACTTTCACATTTTCAGGTATCTTTATAGCCTCACCCATCTCCTCAGTATAAGTTTTCCATATTTGGCCATTCTTGCATTGCCATAAAGAAATACCTGAGACTATATAGTTTATAAGAAAATTAGTTTAATTGGCCGATGTTTCTACAGGTTGTACAGGAAGCATTGTGTTGGCATCTGCTTCTCAAGAGGTCTCAGCAAGCTTTCTTTCATGGTGGAAGGCAAAGGGGGAGCAGGCATCTCATGTGTTGGGAGCAGGAGCAAGACAGAGTGGGATGGAAGATGCCCCACACTTAAACAACCAGATCTCATGAGTACTCACTCACTATTGCAAGGACAGTGTCAAGCCATAAGGGGTCTGTCCTCATGACCAAACACATCTCAACAGGCCACACCTCAAACACTAGTGATTACATTTCAACATGAGATTTGGTCAGGAACAAATATCCAAACTGTATCAACATCCCTCCCACCATCCCACCCTTCCAAGTCTTTGATGTTTATTATTTCACTCTCTATGTCCATGTGCACACATTATTTAGCTACTATTTATGAATTAGATGATACGGTATCTGACTTTCTGTTTCTGAGTTATTTCATTTAGGAGAAAGGCTTCTAGTTTCATCCATGTTGTTGTAAAAGACATGATTTCATTATTTTTTATGGCTGAATAGTATTCCAAGGTATACATACACCACATTTTCTTTATTCAATTATCCACTGATGGACACTTAGGTTGATTCAATATGTTATCATGAATACTGCTGCAATAAACCGATGAGTGCAGGTATCTTTTTAAATAATGATTTATTTTCCTTTGGGTAGGTACCCCATAGTGAAATCACTGAATCAAATGGGTAGTCCAATTATGAGTTCATTGAAAAGTCTGCATACTGTTTTCCACAGAGCTTGTGCCAATTCACAGTCCAATGAACAGTGTATAAGCATTCCCTTTTCTCCACGATCTCACCAACATCTGCTATTTTTTGACTTTTCAATAATAACCACTCTGACTGGTGTAAGAGCATATTTCATTGTGGTTTTAATTTGCATTTCTCTGATGATTAACGATGGTAAGCCTTTTTTCTGTAATTTGTGACAACATGGATGAATATAGTGGGCATTACAGTAAGTGAAATAATCCAGGCACGGAAATATAAATATCACATGATCTCACTTCTATGTGAAATCTAATAAATTTGTACTCACAGAAATAGAGTGTGGAACAATGGTTATCAGAGGCTTGGGAGGGCTTCAGGAGGGAAAGAATGGGGAGTTTTTGACCAATGAGTACAAAGTTTCAGGTAGACGGGAGGAAAAGGTTTTGAAATCTATTGCACAGCACTGTGATTATAGTCAATAATAATGTATTATATATTTGAAAAATAACAAAGTAAACATAAAATATCTCACCATAAAAATAATAGGTAAGAGATGTGATGGGTGTGCTAGCTTGTTTAATCATGACACATTGTATACATATATCAAACATCACATTGTGCCCCCTAGATGCATATATTAATAATTATGATTTGCCAGTTAAACATAATATTAATAATATTTTTAAAAGTCAAAACAATAGTGATAGGAACTAGTTTTCAGTGTTGTCACAGTCCAGTAGGGGAATAGCAGGAAATTAACAGACATGAAGGAAATTTGGGGGCTGATGAAAATATTCTCTATCATAACTGTGGTGGCTACATGATATTTGTCAAAGGTCATCAAATTATATACACCAACAATAGGTGAATTTTACTGAAGGTAAACTATGCCTTAATAAGCCTGACTTTTAGGAAAGAAATAATCCAGAACAAAGAGTAAGGAAAGTAAAGATTGGACTCTAAATGGATAAACTTTTATGGGATGTAGAGATAGCAGAAAGGAGTCTGGAAGAATACCCTGGACTGTGGTTTAGGTAGTCACAGTAACTTCTTATGTAGTGCCATTGATTCCTGGTAAAAAACATTTTAGAAGCAGTTGACAGGGCCGACAGAATGGTCAGATAGAGTCATAGTATCTGAGAAGCACAGGGAAAATGTTTGCAATTTGACTCTGGCGGTTATGTGTGGCCACCAAACGATTCCCAGTACACTCTCAGTATTATACACTTTTAATTATTTTAACTAAGGACATGTAGTAAATATGTAACATAATCTAACGTTTATACATTCGCATAATCATCTTACAATACATGATTTAATCATCTTACAACTGATAATTGGATCATCTTACAATCATCTTCAATTAGCTTTGAAGTATATCTTACCTTAACAAATGAATAAATTGAGGCTATTAAATATTAAATAACTTTTGGATGGCTATACAGAGACTAAGTGCTGAAGCCATATGTATTTGACACCTCCGCTTGAGCTCCTTCTACCTTGCCCTTGAGTGTTCACACGAGGCTAAGAGAAGGCTGGGTACTTTTATAAAAATTCCCACAGTACTACCAGAGTATTTCAGGAGATAAAAAGACTTTATCAATTATTTAGTCTAACTTCTGTTTTTTACAGATGAGGTACTTAAATTTGAAAGTGTGTTAGCAACTTGGCCAAGGTTATAGGGGCACATGTTGAAACAGCTCACTTAGAACCTAGATCCAGTAACTCCCAATCAGTTACTTTCTTTTCTATTTCTGTCATTGGAAATCTAGGACCACTCAACAAAATGCTCATCAGACCAAGGAGATAAACTTGACTCTAATACACCCATAGAGCTGCTCCTCTTGCAAATATATATATATAGAAGTGCCTCTGCTCACCATGGGGGCAATGTTGGAAAGTACAACCAAACAAATACATAATGTAAAAAGAATTTCTATATTCACAATCTGCTAAGCATATGTCAATGAAGCTATCTTTACCGTCAAACCACCCCTACCCACCTAACAATTTTACTAAAAGTAATCTCTTATCAAGGATCCCAAAGGTGGAATGAAACTAGCCGCTAAAAAATGGTTAACTTTCTTCTAACAGGTTACCTACAGAATCTCCCAGAGAAACTGCTCATCATAATCCAATCTCTAAAAAGTAGGAAGATTTTTTTGTGAGATCAGTGTCATAAACAAATAAGACATTTATTGACTCTTACCACGAACCACACACTGTTCTAAGGTCTTTACATATATTACTTTTTAAAATCTTCATCATGATTCTATGAAGCTAACATAATTATTATGCTAATGTTATAATTGAGGAAACTAAGGTGAAGGCAATTTAAGTAACTTGCCCAAAGCTATACAGTGATAAGAGATGGAGAGCCAGTCAGGGACTTTAGATTTTGCATTCCTAGCCATCACACTACACCTGAAACCTTCTGATATATCTATGGTATGTTTGAAGGGAGGTTCAACTCAATTTTAAAATCAGTTATACCCATTTACATCTATTCTGAAATACATCCCCTTTTCATTCAGGTTTCCAGGTTTCCTATGGATATAATTAATATTGTTAATAGGATGTAGCTTGTGGAACAAGCTCCCCTTAGAAGAAAGAGTCAAGACATGAAAGTTAAAAAAGACTTTTATTTGATTTCTAGCTCTCTCACTTACTGAGCAATTTATTTAATTGTCTTAGCCTCAGTTCTTCAGCAACCAAACCAATATAATTTTATTGGCTTTAGGATTTCTATGCATGCCATTCAGAGTCCTAGTATGATTCACACTAAAAAGGAGTGATCGGGAAGTTTCAGTGAAGATATTATTTATAAGACATGGGAAACCAGCATGGCTTCTGATCAATAATGAGGAACCATTATCACTCCTCAGCTGGAAGGATCAAAGAAAAGGAGTTACAAGAACCCAAAGAAATTGTCTTTCACTGTGGATAGGATAAGGCTGCCGAAGTGGAGCTGGAAGCTTTAGTTGATGGGCACCCACAAGTTCTTGGTGACCATATGGGAGGAAGCCAGGAGAACAGTTTCCTGCCCTTTCTCTCCTCCCTTGCTACAATCTCCTGAGACTTTTTCTGAATCCAGCAGAAGCCAAAGGGAAAGAGAACCAAGCTGTTGCAGCCTATACAAATCAGCCCCCTGGGGTACCAGGAAAACAAGGGTGAAGAAAGGATCCACAGGACACACACTGATAACACTATAAGATGAACATTACATGAGAAAATGCTGTAATGCAGCATGGGCTTAAGAATTATTAATTTACTTTTTTCCTATAGTGGTCATTTTTTGTTTCTGCCAGCTCTGCATTGCATCCTCTTCTTTCAGTAAAATCACCTTTCCTTTAATAAACACACTAATCCCAGGATAGTAAGAGGGTTACATGTAAAAATATGTCAGTGCTTGAAACTTTTACTTTTAGGGAGAGATTCTGTAGCATAGTGGTTTAAACCAAGGGATTTAGAATGAAAGTGCCTGGATCTGAATCACAGTTCACTTACTAGCTGTGACCTTGGGTAAGTTTTAGGAGCTTGCTGAGCCTCAGTTCTCATTTCTGTATAAATGGAGCGTAATACTAATAGTGACTCAACAGGGTGATTTTGAAAATTAAATAAATCAATATATATATGTATATATATAAGTACATTATATAGTGACTATAAAAAATAGATGAGTCTGTATGCAAGACTTGCCTATTATTATTCCATGTGGTCTTGTTAATATTGACAATCAGGTAATCCACCCACTGCCTTTATGATTGAACCTCCCTTTGGATAGGTATGTGTCTCTGGCTGGGCCAATCTGACTTTTTCTCCTGAGAAGCTGAATTATGCACTGAATGATACAAGGTTAAAACAAACTGTTGATGCCGAAGTCACTCTGACAGCAAGGCCCTTAAGAAACTGCCAATTATTTCTCACTATTCAATCCCTGGAATTATCCTGGTTTTATACTTCCAGATTGGTCACTTATTCCTTTGATGTTTAAACAAATTTTTTACTTTTGATATTTTAAACAACTTTATGGAGATATAATTCTCATATACTACAGTTCACCCATTAAAGGCATACAATTTAATGTTTTTAGTACCTTCATAGAGTTGCACAACCATTGCCAAAATCTAATTTTGGAACACTTTCACCACTCCCAAAAGAAACACCTTACCTTCTTTGGTACTCACCCCTCATTCCCTTCAACCACCTCTCTCTAGTGCCTGACAATCATTAATCTACATTCTGTTCCTACAGATTTTAGACAAGGGTGCCAAGAAAATTCAATGATGAAAAGGTAATATTTTTAAAATACGGTGTTGAGACAACTAGATGTCCACATGCAAAAGAATGAATTTTGACCGGTACCTCACAGTCTATACAAAAATTAATTCAAAATGTTAAAATACCTAAATAAAGGAAGTGAAACTCTTAGAAGAAACATAAGTAAAAATTTTATTCCTGTGATTTGTGAATCCTTTCAACAATTTCCTTTTAGAGTTTGGGTTTGTCTAAAATTCTGTTTTGTTTTATTGTTATTGTTGTTTGCTTGCTTGCAAGCAGAGGACTCTAACATATAGCTCTCCAGCCGTTACTCCCTTGCAGTTAGAATATCATCCTACTGATAGGAGTAATATAGTGTTTTCTTCCTCAAAAGCATCCCCACTACCACTCACATTTCCACCCCAGATACATGAAGATGAATGTATGGCATGATTGAACTAGAACATGTTATCTCAGCTTATGTCTGATTGGATCTGAGAACACCATTATAGGTATCTTCACCTGCCAAGTGGCAACTGACTATTTTCTTGAGTAAAATACAACACTGCTAAGAATATTCATGAAAGTTTTTATTTTGCAATTTAACTGTAAGATTCTTGCCTAATACTTTGAGCAGGACTATTTTTCTACCTCTTAAGAAACAGACTGGACTCCCTGAGTTGTTGACCCTAGGTTATTAACCTTATTGAAAAGCTAAATTTAGGCTTAAACTCAAGAACATTTTTTCTAAGAGTTTTCCTGAGTCAGCAATACTAATCTTCATGGTATCTAACTAGTCAATCTCTGGCAGTGTTTTGGCATGTGTTCTTACAGGGCTAAATGAAGTTGCAATGAACTTAAAATAAAAGACAAATAAAAGTTAACAAGTTGTTCAGTTTGGCACCGTGACCATTAAACTCAATGTATGGAACTAGAGAAGGCTGCTGTGAATTATGGAATTAAGAGAACTTATCACAGAAGAATACTAGTGACTTGCTACTTAGTGATAGTCTATTTATTAGGCATTTCAATTTAACGTATATCGGCAATTTTAATTTTCTAAACAAATTGAATAAGAATATGAAAACCCTTTAAATAGTAAAACCATATATATCTCTCTGTGTCTGTGTGGTGGTGGAGGAGGAGGTGTTGGAGGAAGAAATCAATCTGATATTACCATCAGTAATATGGCATTCTTACTGTAAGAGGGTCAAGGATGAACATGTGTAGTCATAGATCTAAAACAAACTGGTCAAATGATGATGGTGTTTGCTGCTTTGCTGCTTGAATCATAAATGGTAACATTCTTTTACTTTGCACATTGCCACAGCTGTTCATTAAATCGCATAAAAGAAAATGCAAATTGCCTTCCCCATAAAGTAAATGCAAGAGTATTCTCAAGTTTGGACCATCTTGCTGAGAAAGTGTACAACAACTGCAGAACTCAAATAATAATAATAACAGTAACAAAACCTTCTGTTGTATAGGATGGAAGATGCAGTTTCAACAATTTGCAGGGTTCTTTTTTTCTCTGAGCAAGTCAATTGAACCACATGCTTGAGAAAACATATTTTTGTTATTGTAGAAAAATTATTACAGATTTTTCACATGAGAAAAGTACAGATAAAAAAACAGCAACGAGTGCACTGATATCCATCTAAAGAAGAGAATAAGCTTGCTGTTAAGTGTGGGCAATAAGACAGATAAGGATGTCAAGTAATGCATCAACATATGTGAGAAAAAAAGAAGAGTACGTAAAAATAGGAAGTTAACTAACCATCTCCTCTCCTGCTTTTTTCTCTTATATCTTTTGCTGCTCCTGCAATGAATTGTTTCTTTCTACCTAAGCATAAAATGCTAGTCTCTTGTTATCCAGTCCTACATACATTTATACTTTACTATACCTTCTTCTTGATGATTCCATTTAGTCCTACGGCTTCAATTATTATCTATTCCACATATACATAGCTTCCACATGTATAACTCCAGCTAAGACATTTCTTCTGAATTCTAGAACAAGTCTCCATTTGTCTCCTGAACGTGTCTACATGGGTACCTGAAAGGCATATCAAATTCAGCGTGTCTGAAACTAAACTCATGATCTTCTTTCCCCAACATGCTCTTCTGGCAACCCCATCTCAAAATGGCACCACCATTCATTTATCTGTGAAAGTCAGAAACCCAAGACTCATCCTTGATATTCCTAATTCATTCATATCCCACATGCCATTCATTAGTGGCAGAAGCACAATTTAAACCAATATAGTAACTTTCAGTTTAGTACAACCTCACTATTCCACAGAGTAATAAGGACCCCAGAGTCTAACAGGCAAACATTTAATAGATTTAATCTCATCAGACCTATTTTCTCTATATTTAGTCACCAGTATTTGTTCATAATGCATTCCCAGGGGGAGGGTAAGGGGACACATACTAAAGAAGAATTGTGAAAACTGGGCAATATTCCCAGAGAGCTAATTTAAAAATGTTAAAAGTTCTTAATCACCTTTCACTTTGAAACTTAATTTTTTATTATAATGTTATGGGATACTGAGTGAGACTTTTCCTAATTCTCCAGAATGATAACCTCCAGTCTACAGCTGAGGATAAAGAGGCTCTAAGAAACCTATATTCTTAAGATACCTGTCGAAAATTTTGGCCCAACACTTTCCTAAGGACTCACTAAAATTACCAAGTGGTAGCACATATTGTACTAGTACCTCCAACAATCATCCCCACATTTTCCCTTCCTCTAACTTATCAGTATATTTTTAAAAACTGCAGAAGAGAGAGCAAAATAATCAAAGTCAAGAACAATTGTTGCAGGCGGACTTGTGTGCAGGTATCACCCAACCAGAGTGTACTCTTGCCTTGGTGCTGAATCAGGATACTAGGGGCCTCTCGCTATGCCAGATAGGACCTTCATATTTGCTGGATCTTAGAGTTGAGAGGCTGAGTGGGAGGCTTCAGAGGAGCACTGATGTGAGAGACGGAGGGAGAGAGGTGATATAAAGTTATTGGCTATTTGCCAATGAATAAAGACGTATTTCAGTATTTCAACAATGTTTCTCAGTGAAGGGAAGATACTGGCATTGGGATATCACTATTCCCCAGGGACTGCCCATGCACTGCAGGACGTTTAATATCTCTTACTCCTGGAAATTAAATGCTGTTTCAGTCACTCCAAGACAATCAATATCCCTTCACACATTTTAATAGGCTCCCTGAGTGGCAGGGCAGTACTGCACACCTTGTGACCCACTTCCACATCCACCACACTAGGGAACTATACAACTAAATAAATCCAGGGAGCTTCTGAAAATCTAAAACATGAGCCAAAAAGGGAGGCAGCACTTTGATTCCTTTTTTGCAGAGAAACCTGATGGCCAAGACGAGTTAACAGAAAAGAAGCAATACAAACAGCAACAAAAATCATCACAGCCAAGAAGTAAAGAGAGACCTGTTAATACGTTCATTTGCTCCACTGTCTGTCCTCCTCAACACCCTGAAAGAATTAGGTCTTGAAAAATTAGGACAGAAGAAGTATCTACCTCAGATCCTGCCCTGCCACATCTAAACTAACAGCATTCCAGTTTAAGCTTGTGATGAAGGGAAAGGAAAAGAAAGAAAACTTTGGGGATTCAGGGGGAAGTATACTGCTTGAGTGATGGGGGCACCAAAATCTCACAAATCACCACTAAAGAAATTTGTCATGTAACCAAACACCACCTGTTTCCCAATAACCTATAGAAACAAAAAAAATATATAAAAAACAGACACATGATCATCAGATTCTCCAAGACCGAAGTGAAAAAAAAAAAAAAGTTAAATGCAGCAAGAGAGAAGGGACAGATCACCTACTAAGAGAATCTCATCAGGCTAACAAGATACCTGTCAGCAGAAACCCTACAAGCCAGAAGAGATTGGGTGCCTATATTCAACATTCTTTAAAAAAAAAAAAAAGAACAATTTTCTTTTCTTTTTTTTCTTTTTTTTTTTTTTTTTCCTGAGACAGAGTCTCACTCTGTCACCCAGGTTGGAGTGCAGTGGCTGGATTTGGCTCACTGCAAGCTCCACCTCCCGGGTTCTTGCCATTCTCCTGCCTCAGCCTCCCGAGTAGCTGGGACTACAGGTGCCCACCAACATGCCAGGCTAATTTTTTGTATTTTTAGTAGAGATGGGGTTTCACTGTGTTAGCCAGAATGGTCTCGATCTCCTGACCTCATGATCCTCCCACCTTGGCCTCCCAAAGTGCTGGGATTACAGGCGTGAGCCACCGCGCCCGGCCAAGAAAACAATTTTCAACGAAGATTTTCATATTCGGCCAAACTAAGCTACATAAGCAAATAACAAATAAAATCCTAGTGGGGCACATTGGCTAATGCATGTAATCCTGGCACTTTGGGAGGCCAAGGCAAGTGGATCACCCGGGGTCAGGAGTTCCAGACCAGCCTGACCAACATGGAGAAACCCTGCCTCTACTAAAAATACAAAATTAGCTGGGCGTGGTGGTGCATGCCTGTAATCCCAGCTACTTGGGAGGCTGAGGCAGGAGAATCGCTTGAACCTGGGAGGCAGAGGTTTCAGTGAGCCAAGATCATACCACTGCACTCCAGCCTGGGCAACAAGAGTGAAACTCCATCTCAAAAAAAAAAAAAAGATTCTTTTCATACATACAAGCAAATGCTAAGGGAATTCATTACTACCAGACCTGCCTTACAGTGCCTCACAAGAGATCCTGAAGGGAGTGCTGAATACCAAAAGGAAAAACTGTTACTGGTTACTACAAAAACACAATCAAGTACACAGACCTGTTATGCTATACAGCAGCCACACAAACATGTCTGCATAATAATCAGCTAATAACATGGTAACAGGATCAAATTCACATCAATACTCACCTTGAGTGTAAATGAGCTAAATGCCCCAATTAAAAGGCACAAAGTGGCAAGTTGGATAAAAAACCAAAACCTGACAGTACGCTGTCTTCAAGACACCCATCTCACATGCAATGATACCCATAGACTCAAAGTAAAGAGATGGAAAAAATCTATGAAGCAAACAAACGAACAAACAAAAACAGGAAAAAAAAGCAGAAGCTGCTATCAGTTTTAATTTTTTAGTGAGGGATGTTTTTTGTTTGTATCAGTTTTAATTTTTATTAGTGAGGTTATAGGAAACTGGGTATATTTTTGTTATTCTCACGGGAGCATTAAAAGATTGAAAAAGAGATTCAATCATTCTTAAGGTAAATTTGACATCATATTTCAACAAACCTGAAAGGTACAAGGTAGTTGAGATGATTTCTATCCGTAGGCATTTACCCCAAAGAAATGATCAGAGATGAGCATAAGCATTGTTGAAATATTGTTTAAACATTGATCCAAGAGTTATTCACGAGTGAAGAAATTTAGAAACATCTGAAATGGCACAAAGAATGATTGGGGTGAATATACAAATAGAGTTTGACCAAAAAGTAAGTGTGATATGGCTGTTAAAAGGTTTTTTATGGAGAATCATTTAAAGACATTGGGAGATATTCATAAGATTAAGCAGGAAAAAAAAAGCAAAATGTAAACCAGAATATACAGTATTATCCTAGATTTGCTTTAAAGTAAGTGTGTGTGTGTGTGTGTGTGTGTGTGTTACACATCAGAATATTAACAGTGGGGATGCAATTCTTACTATTTTTACATTTCACTGTCGTAGTAAAAAATAATGAATAAGTTTACAATAATGAATATTTATTACATATATAATTGGGAAAAATAAAGACGAAAATAGATTTCTTTCAGAAATCCAGAATTCATTAATTGAATGGTGGGACTGGGTACATCTGGATATGAGGAGATCTCTTATTTGGTAATGGTAAGGGTGTCTGGTGTACTGCAGCAAGAAAGAGAAACTGACAGATCTGGGTGTGAGAAGCAAGGAAAAAGTCAAAGATAAATTTCATACAAACAATAATATTAGCACTAACAGATAGTTAAGGAAATGAGAAGTTAGAGCAAATATGGGAAAAGATGATGATGTGCAAGATTTCATGTTCTACTAGTAACTGGTAATCTAACGTCTTGGTAACCAGCCATCGGACAGTGTAAAGATGGTCAGGCATAACAAAATCATGACTTGAGAAATGTTCATCAGGATGTTATAAACAATACGGAAGTAGAAGAGGTTTCAGGGACAGAAATTTAAGGATAAAAATAGAGATATAAGAACTACGCCTAAAGAATATGCTTCATTTAAGAGGTTTGTTAAGAGGAAACTATTAAAATAGTAGTTAGCGATAGGTGGAAAACCAAAACAGACTTTAAACTACCAAAGATCCAAAAAGACAGTAAAGGGCTCAGTTCAACATGAAGACCTAACTACCTTACTTACATACTCACTCAAGACAGGAGCACCCAGGTTCATAAAGCAAGTTCTTAGAGACCTACAAAAAGACTTAGAACCACACAGTAATAGTGGGAGACTTTAACACCCCAGTGACAATATTAGATAGATCATTGAGGCAGAAAATTAACAAAGATATTTGGGACCTTAACTCAACACTTGACCAAATGGACCTAATAGACATCTACAGAACTTTCCACCCCAAAACAACAGGATATACATTGTTCTCATCACCAAATGGCATGGACTCTAAAATCCACCACACAATTGGGCATGAAACAGTCCTCAGCAAATTCAAAAACCAGAAATCATACTAGCCATACTCTTGGACCGTATTGCAATAAAAATAGAAATCAATGCTAAGGAAATTGCTCAAAAGCATACAACTTAATGGAAATTAAACAACCTGCTCCTGAATGACTTTGGGGTAAATAATAAAATTAAGGCAGAAATCAATAAATTCTTTGAAATTAATGAGAAAAAATATACAACATACCATAATCTCTAGGACATAGCCAAAGCAGTGTTAAGAGGGAATTTTACAGCACTAAATGCCCACATCAAAAAGTTAGGAAGATCTCAAATTAACAACCTAACATCCCACCTAGAGGAACTAGAGCAACAAGAGCTAACTGCAAGCTAGTAAAAGACAAAAAAAAAAAAAAAATTTGGAGCTGAAGTGAGGGAAATTGAGACACAAAAATCATACAATAGATTTAATTTTAATAACAAAAAGTGACCAGAGAGTTATGTAATCTGTCCAGGACTTCATTAAATGACGAGAAACGGAGATTCAATAAGTGTGGTTGAAGGCAATGCCTAGAGAAAAAATTAAAAATTATTTTATGTTTATTATCTCAACAAGTCCAGATGCCACAAAATACTGATTGTAATGCACCTTTATCGTCTCATGAATTCCCTTAATTCAGCTCTTTTCCTTCAGATTTGAATATAAAGCTATTAGAACAACATCTAAATAAAGCTAACAATTCGTATCATTTGAGAGACTAACTTTTTCTCCCTCAATTATACAGGCAAATCTGATTTTATTGCTTTTTACTTTTATTTAGCTTTGAAGATATTGCATTTTTTATTTTACAAATTAAAAGTTTGTGGCAATCCTGCGTTGAGAAAGTCTATCGGCACCATTTTTCCAACAGCATGTGCTCACTTTGTGTCGCTGTGTCACATTTTGGTAATCCTTGCAATATTTTAAACTTTTTCATTAGTGTTATAACAGTTAGGGTGATATGTGATCAATGATCCTTAATTTTACCATTGTAATTGTTTCAGGGTACCACAAACCATGGCCATATAAGATGGCAAACTTAATAGATACATTTTCTGAGTGTTCTCACTGCTCCACTTCATCTCTTTCCCCCTCCTCTGACCTCCCCATTCCCTGAGACATAACAATATTGAAATTAGGCCAGCTAATAACTCCACAATGGCCTCTAAGTGTTCAGGTAAAAGGAGGAGTCACATGTCTCCCATTTTAAATCAAAAGCTAGAAATGATTAAGTTTAGTGGGCAAGGCTTACCAAAAGCTTAGATAGGCTGAAAGTTAGGCCTCCTGTGCCAAACAATTATCCAAGTTGTGAATGCAAAGGAAAAGTTCTTGAAAGACACTAAAAGCACTATTCCAGTTTCGCTGATATGGAGAAAGTTTTAGTGGTCTGTACAGAAAATCAAACCAGCCACATGACTCCCTTAAGCCAAAGCCTAATGCAGAGCAAAGCCCTTACTCTCTTCAAGTCTATGAAGGCTGAGATAGGTGAGAAAGGTGCAGAGGAAAAGTCTGAAGCCAGCATGAGGTGTAAGAAAAGAAGCTGTCTCCATAACGAAAAAGCAGCAAGTTCTGATAAAAGTTGGGCAGTAAGTTATCCTAAAAATCTCGCTAAGATAAATGATGAATGTGACTACACGAAACAAAATATTCTCAATAGAAACAAAACAGCCTTCTATTAGAAGAAGATGCCATCTGGGACTTTAATAGTTAAACAGGAGAAGTCAATACCTGCCTTCACCACTTCAAAGGACAGGATGACTTTCCTGATAGGAGTTAATACAGCTTCTGACTTTAAACGGAAGCCAAGGCTTATTTATCATTCCAAAAATCTTAGGGCACTTAAGAATTATGCTAAATCCATTCTGCCTGTGCTCTCTACATGGAACAAACATAATGCGTTTGCACACCTAACAGACTACAGTGTAATGCAAACATAATTTTTTTTTTTTGAGACAGAGTTTCACTCTTGTTGCCCAGGCTGGAGTGCAGTGGTGTGATCTTGGCTCACCTCAACCTCCACCTCCTGGGTTCAAGCGATTCTCCTGCCTCAGCCTCTCAAGTAGCTGGGATTACAGGCATGAGCCACCATGCCCAGCTAATTTTGTATTTTCAGTAGGGACGGAGTTTCTCCATGTTGGTCAGGCTGGTCTCAAACTCCCGACCTCAGGTGATCCACCCGCTTTGGCCTCCCAAAGTGCTGGAGTTACAGGTTTGAGCCACCGTGTCCGGCCCTGCAAACACAATTTTTATATCCACCGGGAAAATGAAATTTTTGTGTTACTCATTTAATTTTGATATTTATTGTGGTGGTCTGGGACTGAACCTGCAATATCTCCAAGTTATGCCTGTATTAAGGTTATGAGACCTGTGCAACAGCATGTATGATTTTCTGTTTTCCTCTCATGTTATTAGCTACATGTTTCCTCTCATGGTATTAGCTATACAGACAGTATAAAATAAATATAAAAATTCAAATAACTATACAATAAAACTTGATATTCACTAAGAATTGCAACACTACTCAAGTTGAGCTGATGTTTGACTGGAAGCACCACTAGGAAAGGACTCAAAATATATAATACAGTACTGATTTTCTGGATGTTTTACATCCATTCAAAATTTGATGGATGATAGACAGTTTAGGGATTTAACAGTAAAATGTGTTAAAGTGTGAATTAGGCAAAATCTGAGCTATGACGTGTGCATACCACGTTGTTAATAATAACCTACCTGTTGTTGATATGAGGGGGAGAGAGCAAGGGGCTCACCTGCTCTGTTTTACCAGCAATCTATACCCAAATAGCTGAGGCCTGAAAATCCACTTGAAAGCCTTTATTCTTACAGATCAGTATTGGAATCACCTTCATTATGCAATCCTCACTATTCAAAGAGTTGCCATAGAATTACCAGTCATTTAAATCTTAAAGCTTTTACATTTTAAGTTTTAAAAAAATTGGCCAATGGACTCCATTATGAGTCTCATTAAAAGTATACACATTATTTTCAAAAGAATGAACATAGATACAATTTTGATTACAGTTGCTATTCCTGGACCAGCTCTCGGACTATTCAAAGAGGCCAGGTAGGATAGATTGTATTTTACAAAAATGACAGCACCAATAATGACCTCATCCTGCATGTTCCTCTTACAACATGAGGTTCACACTCTGCCGTTGAGAGGTGGGGGCTATGTTGACTCTTTTTAATTCTGGGAACACCTTTGTAATGACCAAGGAAAAGAACAAATTTAAACCCCTACTTCACAGTATAAACAAAATTAACTTGAAACGGATAGAAGGGACCTATATGTAATAGCCAAAAGTATAAAACACTTTGAAGAAAATATTAGTGTAAATGTTCATGATGCTGATTAGGCAATGACTTATTAGATATGACGACTAAAGTACAAGCAACCAAAGAACAAATACATAAGTGAAACTTCATCAAAATAAAAAGGTTTTGTACATTAAAAGATACCATCAAGAAAGAAAAGAAAACCCGCAGGATATGAAAAATAATTCTAATCATATACCTTATAAGAGACTAGTATCTAGAATATATTCTAAAATTTTGCAACTCAATAGTCAAAAGACAAATAACCCATTTTTTAAATGGGCAAATGATTTGAAGAGACATGTCTCTAAAATGATATAAAAATGGTCCATAAAGCACACAAAAAGTGCTTGACATCATTTGCCATCAGCGAAATGCAAATCAATACCACAAACTTCCTATCCACTAGGATGGCTATAACAAAAATACAGATCTTAAGTATTGGTGGGGATGTGAGAAAATTGAAACATTGTGCGTTGTTAGTTGAAATTTAAAATGGTACAACTACTTTGGGAAACAGTGTATAAGAAAAAGAACAGCAAAATAAGCTCAAAGAATGTGGACATAAAAATATAATAATAATAAAGTTAACAGCAGAAGTAAGTAAAATATAAAAATTAAATTAAGGATCACTCTGGGCATGGTGCTTCATGCCTGTAATCCCAGCACTTTGGGAGGCCAAGGTGAGATCACTTGAGGTCAGGAATTTGAGACCAGCCTGGGCAACATAGTGAAACCACTTCTGTACAAAACATTTAAAACTTGGCCAGTTGTTGTGACACACCCCTGTAATCTCAGCTAATCGGAAGGCTGAGGTAGGAGGATCCATCGTCAGTTTCACTCAACACAATATAAAAATCATAAGCAAAGTATTACCAAAGTGAATAAAGCAATATATACAAAGGAAAATACACTGTAACTGAATTGACTTTATCACATAAATGCACAGTTATTCTATCATTAGAGGCTCAAATAATGTAAATCAAAATATTACCAGATAAACAGATTTAAAAACCATGATTTCAATCGCCTTTTAACATTTGGTAGAATTCAACATCAATTTGTTATTTTAAAAAACAGTAACGATGTTAAGAAATTGAGAGTGTAAGAAAAATCCTCATAGTCTGACAAACGGATGTGCAAACAACCAAAGTAAATATACACTTATCCGTGAAAGGTTGAACTGCTTCCCCTTTGAGAACAGGATTAAGACAAAGATGCCTGGTGTTATCAGCTATACTCAACATTATACTGGATGTTCTAGCCAGTTCGGAAAGCAATCAAAAGGAAATGAGGAATGAAGAGTGTAGAAAAAAAAATGTGTAACATTTTTGTGTTTAGAGAATCCTAACAAATCTACAGATAAATTATTAGGATTAATGAGAGTGTAGCAAATTTGTGGGAAAAAATCAATATTCAAATATTAATTGCACCCTTTCCTTCCCTTGCCCTTCTTCCTTTTCCCTCTCCTACTCTCCTTTCCTTCTTTTTCTTTATGCACACAGTAGAATACTACACAATCTATAGCCACATATAAACATTAATGAATCATTTCACAAACCAAATGGAGGGCGAATAAAGCAAGACACATTATACACTGTTCTATTTAAAAAAAGTGCAAAATCTGTTTAAACTAAAGTATATATTTAGGAGTGCAAACCTAGAAGGTTAGACCGCAAAGAAAATCCAAAAAGTATAGATACCTATTTATTTTTAGTACTTACGCATTTTTTTAAATGTGCTACATAGTACTATAAAATAACTGAAGATCTCAAAAAAATGTATGTATGAGACAGAGTAGCATTGATAAAGAGGCAATTTCACCTTTGGCTCTGTATATTTCTGTGTTGTTTAAACATATTACACAAAGAATACACATTTTCTATGTATCATATATGTAATTTACTTTTGAATATCAATATAGATTTTACAAACTATAAGAATACCCAAAAATTGTTTATATAAATTTTAAGGAAAAAAAAGTTTCAGAATGAGAGAAGACACAATGATTAGAGGCAAAACAAAAAATAAAAAGCTAAAACATTTGAAGGTCCCCATTAGTTTGATGAAGCTGAAGAAAAGGGCACATGTGTGGGGACAAAGCGGAGCTCTCTGTAATCTGATCTCTGAAGGGCTCGGGCTGTACCACTTAAATGTGGTTTGAGGTCACACACACTGAACCACATGGCAGTACTCTTTTTACTTTGACCCTGGTGCCCAGACTATGATCTAAACCTCATCGTAGCTTGTAATAAATTCCAAAATTATCAGCAATTGTAACAACAGAGAGTCAAAGAACTGATGAGGCCAGGAGAAGAGGTCTGCCCTTTAATCAGAAGCTATACATTCAAATCACCTTCAAGGCAATTTTCTGGGGCAAACCACTGTCCATGCATTTATATGTGGTTAATGAGTAGTGAAAAGCCCTTTGGAATGTTTAGAGGCCCTTTTCATTTGCACACAATTAGGGTAAAAATGAAATGTGCAGATTAACATTGAATGACATTCTTCTGTTATCTTTTTCTATCACATCATGCATGAAAACCAAAGGTCTCTTTGTCATAAAAGGGACTAAATTGCTTAATCCATGAATTTATAAACTTGCATTTTTCCCCTCAGAGAATTTGTCATGGTTTCTGAGTTCTCAAAAACTCCCAGAAAGTGATAATGCGATCAATTGCATATAAAACCTCAAAAGTCATAGCAGAAGACTAGTTGAGAAATTTAAGTTCAGAGGAGGAAGTATGAAAGGTAAATCGTAAATGTTTAATTTGGCAATCGAACCTTAAAAGATATATGTTTCCCGGGGATGAGGGCTACTGTGACCAAAACAGCATGGTAATGGTACAAAAACAGGCACATAGACTAATGGAACAGAATAGAGAGCCCAGAAATAAGGCGACACATCTACAGTCATCTGATCTTTGACAAAGCTGACAAAAACAAGCAATGATGAAAAGACTCCCTGTGTAATAAATAGTGCTGGGATAACTGGCTAGCCATATGCAGAAGACTGAAGCTGGACCCCTTCCTTACACCATATACAAAAATCAACTCAAAATGGATTAAAGACTTAAATGTAAAACCCAAAATTATAAAAACCCTGGAAGACAACCTAGGCAATACCATCTTGGTCCTAGGTATGGGCAAATATTTCATGACAAAGACACCAAAAGCAATCACAACAAAAGCAAAAATTGACAAATAGAATCTAATAAAACTTAAGAGATTCTGCACAGCAAAAGAAACTATAAACAGAGTAAACTGTCAATCTACAGAATGGGAGAAAATATTTTCAAACTATGCATCTGACAGAGGTCTAATATCCAGCGTCTACAAGAAATTTAAACAAGTTTATAAGAGAAAAAAACAACCCCATTCAAAAGTGGGCAAAGGACATGAACAGACACTTTTATAAAGAAGACATACATGCAGCCAACAAGTCTATGAAAAAAGATCAATATCACTGATCGTTAGAGAAATGCAAATCAAAATCACAATGAGATACCATCTCACACCAGTCAGAATGGCTACTATTAAAAGTCAAAAAATAACAGATGCTGGCAAGGTCTCAGAGAAAAGGGAACACTTATACACTATTGGTGGGATTGTAAATTAGTTCAGCCATTGTGGAATTCAGTAGCATGATTCCTCGAACAGCTAAAAGCAGAACTACCCCTTGACCCAGCAATCCCTTACTGGTTATATACCCAGATAAATATAAATCATTCTATGTAAAGACACATGCATGTGAATGTTCATTGCAGCACTGTTCACAACAGCAAAGACATGGGATCAAACTAAATGCCCATCAATGACAGACTGGACAAAGAAAACGTGGTACATGTGTATTGTGGAATATTATGCAGCCATAAAAATGAACATGATCATGTCTTTTGCGGGAACACGGATGGAGCTGGAGGCTATCATTCTAAGAGAAGTAATGTAGGAACAGAAAACCAGACACTGTGTGTTCTCAATTATAAGCGGGGAGCTAAACAATAAGAACTAAGGAATATAGAGAAGGAAACTCCAGACACTGATGTCTACTTGAGGGAGGAGGATGGGAGGAGGGAAAGGAGCAGCAAAGATAACTATTGGGTACTGAGCTTACTACCTGGGTGATGTAATAATATGTACAACAAACCCCTGTGCCGTGTTTATCTGTGTAACAAACCTTCACATTTACCCACAAACCTAAAATTAAAATTAAAAAAAAACAAGAAAGAGTTTTAAAATACTTTTCTTGTGGCTCACGCCTGTAATCCCAGCACTTTGGGAGGCCGAGGCAGGCGGATCACAAGGTCAGGAGATCGAGACCATCCTGGCTAACACGGTGAAACCCCATCTCTACTAAAAATACAAAAACAAAATTAGTCGGGCGTGGTAGCGGGCGCCTGTAGTCCCAGCTACTCCGCAGGCTGAGGCAGGAGAATGGCGTGAACCCGGGAGGCGGAGCTTGCAGTGAGCCGAGATCGCGCCACTGCACTCCAGCCGGGGCGACAGAGCAAGACTCCGCCTCAAAAAAAAAAAAAACAAAACTTTTCTTAAACATGGTTTTATATGTGATTCTAGGCAACTGGACATTGAACAGTCTGCAACTGTTTGTTCTGCATCTATCCTGTTAACTGCTTCCAGCTTACCCACACCTAGGCCATGGGTTTCATATAAAAAACTTCATAACTCATGGAGTTCCCGTAAACCCAAGCCCGGAGCCTCATTTTTTCTTTCCTTCTGCAGTCTTTAAACCATTTTGTGTAGTCTCAGCCTACCTTTGTATTGACTCTGGAGTTGGCTGCAAACCTTAAGGATGCTGCCTTTGCTCTAAGAGTTATCTCAGTTACCCATGTCCCCAAAGAATGGGGACAGGGTTAGGGATGCAGTGCCCTAACCTACTCTCTGTCCAGGCTTATGCAGGGAAAGCACTGCCAGGCAGATCTAGAATCACACTCTTCCCCACCCCAAGCCCTAAAGGTCCAAGGAGACATAAATCGAACAATGTCTACGATTACTTCAAACTTTTGAACCACTATCTTATAAAGTGGAGGCCCGCAAACTGCAGCCCAATGTCAAAATCCAGCCCTTTTCCTGTTTTCATATGGCCGTTGAGATAAGATTAGTTTTTCCCTATTTAAAGGATCGTAAAGGAAAAAGGAGGAGGAGGACAGAAAGGAGGAAGAAGAGAAGGCAAAGGTGGAGGAGGAGGTGAAGCAAAGAAGAAAATGAGGCATATGCAGTGAAGACCACATGTGGCCTACCAAATCCTAAAATGTTTACCATCTGGCTCTTTACAGAAAAAAATGTTTCCTGACCCCTGTTCTAAACCACAAACTTTGTCCTTTCAAGCCCTTGCATGAAATGCTCCCATGGCTTTCCATCACTCTCAGGATAAGCTCTACATTCCTTAACATAGTCTATGCTCGATCATCTGACCCTAACTATCACTTAGTCCCTGTCAACTTGGCCCCAACATACACTGCCTATTCACAGAGCCTGAATTACTTGCTCTTTTGTGAACATAACATAAACTTTCATTCCACTGTGCCTGCCCTGTTTTAACATTCTCTCCTCTCCCTGGAATACACTTTTCCTCTGGCCCTCTTGGAAAACTCTTCCTTAAAGGCTCAGCTAAATTGCCACTTCTCTGAAGCATTCTCTGAGTGCCCCGAGCTGAATTAAGATCTCCTCTGCACATCCACAGCATTTCGTTATGCCTTCTCTTAGTTCACTTAATATATTACTCTCTGAGCCACCACTCTCAGTTGGGGACTGAAAGGTTTATCATTTCCATCTAGCTGTTTATATCCCGCGGACAGCCTAAAAGCAGTCCTAGGTTTGAATTTACTTCTGCTTCTATTTACTGTTTACTTAATTTGGGAAAACAAAAAAGATAGACCAACAGTCCCAAATTAGATGAATTGTCAGACAGTTGAAAAGAATATAGTGCAGGCCTAGAAAATGGTTTGAGAAAGAATCAAACCCTTACCTGCAAAGTGAAGACATCTTAAAGATATTCTTGGGAAAGAATAAGTTTTCATTTTATAGATATATGAGGCACTCCATTCCAAGAAAATTGATGCTATGTTAGGAAGTCTCCTACCTGCAGTACCGACATGATTAAAGGGCTCTAAATAACATGATCACTCATTTATAAAGATGAACTCAAAAATAAAATTAGTTATACTGTACATATGCTATTTAATTTTATGAAAATGGTCAATAAGATGAAGTTTTGTTTTGTTTGTTTTGTTTTGTTTTGTTTTGTTTTGTTTTTGTGTTTTTGGTTTTTTTTTGAGATGGAGTCTAGCTCTTGTTGCCCAGGTTGGAGTGCAGTGGCAGGATCTCGGTTCACCGCAACATCCGCCTCCCGGGTTTAAGCGATTCTCCTGCCTCAGCCTCCTGAGTAGCTGGGATTACAGGCAAGTGCCACCACGCCCAGCTAATTTTTGTATTTTTAGTAAGTTGGAGTTTCACCATGTTGGCCAGGCTGGTCTCTTATCTCCTGACCTCAGGTGATCCACCCACCTTGACCACCCAAAGTGCTGGGATTACAGGCATGAGCCACTGTGCCCGGCCAAGATGAAGTATTAATATGGAAAAAGGTTCATGGAAAAGAAGTAGGTTGAAAAAATATATATACTATGACTTTTTATGTCACTTATTCGAAATAAAAGATTAAAACACCCTTTATGTGTATATGTGTGTGTGTAAATGTCTCCAAAAATTTACAAGGTATGCCTGATTAGCAAAAATGTTTCCTTCGTAAATAAGGGAGGAGAGTTTGGGGCTGATAATCCAAGAGAGTCAAAGGGCACTTTAACTGTTACCTTTACTTGCGAATTGTTTGACTTCTTAAAAATAATGAGCATTTTTTGTCAATTTAAATTAAAGCCAATAAAATGTACATTCACCTCACATCCAGATCCTACAAGACATAACATTTCAACAGGGTCTAAATGAATAGGTGATATATTCTCATTCATTTAGTTTTTAAATTGTC
Source organism: Homo sapiens (assembly GCF_000001405.40). Taxonomy (NCBI): domain Eukaryota; kingdom Metazoa; phylum Chordata; class Mammalia; order Primates; family Hominidae; genus Homo; species Homo sapiens. Next base: position 143,678,836 of record NC_000023.11, on the reverse strand, counting down.
TTTCTTAGGTTTTAAATATACATAATAAAAGAAAATCATAGACGCTGAAATAGGTATTCCAAAGCTCAAAGACAAGCTGAGAAAATCAGAATTAAAACCACACAGGTTAAAAATTATTTTCTTTAAGAATGTTGAATGTTGGCACCCACTCTCTCCTGGCTTGTAGGTTTTCTGCTGAGAGGTCTGCTGTTAGCCTGTGCAGCAAACTGCCATGGCACACATTTACCTATGTAACAAACCTGCACATTCTGCACATGTCTCCCGGAATCTAAAATAAAATTAAAATTAAAGAAACACATGAACTAAAGCAGTTTCTGTTAAAGGTGAATGAAACAAACAGTAGATGAAAGTTGGGTTACCATGGAAGCAATAGACATGAACATGTAGGAAAAAAAAATAAAGGAGAAGATTTTCTGCTCAGTCACGGCAAAGTCAGGGGTCTAGTCTGTTTCAATGTCAGATCCTGTAAGAGATGATGATGTTGGGTGCTGACGGTGGAGCAGGATTCATAACGAAGGTCCAGAGATTGCCCTAGTCTTGCTCAGCCAATAAAGTGCAGTGGATTTTTTTCTGAGTGCAAAATTTAAAATAAGGCTCAACGTATTCATTTCATCTACAGCAGAGAAGGCAGACCAAGTGGTGAGACTTTTGCTGAACTTGAGAGTATGAGGTCAAATTGGCCCTGAAAAAAAGACAAAGAAACTATAGGACACAGATATGTTTCAGTATTCAAGTCAAACAATGTTGAAATGGATTGGGTGCTGAAGCATAGTGGTCCAGATAGTTCTGACATGGCCAATGATGGCTTTGTACTCCCCTTTGAATGTAGCAAGGAAGAAATTGTTCAGTTCTTCTCATGGTTGGAAATCGTGCCAAATGGCATAACACTGATGGTGGATTTCCAGGGAAGGAGTACAGGGGAGGCCTTTGTGCAGTAGGCTTCACAGGAAATAGCTGAAAATGCTCTAGAGAAACACAAGGAAAGAATAAGGCACATGTATGGGCTTATGGCCATGCAGCAGCCAGGTCCCTATGACAGACCTGGGGCTGGCAAAGAGCATAACAGCATTAGCAGAGGAGATGGCTTTGAGAGGATGCGGTGTGGTGCTTATGGTGGAAGCTATGGAGGCTATAATGATTATAATGGTTATAATGATGGCTATGAATGTGGGTCAGATAGATTTGGAAGAAACTTCAATTATAGTTTTTTAGGAATGCCTGATCATAGATATGAAGATGGTGGCTCTACCTTCCAGAGCACAATGGGACACTGTGTACACATGTGTGGATTACCTTACAGAGCTACTGAGAATGATATTTATAATTTTTTTCACTGCTCAGTCATGGAGAGTACACATTGTAATTGGTCCTGATGGCAGAGTAACTGGTGAAGCAAATGTCGAGTTTGTAACTCAGAAGATGCTGTGGCAGCTACGTCAAAAGACAAAGCAAATATGCATCACAGATATGTAGAACTCTTCTTGGATTCTACAGTACCACCAAGTGGTGGTGGTTATGGTAGCCAAATGATGGGAGTTATAGGCTTGTCAAACCAGTTCAGTTACAGTGGCCCAGCCAGCCAACAGTTGAGTGATGGTTATGCAGGCAGCTATGGTGGCTAGAGCAGCATGAGTGGATACGATCAAGTTTTGCAGGAAAACTCCAGTAATCTTCAATCAAACATTACATAAGTAGCCAAGGAGCGATAAACAGCAGCTACTACAGTAGAGGAAGCCATGCATCTATGGGCGTGAACAGCATGGGAGGGATGTCTAACATGTCTGATATGAGTGGTGGATGAAGAATGTAATTGATCCTCATCACGGACTCTTGGCCAACTTTTTTCTAAGAAAAAAACTTCAGTTTAACAGTTTTTGAAGTACAAGCTTGTGGTTTATGCTTACTCTCTAAGTGGAAATCAGGATTGTTCTGCAGACTTAATTAAGGCTCAATGTTTTTGAACACAGTACTCCTCTAGGATGTAACAGTGAAGTCGAGTAAACTATAACTGTTAAAAAAGTTTTCGTTTTTCTCAAGTTAGTTATATTGTACAATGTACTGAAGCAGTAAATGTATTTAGGTTAAAGCAGTTGAATTAAGTTAGTTGTTGCCCTTATACCACGTTACATTGAACACAGTTTGGATGCATGTTGAAATACATGCTTTTTTTTTTTTCATAAAACTCAATATAAGGGCTGTGTCTGGAATTAAAGTAAAAATTTTTGGCACGTTTTTTAATTCTAGTTTCATTTAATAACCTGTAGGGCATGTTTGTTTAAGCTTTATTTAAGTTAATGGGAAAAAATTAGAGATCCAATACCAATACTTTAGGATTGTGGTCTTGGTGTTTATATGAAATTCTTAGGCCTCGATTTTAATCTTTCATTGTATTGTGATTTTCTTCTAGGTATATTATACCATAAGAAACTTGTCAAATAAATCTTTCTTTTTTTTAATTTTTTTTTTTGAGATGGAGTCTTGCTCTGTCGCCCAGCCTGAAGTGCAGTGGCACAATCTCGGCTCAAGGCAGCCTCTGCCCACTGGGTTCCAGTGATTCTCCTGCCTCAGCCTCCTGGGTAGCTGGGATTATGGGAGCATGCCACCACGCCCGGCTAAGTTTTGTATTTTTAGTAGCGATGGGGTTTCCCCATGTTGGCCAGGCTGGTCTCGAACTCCTGACCTCAGGTGATCTGCCTGTCTCAACCTCCAAAAGTGCTGGGATTACAGGCGTGAGCCACTGCACCCGGCCAATCTTCCTTTTAAAAACTGAAAGAAGAAAAAGGAAGAAGAAGAAGAAGAACAACAACAACAACAACAACGACAAGAAGGAGGAGGGAAAGGAGGGAGGTATTAAGACTTGGCACAACTAGTGATATCAGGTTAGAATAGATCGTCAGGGCTATCACATTTTGTAAGCCTTGAAAATCAGTAAAGCTGAATAGTAAATTTCAGTGCAGGCTAAATTAAAATGTAAAGTAATTTTCTCCTCTTTGATTCATAAATTCATTTATTCATTCATCCGCCAAAGATTTACTGAGTGCCTAAAATTTGCCAGACCCTATATGCTGGGTGTGAAAGATACAGAAAAGAAATAACTCATGCCTTTTCTTGTACTTCAAAAGCTCAGTCTAACCAAGGCCTTTACGTAGAGTCAATGACTTCTAAGAGACTCACTGGCTGTCTGGGACAATATTGTTCTCTTTATTTCTCCTTACTGTTGGTTAAGATTTCCTCTAAATATATTACAGATTCAACTCCTTTTATGTAGCAAGAACTGACAGTGTGGAGTGGAGCTGTTCACCACCTGTTCACCATCTCTGCTTTCCGATTTCCAACATGGAGGTTGGCAAACTTTTAGTGTAAAAGGGCCAGATAGTAAATATTTTAGGCTTTGTGGGATAAAAGTCTAGGGCATTACATAGGTACATATAACCATTTAAAATGTAGAAACAATTCTTAGCTTGTAAACCATATGAAAACAGGGCCAGATTTGTCCAATAATTTGCCAACACTTGTTCTAGTAGAAACATCTGAGGATCAGAGAGGGAAGCAGCAAAGTTGTTATTCCTAGTATTTAAGGTCAGATATAACAAAGAGCAAAATAGGCACGGTCCTTGCCTTCACAGAGTTTACAGAGCAGGCACACAGCTAGTCCATAAAGGAGGTCTTCGTATCTAGTAGCAACTGTAATCCCTTGAGGGTATATGTTTATCCCATTTCTCTTGCATGTCACAAAAAGAGCAGCTGTTTGAAAGCTTCTCTTACACCTACGCCATCATTCTAAAATGCACTGCTTGCATGTCTGTATCCCCACTAGGTAAAAACCTCTCATAAGCCAAGGAGTATGTTTTATTTATCTTTATATTCTTAGTTCCTAGCACTCCCTGCACCTTGCGCATGTTATACACTCAATAATTGCTTGTCAGATGAATGGAACTAAACTGTTTTTATAACATTATGTGTGTGCCTTTTTAGGTGGTCACTTGTCTTTTTGCTAGAGTTAACTGTGTTGTAAAAAAGACTCTGAATTCAAAGCCTTCACTTTTGAGAATGAAAGGGGGCGTATATTCACTGCAGTTGACATCAACATAAGGTCTAAAAAAAATCTTTGTGACATCCTATATTTTCAGCTGGGATTTGCAGCAAACTATTGTTTTCCTTTTCTCCAAGAAAAACTCTGCCTAACGACAATTTTCTTGTTGGTTTCACAAGGAGATTGCACACTCTTCTTATGAGATCGATCAGGTCTTATATCTTTCTTTCCTTATTATTTCATAAAGGAAAAGGACAGCTTTTTCTTATGTTGACTATTCTGTCTCTGTGCCCTGTGGGTAAAACTAAATACACAGGTAGTGACTACTCAAAAGCCTATCTGGATGGCTGAAACTGACACTTGTCTTCTATTTGAACATGTGTGAAGCTAAATGTGCCCTTGTAAGCATGAAAGACGCAAATGCTTTTAAAAGTATACTCTATTTTTACCAGTATAAAAGGAATGCATATTCATTCTAGAAAATTTGAAAACGATAGAAAAATGGAAAGTAGGGGAATAGATTTTGTATATACTCACCATCTAAATATATCTGTTGTAATATTTTTCTCAAGTTTAAGCTTTATGTGCCTCAGGTTTTTCATCTATAAATTCATTTATAAATCTATAAACAACAATACCTTCCTTAAAGTGTTGTAATGAGTCTTAGAATAATTAATACATGCATAATGCCTAAAAGATATTTTTTCTTTATTTGAAAAACTTGTATTTTAGGTTCAGGGGTACATGTGCATGTTTGTTATATAGGGAAATTCGGGTCATGGGGGTTTGTTGTACAGATTATTTTATCATCCAGATACTAAGCCTAATACCCAATAGTTATTTTTTCTGATACTCTCCCTTCTCCTACCCTCCACCCCCAAATAGACCCCAGAGTCTGCTCTTCCCCTCCTAAAGGAGATTTTTACAGAGTACATGCTCAACAAATGTTAAATAGTACTCCTCATACTGAATATTATCTTTTAGTGCCTTAACTTGTTTTGTTATCATTATATCATAATAACAAATATTCCTTATGTAATTAAAAATTTTACTTATAACATATTTGGGAGGCCGAGGCAGGTGGATCACGAGGTCAGGAGTTCAACACCAGCCTGGCCAACATAGTGAAACCCCGTCTCTACTAAAAATACAAAAATTAGTCGGGCATGGTGGTGCACACCTGTAGTTCCAGCTACTCGGGAGGCTGAGGCAGGAGAATTACTTGAACCTGGGAGGCAGAGATTGCAGTGAGCTGAGATTGCGCCACTGCACTTCAGCCTGGGCGACAGAGCAAGACTCCATCTCAAAAAAAAAAAAAAAAATTTACTTAACACAATTATGGTCCAATGCCTCCAACACATTGTTACAATTAGTAATAATATAGAATATTATATAAAAGAACCCCTAACTCTTGCTTATTTTATAAAACAAACTGAAATCAGTTACAAAATTCATAAATACTAACATTGTTTGAAACGTTGATCCTATTTAACCACAGTTGCCAGAATAGCCTAGAAAAGTCTGTTCATGAAATATTTATAGAAAACAGCTAAGTTTTCAACTATACCTAGGTGACTCTAAGACCACTTATAAAAACAGCATGCTTTGAAATTGTCCAAAGAAATCTTCATTTTAACTAAGCTTCAAATAGGTAATTTCATATTTGAATACTTATGGGAACTGAATCTGAATATTCAACTCTAAAGTAACCCATCAAACTTGCCATAATTTTCTTATATTTTCTTGAATCACAGACTACGGATTACTCTTCATCAGTTATTAGCTTCTTTAATGATAGCATTTTTTGGTTTATATACTGTTTGTCCTCAACCTTCTACATACTTTTCCATTTCAGAGACAAACTAATGTGTAAAATAGCCAGTGGACAAGAGTTATTCATTAAAACTGTGTCTATGAATGCAAAATATGATATGTAATTCTGGTAACTGCCTAGATGAGAATCACATGAATGAAGAAATGTAAGTAATAACACCAACTTCCCAGGCAATAAATTAGCAATTGACTTGAAGTGTCAGTTCTCACAAGAAATACAAATAGTAAATATACATAACAAATAAGTTCAACTTGGTTAAGGGGTTAAAGAAATGCAATATTTAACAAACATGAGATGCAAATTTTTGTACAGAAGAGAAGAAAAAAATAAATGAAAAATAAGTCCCAATCCTGGAAAGACTGAAAAGAAATATGCTTATTTATGACTAGCATAATCCTTTCAATGAATAATTTGGTGATGTATATCAGGGTAGATAAAATAATTATACCCTCTGGCCCAACAATTCCCCACATGGAAATTTACCCTAAGTGACTAATCAAAGCAGCGAAGCTATGTAAGATTGCTTTATTAACATGTCCATGGTGGATGGCAGAGCAAGATGGCTGACATCAATGCAGCTCTCTTCCACAGAATGGAACCAAAATAGCATGTAGATTGACACTTAAAATAGATTGTGAAAGAGAGAACACTGGAATGCAACAGAGCAGTGGTGGGAAAGCACTGAAAGCAAAGAAGAAAAAAGAAGCAAGGCAGCCTGCTTGGCAGAGATGCGCTGGGAGCTGGGACAAGGTCCTGTTTGGGGAAATGGTAAGTGAGAGCCCACCAAGGCTGCACATTTCGACCATGGCGTCTTGCAATCCTAGCTATGGGGAGAGCCCTTCCACTGTCATGGGCGTGGAGATGAAAACACAAGAAGTTGTCTAGAGATTGTGCAGGCATTGTTCCAGAGAGTGTACTCATGCTGAGCCCCACAGGCTTCTGAGCCCTGAGCAGCTACAGCACGGTATCATTGGAAGATCTTGGTCTCCAAAGGACGGTGTCCTATTCTGGGGCCCACATTGCTCCTGCCACTGCTGAGTTAAACAAACAAACAAAAAAAAAGGCAGAAGGAGACCAGGCACATTCACATATCCCGAGAACAAATTCCACCACCACCACTGTAGCTTGCTGTGGGTCTCAGACACAAGTAAACTGTGCCCCCCACAGCACTGCACCCACTGAGAGTGACCCCACCCTCTTCCTCAGTAGCAGACCCAAAGTGGGCACCAGTCTCAGAGCCAAACCCCCGAAGAACTGCATCCTGCCCTGGGGCTGATGCTGTGGCTGCCACCACCAGGCCAAGGATGGTGGAGAGAGGAGGGTGGGCATTTTCATGCACCCTTACCTCTTCTGGAAAGAGGCTGCTGTGGGACTGATGCTGGAGAAGATATGGAGAAAAGGGACCACTTATATACTGCTGGTGGGAATGTAATTGAGTAAAATCACTATGGAAAACAGTATGGAGATTTCTTAAAGAACTAAAAATAGAACTACCATTCTATCCAGCAATCCCACTAAATCAGTATATCAAAAGGATACTTGCACTCTCATGTTTGTGGCAGCAGTATTCCCATAGATTTGGAAGCAACGTAAGTGTCCATCAACAGAAATATTGATGATGAAAATGTGGTCTACATACACACTGGAATACTATTCAGCCATAAAAAAGAATGAAGCCTAGCAATTTGCTGCAACATGGATGAGCCTGTAGGACATTATGCTAAGTGAAATAAGCCAGGCACAGAAAAATACCACACGTTCTCACTCATATGTGGGAGCTAAAAAAGAGTTAATCTCATAGGCATAGAGAATAGAATGATAGACACTAGAAAGTGGGAAGGGTGGGAGGGTGAGAGTAGAGGATGAAGAGATCCTGGCTAGTGGGTAAAAACACACAGTTAGATAGAAGAAATAAACTCCAATATTCTATAACAAAACAGGACCACTATAGTTAGCAACGATGTATTATATATTTCTGGCAACCATCATTCTACTCTCTAACTCTATGAGTTCAATTGTCTTCATTTCCAGCTCCCATAGTTCAAAGTAGATAAAAGAGAGGTCATGAAATGTTACAAACACACGGCCAGGTGTGGTGGCTCACGCCTGTAATCCCAGCACTTTGGGAGGCCAAGGCAGGCAGATCACGAGGTCAGGAGATCGACACCATCCTGGCTAATGCAGTGAAACCCCATCTCTACTAAAAAATACAAAAAATTAGGTTGGCATGGTGGCATGCACCTGTAGTCCCAGCTACTTGGGAGGCTGAGGCAGGAGAATCGCATGAACCCAGGAGACGGAGGTTGCAGTGAGCTGAGATTGCGCCACTGCGTTCCAGCCTGGGCAACAGAGCGAGACTCCGTCTCAAAAAAAAAAAAAAAAAAAAAGAGAAAGAAATGTTACAAACACATAGAATTTACAAAAACTCAAGGTGAAGGATACTGTGAATACCCCGACTTGATCATTTCAGATTCTATTCATAAAACAAATGCCCACATATACCCCGTAAATACACAAAATATTTTGCATTAATAAAAAAGTCATCCATGGTCATGTTATTTATTGTGGCCAAAAAACTGTAAAAATTTAAATTCTTAGCCAAAGACTTGTTCAGTAAATTGCAAGAATTAAATTGCTACAACATAATATTAAGCATTTATCATAAATAATACATCTTGGGATCCTGTAAAAGCTTGGAAAACAGTTTGGAGTTAATATTTTGTGAGACATAAAATTGGATTAAAGTAGATACTATACATTTTTGAGGAATCGAGTCTAAGACTAAAAATATTTACCTTGCAAGCCACTAAAGCAAATAATTTCCCTTTTAAAATGCAATAAAAATAACTAAAACATCTAACCCAAAATTAAATACCATTTTTTCCAATTTCTCCGAATTGTTACTGGGGTGCATGATGAATAGCTTTATGAATTACTTTTTCTTGTTTCCATACTAAGCATTTAGTAGACTTGTTCATGCCAGAAGTTCAAATTGCCACTGAATTCACACAATCATTTATTTTGCTCAAAATTTCGATTTTAGAACTAAAGAACATGACTTTATTAAACTCCTCATTTCCATCACCAGCTCTAGAATTTGGCTTTATTTTAGAGCCTTTTTTTTTTTCACAGAGAAACTTCATTTTCGTAACTCTTTGATAGCTACTGTGTGAGTAAGAGTGAATAGAGAAGCACATGATTGGGCAGCAACCTAGGCTCACTCACTGGTAAGTGGCTTGCTTTGATTAATCAGCCTCAGAGTGTGCATGCTTCAAACGCATGCATCTCCAACAAAACCTTCTTTGCTGCATGCGATGGAACAAACGTTTGCCATTCTTAAAACGTGCCAACCATTCATGATCTGGGAACTTTTTTTTATACATACTGCTCCCTCTACTGGGCTGTTCTTATCCTCACCTTCATATCAAATTGCTAGTCACCACTGAAGTCAAAGTTGAAGCATGACTTTCTTTATGAAACATACTCTGACACCTCCAGGGATGGCTATTCCTGGTATCTTCTGCATAATATTGCACGTGAAGTGAGTACACTCAAGTCCTGAACTATGCTTGCTTATGGGAGTGTTTAATGATATTAACTATGAAACGTCATGACAGCAAAACCAGGGATCTATTTTCAGTTTCAATTGAAGTTAAAGGGAATTTCTCACATAAGAGAACCACACATAGTGTGTGATGAATAGTAAAAGAATTAATGTATCTGTATGCGTAGAAGAGATTCTCACACATAGTATGTGCTCAACAAATGTTAGACAACGCTTTCTACTATTGCAAATTTCAGAGAAAATGGACATCAACCTTGTAGCATTCAGGTTAAGTATGGGGAGAGTCATGGTATCATGTAGTCATCACCAGGGCTGGTCAGCAAGGGTTAAGAACTCTCCAAGATTAGTAATTAATGAAGACAAAGAAGATGTAAATATTCCCATGCAAACAAAACCTCATGGAACAGGCGAATTGATTCAGAAAAGATGGGAAATATTCCTCTCACCATGCTGTAGACTGAAATCAGGGCCCTCTGCAGCCCCGACAGAGGTGATTATAGATAATTATATAGACTAAGGTACTGAGATCATCAGTCCAGAGTGGGGGAACAGTTATTCTCAACAGACCTTCTTGTCATTATCATAAAGCTTCACATTAAGAAACCCTCAAATTATTATTATAGATATTCGGGTTGAGGAGATCTTACTGGTTACATCCAAGATCTGTAGCAAAAATATGTAAGAAAGCAAAAAACATGTAAAATACCCCAGTTACACATGGATATATACATATACATTGACAACAAGAGAAAATAAAAGCCTATCTAGACGAGGCTTCTTTATGACTGGGTGTGTTGCATAGCTTTTATTGTTCCTTCACATACTTCAGTAACATCTTGTGCTATATCTATCGAGGCACTTCTCAGACTCCATTGTAATAAGTTCTGTACATGTTAATTGACATCTTTGCATCCTCTTTAAGAATGTGGGTATTTTACATAAGGGTAAAGTATTGTTTGTCTTGTATAACTCTATCAAATATAGCCTTGTCTATTACTATAGCCATTCACACAATGAGGGTGAAATGGAAGACAGAGAATCAGTTGGTTGGAAGACATTTATCCTGAGATTCATCTTCCCTGAGAGTTCTCTTAAGAAACTGATCAATTACAAGGTTGACACCTTAAGTACCTTGTTCTATCCTTCAGCCCCACTGAAGGGTTGACAAAGGCCAATATTCCAAAAAGAAATTTACCAAATACCAGAGAAGAAGAAAAGGAAAATAAGCTCAATAAGCTCAGAAAATGCTAACAGCAACAGATTTCTGAAGCTAGTATAATCTCATTCCACATGTTCAGTTGTGCATATGTGTGTGTATATATATATACACATATATATATACATATATATGTGTATATATATATGTATATTCAACCTTACTTGTTTTTTCTATGATTGAACACAGTTTCAATTTTCAGCTGTCAGTCCCTTTGCCTTAAATAAACCATCTTGAAAATGTCGGGGTTCCCTTTGCCATTGAGTGACAACTAAGTTTTAGAATGCTAAAATCTACTCAAGACATTGCAGGGTAGAGGGCACATATTAACCTTGATGGCATTTGTCCTTGCAGACGCTCCTTTGTCCATGAAGACACTCCTTGAGACAATTGTGGCCTCATCAGTACAGATAAGGTGCTTATGAGATGACCTTTGCTCCACCCATAAAACCCCTTTAGGTCTAGTGTTGGCACACAGGACTCTTTCTGATGCCTTTCTACTACTTTGAGTTGGATAAGTCCCTATGAGGCTCTCTCTAAGGCCCCACGTGTCTAGACTGACTACACAGCCACTTATTCTCTTGGGTTTTGTGCCTCCCCACAGCTTCACCTGGGAAGTAGAGTATTGAAACTCTGGCTCTGGAATACGACAATGCCTCCTTCCTCCCCACACAGGGATATCTAATCTAGCCTCTAGGAGAAACCTGTTTCCTCAAATCCTCAGCTCATATTGTTCTGTTTTCCCCTTGTATTTTTTTTTTTTTTTTTTACTATGTCAACAGTCATATTCAACAAAGCCAAACAAAGACGTTACAAGAAAAGAACATTACAGGCCATATCCCTAATGAAAATATATGCAAAAATCCCCAACACAATACTAGCAAACCACGTTCAACAGCACATTAAAAGAATCATTCACTATGATCAAGTGGGATTTACCTCTGGGATGCAAGGAAGGTTCAATATATACAAATTAAAAAATTGTGATATACCACATTAACAGAATGGAGGACAAAATCTATATGATCATCTCAATAGATGCAGAAAAAATCATTTGACAAAATTCTACATGCTTTCATTTTAAAAACTCTCAACAAATTATGTATAGAAGGAATGTACCTCAATACAATAAAGGCTATATAACAAAAACCCACAGCTGACATCATATTCAATGGGGGAAAGTTGAAAGCATTTCCTCTAATATCAGGAACAAGGCAAGGATGCTCACTCTCGCTATAGTTGCCAACATAACATGGTACTGGCATAAAGACAGACACATAGACCAATGGAACGCAATAGAGAGCTGCAAAATCAATATGAGCATTTACAGTCAATTGGTTTTTCACAAAGATGCCAAGAACACACAGTGGGGGAAGGACACTCTCTTTATTAAGTAATGTTAACAACAACTGGATATCCACATGCAGAAGAAGGGAATTAGACTGCATGTTACATCACATACAAAAAGCAAGTCAAAATAAAGTTTTAAATATAAGAAATATAAGACTTTACACTGTGACACTACTATAGGAAGCATTGTGGAAAGACTCCATGACATTGGCCTTGGCAATGATGTTTTGTATATAAACCCAAAAACATGGGAAACAAAAGCAAAAATAGAAAAATGTGATTGTATCCAACTAAAAAGCTCCTGCACAGTAAAAGAAACGAATGACAGTGTGAAGAGACAACCTACAGAATGAGAGAAAATATTTGCAAACTGCACATTTAATCAAGGGTTAATACCCAAAATATATAAGGAATCCAAGCAACTCAATAGTAAGAAAACAAATAATCTGATTTATAAAATGAGGAAAGGATCTGAATAGACATTTCTAAAAAGAGGAAATACAGGTGGCCAATAGGTATATGAAAATATTCTCAACATCACTAATTATCAGGGAAATGAAAATTAATACCACAATGAGATATCATCTCCCATCCGTTAGAACGGTTATTATCAAAAAGACAAAATATAACAAGCTTTGGCAAGGATATGGAGAAAAGGGAATCTTTACACACCGTTGGTAGGAAAGTAATTTAGTACAGCCATTGTGGAAAACAGTATGGAACTTCCTCAGATTAAAAACTAAACTAATATATGATCCAGCAATTCTACTACTGTGTGCATATCCAATGAAAATAAAATTATTATGTGGAAGAGATATCTGCAGTGCAATGTTCACGGCAGATTATTCACAATAGCCAAGATATTGAGTCAACCTAAGTGTCTATCAAGGGGTGAATAGACAAATAAAATGGAGTGTATATATACACAATGGAATACTATTCAGCCTTTTGGAACATGGAAATTCTGTCAATCGTGATAACAAGGATGAACCTGGAGAACATCATGTTAAGTAAAATAAGCCTGGCACAGAAAGACAAATACCACATGATCTTACTTATACGTGGAATCTTAAAACATCAAACTCATAGAAGCATAAAGCAGAATGGTGGTTATCAGGGGCTGGGGTGGAGGCAGTGACTGGGGACATGCTAGTCAAAGGATACAAAATTGCGATTAGCTAGATGGAATAATTTCAAAGGGCCTGTTGTACAACATGGTGACTATAGTTAATAACAACTTATTGTGTATCCCCAAATTGCTAAGAAAATAGACTTTATGTGTTATCACAACAAAGAATAATAAGTGTATGAGGTAGTGCATATGTTAATTAGCATGATTCAGCCATTCTGCAGTGTATAATTTCAAAACATCATGTTGTACACCATAAATATATACAATTTTTTTGTCAATTAAAAATAAGTTTAGAAATAGGGCATATCATTTAGGGTTTGATTAACAGAATAAATATTTTTAAAATAGGCATGTCAATTTCCTAAAAGCTTAATTTTTTTTGAAAACCCTAGCTAAGAACATTTCATATTCTCTGCTTTCTGCTTTATTATTCTTCTGAATAGTGAGCATAAAAATGGTTATCTACTTGGATTTGGGGTTAGAGATAGAAAGAAAAGTAAATTATTGAGAAAGAAGAAAATAGTAAATACTATCTTGTCACTTTTTCAAAGACTTCTTCACCCCCACAAGGTTGGCACAACTTTATAAGCATCTGGTTGCCCTTTCTTCCCGTTTTTGTGATAAGTCAGATGAAAAGTTAAATGGTCTAACAAAATTCACTCTTTTAAGCAATACGGCAGAGAATACTTTTGTAGAATAATTTTTGGTAAAATAAATAATTATCCTCTAATTGTTCTTAATATCTGGAAGTTTTCTAAACTACAGCCTATTTTTACCTTTATTTGGTCTGATACTTAGGTAATCGTGTGTGGATTTATCACTGACAACCTGGGTTATAAATTATAATAAAATTGCGTATGTGGGTTTTTTACCTTCATTTTAAAAGACCAGCTCATTAAAAAAATAATAATGCTTTAAGTTAAGAAAATATACATTAATGAAACTATGCTCAACTACTTTAAATCAATTATAAATTTTATTTATGAGTTCTTTGCTAGGATCACTGTCTACCCTGCAGCTCCCGACTTTAAATGACATATTCATAACTATGAAATCTATTACAATATAGCTTTTCACTGATTGAATTCATGATAAAAACATTATTATTTTTTGTTAGATATGTAAAATTAGATAGAATTCATCTCACTAGAATACATCTTTAGTTACAGTTTCATTGTATATTTTCTCAGCAAAGCACATGCCACCTGGTGGCTGAAAGAAGTATGTAACATAATAGGTTTCCAAAATACTGTGGAAAACCAAAGGTTCCACAATATCATTTTGAATCCGTTTCTAAACCAGTAGCAAACGTGTATTTTGGGGCAAGACGCACCACAGTGGCAAATCTTACACCTTCAAAAGTTAACACCCAGTGGAGTCTGTGTCAAATGGAGACACGAAACAGCAATACTCCATTTTAAGTATTTTTTAAAATCTTTCCAGAATTGTTTTGCATTTTGAAATATGTTTGCTTCTTTATGTCATGTCCATTTTACTAACAGAAGTAAAATTGTTTACATGCAGAATTGCTTGTCCTGGTACACACCTAGAAAACGGAGGTAAATATCTATTTTTTCCTTCAACTAACTAAGAAGGGAGGTGATTAGCCAATGTGGGAGGCATTTTTTTCTTCCAAAATTTTTACTGGAGTAGGCCCTATGTGTTAGATTCCATGCTAACAGAGGGTAAGGTGATAGAGAGGAATCTCTGGAGGAACTCTCATTGTATTGAAATTCAGAAAATCTGGCTTCCGGCTCACAGCCAGCTGGTTGTGTAAGCTCTGGCAAGCCTTAAGCCACCTGATGCACAGATAAGTTACATATGCAAGTCCTACGTTTTAAGGCTTTAAGTGGATTGATTTTGTGTGTGTGTGTGTGTGTGTGTATGTGGCTACAGTGGAAGTTTCTTTTATTTTTCGTTTTTAATTATAGTAAAAACACGTAATATAAAACATATCCTCTTAGCCATTTTAAGCATATATTCAGTAGTGTTAACTATATTCATATTATTGTATAACAGATCTCTAGAATTTCTCACTTGCAAAACTGAAGCTATACCTACTGAATTGAACAACTTTTCATTTCCCCCTACCGCAGCCCCTCATAATCATCATTCTACTTTCTTTTTCTATGCTTTTGACTACTCCAGATATCTAACTTAAATGGAATCATATAATATTTATCTGTCAGTGAATGGTTTATTTCACTTAGCATAAAGTCCTCTAGGCTCATCCATGTTTTAGCATGTGACAGAATTTTCTTTTTAAAAATGAAATAATACGATATGCCATTGTACATACCACATTTTATTCATCCATTTATCTGTCAATGGACATTTCGATTGCTTCTACCTCTTGGCTATTGGGAATAATGCTGCAATGAACATAGATGTACATATATCTCTTCAAGATCCTTTTTTCAATTATTTTGGAAATATATCCAGAAGTGGGATTGCTGGGTCATACGGTAATGGTGTGTTTAGGTGTTTTTGAGGGATCTTCACTTTGTCTTCCATAATGGCTGCATCATTTTACATTCCCACCAGCAAGGCACAAGGGTTCCAATTTCTCCCCGTTCTTGCCAACGCTCATTAATTTTTGTTTTTGTTTGTTTTACTAACGGGTGTCAGGTGATATCTCATTGTCATTTTGATTTGCATTTCTGTAATGATTAGTGATGTAGGGTCTCCTGTAATACACCTGATAGCCTTTTTTTTTTTTTTTTTTTTTTGAGACCTAGTTTTGCACTTGTTGCCCATGCTGGAGTGCAATGGCGCAATCTTGGCTCACTCCAACCTCCGCCTCCTGGGTTCAAGTGATTCTCCTGCCTCAGCCTCCTGAGTAGCTGGGATTACAGGTATGTGCCACCATGCCTGGCTAATTTTGTATTTTTAGTAGAGACGGGGTTTCTCCATGTTGGTCAGGCTGGTCTTGAATTCCCGACCTCAGGTAATCTGCCCGCCTTTGCCTCCCAAAGTGCTGGGATTACAGGCATGAGCCACTGTACCCGGCCTAACTTGATAGCCATTTCTATATCGCTTTTGGAGAAATGTCTATTCAAATTCTTTGCCTATTTTGTAATCAGGTTAACACCTTTGTTGTTTATTTGTAGGAGTTACTTATATAGTTTGCATATTAACCCCTTGTCAGATGTGTAATTTACAATTATTTTTCTTATTCTGTACATGGATTCTGTTTTTTATTCTGTTGATTCTTTTCTTTAATGTGTAGCAGTTTTTAAGTTTGATGTTTGTTTCATTAGTGTATTTTTGCTTTTGTTGCATGTGATTTTGGTGTCATATCTAATAGATTACTGCAAAATCTAATGTCATGAAGCTTTTCTCGTATGTTTCCCTCTAGGAGTGTTTTAGTTTAGGGCTTATATTTATATCTTTAATCTATTTTGAGTTAATTTTTATAAAGTATAAAGTGAGAGTCTAACTTCATTTTTTGCATGTGCCTATCCCAGCACCATGTTTTGAAATGACTATCCTTTCCCCATTGTGGGATCTTCGCATCTTGTTATATTATTTGACCATATACATGAGAATTTATTTTGGGGCTCTCTATTCTGTTCTATTGGTCTATATGCCTGTCTTTATGCCAGCACCATACTGTTTTGATTACTATAGTGTTGTAATATGTATAGAAATCAGCAAGAATGAGGTCTCCAATTCATTCTTGTTTATCAAGATTGTTTTGGTAATTCAGGGACCCTTGAGATTCTATACAAATTTTAGAATTTTTTTCCTGTTTCTGAAAAGGGCTTAGAATAATTTAACTAAATATTTAGGTTGTAAAGTGTAGCAGTCAGTGTTTTCTTAACCTCTTGGTTCACTCTAGCACGAAAAGCTGGCCACTGTATCTAATGATTCAACTTCCCTTCACTCCTATAAGAACATTTATTCTTCACCTACTCTTCCATGATGATCAGAGCAGATTCACCTCTCATTTTCAAAATATCTCCACCATTCATTATTCATACCATCCTGAGCCTATTATAGGAACTTACCAAATCATCCATTTTTAGCCATTGAATCTCCCTGCTGTGAATTACACCCTACAATCCTTGTCCCACTTTATTTTGTTTGTGACTTTTATTCTGTTTAGCCAGCTGTCTCTTCCTCCTTGGGCTTGCCTTGTGCATTATCTTCTAGGCCCTTAGCCAAGCACTAATCTTTCACTAATTAGGTAACCAACCACTAACCTGCTGCAGCTTCCTGCATGGGTCTTAAGCTCATCATCTTATCCCCAGCCCCAGGACACCAGATACTTTCCTTCCCTGAGACTGTCACAAAGTATGCCCCACCAAATATAGTGACTGAGAGAGTCACTGAGCTGCACAGTGCAATCTTTACATTTATAGTCAGCTGAACTTAAGAAACTTTGGACCTTTCCTCAGGACTCAGTGAAGTCTGTGCTACATCTGCCGGCAGCAAGATGCAAAGGCTGACTAAGCCTTATTATTCTGTTATCTTCAATAGTAAATGACTTGAGGTTACCTAAGAGGATGCATTCACTAAAAGTGGTAATGAAATGACTTACAAATGCGATCAAGAGGTTTAGAAAGTTCAATTTTTTGTGGCTTATGCAACCAACCCACGAGCAGTGGAAATAGCATCTTAGTCCATATTATCTAAAAATTTACCTTAGTTAACTATTCATTGATTGTTCTGTTATATTCAAGTAGTTTCATAAAATAGATCCACGATTTGAATGTGAAAATGTGCTTAAAAGTGTAAATGAATTGTGATGATAGCTACTGTTTGGTGATAAGATCACTAACTGACAAATAGTGTGCTAATAAACAATGAAGAGATTTTAAGCAGCAGAACTGCATCAGTGTTTAAGGATGTACACAGATTTTAAATGATTTTTAAAGACACACAAAAATACTACTAAGAGAAATATTCATGGACTTGACTATGAAATCAATCACATATATAGATGTATTGTAGTAAGCAGATCCAAGGAAACTAGCATGCATTGAAACATTATAATGTGGTAGGTGTTTGTACATGTGAGTTTACTTAATTATCACAATAAGCCTGTGGTGTAGATGGCATTATTGTCCCATTTCATATGTGAAGCTTTTAAACCTTAAAGAGGTTAAGTGTCTAAGGTCGCAGAGCTAATAGAAGGGCCAACACTAACACCCGGGTCTGTATGACAGCAAAATTAATTCGTTTTCTACTATACCGAGGGTTACGTGACAGCTTTGAAGGAAGAAGGATACCTCTGTAGCTCAAAGATGACTGAGGAATTCAGTATGTGAGGGTTGAAAATAAAGCTGATATTGAACATTTTGAATATTTGTTTCTCGAAGCTTATATGCTAAAGATTTCTAACATTAATATTTTCAGTATAAATACATATATACGTTATATATCTTACAGCAGCATGAATACGCATGTATGGGTCTTTTACATAAGTGACTGTACATTTTTTAAACATTCTATATATTTTGTCACTCTAGCTTAATATAACTTCTTAAAGATAAGGTCCATCCTTGATACACAATTGACTTGGCTTCTGGCTTGTGTAGAAATGTGTGCAAGTCCCTCAAATGCTCATGTTTCCCGAGGGGATAGAGAAAAAGGTAAGCACTTACCGTCTATGTACCCCACCCCAGCTCTGGACAGATCTTGGACTCTACAACCCCATTCACTCATTCAGCCAATGTTGTTTGACTACCTGTTACATGCAATGAACTGTGCTAGGCACAATGGGAGGCATGCAAAGATGAAAAATAAGACAAAAAATGGCCTCTTGAATTTATATTATCAGATCCACCAATCTGCCTGAAAATGTCCCAGCTGTCTTTGGTTTATCAAATGTATCACAAGTACCTTGTCAGAGTGGTTAAGTATTATATTCATTCATTCTCATAAAGCTTGTGGGCTCCAAACTTCAACCATGCTGTAAGAGCATGGGACTCTAACTTCAACCCATTTAAATTATTATTGCTGTGACAAGAACATTTTAAAATCTCTCAGTGAATCACCAGTGGTAGCAGCTTTACTTTTTAACACTAAGCAGCAGTTAGAAAATCATATCAAATATTCTGGCAATCTGTTTTAAAACTAATTCGATAATAATGTAATTAGCAAAGTAAGGAATATATTACTATTATGCTGTATTATGACTTAGCTGAAATTGCACATGCAGATGTATAATGTGGAATTTCTAAAAATTCCATTTAGAAAATTTAGCAGTGTATTTAAATATTTCTTATTCACAGGCACCCAGCTGTGATGGAGGAAGCTGTATTTAAATAGTCAAAATTGAAGGTGCCAGCAGATTTCAAACAGAACACGTGAAAGGGAACTTTTTATAAACTTTGTTTTCCTTCTTGGCACGGATTATTACAACACACTGAAATTGAGGTGTGAGGTTTATTTTAACCATCTAAGTACATTTAAACATTACATGATGTACTACTTTCTAAATGCATAACTGTCTGATAATATTCACTGAAAGTACTTGTCAACCTGTTCACCTGTGCCAGATACTATTAGCATAAGTGGTCACTAAATTAGTGTACATATTAGAGTACACCGTGAACAAGGTTTTACCTAAGGTGTGGCCATAGTTATTCAAAGCTAACATGCTTTATGCACTATTACATATACATATATATTACATATTATATATATTATATATAAATAAGATATATATGTACACACATATTTGTGTGTATATAATACATATACATATATTATATGCATACGCATATTATATAAACATTATATATTATATATACATATATTATATATAATATACATATATACTATATAATATATTATATATTATATGTATACATAGATACATATGTATACATGTATACATTATATATACTATATATTATATGTATACATATATTATATATATTATATATTTATATATACATGTATATATACATGCATATATGTATACAATTATATAATATATAATTGTACACATATTATATAATATATACTGTATATATATTATATATAATATATACTGTATATATATTATATATAACATATACTGTGTATATATTATATATAACACATAATGTGTATATATTATATATAACTATACAATTATATAATATATAATTGTACACATATTATATAATATATCCTGTAAAAATATTATATAAAATATATACAGTATATATAATATAATATATACATAATGTGTTATGTAAAATATACTGCATAAATATTTTTAAATAATTACTGAATCTAAATGAGAAATTATAAATACTGTATATATATGAGATATAACATATAATGTGTCTTTATGTAAAATTATACATTATGTGTATATATGATAATAAACACATTATGTGTATATATGATTTATTATACATAATGCGTATATATGATTTATTATAATTAATGAAACTATATGATTTCTAATACAAAATGTATATATGTAATTTTATATACTTATTGAATATGTATTATTTATAATACTTATTGAATATGTATTATTTACAAAACATAAAGAAGACGTATTTTATACTAAATAAAGAATACATGTTTAAAAATCCTAAATGAACACTTATCATACATTATAATAAATAATAACCTATGTTACACCACATATTATGTGTACATATGAAAGGTAATATATATGTATGCGTATCCTTCTTTATATCTTTTGTATACATGCCGTATATCACATACCATGTATACATATCCTATATCATCTACAATGTATCGATATTATAAGTATATGAGTGTGTATATAGATATCCTTGCCCCCATAATCGCGCGCTTCCCTACATGACCCGATACTCCCGCTTTATTCCTCCTCTATCCTCATTCTAAGATATCAATACCGAGACAAACCTGCGCATCTTCCATCCTCCTGCAGCTACGCCTATAGTATTACAATGGCCTTACAACTATATATTACTACATATTATAACGTATACATATATTATATATTTTTATATATTTATATATACACGTATATATACATGCATCTATGTATACAATTATATAATATATAATTGTACACATATTATATAATATATACTGTATATATATTATATAATATATATACAGTATATATTATATAATATATACTGTATATATTATGTAATATATACTGTATATATATTATATAATATATACTGTATATATATTATATATAATATATACTGTATATATATTATATATAACATATACTGTGTATATATTATATATAACACATAATGTGTATATATTATATATAACACATAATGTGTATATATTATTTATAATACATAATGTGTATATATTATTTATAATACATAATGTATATATATTATTTATAATACATAATGTATATATATTATTTATAATACATAATGTATATTTATTATTTATAATACATAATGTATATTTATTATTTATAATACATAATGTATACATATTTTATAATACATAATGTATACATATTTTATAATACATAATGTATACATATCATATATAATATATAATGTATACATATCATATATAATATATAATGTATACATATCATATATAATATATAATGTATACATATCATATATAATATATAATGTATACATATCATATATAATATATAATGTATACATATCATATATAATATATAATGTATGTATATTATATGTATATGTGTGTGTATATATATAGGTAGGTCAGAATCTGTGTTTCACTACAGGAAACTGTAAGGCCGTTTTTAAGTACCTTATAGCTTACTAAGAAAACGAATTATATATTATATAATATATATACAGTATATATTATAATATAATATATACAGTATATATATTATATAATATATATACTGTATATATATTATATAATATATACTGTATATATATTATATATAATATATACTGTATATATATTATATATAACATATACTGTGTATATATTATATATAACACATAATGTGTATATATTATATATAACACATAATGTGTATATATTATTTATAATACATAATGTGTATATATTATTTATAATACATAATGTATATATATTATTTATAATACATAATGTATATATATTATTTATAATACATAATGTATATTTATTATTTATAATACATAATGTATATTTATTATTTATAATACATAATGTATACATATTTTATAATACATAATGTATACATATTTTATAATACATAATGTATACATATCATATATAATATATAATGTATACATATCATATATAATATATAATGTATACATATCATATATAATATATAATGTATACATATCATATATAATATATAATGTATACATATCATATATAATATATAATGTATACATATCATATATAATATATAATGTATGTATATTATATGTATATGTGTGTGTATATATATATCTTTGGGCCAGAATCTGTGTTTCACTACAGGAAACTGTAAGGCCGTTTTTAAGTACATTATAGCATTACTAAGAAATCTATACAAGTAAGAGTGCAAGCTTCCTCATATTAAGGCAGGCATAGAATAAAAATGCAAGAATCATATGAATTTTTTTTCTTTTTCTTTTGGAAACGCAGAGTGGCAGAGAACAGGGGATTTTTAAAAATAGTATCTAATATTTTATTGAGGGCCGTGTGCAGCAGATATTAGTGCTTTACAATAGTATCTCTTAAGTCCTCAAAATAATACTATAAAGTATCCCTTTACCCACTGGGCCAGATACTATTAGCATAAGGGTCATAAATTAGTGTACATATTAGAGTACACGTGAACAAGGTTTTACTAAAGGTGTGCCATAGTTATTCAAAGCTAACATGCTTTATGCACTAATTACATTATACATATATATTACATATTATATATATATATATAAATAAGATATATATGTACACACATATTTGTGTGTATATAATACATATACATATATTATATGCATACGCATATTATATAAAACATTATATATTATATATACATATATTATATATAATATACATATATACTATATAATATATTATATATTATATGTATACATAGATACATATGTATACATGTATACATTATATATACTATATATTATATGTATACATATATTATATATATTATATATTTATATATACATGTATATATACATGCATATATGTATACAATTATATAATATATAATTGTACACATATTATATAATATATACTGTATATATATTATATATAACATATACTGTGTATATATTATATATAACACATAATGTGTATATATTATATATAACACATAATGTGTATATATTATTTATAATACATAATGTGTATATATTATTTATAATACATAATGTATATATATTATTTATAATACATAATGTATATATATTATTTATAATACATAATGTATATTTATTATTTATAATACATAATGTATATTTATTATTTATAATACATAATGTATACATATTTTATAATACATAATGTATACATATTTTATAATACATAATGTATACATATCATATATAATATATAATGTATACATATCATATATAATATATAATGTATACATATCATATATAATATATAATGTATACATATCATATATAATATATAATGTATACATATCATATATAATATATTGCTGTATACATATCATATATAATATATAATGTATGTATATTATATGTATATATTACATATTTATATTATATTAATATATAAATAAGAATATATATGGTACACACATATTTCGTGTGTATATAATACATATACATATATTATATCGCATACGCATATTATATAAACATTATATATTATATATACATATATTATATATAATATACATATATACTATATAATATATTATATATATATGTATACATAGATACATATGTATACATCGTATACATTATATATACTATATATTATATCGTATACATATATTATATATATTATATATTTATATATACATGGTATATATACATCGCATATATGTATACAATTATATAATATATAATTGGTACACATATTATATAATATATACTGGTATATATATTATATATAACATAATAACTAGGGTATATATTAATATATAACACATAATGGTGTATATATTAATAATAATAACACATAAATAGTGTATATATTAATTTTAATAATAACATTAATGGTGGTATATATTAATTTTAATAAATAACATAAATGGTATATTATTATTTAATTTTAATAATAACATTAATGGTATATAATATTTAATTTTAATAATAACATAATGGTAATATTTTAATTTAATTTTATAATAACATAATGGTAATATTTTTATTTAATTTTATAAATAACATAAATGGTAATAACATAATTTTTTATAAATAACATAAATGGTAATAACATAATTTTTTATAAATAACATAAATAGGTATAACATATCATATATAATAATAATAAATGGTAATAACATAATCATATATAAATTATTAATAATGGTATAACATAATCATATATAATTAATTATAAATGAAGAACATAGAGATTCATCGCATATTATATAAACATTATATATTATATATACATATATTATATATAATATACATAAAAACAATATAATATATTATATATTATATGTATACATAGATACATACGTATACATGTATACATTATATATACTATATATTATATGTATACATATATTATATATATTATATATTTATATATACATGTATATATACATGCATATATGTATACAATTATATAATATATAATTGTACACATATTATATAATATATACTGTATATATATTATATAATATATATACTGTATATATTATATATAATATACAGTGTGTATATATTATATATAACACACACTATGTGTATATATTATATAACACACAATATGTGTATATATTATTTATGACACAATATGTATATATATTATTTATGACACAATATGTATATATATTATTTATAACACAATATGTATATATATTATTTATAACACAATATGTATATTTATTATTTATAATACATAATGTATACATATTTTATAATACATAATGTATACATATTTTAAAAGACATAATGTATACATATTTTATAATACATAATGTATACATATCATATATAATATATAATGTATACATATCATATATAATATATAATGTATACATATCATATATAATATATAATGTATACATATCATATATAATATATAATGTATACATATCATATATAATATATAATGTATACATATCATATATAATATATAATGTATGTATATTATATGTATATGTGTGTGTATATATATATCTTTGGGCCAGAATCTGTGTTTCACTACAGGAAACTGTAAGGCCGTTTTTAAGTACATTATAGCATTACTAAGAAATCTATACAAGTAAGAGTGCAAGCTTCCTCATATTAAGGCAGGCATAGAATAAAAATGCAAGAATCATATGAATTTTTTTTCTTTTTCTTTTGGAAACGCAGAGTGGCAGAGAACAGGGGATTTTTAAAAATAGTATCTAATATTTATTGAGGGCCGTGTGCCAAGCAAGATATTAGGTGCTTTAACAAATAGTATCTCCTTAAGTCCTCAAAATAATACTATAAAGTATCTTACCATGCCCATTTTATAGAGTAATGAGGCAGGGAGGATGTGTGACTTATCAAATATCACATAGCTAGTAAGTAGTGGAGACCAGATTTGAATCCAATCGATTTGGCTCTCACATCTTCACTCTTTATTTTATTTTATTTTACTTTAAGTTCTGGGGTACATATGCAGGCTTGTCACATAGGTACACATGTGCCATGGTGGTTTGCTGCACCTATCAACCTGTCATCTAGGTTTTAAGCCCCACATGCATTAGGTATTTGTCCTAATGCTCTCCCTCCCCTTGCCCGCCACCCCCTGACAGGCCCTGGCGTATGATGTTTCCCTCCTTGTATCCATGTGAGAACGGAGGATGTTTTGGGTAGTGAAACTACTCTACATGATACTATAACAGTGGACACCATTATAGTGTCATATACAAAACCCACAGAATGTACAACACCAAGAGTGAACCCTTTTGTAAACTATGGACTGGGCTCCATAATGGTGTGTGAATCAGTTGTAATAAATGTACAGCTCTGGTGGAGGATGTTGATAAAGGGGAAGGTATGCATGTTTAGGGGTAGAGGGATATGGAAAATCTCTGTACCTTCTACTAAACTTTCCTGTGAATTGAAAACTGTTCTAAAAAATAGTCCATTAAGAAAAAAACACACAACAACAAGTTGTAACACTAGGACAAATAATAATTCAGTCAAATCATCATTAAAGCATGACGAAGCAGACCTCTTCTATTCACCAACAGATATTAAATTGACAGAAGCATAGATACTGTTTTCTTTTTAAAAAGGCATATTTGCCATTTAAAATAATTGGAAGTCTAATTTTGTATGGTCTTGTACCAAATGAATAACATAAATTGCTTCTTGGAACCTAGCAACCTATATCAGACAGTTTAAAAAAAGAACTAAAAACACACAAAAAATGGGAACCAAACATAAAACCAAGACATGTACAGAGTAAAGTAACATGAAACACCATTTAACAGCCTTTTAGCAAAGTGCTCTACATGATTAGCTAGATTGCAAAATGTGTAGAAGTTTAATCTCTTTTCTACAGGATAGTCTTCTAAATGACTGAGGACAGTTAAACTTCTACTTTTGCATCATTCCCTTCAGTGGTTTGTCATCTGACATGGTTTTCAGAAACTCAAAGTTTCCTCCTGGGTACTTTCTAGTTTAATATCTCTCTTGAAATATGGTAGCTGGAACTGAATACACAACTCCAGATATGCTATGTCCAACACAAAACAGAAGAAAATTATTAACACTTATTCATTATTATAAAGCCATTTGTATGAATAAAGCCTGTTTTCATTTGTGGCAATGACACCCACCACTGAGTCACATTGCGCTTGTACTCAGTTAATTCTGAACATGAATCTATATATTACAGACATAAGTTATCTTACAAGGTGTTAGGTAAAAGACCAGCCACTAGGATCACACAGCCTCCATGTGACCTTGAGCAAATCACCTCACCCTCTTTGGACCTCAATGTCCTCGTCTATAAAATGGAGATAATAAAATTGCTTTTTCATAGGGTTGCTGTGAGGAGTAGGTAGAATTATACATGGAAATCTCCTCAAACAAGGTCTGGCAGAAGGCAAATTCAAGAGTTATAAAGAACCAGGGACAGAGAGAGATCACGTCCATAGATGAAGGTTCATTAACCTAGAACAATAGGTAAAAGAATCACAATTTACTTGAATACGGAATCAGTATTTAAATACGTCTAGTAATGTTTTGAGAAAAAACATTCAGTGCAGAGGCCAGAAACAGAGAAGAAAGTAAGCCTTCTTGGATCTGGAGATTTCCCAGGAGAGACGAGAGAAATGAAGGCACGCAGGAAGCCACTTGCTTTAAGCAAGGAGATCATAAAAGTAAAGTTTAGGTGGGAGAGAGGGACATACAGAGATTATGAAAGTGACCCTGAAAGAGATTGAAATTTCCACAATTCCAAAATTACAACTGAACTTCCCAAATATTAATATAATGATGGTGCGAGCCTGAATCTACTTTGCACCAGAGTCTAAGCAGGTAAACTTAACATTGAATATTATATGACTATAAGTTGCAGTTTTTCTGAAACTATTTATTTATTTATTTATTTTGAGATGAAGTCTTGCTCTGTGGCCCAGGCTGGAGTGCAGTGGTGCGATGTTGGCTCACTGAAACCTCTGCCTCCTGGGTTCAAGTGATTCTCTTGCCTCAGCCTCCTGAGTAGCTGGGATTACAGGCATGTGCCACCACGGCTGGCTAATTTTTATATTTTTAGTAGAGATGGGGTTTCGCCATGTTGGCCAGGCTGGTCTTGACTGCCTTACCTCAGGTGATCTTCCCGCCTCGGCCTCCCAAAGTGCTAGGATTACAGGCGTGAGCCACCATGCCCGGCCCTCTGAAATATTTCTGATATCAAATTGTCTCTCTTAATATCAGACTGGGGGCAATTTTTGTTTCGAAAACAGAGACACTATCTTATTCTAGCAAGCATAAGAAATTATAGAGAAAGACAATGAGTGTAATAACTTTGAAAGATGGTTGAGCTCTATATAACCAATATCATGTGATTTCCTAGAACTAGAATCTCCATAAGAGCAAGTACTGTTTGGTTCAACTACCGAAACCATAGGGGTTAGCACAATTCCTGGTATGAAGTAAGTGTTCAGTGATGACCTGTTGAGTGAATGAAGCAAAGACATTTGTATTAACCTATTAACCTCAATATTTTCTCCATAGTGATTATGAGAAAAACACTTTAATCAAGAAGGGTATTTGGGAGGACAACAAAAAGAGCAACTGCTAAGTCCTATTTTATAACCAGTCTTACAGTGAAAAGGACCCTCAAGGGCTACAAAGTATTGCAGAAATGATAAAGATGAGAGAAACACAGGGTAATATATGGAAGCCTGTATAGAGGAAAAAAGATGAAGGTCCAAAGATCTTGTCTGGACCAAAGGCATTTAACTTGTGGAAGGGCAGTGTAGCTCCCCTAGATTTAACCATTATTAAAATTTTCATATTTACCTGTTATACTGTAATCAACTAGACATAGCCTTAGTTTCTTACTACTGCAAATAAAAGGTGAATGTAATCTTGGAAATTATTATAACCACTTTAAAATTAAATTTAAATATCTAAGCAAAATCAACCTGCTGAGTTCTCCAGATTTTCCACCAGGCACACAGACGTGTGCCACTACCTATGGTCCTTGCCAGTGTGACCACGTCACATCCTATGTAAGAACAGGCCAAGAGATTCGGAAGGTTGGCATCAATAAATGTCGTAATTTAATAAACTATATTATGGAACAATATGCCTATGAAAGTCACCTGCCATTGACAGTTTTGTCATCTCAGAAGATGAATCCTGATTACCAAGAAGAATTTTTGTTGCTGCTACACAATGTAAATAAAATCGAATATGTTCGGAACTGCCTTCTTAGTACTTCCACGCTGCCTCTTAATCTTTTCATCATCAAGAGAAAAGAGTAACGGAAAACTAACTCAAAAAGGAGGAAGGCAGGACTAAGGATTCAGACCCTTTGAGAATGTCACTGTATAGGAAAGAATACCTACTAACTGAGTCCTGGTTACAGCAAAGAAACATGGAAGGAGTATTGGAAGAAGGTATTCATAAGAATTATTTGTAACCTCATGAAAGAAAAAGGGCTGTATCAGCTATGCCTATTTCTTCCCTTGATTTTTGTGTGTGTACACACACACACAAACACACAAACATATATAATAATTCATACATATGTATATATACACGGTGTGTGGGTGTGTGCAAGTGCACACAATTTCTTTTTTCCTCTCTGCAATTTTCCCCCTTGTTATTTTATATGAACATTTTTGCTAGCAGTTAAGTTTACAATGTAAGCTTTAGATTATAAAATGTTCAGGCGGAATTTAAGGCTATTTAATATCAGCTAGAGATGGACATCATAAATGTTGGAACTTTGTGTTAGGAGAAAGGGGAAAACATCTTTATTTGGAGGAAGGATAGAAAGCATAGAGTTTTGTTTTATAGAAGTTAAATATTTGTAGGAAGGCTACAGATCGTAAGTAATCAGAGTAAGCTGTGGTGATTGTTATTAAGCTGTTGTCTCTCAGCTACAAATAAACAATTCTATACATTGTTTTGTGGTGCTGGCACCAGGATGGGACTCTGCATAACACATGTCTCCTTTGCTACCTGGTTTTGCCAATAGGGGCACTAGAGGGAGGCTACAAAATTGAAAGAGAAAGAAGACATCTGATCCTTCCTGATTACTTGCTAATCCTGTCAGCCTTGCCCAACCACTGCCCTTTACCCTGCCAGTAGCAGTTAGTTCCAGTCTCAATTTTCCTTCCCAAAAGCGTTTTTTTGTTCATCCATGATGACTATACTAGTTACCTGCCTTATAGAGTCATCAAGGAAAAATTTTGTGCATCATACTGAGAACCAGGAGACACGGGTTTTTTTAATTGTTGTTTATTTTTGTCTTTTTCTTGTTCCTAACTTACAAGCTAATGTAACCTTAATCAAGTTAGCTTTGTGCATTTCTTATTTTATAAATAGTGATGTGTTTTTTATAATCTACAAGAGTGTTGTAAGCATAAATAAGAAAATACCTGTGAAAAGCCTTAGATTCAGAAAAGAATAAAATTTTGTGCTAAGATTCAATATGGCCAAAGAAATAATTGTTAATATTAAGCCTTTTGGAAAATATACAGGCACCAATCCAGATGAATGACTAATAAACAGAAAATCAGTCAAATAAAAGTACAGCAGTAGTAGCAGGGAAAATATGTTTTTTTTTCTTCCCAAATAATTTATTTAAAGAAAAATTAAACTTCAAGTAGATTGAATAGCAAAAGGGAATTTCAGTATAAGATGCTAAACACCAAATATTTTGGAATGGCTATTTTTTTGGCTTTCATCTATCTTTCTTTGTTTATGGAAGAGAGTACAAGAGGAGGTGGGAGGAGTTTGTTTATATAGTAAAGCTATGAAACTGAGAAGAGTAATGACAAATCTTGACTACTAAATTTCTAATGTAATCTTTGCTCAAACTCCAGTGCAACAATCCCATAAGAACTGTTTATCGGTGCTGGGATGAGGAAAATCACGAGTTAAGTACTATGTTAGAAAAAAAAAAACAGAAAATTTTTTAAAAAGGGTAAAATCTCTTGACATCCATAAATAACAATTAGTAGACATCACTGTCAGGCTCAGGTAGAAGTCCCAAGGCTAAATGGCTATAAGAAGTATATTTAAAGTCTGTTTTGACCTATTAAAACAATCAAAATATAAAGAAATCCACATTTTAGCCTTGTTAAAATAATTTTAGTAGGATTTCTCTCTTTCTTGAAGTATTTATCAATTGGCCCATTTAAATATTGAGGCACATCTGTGTATACTGGTTAAAAATAAAAAGTAATAATGTAAAACTAGACCTGCTTATATTTAAGATACTATTGCCAGCTGCTCTTGTTTCCTGAGAACCAGTTGCAGTTTCCTGCTTGTTATTTCTCAATCACTAGATACATACATACATATATGTATGTATAAAGTAGAGAAGACAGTTTTTATTGTATTTGGCTCTCAGTTCCACTCGGGAAGCCAAGTCCCTAACACTATATACACTGTATACAGCTGGCGCTCAGTATCAGTGCATTCAACCAACTGTGGACACAATGAGATTGCATCTCACGCCAGTCAGAATGGCAATTATTAAAAAGTCAATAAACAACAGATGCTGGCAAGGTTGTGGAGAAATAGGAACACTTTTACCCTGTTGGTGGGAATGTAAATTAGTTCAAGCATTGTGGAAGACAGTGTGGAGATTCCTCAAAGACCTAGAACCAGAAATATCATTCGATCCAGTAATCCCATTACTGGGTATATACCCAAAGGAATATAAATCATTCTATTATAAAGATATATGCACGCATATGTTCACTGAAGCACTATTCACAACAGCAAAATCATGGAACCAACCCAAATACCCACCAGTGATAGACTGGATGAAGAAAATGTGGTCCATATACACCATGGAATACTATGCAGCCATAAAAACAAACGAGATCATGTCTTTTGCAGGGACATGGATGGAGCTGGAAGCTATTATCCTCAGAAAACTAATGCAGGAACAGAAAACCAAACACCACGTGTTCTTACTTGTAAGTGGGAGCTGAACAATGAGAACACATGGACACAGGGAGGGGAACAACACACATTGGAGCATGTTGGGGGGTGGGGTATGGAACGCATCAGGAAAAATAGCTAATGCATGCTGGGCTTAACACTTAGGTGATGGGTTGATACGTGCAGCAAACCACCATGGCACACGTATACCTATGTAACAAACCTGCACATGTACCCCAGAGCTTAAAATATGAATTTCAAAAGATCTTCATAAAAATAACAATAGAACAATAAAAATAATACAGTATAACAACTATTTACATAGCATTTACATTGTATTAGATATTACAAGTAATCTAGAGATAATTTAAAATATACAGGAGAATGGGCATAGGTTATATACAAGTACTATGCCATTTTATGTAAGGGAATTGAGCATCTTCGAATTTTGGTATCCTGGGGGTTCTGAAACCAACTCCCCACAGATACCAAGAGAGGACTGTAATGTTCACACCCCTGAAAACAACATGAGGATCTCTTCCTTTTTCATGATTTGCAAATCAAATTTGAGAAGACCCTTATTGTTTTGGTATCTTCTTCCATTTTATTTCTTTTGCATATGTGAACTACTTCAATTTCTGGCCCTTCCAAATGATTCCATTTCTTATTTTATAGAACATTTCCTGTTAATGTACTTTCCAAATATGCCTGGCACATGGTAAATTTTGACTCTATATTCTGGAGGAATATCAAAAATTTGGACTGTGTCATCTCCAGAAGGACATACAAGTTGTTGACCTTGCCATGTGATGGAAGGCAGTGTTCTGATTTTCTTAATTTCCTTGAATATGTGCCATGGAAGCTTACCATTATTGCCTTTAACTATAGTATTTCACAACATTTTATAAAACCGAGAAATTTAGTAAAGTTTGAGAATGAGCGGTCAGTAGTTAAAGGACATGTTCAATCAATACATTATATAGTATTGTTTATTATAACACAATACATGATATAGTATTGTTTAGTATAACATAGTCTCATCTGCTTTATCACTAAACTAAGTGATCTTGGAGGACAGAGGCAGTTTCCTTCACCTTGGCACCCAAAGTCTGATGAATTATAGGCATTCAATAAAGATTTAATAAACTGTACTTTATGGTTGAGCAGATTATTTGTAGTCAGTCACCTCTACTAAAACTCCATATGTTCTTGAAATTCTTGGAGTTCTTGGAGAACAAAAGGAAAGATAATTTTCTATTACTAGGACAGAATAAAACATGCTCATTTGTTTTAGGTGTACATTTTGATTCTTCCAATGTGCAGCTATCAAATCAACCATTAGGATGGGGATGGCAAGGGCGAGTGGTACTGGTTTGTTTCAATTCTGGAGAGCTTATGTCTATGTGGTTCACAATGTGATATGGCTCACTAGGAAGACTAGGAAGTCTCAGGATTAAATTTGCCCTTTCCCAGAAAAGCTCTGAGTACAAATGTGTTTAATTCAGAATTTTCAATCAGTGATAAAGAGGACAATATGCTTCGTTTTTTAAAAAAAGGTAATTACTTGAAGTGGTTAATGAGTTGACTAAGAACAAAAACCTGCTTGAGAGTTATGTGTAATTTAGATATTGTGTGCACGAGTATGCTGAAATGCCATTTGTTTCTCCTTTATCCATTTTCCCCTGTAGGCTGGTCTGTTCTTGCCACTAGTCTTAATAAATGATAAAATCAGAATCTCAAATGAATTGGAGATACCTTATATAATATTTAATAATGAGCTGAAAAAGAGACCCAAACACATTCACTATTCACTTTTTGAGCCACAATCCAGTTAACCATCAGTCCTTGACCGTCCTTTGTTACTACAAAAATACTGTATGAAACTATCTCCTTACAGAGTTTCCACTGCTTACCAAACTCAACTTGTTTTACAGTAAGACACCCTTACCTCGGAAATTTCTCTTTTACAAAATCTGACAACTTTTTACAAATGCTTTTAAACCAAAGAGAATTTGTCAATATATTTAATTTCGTGTTTAAATTTTGGTAGTAACTTTGAGACCGTCAAACTATCATGTAAATCTTTCTGTTCGCAAGACATAATTGGAGAAAAGATCAGCACAACTCTGGCCACTCACTAAATTTTATATTGGAAAATGGCGTTTCTTTGACCTTTGTCCAGATATCCTCTTAAAGTATACAAGGAGGGGTAGGAATGGAAGATAAGAGTCCCAGAACCATGGTCCCCTCACAGGGATAGCCTGCCATATGTCACAGAGGACAGATTCTCAAGGAGAAAATCTGGATGACTGTCAACAAAATTCCTCTCCTTTCAAGGCTCAGGAAACTCACATCTCAAAACACAGGCAAAGAAATGAAAGGAATAATCATTATATGGTCCATTTGTGATTTTTTTTCATTGCCCTGAGTGGCTGAATCCTGTAGTTTGGCTTTCTGGATATTTCTTCATCCATAAAGATAATAAAAATGAAATTTCATAGAATAGCTTCAGCTATAAATGGAAGTAAAATGCCCAAAAACTTGAACTATATGGGGAAAAAAAAAAGTTGTCTAGAGGCCATCCTTAGAATATTTTTTTTTAACCTTAGAATTGTTTTACTAGAGAAGGTATAAATAGAATCGAGATGATGTAAGTTAGATGTCAACATTTCCAACAATGAATATTGTAAGAAAAGTCAATTAACAATGGATACAATAGGCACTATATCTGTCTGAATAGTTATTAGATGATTGAGATTGAATTAATTTACACATAATTTATCACACGAATGTGATCTTAGGTATAATTGCATCACACCTTGTCAGATCTGACTTGCTTTTCTCTAAAAACAGCATATGCTACTCTTATGACAAAATAATCTTAGATAGAACAATACTAGTTCTTCAATGAGAACACATGGACACGGGAAGAGGAACATCACACTCTGGGGACTGTTGTGGGGTGGGGGGAGTGGGGAGGGATAGCATTAAGAGATATACCTAATGCTAAATGACGAGTTAATGGGTGCAGCACACCAACATGGCACATGGATACATATGTAACAAACCTGCACGTTGTGCACATGTACCCTAGAACTTAAAGTATAATAATAATAAAATAAATAAATAGAAAAAAAGAATACTAGTTCTTTAAGTCATTAAGTTTCTAAAAATATACATTTCCACTGGCAAAATGATAAAATTAGTGCCCCCAACTCACTTGAACTTTTTTTGCACATATATTACAAACAATAAAGCTATATACACGTTGGTTCATTTTTTTCCTTTCCTTTCTCTTTTCCTGTTTGCTTCCCTAAAAAAAAACCAGTGATAAGATTCAGAAAAATATATTTTTAACATTCTTTCCAGGGCCATTATGAGGAACTTTGTTGCAATAATGATAATACCCACTTTTCGTGGGTCTGACATGTAGAGGATGAGATTCTAGGTTAGTCTGGCAAGCAAGGCACGTACGATTATTTTAAAAAATAGTAATGGAGTCTGCAATCCTCAATTCTACAGAGATTGTTGTTAAAATTAACTTTTAAAAAAACTAATAATATGTGAAATGAGAATAGAAAAGTAAGTAAAGGATACCAGGTGGGGTAAGAACAGGTGGATTTATTTTTAAATAATAGTTCTAGCTTTTGAAATAAACAAAAGATACACTGAATTAATCCAACCACTCTCTTCTACTCGCCATCCTTAGACTCGAGAAGGGAAATAATACATGGTCTGAATTATTTGTTTTTTTGTATATGTGGAAGTCTTTTCTGTTTATAAACAGAAGGAAATAAAAATATTCTGCCAGAAAGACACAGTGCTAGGTGTTTGTCAAACATTATACTTGTTAATCCTCATAAACTCAGGACTATTGAGTTTGTCCTGCCCACTTTACAGAAAAGGCAATGAAAGCGCAGAGAAGTTAACTGCCCTAACTCACAGAACTATTAAATAGTGAAGCAAGAAATTAACACCAAGTTCATCTGGTTCCAAATTTCACACTCCTGAAACCCTGATAGATCTAATTTTATGTTTCCTGAATATTTACAAAACAGCAACAATTTCAAAAATTCTGTAATTAATTTTCTGAATAATTCACTGGAGAGCTTACCCTCAGTGAGCTCCCCATGACTGGGTGTATTCAAGCACTGAGTGTTCATTTGATAAGATATCAGTTTTGTGAGTGCTTAAACTAGAAGAACTTTGAGGTTCCTTCAAACCCTGTTTCTAATTGATAACCAAACTGTGCACCTGAAAGAGAAGAAATTCTCTGTGATGACAATTTTTCCTATACCCTGATCCCTTTACATGGGACCTGAGGACTGTTTACTCACGGCAACCTTACGTGGGTAGACATTACTCAATTTGAGTCAGAGTTGGGAATTAGCAGCTCCAAATTCAAACTGAAAAAGAAGGTAGTCAATCACAGATGCATGACACTAGCTTACACAGATGTTCTGCTTTCCTCTGACTCACTCTTTGAGGCTTGGAAAGGGATAAACTTTATTTTAATATAGCAATTGCAATACAGTCATACCATAACTCATATTTTTATATTATGCCTTTTCTGCCTTGTTTTATGCCTCCGGTTTTGACCCAACTTTTGAATTGTTCAAGAGCCTCTAAAACAAAGGAGGAGGAGCTGAGAACAAGATCAACTTTTTATTTTTTTTATTTTTAATTTTTGTGGGTACATAGTAGGTATATATATTTATGGGGTACATGAGATGTTTTGATACAGGCATGCAATGTGAAATAAGCGCATCATGGAGAATGGGATATGTATCCCCTCAAGCATTTGTCCTTTGAGTTACAAACAATCCAATTACTCTTTAAATTATTTAAATGTACAATTAAGTTATTATTGACTATAGCCACCCTGTTGTGCTATCAAGTAGTGAGTCTCATCCATTCTTTCAAGTTATTTTTCGATATTATCTCACTCCAGTTAAGATCACTTTTGAAAGAAAGATTTAAGTTTATATTTCTAAGGAAAAGTAATATTGTTATAAAAGCATTGAAAAAAAGACCCTCAATGCTTTTGCAAAACAATAATGTTTTGCTAGCTAGGGACAACACTGTGGTTCCCGAGATAGAGTGGAACACGATAAAAACAGAAAGATTTTTATCAACTTACTATCTCTCTGATAAAGCTTCAGTTGGTGTTATGGAACTTTTACAGCCCATAAGAGTAATTCTCACACTAGACTGTTTAGCTATTAACTTCCTATTTTTTATTTTATGATCTTTATTATCTTTGAGTTGTCTGAGGGCTGTTGAGCTTGTGGCTGGGCCCTAATCTTTGACAGTGAGATTTCTCCAAGTTAGAGAATATATAGAAAAGAGACACTATTTTGTCAGCATCCCTGGCTTAGCAATATTCTAAACCACATAGGTAGTTCTAGTTAGCCATAGGGACAAGTACCCATTAGGGGCCAAAGTTACAAAGACCCTGCAAAACAACATACCCCTCTTTATTATTATTCTAGAAATAATAATTTCTGAGTGAAGTGTTATTTGAAAAATTAGCCAATGCCTTGCTACACAGACTGTAATACATTCACACCTGATGCCTGAGTTTCTGAAAAGGACACCAGGTTACCAGCTGTACTATAAAGAAGTCTGAGCAAAATGGAAGGTCAGGTTAATTGATATAACCTAATCAAATAATCAACTAGTCTCACATTTTCCAATTCATTTGGTATCCTATTTTATAACAATCCTTTTGTCTTAACTGGAATAAGTCTAGGGATGAACACTACTGCTTTGCTTGGTGTGGTGGTTAATAATGAGCGTCAACTTGATTGGATTAAAGGATGCAAAGTATCGATCCTGGATGTGTCTGTGAGGGTGTTGCCAAAGGAGATTAACATTTGAGTCAGGGGGCTGGGAAAGGCAGACCCACCCTTAATGTGGGTGGGCACCATCTAATCAGCTGCCAGGGAATGTAAAGTAGGCAGGAAAATGTAAAAAGGTGAGACTGGCTTAGCCTCCCAGCCTACATCTTCCTCCCATGCTGGATGCTTCCTGCCCTTGAACATCAGACTCCAAGTTCTTTAGCCTTGCGACTCAGACTGGATTCCTTGCTCCTCAGCTTGCAGACAGCCTAATGGGGGACCTTGCGATCATGTGAGTTAATACTACTTAATAAACTCCCATATATATATATATATATATATATATATATATATATATATATATGTATATATAAAATATATAAGTGTGTGTATATATATATGTGTGTGTGTGTGTGTGTGTGTGTGTGTGTGTATATATATTAGTTCTGTCCCTCTAGAGAACACTGACTAATACACATGGCTTCATTTGGTGATAGTGAAAGTGATTATCCCTAATAAGGAACATTTGAGACATCATCACAGATTCAGAATCAACTCAGGTATGAGAGTTGAAAGAGCAGAATGGATAGAACAAGGCTACTACTGGCAAAAGGTAAAATCAGTTGATTCAAGAGACCTTGTCATGCATAATTGATGTGAACTGTTTTTAATGTCATTTATTTGTTTATTCCTGTGCTGAGTATTCATACTTTAATACTTGAAAACATTTATGTCTCAAGTATTCATCTTTGGAAAATTTATTCTGCTTTCAAATCTATCCCTTTCTCTTTTTTTGAGACAGGGTCACTCTGTCGCTCAGGCTAGAGTGCAGTGGCTTGATGATGGCTCACTGCAGCCTTGACCTCCTAAGCTTGAGCGATCCTCCCACCTCAGCCTCCCTAGTACCTGGGACTACAGGTGCACCCCACGATGCCTGGCTATTTTTTTAAATTTATTTTTTAAAGAGATGGCTTTTCACCTTGCTGCCCAGACTGTTTGTCTTGGCATCCCAATGTGCTGAGAATACAGGCGTTAAGTCACCCTGCCCAGCTTTCAAGTCTATTCTGCTTTCAAAGTTAAAAATTCCCTAATCCCCCTGTGAAAACGAAAATGTGGTGTACTGGAAAAACCTCAAAGATCTGGGGTCAAATCTTGACCATCACTTACTCACCATGTGACCTCGGGCAAACTGTTTACCTTCCCTGAATTTTATTTTATTTTATTTTATTTTATTTTATTTTATTTTATTTTGAGAGAGTCTCAGTCTGTTGGCTGGGCTGCAGCGCAGTGGCATGGCCACAGCTGATGGCAGCCTTGACCTCCTGGGCTCAAGTGATCCTCCCGCCTCAGCCTTCCAAGCAGCTGGGGCTACAAGCATGTGCCACCATGCACCACTGATTTTTGTATTTGTTGTAGAGACGATTTTTCCCATGTTGCCCAGGCTGGTTTTGAAATCCTGGGCTCAAGTGATCTCCCCACCTCAGCCTCCCAAAGTGCTGGGATTACAGGAATGGGCCACCATGCCTGGTCACTTAACCTCATTTTTAAAATAAGTATGATAATCCCTTCCTTGTTCATAGAACTAAATGAAATAATATTTGTAGGCAGCACAGCAAAGAAGAGGCACTCAACAGACAGTAGCTACTATTGAATGGGTTAATTATGATCTGAAAACTTCCTTTCATGTTCTAAATTCCAGAAAATTTGTAAAAATGGGCTATTAGTATGTTTTTCAAATTATATAGATAGAAAAAAGGGTTCCATTGTTAAGTAAGTCTGTGAAATGCCACATGCCATATCCCTTTTCCCTTGGTAAATAAAAGCTCATTTAAACATAATTAATTGTGTTGAAAAATCCCAAAGTAAAAATAAAATGTTTAGCTTTACGGAACCAAGGGTCTTTTAAACTTATTTGATCATGGAAACATTTCTTCCCAGAAGATATATTAACATCCTAAGAACTTTCTTGTATTCCACTTAGAGAAATAGCAAGTGTGTGACCGGACACGGTGGCACACGCCTGTAATCCCAGAACTTTAGGAGGCCGAGATGGGCGGATCACCTGAGGTCAGAAGATTGAGAACAGCCTGGACAACATGGTGAAACTCCATCTCTACTAAAAATACAAAAATTAACCGGGCATGGTGGCACATGCCTGTAATCCCAGCCACTCAGGTGGCTGAGGGAGGAGAATTGCTTGAACCCAGGAGGCAGAGGTTGCAGTGAGCCGAGATCACACTAACGCACTCCAGCCTGGGTGACAGAGTGAGACTCTGTCTCAAAAATAAATAAATAAAAATGAAAGAGAAATAGCAAGTTTGTAACTGTTAAAATGCCAGAATATAAATAAATCTTCAATATTAAAATACACTGAATCATCTGTGATACCTGGATACGAAAATTAAGGCTGATTTGATTTTGAGCAGCAGCCTAAGACAAGGCAAGATAAATGAGGAATACAGTGAAAGTGAAAGACCGCTGACTAGGGCCAAGACTTGGCATTATAATCACTTTCGGTTGGTAGTGTTTTAATGACTTAATTCCAAACTGCCTTCGGAACGGAGGGTATACAGGATCTTGTTGAAATTCTTAGTGCAGTTGTTTTTTTCCCTGATGGAGGGAGACACAGTATATCAGTGTAGACCTACGATTCTGGTTGTACTCCTAAAAAGTCAAGATGAAATAAGGTAAAACATTTGGAGGAAGACCGTGAGAGTATTGCAAAACTCACAATATTTGCATGCTTACATTTTAGGAAGAACATCAATTTTGTTTTTCTTTCAATGGCCATAAATAGTGCTGGAGTTTTCTTAACACTTTTATTTATGTATATATTCACTTCCTTTGTTAAGCTAGCAATTCTGTGTCATTTCCTACTGTTCTATTGGGATGTCACCTGTAGTTCTAGGGGACGGAAAAGGGACTGTGGGACTAAAGGATTGGGTTAATTACTTTGAAAGCAAAATAAGCATAAAACATGGAAGTTGTTACTTCTGTTTTATTTTATGAGTGTCCACTTTATCTTTTTAAGTAGCAAAACATTTTATTTTAAAGCATTCATTTAAAAAAGTTGAATATTAATCACAGATAAGTTCTTAGGAATATTATGAATTGTAATTTATCGATGATCTAGCTACAGTGGCTTTCAGATTTG
This sequence comes from Homo sapiens, assembly GCF_000001405.40. Classification (NCBI taxonomy): domain Eukaryota; kingdom Metazoa; phylum Chordata; class Mammalia; order Primates; family Hominidae; genus Homo; species Homo sapiens. The sequence goes on along the minus strand of NC_000023.11, from coordinate 143,638,044 downwards.
TCTCCATATCCATATGAAAAATAACATTTCACAGTTATTGCAGTTAAATATAGCCAAGTCTCAGAACAGTTTCTAAAGTTGAATAAAGATAGGCATTTAAATCATCTGATATTTACTGTCCAAATCTGGCCTTTTCAGTTATCACATTACTTAGAATTTTCAGGTAAACTTTTTTTGCTCATTCTATTGACTCTTGTTAACATTTGTAGTAAAAGACAAACATTTCACCTATCTGGATAAAATATATTCAGCTTCCTGAATTGTTAGCATTTAGAATAAATGCCAACTTGTTTTGATACCCATTACTACTTTCAAACTGCATTACACAATAAAATGCAAATGTGAGTTATTAATTAGCAGGATCTGTTTTGTCCAAGTGTGCAAGAGTAGAGGGATTTTTCAACATTCTGCAGCTGTTACCTATGAAGGAAACATCATTCACTTTGCTAAAAGGAGCTGCACAATTACATACGCTGTTATAGACAAATATTTTAGTGTTTCCTTAATGCTATTTCATAATGGATTTCACATTGAATAAGATAAATTTTACCAATGCTGCCCAATTTCTGTCTCTAGGTTGTTTGTAAAAGAGAGGATGATTACAGTTTTCAAGGCAATGTGGAGTGAAGGTAGAGAAAGAGTTCTTCATGAACGACACAATATTTAGCAAGGTCATAAAGAAATATGCCCATACACGCATATCTATTTAAGTATTCATTTACATATTGTACGTGCATCTCTGTATACATGTTGTGCCCGGTGAACATTTGTGTGAATATAACCTGACGGAAGTCCCATAAAATGACAAAAAATGAAAAACAATGAAACATGTATATGAATGACTACTATAGATGATACAGAAGGTAGACCATTATTCACAAATAATGTAATAAATCCTTTGCCCATCAGATGTTTCTACCTAGATTTGGGGCCTTTAAACATCAACCAATTATGGTAAATGTTTAACTGTAGGAGTTCAGGCAGACAGCCAAATTCTGGTTTCAAAGCTGTTGCTAGTTTTAGCTTAAAGATTTTTTTTTTCATTTTTAAGCAAGAACATTTCTGGATACCGGTTGTGCTCTATTGTGGCTAGAGCCGCTGGGATTTGAATAAGTAAATTGGGCAACACACTGGTCCTGAAGAAATGGGCCTGGCAGTATTACCTGAATGTGGCAAATAATAGGCTACCAAGAGTCCTAGGGAAATACTTCCCATTTATAACTTAGCTCTACTTACCTAAAGCTAGTTTATTCCCACAGACACGAAGAGAGAGAGAGTTGTTTTTCTTAGCCAAGCTCCTACAAAAAACAGCAAGGTTGGGGGATGGGAGCACATCCAATGTTTATGCCTTTTGTTTAGGAAAGCCAGGTATCTGAAATACATACATGATAGCCAACTCCTCTCTGCTCCCCTCCCCCAGGTTTATTTATTTTCTTAACAAGCTTATTAACGAAATTATCAATTTGCATGAAACTGGTTTGAACATTGGCCCTTCCTCAGAATATTTCTTATCTCTTGTGGAAGCACTAACAAAAAGGGTAGAAGAAGGGGCCTAGACAATCCACACGTTGGATTTGCAGCCACTGGATATTTCAGATTCAGCTGCTAAAGCCTCTTTGGTATACACAATGAGGGGCGACTGAAGTGACTTTTCTTAGTCCATTTCCTCTCCTTCTCCCCGTCTCCCGAAGGTACTCCGTGGGTCCCTTCCCTTTCTCTCTTCACAGTCCCTCCTGAGCAGTCCCAAAGCTTCAAACCTTGTTCTCCAACCCCCTTTCCCTAATGTCTCCCAACTACCACCCCCTTCCCCAGTCAAACTCCCCTCCCGGTCACCACCAAAGCCCGGAGAAGTGGAATGCACACAATGCCTCCCTTATAGGGCTTGAGCTGGGAACTGGGCATGCTCAGTAGCCAAAGTAGTTTTTTTTTTTTTTTTTCTTTTGGTCGCAAGTGCGGCATCTCTCCCAGTCCCACGCCTCTCTTTCCTCAACCCCTATCCCCTATCCCCTATCCCCACCCCCAGCTCCAAGATCATCCGGCTTAACCCATTCTGCACCAAAGGCCCACGGAGTTCTAAGGTGCGGATAATTAACCCGTCTCCTTCTAACCCGGCTAAATAGTCTCACTTTAGGCTAAAGCCTCACACTTTCGCCTTAAAGCCCCTGGCCCCTTACGCGCAGACAGGTAGGGGGAGTGCGAATACTACTGGATCCTAGGAAATTGGTTCCCAAGAAGGCTCCTTCCAGGATCGACCGCCACGGAGAAGTATTCCAGGAGCCCTCCGTTCTGCGGGGTGACAATTAGCCAAAGGTACCGTACCCGTGATACAAAATCCAAGTATGATTGTTGCATTTGAATGTCATTGTTGTTGACTCATTCCCCTCCATCCTGTAATTATTCAATTCCGCGTAGACTCGACGACCCTATCGATCTCCCTCGGCCCCCCTCCCCCAGGCTCTCCAGTGTTTCTTTGGCTTTTCCTGGCTTCTTGGTTGCTCTCTCAAAGGAATGCCCCGTGTGTGTGTGTGTGTGTGTGTGTGTGTGTGTGTGTGTGTGTGTGTGTTCCTTCGTTATTAGGGGACTGGAAGAGAAGAAAAGGGCTCGAGTGTGTGTGTATGTGGTGGGGGGGATGGAGGCGAGTGCGCCCTTGTTAGAGGACTGGGGTCTCCACGCCTGAGGAAAGGGGTCGCTCCTCCCTAGGGAATGTTTTAGGCAAAAAGAGGGGGCGGATGCCGGGAGGAAAGCGCGCTGTCTTTCTGGGTGTGTGGGTAGAAGAGGAATCAAATGGGCATGTCTGGATGGGGGACGGGGGTAGGAGCTCAGGAATGTGAGGGGGTCAAAGTGGTCGAGTGTCGGGAGGAAGGACTGCTTGTGTGCGGGGTGGGGGGGGGTGGTGGAGAGCGGGGGCGGGGATTCAGCGCGTGTATGTAAAGGTGCAGCCCGTGTGCTAGGCGCTGGGTGCGCGCGCGGTGTCTGCTCGGGTGCGCGCGCGCGCCGCTGCCCGCCTGCCCGCCGGCCCGCCTGCTCGCCTGCTGGGGCTGCTCCGTGGGTTTGACGGGCGAGCGGGCGCGGAGGAGCTCTGTCCGGAATCACATAGATACCATCGTGGAAACAGCAGCGCAGGTCACGGCGCCGCGGGCCCTGCACCAGACGCTGGGCTCTAGAGGTGGGTGAATTTTCAGCGGGGGCTGCACAAGCTGCACCGACACGCGTGCTGCCTCTTCCCCGCTCAGCTCAGTAGCGCGTGTGCGTGCGTGTGTGTGTGTGAGAGAGAGACAGAGAGAGAGAGAGAGATCTCGCGCGCGCGCACGCGAGCCGAGGGGGCAGGTAGCTTATTATTTTTAGTTTGGGTCCTGTTGGTTTGGGGCCGGTTGAGTGGCCAAAGTGGCCGAGGTGGCTAATCCTGCCCTCCACCTCCCACTTGCCTGCCTACGACGCGGTCTCATGCCGCTGAGGACCGGAAAGGATCCGGGTGTCCTTGGCATCGCTGCCCGCCCCCCCCCCCACCATACCCCAAGCGGCCAGGGCGGCGGGGCAAGTTGTACAGGTCTCGGGTGGCTCCGGCTGTCGGGCCGCTGGGCTGGGTTGGGCTTTATTTTTGCACCCCACTCGCAGCCACTTTCCGCAGACGTGGATCTGAGGCTCGGGGCAGTGGCCCGCGGGTTGGTCGGAGATTGCTAGCGCTCGGCAAGACTAGGAATACCAGAGGAAGAGCCGGTGGGTAACTCTAAAAGCTCTGCAAAGCCAGGCGAGCGCTGCCAGCGCGACTTTGCAAGGGGCCTAAATGTTGAGCTGATTTCTGGCATGGTGAGAGCAGGATTTTTGTAGCTGGCCAGGGAGGGAGAACAGGCAAGGGGGAGCCTGGGCCGCCGCTCGCAGCCACAAAACCACAGGGTCACTCTGCCCGTGGCAAGCAGGTCAGTGACTCCCTAGTGCCAACGTCTTCGAGGCGGCCTGATCTGGCCTCTCTTCCTCCTCACCCACCGCACGCCTGGGTCTAGAGAGGTCCACTGAAACTCCGGCAGCTGCCCCTTGTGGGACGGGAGCGCGCGGAGAAATGTGTGAGCGGCGGGACTGAAGGCCCCCGCGACATCCCGCGCGGTACCCCGCCTCCGCTACACGGACCGCCAGGCTGCTGCTTGGGCCCCTGACGCGGAGGGGGCTGAGCGGCCGGCTCCGGGAACAGGGATGCGGCAAAACATTGCGGTACGCGCTAGCAGCCCCTCCAGCCTCCTCGCCGCCCGCCCGAGGTAGCGCACCCGGGCGGCAATGGCCGGGTCTCTCCGCGAACCTCTTCCACCTCCATCCGAGCCTTAGGCGGGCCAGCGGGGTTTCCCGAGGGAGCTCTCGGGGAGCCACCTCGGCCCACCGCCCTGAAGCCCATCAGTGTTCTGCCCCCCTCAGGCCGCTTCTCTCCTCCCAGTCGCGGAGTGCCAGGCGCTGCACTCCGGTGGATGCAGGATTTGTTTTTGGTCGGGCTAGGTTTGTTCAGTCCTGGCTGGTCGTGAGAGCCAAGGGTCTTTCAGGGCACCGAGAGGAAGACGGACAGCTCCCAGCAGCCACAGAGAAGGCTCTTGGTACCCAGCTGGTACTTTGTGGGCTTTTTCTTTTCTTTTTTGCGTTTTTCCCTTGATGTTTAAATGTGCATGTTTCAGTGGTACCACCGGAGTGTGAGGCTTTATTCGCATACATTCAGTGCTCCCTTTACCCTCTTTGTAGCTCCCTTCTCCGAGTTCTTTTTCTTCCTTTCTCCACATTTCCATGGTCTCTTGCCCTTTCAGTACCTCTTTTCCTCTCTCCTTGGTGGACCAACTGGACTCTTTCTCTCTCTTGCCTGCCCCTCCAGCTGCTTGTGGCTTCCTCTGTTTCACAAGAGCTGCATTTGGGAACTTCCTGGCTCTTACTAGTGCCTTTTCCCCCCCTTGCTACTTAAAGTAGCAATCACCAGGAGGAGGGCAGCTCCTTATGCATTTTCAGATGTGTTGAGATTCCTGGTTCTTGTTTTTGTACTGAATTCGGATTATAAGGATTTTTTTTTTTCTGCGTTTGGTTTTTAGTTTGGTTGCTTTTGGGTTTCTTTGTTTTGAGGTGGGTGGGGTGGTGGTTTAGTAACAAGAAATGACTCAACTGAACCAAAATAGCTGTTGAAAACCACATTCATAACAAGGCAAAAAATATCAAGTGAAATTTTGATTTTACAATGAAAGTTGCTTTAGGTGATGTCATAGTTAAGAATTATGACTTCTTTTTGCAATGCCAATCATGCTCTCATGGTGAATAGGGGAAATGCACGTCTATATGGCAGCCAAATAGCATCTCAGCAGTGCTGGCTGTATTCTGAACCAAACTACTTAAAATGCAAATCCTCCTGGGTCATGGCTAATGGGTTGTCTACCTTGAGACATGTTCGGTTTTACCACTAGCTGATTCCTCGTGGGTAAAATAAACAAAGGAGTTTCTGTGCGACACTTCTTTCTTTGCATCATTTCCTTGTTGTGTGTTCCTGGGTATTTTATGTATTTAATTAATATTTGGAGATAACGATATTGAAATTGCACCCAGCTTCCCATTCACAATGGAAAAGACTAATATTGCTAAAATAGTATCAATAAAATGCACTCTGCTTGTGTTGTTTAATCTTTTCCAGGAAGCATCGTGTATGTTTGTGTATATATGCAGTATTTAAGGACCTGAAAACGATGAGTTATTTTGCTAAGCATTAAACTCTACCAACAAGTGATTCTTTATGCGTTTACAGTCAGGGACATGGGGTGGTAATATTAGGAAGGGCGGGTGGGTGTTTGGAACTGATGATTTTAGGACGAAAAATGTGCTGTACTGAACATATTTGGTGCTGTAGCAAAAGCTACTCAAAGATTGTGTTGTGTGAACTCCCCTTCCTCAGCAGTTGCAGTCTGTGGTCAAAGTGAAAGAGATAAAGCAGTTAAGCCGAGGATCAGTCGGACCTGGGTTCAAAATGGTAAATAAAGATGTGGGAGAGGGCCAGGGAGGCAAGAGAGCCAGTTCTCAAAGTGGAAAGACTGCCTGGAGATTAGCTAAGCAATGCAGGAGTAAGCAGGTTACTCTGCTGCTTTCAGAGGCTCCAAGACAAAAGGCTTTTTGCTCCCTCTTTGGGAGATGACTGACAGGAAATTAGAGACTGTTTATTTACCAGAAAATAAAATTTGGCCATCCCTTACTCAGTTGTTTTTCTAGAACCGCACAGCGTCGTCTGTGTCTTTGAAGGCAGCAGTGTACAGGAGTAAACCGATTGACAGCAATGAACTTACCTATGGGGCTACAGCACAAGCAAATCTCTTCCCAGGTCACTGTTCCTTAGTCTTTTAACAGTCCCTGCTACAGCAGCCCAATCCTCCCATTTCCATCCTCCAGTGAACTCTGGGCTCTAATGTTTTTGTTTTTGTTTTTTTAATTCAGCCTCTCTATCTAGCTGAAGCTTAGAGAATAGATATCCACTAATCAAAATGGCTTTGTGGTACAAACTCGATGGCATACTTGATGGTCTCGGTCATTTGAAGTGCAAGTAGGAAGCTTAAGGCCTGTGTTCAAGGGCAGAGTTTGACGGTCCACGTGGAAAAAATATTTTCAGATTGCAAGATTTAAGCATGATTGATAATATATTTTCCTACTGTTAGTTGTGTGTTCTGCACATGTGAATTTGGTATAAACCACAGGTATGGAAAATAAAATGTATGGCAGTTTTAGTGGTTATTATTGTTCGACTGAGTGAGACTATTTGGAGGTTTGATTGCCTTACAAATACAACTCTGGTAATTATAGCCATGTGTTCACTATGGTATGATTTACATACAAGTAATTTTTCAAGTAATGACCATTGAAAAAATGTTTTCTTTTTATTTTTTAGATTATTTCTCTTTATTCAGAAGCATACAGTTGTTTGCTGATTGCAAGAAGATGTTTCTGTGGCTGTTTCTGATTTTGTCAGCCCTGATTTCTTCGACAAATGCAGATTCTGACATATCGGTGGAAATTTGCAATGTGTGTTCCTGCGTGTCAGTTGAGAATGTGCTCTATGTCAACTGTGAGAAGGTTTCAGTCTACAGACCAAATCAGCTGAAACCACCTTGGTCTAATTTTTATCACCTCAATTTCCAAAATAATTTTTTAAATATTCTGTATCCAAATACATTCTTGAATTTTTCACATGCAGTCTCCCTGCATCTGGGGAATAATAAACTGCAGAACATTGAGGGAGGAGCCTTTCTTGGGCTCAGTGCATTAAAGCAGTTGCACTTGAACAACAATGAATTAAAGATTCTCCGAGCTGACACTTTCCTTGGCATAGAGAACTTGGAGTATCTCCAGGCTGACTACAATTTAATCAAGTATATTGAACGAGGAGCCTTCAATAAGCTCCACAAACTGAAAGTTCTCATTCTTAATGACAATCTGATTTCATTCCTTCCTGATAATATTTTCCGATTCGCATCTTTGACCCATCTGGATATACGAGGGAACAGAATCCAGAAGCTCCCTTATATCGGGGTTCTGGAACACATTGGCCGTGTCGTTGAATTGCAACTGGAAGATAACCCTTGGAACTGTAGCTGTGATTTATTGCCCTTAAAAGCTTGGCTGGAGAACATGCCATATAACATTTACATAGGAGAAGCTATCTGTGAAACTCCCAGTGACTTATATGGAAGGCTTTTAAAAGAAACCAACAAACAAGAGCTATGTCCCATGGGCACCGGCAGTGATTTTGACGTGCGCATCCTGCCTCCATCTCAGCTGGAAAATGGCTACACCACTCCCAATGGTCACACTACCCAAACATCTTTACACAGATTAGTAACTAAACCACCAAAAACAACAAATCCTTCCAAGATCTCTGGAATCGTTGCAGGCAAAGCCCTCTCCAACCGCAATCTCAGTCAGATTGTGTCTTACCAAACAAGGGTGCCTCCTCTAACACCTTGCCCGGCACCTTGCTTCTGCAAAACACACCCTTCAGATTTGGGACTAAGTGTGAACTGCCAAGAGAAAAATATACAGTCTATGTCTGAACTGATACCGAAACCTTTAAATGCGAAGAAGCTGCACGTCAATGGCAATAGCATCAAGGATGTGGACGTATCAGACTTCACTGACTTTGAAGGACTGGATTTGCTTCATTTAGGCAGCAATCAAATTACAGTGATTAAGGGAGACGTATTTCACAATCTCACTAATTTACGCAGGCTATATCTCAATGGCAATCAAATTGAGAGACTCTATCCTGAAATATTTTCAGGTCTTCATAACCTGCAGTATCTGTATTTGGAATACAATTTGATTAAGGAAATCTCAGCAGGCACCTTTGACTCCATGCCAAATTTGCAGTTACTGTACTTAAACAATAATCTCCTAAAGAGCCTGCCTGTTTACATCTTTTCCGGAGCACCCTTAGCTAGACTGAACCTGAGGAACAACAAATTCATGTACCTGCCTGTCAGCGGGGTCCTTGATCAGTTGCAATCTCTTACACAGATTGACTTGGAGGGCAACCCATGGGACTGTACTTGTGACTTGGTGGCATTAAAGCTGTGGGTGGAGAAGTTGAGCGACGGGATTGTTGTGAAAGAACTGAAATGTGAGACGCCTGTTCAGTTTGCCAACATTGAACTGAAGTCCCTCAAAAATGAAATCTTATGTCCCAAACTTTTAAATAAGCCGTCTGCACCATTCACAAGCCCTGCACCTGCCATTACATTCACCACTCCTTTGGGTCCCATTCGAAGTCCTCCTGGTGGGCCAGTGCCTCTGTCTATTTTAATCTTAAGTATCTTAGTGGTCCTCATTTTAACGGTGTTTGTTGCTTTTTGCCTTCTTGTTTTTGTCCTGCGACGCAACAAGAAACCCACAGTGAAGCACGAAGGCCTGGGGAATCCTGACTGTGGCTCCATGCAGCTGCAGCTAAGGAAGCATGACCACAAAACCAATAAAAAAGATGGACTGAGCACAGAAGCTTTCATTCCACAAACTATAGAACAGATGAGCAAGAGCCACACTTGTGGCTTGAAAGAGTCAGAAACTGGGTTCATGTTTTCAGATCCTCCAGGACAGAAAGTTGTTATGAGAAATGTGGCCGACAAGGAGAAAGATTTATTACATGTAGATACCAGGAAGAGACTGAGCACAATTGATGAGCTGGATGAATTATTCCCTAGCAGGGATTCCAATGTGTTTATTCAGAATTTTCTTGAAAGCAAAAAGGAGTATAATAGCATAGGTGTCAGTGGCTTTGAGATCCGCTATCCAGAAAAACAACCAGACAAAAAAAGTAAGAAGTCACTGATAGGTGGCAACCACAGTAAAATTGTTGTGGAACAAAGGAAGAGTGAGTATTTTGAACTGAAGGCGAAACTGCAGAGTTCCCCTGACTACCTACAGGTCCTTGAGGAGCAAACAGCTTTGAACAAGATCTAGGTCATGTAATCTTACTTCATACAGAGGACATTTATTTAATGATGAAAGTGCCTTTTGTTGACTTCTAACTTCCAAATACTATATTATCAATAGGCATGGAGGCAGGTGTTTCCAAGGGTGTCTCATTAACTGTAGCTGCAAAGATGTGTCAAGTAGAAGAGAATTTGTTTAATAGATTTTACTACATAAAACCTATACTGTGGAGTCCTGTGGGGATACTGCAAACTCTATTGCCAAAGGGATGCTTTATACACATAATACTGAATTTAACCTCAAGAGGCAAATCTGTTTTGTACCCCAATGCAAAACCTTCGTCTCTTTGTGCTTTGTAAAGCAAACTCAAGAAAACTGGTACACCTGTACCAGCTGGGTCCTTTATCTTGCACGTAGATTAAGTTGGTGGAACTGGAATAATCCTTTTGATTTGTGGCATTGTAACAACTCCGTGTAAAGATTATCTGAAAAGTAAAAAAAAAAAAAAAAAAAAAAAAAAAAAAAAAAAAGCATGCAAAGAGAGAACACTCGATAGTATTTGTAAATTGGTAACCTTTATGGCCTGCATCTTGAAACCGCTGGATTTATAATGTTAATTTGTGCAAATACTTGTTTAAAATATAACATACATTACATAACTATAAAATAAATTTGAACACTTTAAGCATTACCTGTCTATACATAAAAATCTAAAAGAAAAAATCAACGTGAGTTAGATAGCATTTGTGATGATCTGAAGAAATATGTGACGTTTATCAGAATTAAACATGGCTCAAATTAAACTAACACTAGAGTTTGTTCTCAGTTACGTGAAACACCCACAATCCTTCAAGGTTGTCCAAAATAAGCAGAGTGCTTACTGTGTGAGCGCACCCAAAGCTATTTTTGTAACATAATTCATATTTATGAAGTACTTTGTATACTAAATAGGAAAATATGTACTCCTTAATATGTATTTAATATGCCTGACTTGTTTTCCTGATCACAGTGAATTTATCAGTAAGTATAAATGTAGACAGAAAGAAATATACTAAACTGAAACAAGCTGGTGTGAACAGAAATATTCTGGACTTTGTGATCAGGTGTAACTTAAAAACAAAAAAAATTTAAAACAAACAGAAAAGAAAAAAATACAAAAGAACAGTCAATTCTGTGCTATTCTTGTGAATTTAGCGTATTATCTTCAGATTTGTTACCAATTGTGCATTCAAAAATAAGTTCCTTAGTTTTCTAGTATTGTGTCTGGGGCAGTTGTTATTTGCCATCGGTTGTCTTGCTTTTCAGGATTCTATGAGCTTAATTCAAATAGTTTTCGCTACAAGTATTTAAAAAATAATGAATAAGGTTAATAGTTATATCTTGTATGCATCAGTATCCTGTTCTTTCATCATTCAGACTACTATCAGATAATCTAGTAGAACTGTAAACATCATGGTAATCTTGGCTATGAAAGCCACACTGTAAAAATGCTTGCATTGGTTTCAGATGAGTTCACAGTCTGCAACTACAAATGATATGCCCCTGTGTTTGCTTTTGCTAAGATCTAAGTCAAAATTTGTTAAAGGAATAAAGTAACTGATAATGGGTGATGTCGGAACTTTTGTAGGAGCTCCCGATTAACAAAGTGATATTCAGAAACACATTGTCTTCTTGGCCTGCCTGCATATATATATATAGATATATAGATATATATAGATATACATATATATATATGTGTGTGTGTATATATATATGCGTGTGTATATATATGTGTGTGTATATATATACATATATGTATGTGTGTGTGTATACATATATATATAGTGTGTGTGTGTGCATGTGTGAGAGTGTGTGTCCTATCTCTTATAATTACCTTATGAATCAGTAAGATAACCAAGAAGGTAAACATAGCCATTCCTCATGATTGCAAGTGGCATATTTTTTCTGTTGCAGCTTCCAAAATGATACTATGTTTATAGTTGCAGTAGCTGTTCCTTTATTAATCACTAATTTCAGGGCTTTATGTGTTTGTTGCAAGACAAAAAAAAGAAGCTTGGCTTTCTTGGGTGTGTGTGTATGTGTGTGTGTGTCTGAGTGTGTGTATATATATATATGTGGGTATATATTCATACATATAGATAATTTGGAAATCTTTTTTAAATAGCAAAAACCGTCTCCATGTGTATGTGCTGGTGCTCTTAAAACTTTAGTGTGTAATTTTAATTTTTATGACATCTGTGAAAACTTTATATGAATATAAAATAATTCAAACAAATAATTGCTTTCTGATCTTGAAAGAAAAGACAAGATGTGTGCCCAACAGCTTTTTTCATCTACAATTTCATAAGGACTTTTGATATGCCATTACCATGCATGCACACATCCATGGATTAAAGGGCTCCTAATGTATACTGACAGGATAAAGATGCAAAGGCTTCAAAGAAAGTGTTTTAGTTTAGTCTGTCAATAAAGTATGGCTTGAAGGATCTTAAATAGACACTTATAGGAGGAATCAGAAAGTTCCATTCATGGTCTGGGGATAATAGGTCATTTGAATGATACTTTTATTCAGTGTGGTGATGTTCTGAAGATGTTTCAAGGTTTCTGCAGAATTCTCAATGGCAAGAGTACCTGCCACCATCTCAAAAGCTTGCTGTAGCATATTGGCTATCTCATACTCTTCTGCTAAAAGGTATAAATGTTCAACTTTTTTTAAAAAGTAATTTAACATATGTGGTTATTTGGAGGTTCAAATTGTAAATGAAAGTAACAAATTCTTGGTTAAGGCTAATATATTTTCCTTAACTAAAGTCATTGTGCCTACATTATATAGTGTATACAATTTTGCACCTGTCTCTCATTAGTTCTAGTTGTACATTTTATGATAATGTAGTTAGGTATAAGTTTTGAGTTGAGTACAAGAACAGTTAAAATACTGTATCTACATTTTGTTGGCTTCAACTATAACCTTGATGTTAGTTTAACCCCTGGAGGTATGATATGTACATCAGTACAGCATTTTTAGTGGAACTTGGATGCAAACCTATAAAATCCAAGAAGTGCTCATTTCTAATGTGGGCTGACACATCATGGGCTTCTTGGCACTATAGTCATGGGTATGGACTACGTTAGAATGATTGCAAACAAATTTAGATCTTATGAAATCAGTGAAGGGGTTGAGATAATATATTGTGTCCATGTAATATAAATCAAGTTTTAAATTATTTTTTTATGAAATCAATAAAGATGATTCAATTCTTTAAAAGTAAGACTTTGTGTAATTTTATGAGAAAGCAGCTATTAAAGTAGAGTGATTCAAGTCTATAAGGCAATTTATATTCTATATTTAGTTTTTCATTCTGAATAGACTGAAAAAATATATGAATTAGAAATTTATTTAAGACCATCTTTCTTTTGTTGCTTTTTTTAAACATTTACTTTTCTTTAAGCCATAAGGATGCATAAATTATACAGGGCATGACCTTATGAGTAACATCAACAGGTATTTCAGAAATAACAGAACACGTCTAGAAATGTATGGTGGTAATATTAATCTATAACATTTTTTGCATGATTTGTACATTGACATTGTATGAAATGAGCACACTGAGGTTTTTTTGTTGTTACTGTCGCATCCAAAGAGTTGGGGAGAAACTATATTAAGAATGTATTTATAATCACTATTTTAAAATAAAGTAAAAAAAATATTGTATTGTTTTTACCCTGATTTGATTATCAGTATTTTAGGTTAATTTGTAAGAGAAAAATCAAGTAATGCTGTAAAAGCTCATGTAAATCACAGAAAAGAACTGTTTTAATGACTTTTGTTTGCTTTTAATAACATCAAGGTATTAGAATTTATTAATTGCCATTTTTATGAAAGTATTAATAAAATTGTTTGCTACAATGATATTTCTGAAGCCACAGTTTGTTAAATATATTTGTCTTTCCATTATTTTTCAGAAAAATATAAAGCAGTAACCAAACTGATCATTTCACCCAGATTTGAGGGTAAGATATAGCTTTAGCCTACTGTTTATATTCAACTTAACTGCTAAATCTCTGTTAAAAAAAACGCTTTCTTTAGAAACATATTTTCAATCTGTGTTCCTTCCCACTGGCAGCCCCTTTGGAGAAGAGTCTGACAGTGCCAAGATCAACATGCTTTGATTCTTGCCCATTCTTTTGAATCAGTTGGATTCTGACATAACTTCAGATAAGCAAATACTAATATTCAGTCTTAACTATCTGCTCAAATACTTTTAGAAACCCTTCAGTACCTCTGTATTCCATTGCCAGTTTGCCTGGTTACAGGTTAGTTACCCACTTATGGAGTGAATTGTGATTTGTATTTGGTTCTTTTAAAGATGACCAAAATTATCAATCCATGACTTTACCCAAATTATTACTGTTGTGGAAAATGAACTAATTGCATTACGGTTAACTTGAGGGCAGAAATGAATGTAACTGACTATATTGACCAATACAGTGGGTTTAAGGTTCATATATTTATGGTAAGAAAAGTAAACACAGAAACAGAGAGAGAGAGAGAATATAAATTAAGATTGTTGTTGCTTTACACGTATACATAGGTATGCTGAAGGTGTGAACAGTATAGATAGCATATGCAAGTACTTTTAGACTAAATGCCTTATGCATCTGAGGAGATACACCGTAGGATTGTGTTATTTTATTTATTTATGAGTACTGAGCACAGAGCTTTGGGTTCCAGCCACTTCTGTTATGTAGACAAGTGGCATCAAATCAAGGTTTGGCATCATTTCTAGTGCTCATCCCATTAGTCACTGTGGTCAGATGGGCTGAACTAAAATAAAATATCCTGTTTGTGGCTTCACTTACCTAGAATAACTGGTGACATATATCAAGTTCACCTGATAATTGTTAACTCTCAATTTCAGATTTCCTAAGGATCTATTCTTTGTTAATTTAAAAGCTAATGGGAACTCAAATGAATTTTAATAACTTACTTTGTACAAAACTGCCCTTAATCTAATTTGGAATTTTATTTTGTTTTATTTATTTATTTATTTATTTATTTAATGTCTTTTTAGTTTCTACTGGTTGATAGGATTGTGTTTTAAAAGGGAAAATCGAGGAAGGGAAATTGTGTTGTTTATCTTATAGGAAATGATGGTTTTTTTTAATTTTTAAAAATTATTTTAACCTGTTGTTCTTATGTCTACAAGGGGAAAATAAAGTAGGGCTCTGAGGCATTTGAATATTTTAGACCAAATAATTGCTATTGAGAATAAAGATTCAAGCTTCTCATTAATCCATAATTGACATTTCCACTGACTGTAGGACCCAGAACCAGGAGAGAATTACTCAACCCTCCACTTCAGTTTACTTTTGTAGACACTGCCTAAATAGAAATAGAAATTCTGGTGATTTCAATAACATCAAAAATGACAAATTACCTGTTTAACTTAAAAAGGTCATGAATGAGGCCTTCAGAGAAATAATATTAATAATATAATGAATAACCATAGAGCAGTGCCTTTAAATTAGCTATAGGAAGGAAATAGTCTTTTCAAGTTTCTGAACAATATATTTCTCTTAGTTGGCACCTCACAAATACTAGATCATGTCAGACGCTGCTGGTTAATAGCTGCAGGAAGGCATGTTGTGCAGTGGATATTGCTCATGGAAGTGTGTGAAAATCATAGTAAGCTTTGTTCTCCCTGCTAAGACTTGCTATGTATATTTCCATCATTGTTTCATGTAAACTGAACCATTGTGGTAAACTTTTGGAGTTGATATGGAATCACTTTAATGCTGTTTTCACAAATAAAAGTTTTTTCTTATAGGTCACATTTGTAGCCATTCAGTGTGTTTATTAGTGTGGAATTAGTAAAGCTCAAGCTCAAAAAGAAATGCAAATAGTCTGGTTTTTAGCTGATGCAATCAATATATTAGTTTACATGGCTAGGCCAGGTCTACCTACACACATACACATGCATACACATAAGAAAGATAGAGAGTAATGTGTGCAAATAGTGAATTATACACAAAGGGAATTATCTAGTTAATGTAAACAAAATATTTCTATCTTGACTACCTACTTGACCACCTAGATGTTTCAAATCCAAGTAGATTGGGACCTAAATATTAATTGTCCTTTTTTTTTTTTTCGCCTACACTTGAAATTAAAACCTGACCACTTTGTCATATATAGTAGAAATTATGCCCAGCTTATCTCCCAAGACTTCTCTGGGTTTCAGTTATTTGTTGTCTTGAGATTTTATTTTGATTTTCTTTGTTAACATTTTTCATCACTATCATCTCCAAATTATATGCTTAATAAATGTATAGTGCTGTGTACAATTTTCAGGCAACCAGCCCAGGTGCAAATCAGTGCTGCTACTACCTTTCACAAACGTTATTCAGAGAACTGTGCAGGAGCATTTAAATCCAAAATAATCCCAGGATGAGGATTTAATTAGAAATTATTGGAACAGGTATGTTTTTTTCCCCTTAAAGAAGGAAAAGTTGGTTGAAAATTATGACTAAAGAGCAGCAGGAGAACAAAGGAGTATTAAGAGAAAAAATATTTACTTATCAGATGGAATTCAGAACTTAAATACTGAACAAATGTATCATAAAATAAGTCAAATTATAGATTTCTTTCTCCTTATTATTTACCTCGGCTTTATTTCTTTTAAACAGATATGAAATCTAGGCTTTGTCAACACAATAGTAATTTATAGCTTTTATAGAATCCACTGGTCAATTAAAACATTTAATTACCTTTGCAACCCCTATGGATTTTTTTCTTAGTTGACTAACATCAAGGACTGACTGATTCTCAAAGCCTCCCAATACAGTTTTAGCTGTCAAAAAATGATAAGTAGCATTTGTGTTTAATGAGAATAAGAGGTGAAAAATGCATATCACAGAAAACCATCATGATAGGGAGCAAAATAAATTAGTACAAACATTTGGGTTCCCAGATACAAACACTTGTGGTCAAAAAGCTGCCAGACCTTTTGGGCTGTTTTCAGAAATCTTATTTTTAAAAAAAATATATCAAGTGCCTATTTCAGAAGCTATTTCCTGTACGAATCCCCAGGAAGCCATGTATCTGCCATGGATCCCCTTGCTCCATAGCAAGATGTGTCACATTTGCCAAGTCCTCCCTGCTGGAAATTTTTCTCTTCTGCTGTTACAAGCAACCAACACTGTCTATGGCATTGGCTAGCTTAGGGAGAATTTTTTCACTGTTTTTTGGTAGTTGGTGGTAATATGGACAAAAAATCTAGGAGTCTCAATACCGGCATATATTTACCTTTGTAATATTACCATACTGGAGAGCATTTGGGCCTGTATATTTTACACATTGCATCTTTGTTTTTATTCATCAGTTGTCCTCCATCCCACAGAAGCTACTAGTTATTTTATTCATCCCTCTCTTTCAAAGTAGAAGCTGATCACCATCCTGAAATCTCAGTTATTTATAGAAATAATCATCACACTTCTATGTGTCCATTTCCTTCTATAACTTCTAGAAATATAGAAAATTTAGTACAGTAAGTGATGGATTTAAAAGGAAGTCCTACTGACACACAAAAAAATCATGATATGAAGACAGAGTGACTTACCAGAAAAAAACAACTTTAGGAAGTCATTTCTTAAGTTTTAGGTTTCCTTGCTTTGCAATTAGACTTCAGTGCCTTCGCTTGTGAGCTGGACCCAATGAAATCAGTTTTCACTCTGGGGCCGCGCAATAACTAGAAATGATATTATTGCTGACATGTGGGCAGCTTTGCCATGTGTTGCCATAAACATGGCTGCTATTTTCTCCTTGCACTTTCTACTTCAGAAAATATTCATTCTCTCAGATTTGGCACAGCTGCTGAAATGCTGCTGTATCAATTCTCACCATGAAAATTCAAAAAGAATTTTTTTTCTATATGTAACTGAGCAGTTACACAAAAATGTGTATTGGAAACTGGATAAAAACATCAGGATAAAGAAGATAACTAGTGTGTTCATAAGAAAAGAGGGTTTTAAGGAAGTGAAATGCAGGCATTTTATTAAAAATTACATCTACCACCTCCCTTTGAACTTGTCGACTTTTTGAAGACTCCAGTGTATGCATTATAAGGGGAATAGGACTCTGTTTATACGCAGCATTTTCACTCTCTGCTCATTCTTCTTGGTTGCCTAGGCTGGGCTGCAGTGGAGAATGTGTGAACAGTAACTTTGTTTTTAAATCCCAAATGCATATATGATTTCAGTTGCTCATTTGAATATTAACACATTGGACATGGCCAGTTTCTAACATAATATTTTTACTACAGCCAATTGAGACTTCACTGAATGACCTTTATTTCATCTTAAAGGTTATCAGAGCAGGGGTAAACTAAGAGGCTGTTGGTCAGTTTCAATGTTTAAAGACCATCACAGGAAGATTGAGTATATGTACTCCGAATTTCCAAGTCAGATTATTTGGTCCCAATTTCTTCTCTTTTGAAAGAGTAACTAGGGCTAGAGAGGGCAAGTGACTTGCCCAAGGTCAAAAAATTATTACAGCTAGTCTGGTCTAGGACCTGATTCTCCTCACTCGCAGGATCAAGTTATTTTCATTACACTGCTTTGTTTGCAAGTTCCAGGGAGGAAAATGAGCATCTGTGGGTGAAGCTTCAGGCAGACATTCCAATGCAGCATAAGGACATTTTCTGTAAGGTTTTAGAATGCTCTATAACTGGAATGAACTAGATACAAAATGCAGAGCTCTTAGTCCTTAGAAGTGTTCAAGCTGAGGATGGTTCTAACAAGGAGGATGGATGTCATTCAAGAAAATTTATTTGAATGCGAGCTTGGACTAGGTGATCTTGGAGGACACTTGAAACTCTTAAGACACCAAGGATTCTGTAGTGTATACACTATAATCATTTACCAAGCAAGTCAAAACTATCAAATATTTTTCATCTGGAATATTTAATTAATTGATCTTTGTAGTTTAATGACTAGCAGATGATCTCTACTAGTAGAATAACATATTAATAACTCCAAAAATACCAGTTAGGTATTAGGCATCATGATAAAAGGGACATAGAGTGAAATCTCCCCCACTATATAATGTTTGTGTTTTTAAGTGTCAGCATTTCAAAAAGAATAGTCTCTGATGTTTAATCTTTTTACAAAGGAAAAACAAATTCTTTTGTACATTACACTGAAGATGGCACTGTAGTGACAACCCCACACTAGAAATGCTGAGACATGCCGGTATATGTTATTTCAATCCTCAATTTCAATTTTGAGAATATTTCTTGAGCTTGGAAAACGGAACACAAAGGTTAATATCTTGTAACATCATCTTTGCTAATTGGAGTTGGGTGCATTTTTTTTATAATTTACTCTCAATAAGATAGAACTGAACTTTATTCCAAAGAATTGCAGTTCAGGTTGCAGCTCAACAGACTATATTCAGAATAGAAACTGCAAATTATCTGACCTGTAAAAATTATTAGAAATATTTATTTGAATTTTATTCCATAAAGATAGTTTTCTTTTAAAAAAAAAAAAAAAAGTAAAGGGAAAATAAAACCATTCCGACCTCAAGGACTGTTTGTTCTATTTATTTGGGATGCTATTAATTTTTAAAGATTCTGGGTACACCCAGGATGACTCTGAAATGCAATTTCTAGGTTTTCTTTATTCCATCCATATCATTAACTAGAGCTCCAGCGAATGTGGCTACCATGCAATTCCTGGTCCCTTTAATCACAAAGAGTATTCCCTCAGGTACCAGCAACTCATTCAAAATTAGCAGTTTTATACTTTGGAGTCGTACTTCACTTTTAAATAGTCACAGTGTTAAACATATACATAACCTCTGCCCAAGTGATTTTATGTTTTAGTAGAGAAGAATAGAAGGGAATAAAAATATTTACTTTGACTTAACACTGATGTCCAAGGCCTGTTGACCCTCCGGCCTTCCCTCTCTCTTCATCTCACATGCCTATGGATGATACCACTTTATCTGTCTGCTCCCTGTGCAGTCTCATAGCTCCTCATTCAAACATTACCTCTTGTGACAGTGGCCATATGCCCCCACCCTCACTAAAACTGTTTCTGTTTAACAATGTTTTTTTTTTCTGATAATTCAAATTCAGATACCAGATTCACATGCTGCTAATTCACAAGCCCGTCAAATATGTCAGTACTCTGAGACATTTTCAAGAGAGGACATCGGCCGGGTGCGGTGGCTCACGCCTGTAATCCCAGCACTTTGGGAGGCCGAGGCGGGCGGATCACGAGGTCAGGAGATCGGGACCATCCTGGCTAACGCGGTGAAACCCCGTCTCTACTAAAAATACAAAAAATTAGCCGGGCGCGGTGGCGGGCACCTGTAGTCACAGCTACTCGGGAGGCTGAGGTGGGAGAATGGTGTGAACCCAGGAGGCGGAGCTTGCAGTGAGCCGAGATGGGGCCACTGCACTCCAGCCTGGGCGACAGTGCGAACTCTGTCTCAAAAAAAAAAAAAAAAAAAAAAAAGAGAGGACATCGAGGAGTGGAAGAGGAGACCACGTTAGTCAAATAATGGTGTTTCAGGCCTGGGACAAGCAGTGGACTAGGGGACCTCCTTGGTATCCTTCAGTCTTAACCATGGGTAAATCTGGTACAGTTCAGACCAATAAGGAGAGAGGCTGACTTTAACCTTCTCTCAGGAAGTCCCGTCTGGTGTCTCCTTAGTGGCTTTCATTCATTCCATATTATTCATATTAGAGTGGAAGGAGTGGGAGCCAGTTAGGTAAGGCTCTCTTGTGGAAATCACATTTAAATGAAAGTCTTGAGGGGTGAAGTTCATGAGCGGCTGAGCAGTAGGGTTGAGGAGGGCCTGTGAGGTTGAGAGAACAACATGGGCTTTGACTGCAGTGTGGGAATTAACTCACTATGTGGTACTGGTCAGGTAGGCAGTGCCTAGATCAAG
Source organism: Homo sapiens (assembly GCF_000001405.40). Lineage (NCBI taxonomy): Eukaryota > Metazoa > Chordata > Mammalia > Primates > Hominidae > Homo > Homo sapiens. The sequence goes on along the minus strand of NC_000023.11, from coordinate 143,617,664 downwards.
GGTTGGCAAACTTTTTCAGAAATAATTTTCTGAAATAGCAAATATTTGAGGTTTTACAGACCACATTGTCCGTGCTTCGACTAGTTAACTGCTGTTGTAGCACAGAAGCAAACACAGACGACAGGTACACAAATGGATGTGACTGTGTGCCAATAAAATTTTGTTGTCCAAAATAAACTAGGGGATGGATTTGACCTACAGGCCAGAGGTGTCAACCCCTTGGCTAGATTCTGAAGGGTCTTGAAGGAGTTTTACTTTCAGGTGCTTTGGGAAGTCAATGAAGATTTTTTAAAAGCAGTGCAGTGGCATGATTAGGTTTGTTTCCAACAGACTTCCTTCTGCTTCTGGAGGCTGGACTAGAGGTGGTGAGGAGCAGAGTATAAGTGGGGAAAGAAGTCAGGAAGCTCTTGCAATAGTGCCGACCAATTATAAACCTAATCCCAGCTAAGATGAAGGAAGAATAGGGTTGTGAGCTATATTTTGAATGTCGACTCCATAGCACTTGCCAATATACTGGATATGAAGGTCGAGGGTGACAGTGGAATCAAGGAAAACCCTGAGTTCTGTGCCATGAGCACCTGCGCTGATAAAGATGCCATTCTCTGAGATGAGGACCTCTAGGTTAGCAGTGGCTGTGGAGGGTAGACATTACGAGACAAAGAGTTTCATTTTGGTGGCCGGGCATGGTGGCTCACGCCTGTAATCCTAACACTTTAGGAAGCTGAGGTGGGCGGATTGCCTGAGCTCAGGAGTTCAAAACCACCCTGGGCAACATGGTGAAACACCATCTCTTCTAAAATAAAAAATTAGCCGGGTGTGGTGGCATGCGCCTGTAATCCTAGCTACTCAGGAGGCTGAGGCGGGAGAATCGCTCGAGCTCGGGGGACAGAGATTGCAGTGAGCCAAGATTGTGCCACTGCACTCCAGCTTGGGAGACAAGAGTGAGACTCTGTCTCAAAAAGTAAATAAATAAATAAATAAATAAATACATAAATAAATAAAATAAAGTTCCATTTTGGACGTGTTAAATTTGAAATGGCTGAGAATCTTCAAATTGTCAGATTGTTGACTTTGTTCAACAGGATCTCTGAGGAGAAGCTTAGGCCACAGACAGGATTGAGAATTACTATCGTTTTGAAACTGAAGGTCATGGAGGAAGGTCACAGAATGAAAAAAAAACAAGACCCTGCAATGACTGCAGGTGCTTCAGAGCTTTCCTTTTCAGTGTCATCTGTACTGTGCGCATTCTGCATCAGAATCTCCTGAGGTGCTTGTTAACATTCAGACTCTTAGGCCCCATCCCAGACCTTCTGAGTCAAAATTTTTGTGGTCAGGACTCAAGGAATATCCATTTTGAAGTTCTTAGGTTATTCTTATTTACATTAAACTGTGAGAGTGTCTACTGTTTAGGTAACTTAGAAGATAAAATACCTGCAAAAAAGGGAAATGGTGAGCAGACAGCATGACAGAAAACTAGGAAGCTGTGGGGTCCTGGGAGCAAAGAAAAAAAGAGCATTCCGCAAAGGACGCCGTGACTGACTATGTCCAGTGTTGCTGAGCGACAGCAGTGCTATTTAAGCATGCTTTTCTGGTATTGGCCTCACTGAGATTGCATGAAAGACTGATGTCAGAACAGCTGTGGGATTCCATTCCCTAACAAGAGACAGACTCTTGGAAAGAAACTCCACAGAGAGAAGGGATGGTGGATGAGAAATGGGAGAGAATAATCAGGACCACAGTAGTGGGCAAAGTGAAAGCAAAAGATCAGTGCAAGAAAGACTTTAGGATTCCAGTGGTGAGACATGGAAACAGCAAAGCCAGCAGCAGGATTATACCCAGAGTAGGAGGTCAAAGTGAGCACCTAGAGTCAGCACCAGAGGGCAACAGGGGTGGGCTGTGGTGGAAGCTCACCAAACTCTAGCACTTTATAAATGACTTTATGTCCCACAGTCCTGCCCCAACAGAGATGAGGAACACAGAGAGGAATCTTGGAGCTTTAGCTGTTTTCTGTGGTCTTTGGACGGAAACAAATTCGGCCAGGAAAACCCGACTACCACCCCTACTCTGTCATGGAAATTTTTCCTTAATAGAGAATGCTTTTTAAATTCAAGTTAATGCATATGCACTGAATGCCTACTACGTGTTTTCTCTGGGCTGGATGATGGAAGAGACAGGAGAGTTATACCAAGTCCCACCCAGTTCCCACGGAGCTTACAATCTAGTGGAGGAGGCAGGTATGAAAGTGACTAACTAGAATATCACATCCTTAATGCTGTAACATAAAGGGAATGTGCTGCTTGAGCAGGCGCTGAGCTATAGGGCACAAGGAAGGCTTCATGGTAGAGGTACATTATGACCTAACCTTTGAAGGATGGATTGGATTTTGATAGAAGAGGGATGTTCCAGCTGAGAGAATAGTGTGTGTAAAAGCAGAGAGGGGTGGGGAAGTTTGGTGTTCTCGGGATATTAGGTGGTTCAGTGTGGCTGGAGCATGTACCTCCTGAGGGCTGTCTCCACTGCTTACCTGCCATGTCCCTCTGACTCAAAGGGACCCCAAGCTCAAAATATGACATACTGAATTCATCATTCTCTCTGCACAGAATATTCTTCTAGTCTTTGCTATCCTAGTGGCCAGCCCCTCAGCTACCTGGATACTCCAGCTAGAATCCTGGGCATCATCCTGAGCCCCTCTATATCCTTCACCCCACAGAAGCAAGACCTGGGGTTTCTGAGTGCTTCTTACCTACCAGTCATTGTTCTAAGCACTTAGCAGGTGCCATTTAAATTAACTCTTTTTTTGCCATTTATACTATTTATTGAACCCCAGATTAATGTTTTGTAGTATATATTTGTAAGATGTACGACATGATGTTTTGATATACATATACATAGTGAAATTATTACTGTAGTCAAGCAAATTCACCTATCCATCACCTACTATAGTTACCGTTTGTGCGTGTGTGTTAAGAGTACCTAAAGTCTACTCTCTTAGCAAATACTCAGTATATAATACAATATCATTAACTATAGTTGTCATGCTGTACATTAGATCTTCAGAATTATTCCTTCTAATAAACGCAAGTTTCTATCTAACCATTTACCTACTTATTCCTAGTTCCTCCCTCTTCCTGCTCCTGGTAACCAGGATTCTATCTGTTTCTATGCATTAGCTTTTTTTTTTTTTTTTTTAGATTCTCCATATAAGTGAGATAATTTAGTATTTCTTTCTATGCTTGACTTATTTCATTTAGCATAATGTCCCCTGGGCTCATTGGCAGTATTTCCATTTTAAAGGCTGAGCAATATTCCATTGTATGTATATACCACATTTCCTTTATCTATTTATATATACACAAGCATTTATATTATTTCCATGTCTTGGACATTGTAAGTAATGCAGCAGTGAACACAGGACTGCAGATATGTCTATAGGTGCTGATTGTTTCCTTTGAGTATACACCCAGCACAGGAATTGCTAGATCATATGGCAGTTCTAGTTTCAATTTTTTTAGGAAGCTCCATTATGTTTTTTATAACGGCTGTACCAATTTACATTGCCACCAATAGTGTATAAGAATTCCCTTTTCTCTATATCCTTACCAACACTTATCTCTTGTCTTTTTGATAATAACAATCCTAGCAGGTGTGAGGTGATAGGTTGTTGTTTCTATTTGTATTTTCCTGATGCTTAGTGATGTTGAGCACCTTTCCATACATCTGTTGGCCATTTTTATGTCTTCTTTGAAAAAATGTCTATTCAGGTCCTATGTCCATTTTTAATCAGGTTTTCTTTTTGTTCTGCTATTGAGCTATGTGAGTTTTAAAAATTACATTCTAGATATTTACCATTTATCTGATATATGGTGTGCAAACATTTTCTCCCAGTTTGTAGGCTACCTTTTTCACTTTGTTGGTTGTTTCCTTTGATGTGCAGAAGCTTTTTTGGTTTGATATAGTCCTACTTGTTTATTTTTGCTTTGGTTGCCTGAGATTTTGGCATGATATCAAACAAATGTTGGCAAGATCAGTATCATAAAACTTTTCCCCAATCTTTTCTTCTGGCAACTTTATGTTGTAGGCACTACAATTGTCCCTAATTTACAGACTAAAAATGGAAGCAAAAGGAGATTTTTAAAATTTGCCCAAACTTGTACACTGGTACACTTGTACACTGGTTCCAGTGACAAAGCTGGAAAACACACCCAGGCATTTTGACTATATATCCCACACTTTCCTGTATCATGGTGTATGGCTCCTACAAAATGTAAACTCTTTACCATGGTCTGCATAACCAGTATGGCTGGGCCTTTGCCAGACTCTCTAGCCTTAACTCACACCATAGACTCCCTTTCTTTCTTAATATTTTATGTGACATGGTGAACTAAATGGACAAGGCAGTTTGCATTCCTCTGTCTAAAACACTCTTTATTCCTCTCTTTGTCATGTTGACTTCTGTTCTTATCTTAGATATCAGCTTATTCACCACCTCCCCTAAGAAGCCCCACCTATATATCCCCATAGTACACTGTGCTAATGCATTTCAGCCCTTGGCACCTTGAATCAAAAAGGCATGTTTTCTTATCTGTAACCTACAACTAAAATAAGAGCTTCTGGAGCACAGGATCTATATTCTGTTTATCTTTTATCACCAATGCGTAGCATAGTACCTAGAAGGTAGTATGTGGTAAACAGATATTTGTTGAATCAATAAATATATTAATGGTTATGACAGCAAATGAAATGTGAGAGGGTTAGTTTAGAGTCAAATTATTGAAAACTTTGGAGGACATGTTAAGATGTTTGACTTTTTTTTTCTGCAGGCAATGGGGAGCCATTGAAGATTTTTGAGAAAGGAGAGACATTATCTGACATTTTTATTTTGGGAAGATGAGTCTGCTAATTTGTGGAGATTGGAGAGAGAATTATGAAGGCAAGAAGATAATTAGGATATTATAAAGATAATTAGAAAATTAAAATATCAGTCAACTTTTGCTGCCTAAAATACTGCCTTCAAACTCAGCTGCATACACTGCAGGTTGGCTACTTCAGCCGATGGGTCTGTAGGTCAATTGCATAGGCTCTGCTTTAGACTGCAGGTGCGTGGGTTGGCTGATCTAGACTGATCTGGGCGGTTTTATTATCGAATTGAAGGTTCAGTTCTATCTTTTTGATTTGTCCCTTATTCTTCTGGGATATTTAGGGGAAACTGGACATTCAGGGGAAGCTCTTCACCTAGCATTGTCACCAGTACAAGAGGACAAGCCCAACTACACAAGTATATATCAAGCCCCTGCTTGTGTCTTATCATTGACCAAAGCAGGTACAAAAGGAAGCCCAACATCAACGAGGCAGGAAAAAAAAGACTCTTCCCATGGAAGTTAAAGGGAAAGGAGTGACTGTTTGATGAACAATAATCACCACAGATGCTATTGATATAGTACAGATCAGTAGTTGTCAACTGGGGAGTACAAAGGCATGCTCCACCTTGAAAGGTGAAACAAAATTTTAGGGAAGGGGTAACCACGTATGTGTCTTTTAAATCGTACCTTCACCCCTGCCTTTCAGAATCGTTTCTAGTATGATTTTTACTAATTAGAGTATCAAATCCATGAAATCTGGTGGGATGGAATAAAAGTTTGGAAAATATTACTGCAGAGGATAACTGAAACAGGCCTAGAAGATGAGAGGAGAAACACATAAAAAGGCAAATAATTGGATTCAGCGGATAGGGAACAAGAAAAGTCAGTGACGACCTGAAGTGTTAGAGACCAAGTGATCAGTAACATAGAGATGGTTTGAATGAAGATAGTGAGGGAGAAAGGCGTTTATTAATTGAAGAATCAGGATGCATTGATTATGTACAAGCCCCTTATTCACAGACGTGGATAAGATGTGGTACCTGTCCACACGTCTTACAGTCCAGTGAACACAAGACTTGTGCAAGTAAGACATATACACAGGTAAATATTAGATGTTCTTGAAAGAGGTGAATGCCATAGGGAGAAGAAGAAATTGCGAGAGCTTAATTCCACCTGTAGAAATCAGTAGTGGGGAAGATGACAATAAATCTTAGTGCTAATGTATAGGTGAATTTGGAAAAGTAGCAGAGAAGGTCAGGGAGATAGCCTAAGCAAAGGTACAGAGAAACAAGTGTCTGGGATGCATGCAAGGCAGTATATATGAAGGGATGGTGAGAAATGGTGCTAGGCATGTTGGCATTCTTCAGGCCTCTTGTGATGGCAAGAGAAAAAAAGTCCAAACTGGATTAGGTTAGACAAAAAGGGAATTTTCTAGGAAGTGCTAAAGAATCTCAGGAACCCATGTGAAGGACAGTGTATTAGTCAGAGTTCAGTAGAGGAACAGAACATATACATATATATTCATTAAGTATTAGCTCACACGATCACAAGATCCCACAATAGGCCGTCCGCTAGCTGAGGAGCAAGGAGAGTCAGACCGAGTCCCTAAACTGAAGAACTTGGAGTCTGATGTTTGAGGGCAGGAAGCATCCAGCACAGGAGCAAGATGTAGGCTGGGAAGCTAGGCCAGTGTAGTCTTTTCATGTTTTTCTGCCTGCTTTATATTCTAGCCACACTGGCAGCTGATTAGATGGTGCCCACCCAGATAAATGGTGGGTCTGCCTTTCCCAGCCCACTGACTCAAATGTTAATCTCCTTTGGCAACAACCTCACAGACACACATAGGATCAACACTTTGCATCCTTCAATCCAATCAAGTTGACACTCACTCAGCATTAAACACCACAGACAGGGAAAGTGTAAAGTTGGCTATGATGTAATGACAGGAAGCTACTGAGTATTTCTCTTCAGCTGACATCTCTACTTGTCTCTATTTTTTTCCTTTTCTGCCACTCTTTTGTGCCAAACCAACTGTCTTAGTTCATTTTTTGCAGCTATAACAGAATACCACAAACTGGGTAATTTATAAACCATATAAATATATTTGGTTCATCATTCTGGAGGCTGAGAAGTCCAAGCGCATGGTGCCCACATCGGGTGAGGGTCATGCCATGATGGAAGACATCGCATGATGAAATCTGTGTGCAAGACAGAGAGAGGAATTGGGCTGATCACATCCTCATTATGAGGAACCCATTCCTTTGATAAACTAACCAATTCCCAAGATAAAGACATTAGTCCTTTCATGAGGGTGAAGCTCTTATAACCTAATCACCTCTTAAAGATCTTACTCCTTAACACCACTATAATAGCAATTAAATTTCAGCATTTGTTCCAGAGGGGATATTCAAACTATAGCACCAATCCATCCACAAATTCTGTTAATTATAACTTGAACATGTATCCAGAAACTTCCCACTTCCCACTATTCCACAGCTAGCACCTAGGTCAAAAGCTTCATTTTCTGTTTCCTGTATAATGCACTGGCCTTCACACTGGTCTCCCTGCCTCTACCCTTGTATTTCTTCAGTCTGTTCTTAACATGGTAGGCAAAGGGATATTTTAAAATGATGTAAAATGATATTTTAAAATGAGGTCATGTCACCTCTCTCTTCTAAACCCCATTTCTCTCAAAATTAAAAGCTAAAGTTTTTATAATGGGCTATAAGTTCCTATGTAACCTAACCTCCACTACTGTTCTGACCTTACCACCTCTTACTTTTTCCTCATTCACTTTGTTCTAGCCATGCTGTTCTTTGAAAATGCCATACAGATTTTCATTTTCTGATCTTTATAAGTTTCCTCTTCATGGAACACTCTTCCTCCAGGAAGCCTAATAATTCACTCCTTCATTTCCTTCATTGAGTCTTTGTTCAAAGGTTACCTTCTCAACAGAACCTACCATGACTGCTTAATTTAAAACTGGGCCAGGTGCAGTGGCTGACATCTGTAATCCCAGCACTTTGGAAGGCCGAGGTGGGCGGATCACGAGGTCAGAAGATTGAGACCATCCTGGCCAACATGGTGAAACCCCATCTCTACTAAAAATACAAAAATTAGCTGGGAGTGGTGGTGGGCACCTGTAGTCCCAGCTACTCGGGAGGCTGACGCAGGAGAATCGCTCGAACCTGGGAGGTGGAGGTTGCACTGAGCCGAGGTCGCACCACTGCACTCCAGCCTGGGCAACAGAGCAAGACTCCGTCTAAAAAATAATAATAATAAAATAAAGTAAAATTACAACCCGACCCCCACACTCCAAATCCTATCTTTACCCTTCTCTATAGTGTTATATGATTAACTTACTATGCTTTTTATTCTCCATCTCTTTTTCTCTAAAATATAAAGTCCACAAGAGCTGGAATGTTCACATGTTTTCTGTACTTTATATTCCTAGTACCTAGACTGATGTCTGGCCAGAAGTAGGGGCTTAATAATTTTGTTGAATGAGTTAATGAAATTGCAAAGTGATAGTTCTAACTTTTACATCATAGTTAGAGGATACATTGGTGAAGGCCATAGGGTAGGGGATAGACAAACAGCTAGAAGAAAGGTGGTGTGGTCCTGGCAGAGAAAACGATTATTCCACTAGGCCCAGCTACAATGTGAATTTCCTGTGACACCTACCTGACCCTCAGTTAGGGGTGCTCCCCTGTTTACTCTCAAAGGTCTTTGAACAATCCTGCACAAGAGCACGGATTTGCATGCTTGCTTAATTGGTGATTTACAAGTCTTTTCCCTTAACAGTGCTGAACTTTACCTGAGCCCTGTGCTCTTGGAAACGAATGACAGTTAAGAAATACTTCTCCTACCCTTTTGTATTCCCTAAAATGTTTTACTGTCATAAACCACTCTCCCCATATGACTAAGACTCTGGTGAATGTACCCCTGAATACCTATGACAAGGCCAGATAAAGACCCTCCACAGTTCCACCTTTTGTCCCATAAGTGATTAGCTGAAATGTTTGTCTCCACTGACAAATCAAAACAAAATGCCCACTAACTTGACCAAATGTTGTCAGGCTTTTGTTTTTTCCATGGGCTGCTGATCTTTCACCCTCAGCCTGAGCCAGCCGTCCTTAAAGGCTTCCATTGAGAATAGGCTGGATTCAGAGCAAAACCTTACATCCAGTCATGTCACCCTGACTCACTGATTCATCCCACTTTTTTTTTTTTTTTTTTTTTTTTTGAGACGCGGTCTTGCTCTGCCACCCAGGCTGGAGTGCGGTGGCGTGATCTCAGCTCACTGCAACCTCCACCTCCTGAGTTCAAGCTATTCTTCTGCCTCAGCCTCCCGAGTAGCTGGGACTACAGGCGTGCACCCCCATGCCCAGCTAATTTTTGTATTTTTAGTAGAGATGGGGTTTCACCATACTGGCCAGGGTGGTCTTGAACTCCTGACCTTGTGATCTGCCTGCCTCAGCCTCCCAAAGTGCTGGGATTACGGGCGTGAGCCACTGTGACTGGCCCTCATCCCACTTCTCTACAACCAGACCTTTCTAGGTGTGTTTATTTCTCCATGTAAAAGAAAAATCTTTCGGCCAGGCAGGGTGGCTCACGCCTGTAATCCCAGCACTTTGGGAGGCTAAGGCGGGTGGATCACCTATGGTCAAGAGTTTGAGAGCAGCCTGGCCCACATGGCGAAATCTCGTCTCTACTAAAAATACAAAAAAAAAAAAAAAATAGCTGGATGTGGTGGCACGCGCCTGTAGTCCCAGCTACCCAGGAGGCTGAGACAGGAGAATCGCTTGAACCCAGGAGGCGAAGGTTGCAGTGAGCTGAGGTCACGCCACTGCACTCCAGCCTGGGTGATAGAGCAAGACTCCATCTAAAAAAAAGAAAAAAGAAAGAAAGAAAAAAAAGAAAAGAAAAGTCTTTCCAGGCCTGACCATTGAGACACTAGCAGATGTCATGCTTGGAGCCTTCTCCCTATTACAACAGGCCTCCCTCTCCACTGCAGTTTTCTCTTTTCCCTCTCTTCCGGCAGTTCTTTCAAGTAAATTATCTCCTTACCTAAGCTCAGATTTTTGTTTTTATTGGACATGCTTGGCTTGATTATTTTGTTTTTCTTAAGGACAGTTGCCATGTAGGATTCAGCACAGGATCTCAGAACTTCGCACCAGGCCTGCCAGTATAGTACTTGTTATATATTAGCTGAATGAACTCACCCACACACATATATGAATGAATAAATACTGTGTCAGTAGCTTGGAAAGACAAAAGAAAAAACTGGGCCTCTTCCCCTCCTTCAAAGATTCTGTACCTCAGTTCATTTCAGTAGCTTTTCTCTTAACACAGATATTTAGCATTGTTTAGACAAAAATCTCACTATGCAGCTATGCTACAGAATTAGCCTAAATCATGCATCTGCCTGTATTTTTGGCAATTAATTCCCAATCTTAATTAGGAATAAAGTTAAAGTGTTTTCTCAATCTAGTGCAAAAGCTTGTATTTCCTTCTACTTCAGCAAGACCCTGGAGTGAGTTTGAGGTTACTGTTTTTAAAACTTTGAAAGCTGGGATGGTGGTGCATTACTCCTACTTCTATTGGTGGGTGTACTTCACTAAGCTCAAGTTAAGCATTTGTTGCAGGTATTTGTGTTGTTCTAATTCTTTGCAGGCATCTCTGTGATGAAAAACCTGAGCATTGCAGACTTTTTTAACAGCTCTGAACAATTCCATTCAAGGCAAAGTCCCTGCACCTTCCTCTGTGAATTCTATATATTGTCTGTATGTGTATTAGTCCATTTTCACACTACTATAAAGAACTTCCTTGAGACTGGGTAATCTATAAAGGAAAAAGGTTTAATTGACTAACAGTTCTGCGTGGCTGGGGAGGCCTCAGGAAACTTAGAATAATGGTGGAAGGGAAAGCAGCTACATCTTACATGGCAGCAGGTAAGAGAGAGCGTGTTGGAGGAACTGTCAAACACTTATAAAACAATCAGATCTTGTGAAAACTCACTACCATGAGAACAACGTGGGGAAATCTGCCCCCATGATCCAATCACCTCCCACTAGATCCGTCTCCTGACATGTGGGGATTATGGAGATTACAATTCAAGATAAGATTTGGGTGCAGGCAAAGAGCCAAACCGTATCATTCCACCCCGGCCCCTCCCAAATTTCACATCCTTTTTACATTTCAAAACTAGTCGTGCCTTCCCAACAGTCCCCCAAAGTCTTAACTCGTTTCAGCATTAACTCAAAAGTCCATGGTCCAAATCTCATCTGAGACAAGGCAAGACCCTTCCACTTATGAACCTGTAAAATCAAAAATAAGTTCGCTTCTTCCAAGATACAATGGGGGTACGGTAAATACATCCATTTCAAATGGGAGAGATTGGCCAAAACACAGGGGCTACAGGCCCCATGCAAGTCCAAAACCCAGTGGGACAGTCATTAAATCTTAAAAGTCCAAAATGATCTCCTTTGACTCCACATCTCACATCCAGGGCACGCTGATGCAAGGGGTTGGCTCCCACAGCTTTTGGCAGTTCCTCCATTGGCTGACGTTTAGTGCCTGTTGCTCTTCAAAGTGCACAATGCAAGCTGTCAATGGATCTACCAATCTAGGGTGTGATGATGGTTTCCCTCTTCTCACAGCTCCACTAACCAGTGCCCCAGTGGGGACTCTGTGTGGGGGCTCCAACCCCACATTTTTCTTCCGCACTGCCCTAGCAGAGGTTCTGCATGAAGTTTCCACTTCTGCAGCAAGCTTCTTCCTGGACATCCAGACATTTCCACATATCCTCTGAAATCTAGGTGGAGGTTCCCAAACTTCAATTTTTTACTTCTGTGCACCCTCAAACCCAGCACTACATGGAACCCGCCTGGGCTTGGGGCTTGCACCCTCTGAAGCAACAGCCCAAGCTGCAACTTGGGCCCTTGTAGCACTAATGGAGCTGGAGAAGCTGGGACACATGGCACCATGTCCCAAGGCTGCACAGAGCAGGGGGACCCTTGGCCCAGCCCAGGAAACCATTTTTCCCTCCTAGGCCTCTGGGCTTATAATGGCAGGGGCTGCCATGAAGATCTCTGACATGGTGCTGAGACGTTTTCCCCATTGTCTTGGCTATTACCATGTGCTCCTCATTACTTATGCAGATTTCTTCAGCTGGCTTGAATTTCTCCCCAGAAAATGGGTTTTTCTTTTCAACTACATAGTAAGGCTGCCAATTTTCCAAACTTTTATGCTGTTCTTCTCTTTTAATTGTAAGTTCCAATTTCAAATATTCTCTTTGTGAATGCATATAACTGAACACTTTCAGAATAATCCAGGTCATGTCTTGAATACATCGCTTTTTAGAAATTTCTTCCACCAGAAACCCATAATCATCTCTCTCAAGTTTAAAGTTCCACAGATCTCTAGGGCAAGGGCAAAATGCCTCCAATCTTTTTGCTAAACTGTAGCGAGAGTGACCTTTGCTTCAGTTGCCAAGAAGTTCCTCATCTCCATCTGAGACCACCTCATCCTGGACTTCATTATCCGTATCACTCTCAGCATTTTGGTCAAAACCATTCGACAACTGTCTAGGAAGTTCCAAACTTTCCCACATCTTCCTGTCTTCCAAGCCTTCCAAAGTGTTCCAACTTCTGCCCATTACCCAGTTCCAAAGTACCTTCCACATTCTCAGGTATCTCATAGCAATGCCCCACTACCCTCAGTACCAGTTTTTTGAATTAGTCCGTTTTCACACTGCTATAAAGAACTTCCCTGAGACTGGGTAACTTATAAAGGAAAGAGGTTTAATTGACTTATAGTTCTGCATGGCTGGGGAAGCCTCAGGAATCTTACAGTCATGGTGTGAGCGGAAGCAGGAATGCCTTACATGGCAGCAGTCGAGAGAGAGTGTGTGAAGGAGGAACTGTCAAACACATAAACCCATCAGATCTCATGAGATCTCACTCACTATCATGAGAACAGCATGGGGGACACTGCCCCCATGATTCAATCAACTCCCACTAGGTCCCTCCCTCTACATGTGGGGATTATGGGGATTACAATTCCAGATGAGATTTTGGTGGGGACACAGAACCAAACCATATCAGTATGTTTACCAGTTTGCCCTAGCCTCTGGCTTCAGAAAATAGAAAGGGCATCTTTTCATGTGTTTTTTGCCTTCATTTTCTGTTTTTCCTCTTACTCTGTAAGAAAGAGTCTGTTTTTGTTTTCTTTTCTGTGCTATCTGCTCTACTGTTTGAGGAAGGAGGGTCTTGATGAGTTGTCACCTTTCTGTGAACAGAGCTTATATTTTGAGTGTGGCTTCACTTTTTATCTTAGAAATAAAGCAGCAAGCAGGGTGTTCTAATCAGTCGCACTTCGGTCTCAAATACTACGTCCATGTAAGTCAAATATTAATAGTGAAGAGAATGAGCCAACTTTCTAAATCGAGGCTGTATTTCCATCTCTATGGGGTCCAAAATAAAACTGGTTAAAAAAATGCCATCTTCACTATGAAAGACTCACTGTCTACACCATCCCTCTTCCCATGGAGTTTCTGTTGACAGAGATGGAGTCAGTCATGTCTCATGGGAAGCGGACTTGGGCAGAAGGTTCCCCTGCAAATGATGCTCGATCCCCACAAAGATGCAGCAGAGAAAGGCAGAAAACCCAGTCTTCAGTGCAAAATGGTGAGGAGGAGCCTGGCTTAGAATCTCAGCCTGAAATGACAAGTGAAAAAAAGTCTCTGAATACATTTGTTGAGGCTAGATGGTGTTACCCACCCTTGCTGTTTCACTCCTCTGAAGTGTTCTCTCTATATTTTGCTATTTTGCAAGGGAGGGGAAGAAATAATATGTATGCTTTTCTGTGTGGATTTTAAACAAGTTGCTGAATTATCAATAAAGTTTTAAAGTGCTCTATCATTTGTCATGTTATGATCAGCAATGGTTGTTCTTTTCTTCTTACTTCCTTGTGTATGTAGATTTACCTGTCACTACTGGCAGGACTGAAAATTGTTTTATAGTCATGGTCTTCTATGTGGCAGCCCAGGATAGGGGTAAACTTTTGGGGATAGAAAGAAAGAAAAATGATAATAGCATTTTTTGGCATTAAATATCATTACCCACTTTATACAGCAAAAAATGAGAAATTTCAAGGGGCAAAATTAATTTGGAAAGAAACTGACTATAAATGACTTGAATAAACAAATTCAAATGACTCATTATAATAGAATAATAGAATATTAGAAAAAAATTATCTTTTTATTAGAAGATGGAACTGGATTTCTTTTTCTCTTTTCACCTTCCTTACATCTACCCTCAACTTCTAGATAAATTCACAAATAAACACTTCAGACATTTTTCTGTGACTTAATGTGTTCAGACACTGTTGCTTGCTTGTTTGCATTTTCTTTCAGATTTTACTGTTGTACATGCTGCACGCAGTCTGGCTACATCTTGAGCTCTGTCATTTATCCAACAGAGACATCCCCTATATGGATCTAAAAGATATCATAACACTTGAAAGGTCATGTGTGGCTAATGCCTTTCTCCATCTGGTGATAGATCTTTTTCTTCCTTTTTGTTGTCTGTCCATAAGACTGCTGATAAAAAACCAAGAGTGATTAAATATACTAAATTGTCCAACTTAAGGAAATTCCAGCATATCAAAGAGCTAATAACTTCTTGGAAAATTTATATGCCTCAGCAAAATGCACAATTTTATCTGGTTTGAGAGTTTGAGCTGGAAAAAAATTTCAGCAACTTTAGAAAATCTAATCTACTGGAATACTTTACAAACGCTCTATAGCTCCGGCACCAAGGATTCTATATATGCAGTGGCACTAGTAGCCAAGTTGATTGGTTGGTTTTCTGCAGATTAAACAACTGATTGATTCAGGTAGTCCCCTTCTTGTCTACCACCTAACTCCTGTCTAATAATGATCCAAGTTTTGGCAGTTACTGAGTCCTACTATGGACTAGTTCCTGGACAAATAAGTTCATTAGCATGATCTCAATTAGACATTTTACCTAGAATTTTCGGAATGGCTTTTTCTAGAGTTTGTATCCTCATATGATGAGTATTATAATACCAAAATTTTACTTCACTTTTTATATAACTGAACAAGTAAATAAAGGACAAAGCACTATCATACCTCATGCATTACTATTAGACTGTAATGATTGTCATTGGGACTACTTGTTACAATACTCCCCATCAGGTCTCAATTGTACAGACTGGGCCTCCTGTGATATTTGTATCCTGGAAGATAACAACATCCCATTTGCTCCCAGAACAAATTATTTTTTCAATTATTATTATGAAAGTTTTGTTTTATTGTCTTAAGAACACTTAACATGAGATGTATCCCCTAAACAGATTTTTATAGCAATGGAATGAAATTTATTTTTCATTATAAACTCTATTGTACTGTTTGAATTTATTTTGCCATTTGCTTGCATTACCTGCTAGAGAGGCAGAGAGAAAGAGAAACAGAGAAAAACTATGAGTGAGTTTTCACCTAATTTTCCAACTTAACCTCCTACTGAATCTCATTTTACACATGACAACTCATTGCTTCTCAAAGACACTAAGTATATTCATATTGAGTGTGTGTTTGTGTGTGTGTGTCTAACATTCCATCATCCTTGACTCACATGTTTTCTGCCTGTAAAAATCCCATCCCTCAAAAGTTCTTCTAAAACAGATTTTTTGCATTTACATTTCACTATTCTTAAGTACAGAAACAATTCTGGACATCAGATCTCTAGAACTTATTCATGCGACAAAACTGAAACCACTTGAATAGAAACTCCCCATTTTCCTCTACCTTCAGCCCCTGACAGCTACCATTCTACTCTGCTTCTATAAATTTGACTATTTTAGATACTTCATATAAGTGGAATCATGCAGTATTAGTTTTTCTGTGACTGATTTATTTCACTTAGCATAATGTCCTCCAGGTTCATTCATGTTGTTGCATATGGCAAAATTTCCATATTTTTGAAACCAAATAATACTCCCTTGTATGTATATATTAAAATTTATTTATCCATTCATCTGTTGATAGACATTTAGGTTGTTTCTACATTTTGGCTACTGTGAATAAGGCTGCAGTGAACATGGAAGTGCAAATATCTCTTTGAAATCATGATTTTAATTCTTTTGTACAAATAAACAGAGGTGAGATTACAGGATCACATAGTGGTTCTATTTTTAATTTTTTAAAGGAATCTCCAAACTGTTTTTAATAGCAGCTGCACCATTGTGCATTACCACAACGGTGTACAAGGGTCCCAGTTCCTCACCATCCTTTCCAGCGCTTTTTGTCTTTTTCCTTTTTTCTTAATAATAGCCATCCTAACAGTTGCGAGGTGGTATCTCCTTCTGGTTTTGATTTGCATTGTTATGATTATTAGTGACATTGAGCATCTTTTAATGTACCTGTTGGTCATTTGTATGTCTTCTTTGGGGAAATGTCTATTCAAGTCTTTAGACCATATTTTAATTGGGCTATCAGTTTTAGCTGTTGTGTTATGTGAGTTTCTAATATATTTTGGATATTAACCTCTTTTCAACTATATGGTTTGCAAATATTTTTCCCATTCATAGGTTGCCTCTTCAACTATATTGTTTCCTTTGCTTTGTAGCAGGTTTTTGGTGTGATGTAGTCCTACTTGTCCATTTTTTCTTTTGTTGCCTGTGCTTTTAATGTCATGTCTCTTAAATCATTGCCGAGACTACTGTCACAAAGCTTTCCCTCATGTCGTCTTCTGGGAGTTTACAGTTTCAAGTCTTGGATTTAAGTCTTTAGTCCATTTTGAGTTTTTTTGTGTGTGTATGGTGTAAGATAAGGGTCTGATTTCATTCTTTTGCATGTGGATATCCAGTTTTTCCAACACCATTTTTTAAAGAGATTATCCTTTCCCTATAATTTATTATTTGTACCTTTATCAAAAATCAGTTGACTTCTCTCTTGACTGGAGCAGTGAAACAAACGAACATAAATAAGTTGACTATATATGTGGGGGTTTATTTCCAGACTTTCTATTTTGCTCCATTGGTCTTGTATATCTGTCTTTATTATGCCAGCACCATATTGTTTTGATTACAGCAGCTTTGTAATATATTTGCAAATCAGAAAGTGTGATGCTTTCAGCTTTTTTCTGCTTTCTCAAGACTGTTTTGGCTATTCAGATTTCTTTGCATATGTGCATGAATTTTAGAATTGTTTTTTTTTCTATTTCTGTAAATATTGCCATTGGGATTTTCATAGGGATTAAATTGAATCTGTAGATCACTTTAGGTAGTATGGTCAATTTGACAATATTAAGTCTTCTAAACCGTGAACACAGAATATTTTCCCTTTTGATTGTGTCTTCTTTAATTTCATTCACCAATGTTTTGTAGTGTTCAGTGTACAAGTCTTTTTACTTCTTTAGTTTATTCCTAAGTATCGTATTCTTAAGTATCTTATTTTTTGACACTATAGTAAATAGAGTTGTCTTCCTAATTTTCTTTTCAGATTATTTGCTTTTAATATATAAGAACAGAACTTTTTTTTGTTCATTGTGTATCCTGCAACTTCACTGAGATTTTAAGTCAGTATTAAGAGATTTGGGGTGGGGTCTTTAGGATTTCTATGTATAAGAACACGTCATCTGCAAACAGAGATAATTTCACTTCTTCCTTTCTGATTTGGATGCATTTTTTTTCTCTTACCTAATTGCTCTAGCTAGGACTTCTACTACTATTTTCTTAGTCCATTTCATATTGCTATACCAGAATATCACAGATTGGGTAATTTACAAAGAACAAAAGTTTATTTGGCTCACAGTTCTGGAGGCTGTGAAGACATCAGGTAAGGAACTTCATTCCACATTATCCCATGGCAGAAGATATTAAGGCAAGAGAGGGTGAGAGGGAGAGCAAGAATTAAAGGGAGTGGAATTTATCCTGTTTATCAGGAAACTACTCCCAAGTTAACTAACCAGTTCCTGTAATAGTACCATTAATCTATTCACAGGGCAGAGCCTTCATGACCCAGTCATCTCTTAAAAGTCCCACTTCTTAACACTGTTGCATTGGGGATAAAGTTTCCAACACATGAACTTTAGAGAAACACATTTAAACCATAGGGACTATGTTGAATAGAAGTGGCAAGAGTGGGCATCTTTGTCTTGTTACTGATCTTAGAGAAAAGCTTTTAGTTTTTCATCATCGATAATGAAGTGACCTGTGGGCTTGTCGTATATGACCTTTTTTGTGTTCAGGTACGTTCCTTCTTATACCTAATTTGTTGAGAGTTTTATCATAAAGGGATGTAGAATTTTGTCAGATGCTTTTCTTGCATTTATTGAAATGACCCTATGGTTTTCATATTTCATTGTGTTAATGTGGTATATCACATTTATAGATTTGCATATATTGACCCCTTCTTGAATACCAGGAGTTAATTCCTCTTGGTCATGGTGTATAATTCTTTTACTGTGCTGTTGAATTTTTTCTGCTAATGTTATAATGGAATTTTAAACATAGTATTTCTTTAATTAAAATATGTTATTGTTATAAAAAAATAAAATAATAACAGTGAAACTGAAGTCTTTCTCTTATCTGTGACAAGAAGAGTCCCTGAGGGTCAAAGACAAGTGGGATAAGAAAGCTGAAAGAAAACTCAAACAGATAAGGGTGATGGTTCTTACTCAACAATTAATTATCTCCTTGAACTCAGTGTGTCCCTTCATTTCTCCAGGCCTCAGTCCCCTGAATGTGGGTATTATTTTATTTTATTCTTCCCTTAAAAAGCTAGATGCCTTTGTAGTTATTATTTGGTCAAAAGTAATACAGGTGAGAAATAAAGACAAAACAAAACAAACAAAAACAAAGATATATCACCCATATTAAGTCTTCCTCTCACCCACAGTCTTATCCCTGCTCCCTACTGACAACCACTGCTCTCGGTTTCTTGGATATCTTTCCAGGACTTTTGTAGTCATATCCAGGCATTTGTACATATTTTCATTTGTGTTTTAATCAAAAGGAAGAATACAGAAGGCTCTATTTAAGAAGAGGAAGCAAAGCATAGTAGTTAATATAGTGCAGTCTTGGAAGCCAGACTCCCCGGGGTTATATCTCCTAGTTCTTTTGCTGTTTGAATTTGGCCTTGTCACTGAAACTTTTATCTCAAATTCCTCATATGTGATATGGGGGTGATAATACAGCCTGCCTCATAAGTATTGATATAAAGAGTAAGGGAATTAATAAATAATTAATAGCACATTCACTCAGTAAGTGATCATTAAATATGAATTAATCTACACCTTCTTTATTTCTTTTTATGTAAGGTATATCTACCTCGGTTCTTTGTAATGGCTTTATATTTTTACAGGGTAGCATAATTTATATAACCAGTCTCCTACTGAAAAACACTGAAGCTTTCAGTCTTTTGTTATTAGAAGCATTACTGTAAAGAAAATCCTTTCCCAAACTGCATTTGCCCACACTTATGAACATATTGATATAATAATTTTTGACAAGCAGAATTCCTGTGTTAAAAGGACTATGTACTCAAATATCGATCAGTACTGCCAAATTTACCTCCAATAAGTTATACCATTTTATTCTTCCATTAGCGTTATATGGGAGTCCCAGTTTACCCACACCCACACAAACTTTATATTCCAATAATTTTGTTTTATATGTTTACCATTTCAATGTGTAAAAAAAAATATCTCCTTGCTATATTAACTTTTATATTTTAAACTATAATTAAAGCTAATAATCTTTTCCTGGGGGTACCAGCTATTTTAACTACCTATTTATGTTATTTGACAATTTTGTGATTTTAAAAATAAATGATCATTTCAAAACTATTTAAACTAATCCCATTGTTTGGAAGCCTTCAGAATTTTGACTCAAAGATAATAAAAAACAAATAACAAAACAAAATAATAGGAAAAAAAACCTCACCTGCAATACCCATTTCATGGAGAAGAAAACCAATTCTCAAAGAATGTAAACACCTCATAAGGTTAGAGCTAACTAGTGACAGAGCTTGCATTTTAAAACTCCCTTGCTTTTGTTCTGTTTTGTTTTCTTTTATGGGAGCAGCTGCACTGCTTTTTGGACAACATGTTCTAGCTTGGCTTTGCTAATATATAGATATCACCATAATCACCTCTCTACCACCCTTTATTTCACTGTATAGCAGCCATATGTTTTAGATGTGGAATGGCCTATTAACTTGGCTTTCGTGTAAAAGTGTAGAGTGCTAATGAGTCAGTAATCTTACCAGCAGTTTCTATTTACTAAAGTCGCCACTGACTATTTCCTCTTGGGAAATAGTCACCATTTCCCAAGGAATGTCTTTTCACATAGCATACAAGTTCTTATAATAGTGTCTTCAACATCTATGGCTAACTCCACAAAGTTTATTTTGCTTTAGTGCTTCTTCATTTGTCATGTCTTCTTGAGAGATTAGTGTCCTTACATTGTATTGTATTATTTATTGTTCCAAAATAACATACTAGGGAATAATAGGGTCAATAGATTTGTTTTTATTAAAATGAAACTTGTCAGAATGTGAATTTCAGACCAACATGGATTTGTATAAGTCAGACATGAATCTGGCGGGATAGCACTGGGGAAAGGGGGAAGTTTGTATATGGGGGTGGGCTGCAATGTGGTGAGTGCAAGACAGGATTTCCTTCATTCTTTATTGAAAATAAGCATTTTGCATTCTCATCTGTGAATGAAACGAATACTGCCATTATTTGAGTGTTACCTTTCTGGGCACTGTGCTAAGCTTTTCACATGTATTATCTTACTTCTCAATACTCCTTGTAAGAAGAGTGTTATTATATTAATTTTGTATATATAGAAAGAATGATGTTCAGGAAGCCTAAATAATGTCTAAGGTAATATAGTTAATAGCTGGTAGAGCCAAGATTCAAACCTAGGACTTCTGACAGTGAATTTCACATGCATTTCACTCTGTTGTGTTGCCTCTATGTATAAATTATATGATCTGAACTAAGGTGATACAAGAGACAGAACAAGATATGCTGATGCATATATGAACAGAGGTGGCAAAAATGGAATTATTAGCCTCCAACTCTAGTAAGTTCTTGCCAGAAAACTGGATAAGGTATTCATACATCAGATGAACAATGCCCAAGATCATTGTTTCCCAAAATTATTCCAGAGAACACTAATTGTTTAGGCTAATGGGTGATATTTTTGAAGGGTTCTGTGCTCTAATAATTTTTTTAGGTAGATCCATTTATTTTTTAAATACAAGTATACTTCTGGAAGGGCTATTTGACAAATTCAGCATTGACTGCCAACTTTATAGACATTTTTAACAACAACAAAAAACAAGGCATTTACTCTTGGCCCTTTTAGTACAGGCCAAGGGTCCTATTGCATCACAAGTGCTAGGGATGCAGTAACAGACCCAAGGGCATAATATTAAAGATTTTTTTTCCAACTGCGATTCAGTTGAAAAATAATATAGTACAAACATATATTAATGGTAATCGAGACCACTAGCGATCTGCAGAATACCTAGAAGCCTACCTACTTAGAAGGCTGAAACTGGTAAAAGCATATTAAAATCATAATTTTTAAAAGTGTTAATTTTAGTAAAATTAAACTGGTTTATCTATGTAGGACTTCTCAAAGTAGTCATTGTGCAAATGTGCAGGTTAATACACCAAGATATATGATATAATATTCCACGTTTCCCAATCTAATTTAACTTAGTAATTCCATTTTTAAGAGTCTTGTGTGGCAGGGAAATGGGTCCTAGCCTGGGTCCTTGGGAAAGCTTGGAGTCCTGGCCCACGAACTTGATCCCTGCCCAGGTGTTTTCCGGGGGGGGGGCACTTGAGGCCCAATCTTTGCTCGAGGCAGGTGTAAGACACCTCAGAGGGAGAACGGCACTGCCTCCTCTTTCCCACCTGCCTCTCATCTCAATCCTTGACTGGCGAGTTTAAAGTTGTTCTGCAACCATGCAAACCTGTCCTTCTCATGCAACTCCAAGGAGCTTGCTGGCTCTGCAGCCACCCTTGGGCCCCCGCCAGCCTGCCATGAATCAGATCTCTTTCCCAGAATCTGGGCCTTTCTGAAGTTTTGGGGAGAGCCGTTGGGACTCATCCCGTGCTCCAGAAGGTGGACTTGCTTCTCGTGGGTTTTAAAGGAGACTCCAGGAGATATGCTTAACCAACCATGATGGATTTTGCCCCAACTGGACTCGGCAGCTTCACGTGGAATCCAGGTGCAGCCTCCAGTCTGGGAAAGTCACCCAACCTAGCAGTTGTCATGTGGGTAACCTCAAGCACCTCTAAGCCTGACCTGGAAGAATGACCAGCAGCCCCTCCAGAACTCTGCTCAGGACAGCAGGAGCCTCCTGGCTCTGGGTTTGGAAGCTGGGGTGGGTAGCGGGTGGTAAGTACTATATGTGGCTCTGGAAAAACAGCCGCTACTTCCAAATCTATTGTCCATAATGGTTTCTTTCTGAGGTTGTTTCTTGGCCTCAAAGGGCCCCAGGGGATGTTTGGAAATAGCCTTTCTACCCTTCTGGAGCATGGTTTACAAAAGCCAGCTGACTTCTGGAACTGTCTGTGGAGGATAGTTTGGGTGTAGGTTACTGATGTCTCACCTGAGTTTTATAAGCTGCTGTTGGGTAGTATGCTGGGAGGAATCTTCTTTTTTATATATTGTATTTTTGTATGCCTTTCAGGAAGTGGTGTTAACTGCTTTTGTACAAGAAAAAACTCATGGGCAATTCTCCTGTTGCAAGGGTCTGATTTATTTTGACAGGCAAGTTCACCTGAAATTTTGTATTTAGCTGTGATTACTGATTGCCTGATTTTAAAATATTGCCTTCTGGGACATCTTCTAATAAAAGATTTCTCAAACAAACAAACAAAAAAACAAAAAGAGTCTTGTGTGCCATAGATCATACTGTGGGAAATGCTGACTAATTGGAATCTCAAGTCCCTTCTAACACTGAACACTTACAATTCCATGATTCTGTTACAGGCCATGAAGATATAGGAGAATACAGATATATACATATATATATATATATGTATATATATCTCCTGTGTTCTTGGATTAATCTGTGATTGGTCCACTGTGTAAGTGCCTAATTAACCTCAGTGTGATATTTTCTATAAAATGTCTTGGCAAGATTGTTGATAGGTCCAAGCATTCAATAGAAGATTGAACTGGACCTAGCTGCACATTTGACCCATCTAAAGTGTTTGTTGTAAGTGCAGATTTCTGAGACAAATTCCCAGGATTTCTGATTCTATAATTTGAGGGAAAGCTCTAGAAACAATTTTTAATGGTCATTCCAGGGGTTCTGCACCATATTTGGTCCATATGTCAATATTTGGAACAAGTCTAAGATATAAAGTCAAGAAAGCCTATGAGGATGCTACAGAGTTCTTCTCAATCCTGTCCATGCACCAGTTCCTGGAGCTCTACCCAAGACCTTGGAAACTTGACCCAGTAGATCCAATGGTGCTGGGAGTGGGACCTGTGGATGTCTCCTTAAGAAAAAAAAATCTACAAGTGAATCTTATGTTGCTGGGTCACAGATATATAATTAGGACCACTGGCTTAAATGACTTCCAATTTCTTCCTTCCAACCATATATTTTTCTACATTCTGAGTATAATATGACTTCCCTAAATGTACTTAGTGTGATGGTTAATACTGAATGTCAACTCGATTGGATAGAAGGATACAAAGTATTGATCCTATGTGTGTCTGTGAGGTTGTTGCCAAAGGAGATTAACATTTGAGTCAGTGGGCTGGGAAAGGCAGACCCATCCTTAACCTGAGTGGGCACAATATAATCAGCTGCCAGTGTGGCTAGAATATAAATGGGCAGAAAAATGTGAAAAGAGAGACTGGACTAGCCTTCCAGCCTACATCTTTCTCCCGTGCTGGATGCTTCCGGCCCTCGAACATTGGACTCCAAGTTCTTCCGTTTTGGAACTTGGGCTGGCTCTCCTTGCTCCTTAGCCTGCAGATGGCCTATGGTGGGACCTTGTGATCATGTAAGTTAATACTTAATAAAGTCATATATATATATTCCATTAATTCTGTCCCTCTAGAGAACCTAATACACTTATTATGTGAAGAGAAACATGACGTGAGGCTGTTTGTTTATAGTCCCAACTGTAACCTATGCTGATGAGGCTAGAATTGAGAGCCTGTGCTCAGATATGATTATCACTCTAAAAAGAAGCAGCGACAAACCCGAATAAAGGTCAGAGGGGAGGGACGAAAATGATAAGGGTATTCAAACACATGGCATATGAGGAATCATTGAAGGAACTGGGGTGTTTAGCTTGGAGAAGAGAAGAATTGTGTGCAGATAGGAATATTATCTTTAAATATTCAAAAGGTTGTCCTGTTGAGGACCTATTAGGCTGGCTGTTTAGGATGCTATAAAAAAGAAGACACCTCTAACAGACAGAGGGGAAAGTGTTATGCTTGAGCACCTGTTAGGCCAGGGATAGTTCTGGATATTTTAAGCATGTTATTTTATTTAACAGTCATGCAAAATATGCAAAAGAGGTATAGCTGACCCATTTTAGAAATTAGGAAATAGGCCCAGAAATGGTAAATTATTCCATGTTCCTATGAATATATGGATAATATGGTAGTCATTAAAGCTACTCACAAATATTCCATTTCCTCTTCTTCCAGAAACATGGTAGGATTGTACTTCCCAACCTTGTTTGAAGCTAAGGGTAGGCTTGTGGAATTCTGTAAAGCCATTACATGATTCACCGTATTCCCTTCCCTCTGCAGTGGTGATAATAAAACCATATGCCAAGATAAAGCAGAGGTTCCCGGCCAATATGGATTGGACATATAGCAAAAGTGAGAAACAAACTTTTTTCTCTTGTCATGAAAATCCAAGAGAAGCCTGCTAACTATATGCATTCTTAGTCTATGTTCTTGGTCTAAGTCATAGGTTGTATACATTTCTGTTTGTCACTGGGAATTTGGAGTTATTTGTTACTGTAGGATAATTCAGCCCTCCTGGCTGATAATGGCAGAAGTAGAAGAGTCAGAGTTAAACCTAGCTTATTCTGCTTCCCAAATCTGTGCTCTTCCCATTGTAATACAAGACCTCACAGATAACCAGTGTTAAGCTCTATAGCAATGAAAGAGAGTATTACAGTTCATTCATGCAAATATTTGATAAAAACTTGTTGGGACTGATAAATCTAATGGCTGAATTGTAACCACCCAGTGAGTTTACCTAGCCGACTGCCTAGACAGAGCTGATTTATCAAGACAAGGGAATTACAATAGAGGAAGTTTAATTCACATAGAGCTGGCTACACGGGAGACTGGAGTTTTATTGTTGCTCAAATCAGTCTCCCTAAGAATTCAGGGATCAGAGTTTTTAAGAATATTTTGGTGGGTGTGGAGGCCAGTGAGTTTGGAGTGTTGATTGGTTGGGTGGCAGTTGAAATCATAGGGAGTTGAAGCTGTCCTCATACACTGAGTCCCTTCATGGGTGGAAGCCACAAGACTAGACAAGCCAGTTTGTCCATCTGGGTGGTGCCAGCTGACCCATCAGGTGCAGGGTCTGCAACATATCTAAAGCACTGATCTCGTTGCAGTACATAGCTAGTCAGACATGAGCACAGCAGGAGAGTGACGCCCCACCCCCATCAAGAAAGTCAGGCAACCATTAGGGTATGGTCAAGCAGTTGTTAAACCATCTCTCTAAAATAATATTTGGTCACAGCCAGTGACAGAGAAAGGCAGTCCTCCAATAGATAGAAAACATCTGAAACTTATAATCAGCAGCTTCCCAGTAGGATCTCAGGAGTTGGGCCAGTGGGCTTAAGCTTGCGCATTAAGAGGCAAAATGGCAGAGTTTAACTGGTATATGACCTTCTAGGGACATTGGACTGGTAAGAGAAGAAAACCTCTAGTGGGCACGTGTACAACTCCAGTAAACACACTGTGCATGCAGCCATTTCCAAGTGCTGGCAGGCCACTGAGCATGCAGACAGCCCACTCCAAGAGAAGAATCAGGGGAGAAGGGATGCAGGACCCTGGAAGTACACCAACATATAAAACCCTAAGTCAAAGGTCAAACATGGCACTTGATCTCTCAGGTCACCTGCCTGGCCCTCTTGCAAGTATACTTTACTTCCTTTCATTCCTGATCTAAAGCTTTTTAATACGCTTTCACTCCTGCTCTAAAATTTACCTCGGTCTCTCCTTCTACCTTATGCCTCTCAGTTGAATTCTTTCTTCTGAGAAGGCAAGAATTGAGGTTGCTGCAGACATGTACAAATTCACCATCAGTAACATACCTTAGTGCAAGTTTTAAAGCAGGGGTGAAAATTTATTAAAAAGCTGTAAAGCAGAAATGAAAGGAAGTAGAGTACACTTGGAAGAGGGCCAAATAGGTGACTTAAGAGATCAAGTGCACGCCTTGACTTTTGACTTGGGGTTTTATTAGTTGGGATTCTTCTGGCATCTGAATTTTCTCTCCCCTGATTCTTCCCTTGGGATGGGCTGCCTGCATGCACAGTGGCCTGCTAGCACTTGGGAGTGGCCCCATGTACAGTGTGTTTAATGGAGTTGTATACATGCTTACTTGAGGCATTCTTCCCTTACCAGTCAAATGTCCCTAGAAAGTCATACACCAGTTAAACTGGCATTTTGCCTCTTAATGAGCATGCTTGAGCCAACTCGCCCAGCTCCTGAGATCTTATTAGGAAGCTGCTGATCACCAGCTTCAGGTTTTTTCTATGTATTGGGGGACCACCTTTCCCTGGCACTGGCTGGGACTATCAACTGCCTGACCATCACTTGATGGTCCCCTGACACTCCTGTTTTGGTGGGGCTCTCCTGCACTGCTCATGTCTGACTAGCTACCTACTGTAACAATCTTAGGGTTTACCAATAGTGAGGTTATCCCCAGGAACAATTTGGTGAGGGTCAGAATATTGTAGCTTCCAGCTGCGTGACACCTAAACCATGGTTTCTAATCTTGTGGCTAATTTGTTAGTCTTACAAAGGCATCCTAGTCCCTAGGCAAGTAGGGGGCTTGTTTTGGAAAAGGGATATTATTGTCTTTGTTTCAAAGTTAAACTATAAACTAAGTTCCTTCCAAAGTTAGTTTGGCCTACACCCAGGAATGAACAATGACAGCTTGGAGGTTAGAAGCAAGATAGAGTCAGTTAGGTCATATCTCTTTCACTGTAATAATTTTCTCTGTTGTAATTTTCAATGGCAGTTTCAGAATGGTCTCTTCCAACTCTAATATTCTATGATTTCCTGATTCTGTGACAGGTTGTAGAACCCAAATACAAAATCTGTGTGTGTGTGTGTGTGTGTGTGTGTGTGTGTGTGTGTGTGTGTGTAGTCACCCTTTTTCTGTTTTTTAGGCCTAAGGCATATTCACTTTATGTGGACCTTTCCCAGCCCCATCTCAATTGGTCTTTTTAGGAAAAGAGAAGTTCTGCTTTTTTTTTTTTTTTTTTTCCTAACAGCCATGAAATTTGGCACCAAGTCACAATGACCTTTTATTCCTAATGACTTCCCTGAGGCGGGGGGCGGGGGGGAAAGCATTTGCATTTCAGCTCATTCTTTCCTGGAGCATAATACATTCTTAGATTTATTTATAATTTTGAGGGTTTGCCTCTCCCTGCTGGTTCTCAAAGTTTAATGCTATCCCAAAATATGTTTATCCATTTCATGTCACAATGGGGACATGGGGATGATTTCCGGTTTGAGACCTTCCCATCACTATAATCATTTTCATGTCATCTTTGAAGCAGATATGCTCTTAGGGGTGACCTCATTAGAGCCAAAATATGATGGCAATGAAGAAACATATTTATCACATTCTTATCCTCTTATACTTTAAATACTCTTACTTCTTATATTGGCTCTTACTTATGTAACTCATCCAATTGCAGAGACACTTGAAAAGACTGTATTTCAACACACTTTACAAAAAACAGAAGCCACAAAATTATAACATACATTATTGGCGGCATCCTTGAAGATGACTTTCAGTGCATAGGACAGGGAATGTCTACAAAGACTTACCCCTACGTCTTTGGAACAAAATCTGAAAATATCTCTCTAAAACTGAACGAATTCTTCTTGGGCAATATGAGACATCTTCAAAATAAACTACCATGATGAATGGCATGAAAATCTGGTATTACTGAGGAAAGCCTACACCCTACATCTCTACCATGAAGATCAGAGTATTTCTTTATTGAATACACAAATCAGAGTGCCTTTCAATCTAATTAATGTCACCAGAGTATGTGTGAGCTTAGGAATGTAGATATACAGTTAGCCAAAGTATGTTTGGTGCTCTTGCTGGTAAGGCAGTCTGAGAAAAACAAGTCCCATGGCCAAGTTGCTAAAACATACCTCCCACTCAAAACTTCAAAAGGCATATTAGCATATCAAATGTAATAAAAAGACCCATAGAAAAGACACCTCTTTAGCTTTGTTCAACCCAGCTTTAGCCAAATGTATTTGCTAATAAACCCTTTAAAAAATAATGCTCATCGAAACAGACCAAGAAACATATTTTGGCAAATACCAAATTAAGGAAAAAGCAAGCCATAAATAAATTGTCTTTCATAAGTGTAAAAAGAGTAATAAATAGGCTTGGCATGAAAATTCTGCTTCACACTTGAATTATCTTTAAGAGCTTATTGATTTTTTCCTGTGAGCCTCAATATCCTCTTCTATAAAATGGAAATCAAAATGCTGAGTGACGTAACGAGAGGTAAAGCCAGCTGGGCTCCTGGGTTGAGTGGGGACTTGGAGAACTTTTCTGTCTAGCTAGAGGATTGTAAATGCACCAATCAGCGCTCTGTGCCTAGCTAGAGGATTGTAAATGCACCAATCAACATTCTGTAAAAATGGACCAATCAGCACTCTGTAAAATGGACCAGTCAGCAGGACATGGGCGGGGCCAAATAAGGGAATAAAAGCTGGCCACCCACGCCAGCAGCAGCAACCCGATTGGGTCCCCTTTCACGTTATGGGAGCTTTGTTCTTTCGCTCTTCATCATAAATCTTGCTGCTGCTCACTCTTTGGGTCTGCGCCACCTTTAAGAGCTGTAACACTCACCACCGGGGTCTGCGGCTTCATTCCTGAAGTCAGCAAGACAACGAACCCACTGGGAGGAACGAATAACTCTGGATGTGCCACTTTTAAGAGCTGTAACACTCACTATGAGGTCCGTGGCTTCATTCTTAAAGTCAGCGAGACCAAGAACCCACCAGAAGGAAGAAACTCCAGACACGGTAAGTTATTCAGACTTAGGAGGGCAGTAGCACATAGTGGTTAAGCCCAAAGATTCTGGTGCCACACCTACTGGGTGTGAAATCTGGCTTCACCTCTGCTTACTTATGTGATGTTAGGCAAGTTATTGCAGCTTACTTTTACTTTGTTTTTTTCACATTTAAAATGGAAAAAAATAGTACCTGCCATCAAAGAAAATGACCAAGGCAAGTCTCAATCATTTTAGGAGGTTTATTTGCCAAGGTTAAGGACATGCACCTGGGAGACAGTTCTATGCCTTTCTCCAACGATGCTTTTGAGGGTTTCAGTATTTAAAGGGGAAAGGCTGAGATATTGAGAAATACACAATTTTAATTTGAGAGGGTGGTATAGGAAAATAATCTTACATGCCATTGTCTGGCTCAGAGTATCCATAATTGTACATAATGTAGAAAGTAGAAAAGTTCCTCTTCAAAGCTCATCTTGGTTTAAAAATAAAATAACAGACACTAGAAATAATAGCTTCTTACTCTAAAGCCTCCTATCAACTATTAGTTCTTACACTTTAGCCCAGTTAGTGGCTTTGGCTTACTCAGGTATGTCTGGACAGGCCCAGGCAAGTCTTAGCTCATAGCTTATGCCCCTTTCTTATTTGGAAATGTTATTGCTTCCTTGAACCTTTCATAAGCAACTTCCTCTCCTTCTTTGTTCTTCCTTGCACTTACCTATTTAGGAAAGTTTTAGGTTATTAGCAAATTGGTTATTAGTTTAAGACTGTGAGGTCCAGCTCTAGCCAATGGATGCAGGACACAGCAGTAAGGACGACCCAAATGCATAAAGGATAAATATGTCTGCTTTTCCTTTGTTCAAGTGTGCTCTCGCCATTGTTCCATCTGTGTGTAGCACCCTTTCTGCAGAAAGTAAAGATGGCCTTGCTGAGATAATTAAATTTATATTCAAGTGCTATTTCTTTGTGGCACTGGGGAACAAGCATTTCTAACACATAAGATAATGTAGACAATACGGCAAAGGAAACAATCAGATATGTATTTGTCTCAGGTAGGCAGAGTCATAACTTTGAGTTCTGTCCTGTTTCTCAACAGCTGTGAAGATAAGCTATCATTCTGTTAAAGTTTACATTGCCATGGTAAACTTTAACAGAAACACACTTTAGGGTAAAGATGTTGGGGCCCACAACAAATTTCCCTGTGGGAAAAAATATAAGGGAGGTATGTCGCCTTTCATCTTTGTAGCCATCTTATTTAGGAACAAAAATGGGAGGCAGGTTTGCATGACCCAGATTCCAGCTTGAATCTTCCCTTTGGCTTAGTGAGTTTGGGGTCCCAGATTTATTTTCCTTTCACACTGCCAAAGAGGTTTTCTCTGAATATTAAATAGTATTAAAGTACTTTGAGTGAGCATTCCACTCAACATAAGCTGAGGACTAAGCTCTGATTCTTTTTTTTTATTTCTATCTTTTTTATCTTGCCCAAATTCCTATCTAAGGGGTCTGGGGAGTCATACCCTACCAATGATTAACTATCATCAGATGGGTTTTATTTAACCCTATATATCATGACTTACTTTCCAATCTGACTCTGGCATAACATTATTTGACAAAGAAGAAAATCAAAATATTTTACCCAAAACATGTTTCTTTGCCGTGTTTTGAAATGGGCCTGCAAGACCATCCATTGTGGGGGAAAATTTGCATCTGTAAAAATTCTCTATTGATATAGCTAGATCTTTTTCTTCCAGGCTCTCCCAATCCTGAAGACATTAATTGAGAGTTTAGCACCTTTTAAAGGTCTGAATAGAAAAAACATTTGTCATCTATTGTCTCTAAGGGCAACCACTATGAGACTTCAAAAGAACCTTGGTCTCCACAATCTTTTATCTTAACCTGAACATTTCCTTTCCATTAATTCCAGACAAACTCAACCATTTATAAACCAGAAAATGTTTAAATTTACCTATTGCCTGGAACCCCCTCCCCACCACTCCGCTCGAATTGTCCCACCTTTCTGGACCAAACCCATGTATTTTTCAAATGTATTTGATTGATGTCTCAGAATCACTTTAGGGAATGATGTTTCATGCCTCCCTAAAATGTGTAAAACCAAGCTGCACCCCAATTCCTTTGAGCAGATATTCTTGGGACCTCCTGTGGGCTGTGTCACAGGCCATGGTCACTCATATTTGGCCTAGGATAAATCTCTTCAAATATTTTACAGAGTTTGACTCCTGTTGTTGACAAGCTATTGTTTTAGCTTTACCAAATACCTGGGTCATTGTAATTGCTCATGTATTGTAGTCAAACCTCAGTCAAAGAGAAACATGTTGATAGAAGGGAAGGAGTCTGTAAGAAATTTAGGGGAAAATGTAGAGAGAAAACCCAAGAGAAGAATAGTTCATATTTATTCAGCAGCCCGGTATATGGCTGCTTTGATCACTGCCCACAGAGATTTTCTTACCCTTGACAGGCTAGCTCGTAGGGCATCAGTCTGTCTCAGTTGAAGGACACTGTTAAAATTCTCAGTTTTTTACCTCCTGGCCAGCTTCACCCTTATCAAACGCTCCTCTATAAAACACCCCAAGAATCATTCTTATAAGGTAGAGACACAAGTTAGGGTAATTTCCTCTACAATATTTCTGCATCAATACTAGCTCTTAAGGTGCATTTAAATATTATTTGTAGTTGCCTATTTCCCACAGACTGACTGTGAGGAAGCTCACAGTAAAAATACATTGATAGAGTGGCTTAAATATCAAGAAGGCCTCAAAAACCAAAGAGAGATGGGGAAGATAATTGTACCAGGAAAAGGGAAAGATATAATTATTGTAATTAAGCACTAATTTTAGCTCCGAAGACATTAAGGTCTGAATTGCACTTACTTTTCAAACTCAGTCACTATTCTACGTTTTAATCCTTTATACAATTTTGTACCTTTATACAAGTTAGAATTATATTGGTAATTTATTCAAATCTTCTTTTATCAGCATTCTCAGTTCCCTTAAGCCCAATATTTAAATGTTTAAAATGTCACTCCCTGCTAGTGATTTTTTAAAGGAACTATTATCATTTTATGTTCAGTACACACACACACACACAGACACACACACACACACACACACGAGTTTCCTCTTTAGTATATGTCCTAGATCAATGTGTCTGGTTACTATTACTCTTGGATCTTCTCAACTCTCCTCACCCCACTACAATATCACATCTTTCCCTTCCATCACATTGAAACATCTGAAACAGCTCTCATAAGGAAAATCACAGCATACATTTTGCCAAGCCTATCTTCATCCTGCTTGAATTCAAAGCACCATTTGACATCGCTGACCATTCGCTTCTCTCCTGTCCTGGCTTCTGCTTGCATGTTTTCTTATTTTTCTTTCTACCTCATTAAAAGCATCTTACTCACTCTCTGTCATCTTTTCCAGGCCTCTAAATATGGGAGTTTCTCAGCATTCTGTTCCAGAATTATGATTCCTTATATCTCTAAGAGTAAAACACAAAGGCCTGCAAGACTCTATGCGATCTGCACCCCACTCCCTTTCTGACCAGGTAGATACATTTCTAGGTACATCAGTACTCTCCTGGATATCAATACTCAGAAATACTTGTCTCCACTTACCATCTCCATTTTCTTTCTTTCCATTTTCTCTAGAACCCACCATGATCATGTTTTCATCTGAAGCACGCCACACCACTGAACAGCTGTTGTCAAGGTCACAAGTTACTACCTAGTTGCCAATATAAAGCTTGATCTTCGGTCCTCCTCTCATCCGACCTGTCTGGAGCATTTGAAAAGTTGATCACTCTCTTCTTTGTAAAATACTGATTCACGTGGTTCTAGGACACCACTCATTCTTTTTTCTTTTCTTACCTTACTGGTCTCTCTCGTTCTGTATCTTTTGCTTACACCTTCCCCATCTTCCAGACCACTAAACATTGAAATTCCTAAGATTAGTCCTGGATCTATTTTCTTCTCTATTTATACTCATTTCCTGGGTGATCTTACCCAGTCACATGGCTATAAATATCATCTATATGCTGAAGACTTCCAGATTTTTATCTCCTCTCTGGACTTCTTACCAGAAATACAAATTCATATATTTAACTGCCAACTACACATATGCACTAATAGGCATTTCAAATGTAGTATGTCCATACCAAACTGCTAATACTTTACTCAAAAACTCGCTCCATCTACATTCTTCTCCATTTTAGCAAATGGCTGCTCCTTTATTTTTGTTCAGTTGTTCAAGCCAAATGCTTGGGAGTCAGCTTTGCCTCCCTTTTTATTCCACACCACATACCAATACTTCAGTAATTCCTGTCAGTTTCTACCTTTAAGAAATAAAAATCAAATCAAAATAACAAGAAAACTACAGCAGAATCTAATCTGGCCACTTCTCACCGTACCATCTCCATTGCTTCCACCTTGGTGCAATCATGACCTCTTGCTTGGATGACTTCCAGAGTCTTCTAACTGGCTTCTAACTAGTGTAACTAGTCTGCTAACTGGCTTCTACTCTTGCCTTTCTACAAACTACTCTCTATATAGCAAAGTGATTCTGTTAAAAAGTAAGTCAGACTATGTCACTCCTCTGTTCCAAACCATCCAAGGGAACCGCCCTCATTCAGAGAAAGAAAACAAAGTCTTTATACCAGCTTTTAAAGATTTACCTAATCCAGTCCTTTGTTTCTCTGACCTCATCTTCTATACCTCCTTCTCTTGCTCTCTTTCTTCAAGTCACACTCACCTCCTTGTTATTCGTTGAACTTGAAGGTATTAGGCATGCTACTACCTTACGATATTGTTATTTTTGCTATTTTCTCTACCTGGAATATTGTTCCCACAAATAGTCACATGTCCCACTCCCTTTCTTTCAGGTCTTAATTCAAATATCACCTTCTCAGAGAGACCTTCGCTGATGACTTTATATTAAAAGCATCCTGTCACTTTCTAACCCTATTATGCTGCTTTATATTCTTCGTAGCATTTATCATCAACTGAAATATTACATGTTTATTTGTTTATTGTCTTTCCCGCCTAACTAGAATATAAGTTTATGGAGATAGGATTGCCACTGTTTTGCTTACTGATATATCCTCAATACCTAGAATTCTCCCTGGCATATAGGAGATGCTCACTAAGTACTAGGTCAATGCATGAAACGGACTTTCTTTTCAGTCTACAGCTCTGTTCATAGATTCAAATACCTTCGACGGCACTTTGAAAACAATTCATTTTTCTCGTTAAACCATTTTAGTATTTGTTGAGCTAGGCGCTGAAGCTGCAATAAGAAAAAATAAGGTATTTCTTGCTCTCATAGAGTTAGATCAGTTTCTCACTTTCTTCTTCCCGGTTTCCTCCCCTTGCCACCACTCACACTGAAATGCAGTCCTTCTGTGTTATACACGTTAATACAATGCTATTACTCATTATGTGGCCAGCCAAGTTAAAACCAGAGTGGGTAATTTTATCTCCTTTTTCCCTATACCTTCAAATCCAGTCACTTACCCTGTCCAATCAGTTCTACCTAGTATATCTCTAAGATTTATCATTTCCATTTCACTTCTACTGGCAAATAGATTCCACTTTCTCCAGTCTCACCACGACCTTCTTAGGCTCTCATAATAATCTTCTACTTAAAAACTAGTTCAATAAATTTTCCTGCCTTCTTGCCTGTTCCCCTTCCCTCCAATCTATTTTCTACATTCCAGCCAGGGTGCTCTTTCTCAAATGCAAATACGACCAGTCTCTCCTCTGCTAACTACCCTTTGATGGTTCTCCATTGCTCACAGGACAAAATTCAAATATCTTAAAATGGTGTTTAAGACCTTAAATGATTAGGCACCTACTTACTTCTCTAGCACTATATTTTATTAGTTTTTAAGTCCAGCTCACATATGACTGTCTTTAAGCATCTTCCCAGATCTTCTTCTATTCCATTTACACCACTGGCACAACCTGATCACACTACATTAGAATGAGTAGTGTGCCCAGGAGACTGGCAGTCTTTTCAACTGGAGTGTCAGCTCTAGATACTCACTATGCAATTTCAAATACCTCCTCTGCTGAAATTGTGTTCTCTCCCTTCCCTGACCTCATTCTGTGTTTTCCCTCCTTTCTCTTAACACCTTTTATTCCAGCTAGTGCTGTACTGCTCTCCCCACTACAGACTGAAAGCTCCTGGAGGGCAGGACTGTGTGCCTCCTGCCATAGTCAGGTTTCCAACCTGTGTACCACTGGTCCTGGTGGTTTGCTCAGAGTAGTAGGTACTCAGTCAGTACTTGTCAAATGGGCAGATTGTGCCTATAAATATTTGTACTCATATTGCATTTCTGTCTTTTCCTTTTGATGATATAGTTTCATCATTTACAAGATGCTGTTATGATATTTATGTCTATTAGCCTTTCTGCTAAATAATTGCTTGGCGCTCCCTGTTTTTCTAAATTTGGTAAAAATATCATAAAAAAGCATTTGGTAAATTTCTCACAGAAAGCCAAACACTTTTATGATGTGAGAGACTTGATTTGTTGTATTTATATCAAGTCAATATTGGTTTAATCTTAAATTCACCATTCACCATCTTTTTTGTTTCTCGTTATCAAAACTCATTTTTTATGACTAATTTAATCATTGACTGAACTCACTCAACAGTTGCCCATAGTTACTAAAAGATACAAAATGATACTGTTTATAAGCATTTAGGTCAAAAATGTTCAAAAGAAAAATCAACTAAACTGATACTTTTAATTAGTATTTTGAGGGTTGAGGATTTTTAAAAATTTGTTTTTCACTGAAACTGCTTTGGTAAAAATCAGTACAAAAACAATTGATTTTTTAATTGTCTGGTTTGAAGAGACATGTTGGAGTAACAGAAACAGTCACAACCAAATGCAGCTTCTTCTGGTGGTACACTTCGTTCCATGATGTGGATCAGTTCTAAATATCATTCCAACTATTCTTAGATTCAAGTTATGATACTGTTTTGTTCTTTATATTTGGCTCTGTTTGTAACTCAACAAGTGTCTTGGGTAAGTCCCATGAGTAATAGAAACTGAGAGTAAGCTAGATCAGAAATACTGGATATGGACGATCATTATAAAATGCACATGTTGACTTCTCAAATTATGTCAAGTGACAAGGCTCTTTTTGACACATTAAAGTGATCTGCTCTCTTCAATACTTAATTTATTACTAATGAGGGACTGCAATTGCTTCAAATTAAGTAGCCTACACTTATCATAAGATCTGGCACATTTCTACTTCTGTTTTTAAAAGAATATTTGAAATTAAAAATGTAGAAAATTAGATGCATAAAAATGCATTGTCTAATCAATAACCATAATCATTACCAGCTGTCAAAATGTATCTTAAAATGTTATGAGCTAAATTATGCTGTAAAGACATGCATAATTTTTTATAGAGATTTAGCTGTATTTGTTGACCCATTGATCTCACTCCAGTACAGCATGAACCAAGGAAATAAAAGGGGAACAGAACATAATGGAAGAAAGAACACTTATCCAGGAGGCAAGAAACTCAGCTTAACCATTTATTGGCTGTCTGAATTTGGGCAAGTCACTCTCCACTGTATGTTTCCATTTTCCCACCTGTAACATGAGATGGTTGGACCTGAGCAAAGGTTTCTGACTGCCTGGTAGCCCATGCTGATTCCATGATTCAGCCCATGCTGAAAATTCAATTCAGTTCCGTTCAAGTCAGTTCAATCCAACAATCTTGAGGGACAGCTATTGAAGCAGAAGTTAAAAAGAGAAAAACAAGTTTTCCTATACTTGGCTGACTCACTCCAAGGCCAGCAATAGGCAGGGCCCTGGCAAAGTCTCAATAACACTATCTGGAAAGCCAGAGCCCAAAGGAATGAGCTCCGGAGACTCTCCCAACAAACCCCTCCCCCTCCCTGGAGCAAGGATAAGAAAAACAAATTCCTTTACTATCTCCTCTTCCCCCTTACCATTACTCAGTGTCTCAAGTTTTGTAAGTTCCTGTTTTCCCTTCCATGCAGCTGTAAGGTCACAAGCTATGCTTAGGTTACAAAACCTGTCACAGTTTGATTAACTGCCTTTGTTCTGCTTCTGTAAGCCTGCCTGCCCGCCTCACAGGTTTTGTGCCCTCAGTTTCCTGCCACTGCATTAAAACTAGCCAATTCCCTTTCAGAAGTGTATATAAAAGTCAAGCCCTGTGTTTGTTCAGGGCTCAGCCTTTGGATGTGAATCTGCTGTGCCAGTAGCCACCTAAATAAAATCCTCCTGTTCCACCCATTGGTCTCTCTGGTCTTCTGATTCCCACAACACTACAGCACCATATTATAACATAATACTGCCAAATGTAATATAATATAATATGAACATGATAAAAGTTTTTAAAATCAGATAAGAATTTGACTCAACTTACAATCTATATGATCATAAAGAAGCCAATTCAAGGGAGGTAGAGGAATATGGTGGAATAGAAAGCTTCACTGATAGTTCCCCCAGCAAGGACATCAGATTAACAGCTATCTACTCAGAAAACACACCTTTATAAGAACCAAAAATAAGGTGAGCACTCAGTACCTGGTTTTAGCTTCATATCACTGAAAGAGGCACCAAAAAGGTAGAAAAAACAGCCTTGAATTGCTGATGCCACCCCTCCTCAATCTCTGGCAGTGGAATCCTGGTACAGAGAGTATCTCTGGGCACTGGGGGAGGGAGAACACAGCAATTGTGAAGCATTGAACTCAGTGCTGCTCTGTTAGAGCAGAAAAGAAAAACCAGACCAAACTCAGCTGATGCCTGCCCACAGAGGGAGCATTCAAATCAGCCTTAGCCAGAGGGGAATTTCCAATCCCAGTGGTTCAAACTTGAGTGCCTGCAAACCTTGCCACCCAGGGCCAAAGTGCTCTTAGTCTCTAACTAAACTTGAAAGGCATTCTAGCCCATAAGCACTGCAACTCTTAGGTGAGTTCAAGGGCTTAACTAGGCCTAGAGATAATGGATTAGAAGGCCACATGACATACTGTGACACCAGCTTTGGCAGGCAAAATGTGCTGGCATCACCCCTCCCCTAATCCCAGGCTGCACAGCTCACAGCTCCAAAAAAGACCCTTTTCTTCCTCTTGAGGAGAGTAGAGAGAAGAGTGGGGAGGATCGTTTCTTGCACCTGAAATACCAGCTTAGCCACAGCAGGATATGGCACCAGTCAGAGTCAAGAGGCTCCCATTCCAGGCCCTATCAGCCAGATGATATTTATAGATATACCCTGGGCCAGAAGAGAACCTATTTGAAGAAAGGGATCCAGTCCTGCTAGCATGGGCTCTGAATAACCAGCAGTAATATCCAGGTGCTATGCTACATCAAGGGTTTTGGTGAGCCTCTGAGACTTGCTGGCTTCAAGTACCAACATCACCACAGGGGTGTAGAGCAGCAAGTCAAGACTGTTTACTCTTGAATGACATTTCTGGACCTGCCCTGTGACAGAGGGGAGTGCACTGCCCTGAAGGATGAGTCCCAGGACAGACAGCACTCACCACAAGCTGACTTAAGAGACCTTGAGACTTAAGGGAAAATCAGTGGTAGTCTGGCAGTACTCCTTGTGGCCAGGGGTGGCTCCTCTGCCTTTGGAAAAGGGAGGGAAGAGTGGGAAGGACCAAAGCAAATATGGACAAATGGGATCACGTCAAGTTAAAAAGCTTCTGCACAAAAGTTACAATCAACAAAGTGAAGAGACAACCCACAGAATGGAAGAAAATATTGGCAACTACCCTTCTGACAAGGAATTAATAACGAGAATATATAAGGAGATTAAACAGCACTATAGAAAAAAATCTAATAATCTGATCAAAAGATGGACAAAATATTTGAATAGATATTTCTCAAAAGAAGTCATACAAATGGCAAACAGACATATGAAAATGTGCTCAACATTAGCATCAGAGAAATGCAAATATAAACTACAATGAGATATCATTTCACCCCAAATGTCTTGGATATGGCTTATATCCATAAAACAGGCAATAATAAATGCTAGCAAGTATGTGGAGAAAAGGGAACTCTTGGACACTGTAGGTGGTAATGTAAATTAGTATAACAACTATGAAGAACGTTTTGTACGTTTCTAAACCAAGTGATTTGAGAATCACAATGACCAAGAGAGAAATTTCAACTTGGAGACTCAGAGGAAGACACATATATTCTTTCAGTGATCATTTACTGAACTGCATTGTGCTAAGCAGGGGTAAAGTGATGGATAAGAAGAAACACTTGCCTTTCTTCACAAAACCAATGAAGATATTTTGAAACGTTTTTATTCATTGACTCCCGTTAAAAAGCTGATGAAAAGAAAAGATTCTATCCCTAAAAATATGGGCACATGATTTTGCATTTAAGTGTAAAGAGTTCAAGAACTCTTTGGAAATTTATTCTTACATCCCCCAGGCACATGGACTCCAGATTCAAACCTCCTAATTTAGTTGGGGGTTTTATTTAAAAAGGTAGCATTTGAATAAAGTCCTGAAAAATGGTTCGAATTTCAGATGGGAGCAAAGAACAGTGTTCTTGGACTTTGAACCTGTGATGGTTATTATTAAGTGTCAACTTGATTGTATTAAAGGATGCAAAGTATTGTTCCTGGGTGTGTCTGTGAGGGTGGTGCCAAAGGAGATTAACATTTGAGTCAGTGAACTGCTAGAGGTGGACCCACCCTCAATCTGGGTGGGCACCTTCTAATCAGTTGCCAACATGGCTAGGATAAAAGCAACAATACGTGGAAAGACTAGACTAGCTACGTCTTCTGGCCTCCATCTTTCTCCTGTGCTGGATGCTTCCTGCCCTCGAACATTGGACTTCCAAGTTCTTCAACTTTTGGACTCTTGGACCTATACCAGTGGTTTGCCAGGGGCTCTCGGGCCTTTGGCCACAGACTGAATGCTGCACTGTCGGCTTCCCTACTTTTGAGGTTTGGAACTCAGACTGGCTTCCTTGCTCCTCAGCTTGCAGACTACCTATTGTGGGACTTCACCTTACGATCGCGTGAGTCAATATTCCTTAATAAACTCCCTTTCATATAGCCATCTATCTTATTAGTCCTGTCCCTCTAAAGAACCCTGACTAATACAGAACCCATCTTTTCCAGTCTCCTGGCTCATACTGACCACTTGCTTTTGCACGTTTGTTGCCTTGGGACAAAGTGCCTCATTTCTTTTCTTGACATTATCCATGTGTTCCTTGAATTCCGCCTGCTTGCCTGTCTTCTGAATCCAGCTCTTTAGCAACCTCAGGCCTCTGTGCTATCCTAGTCTGCCACCCTCCATCTATGCATCAATGCCCTCATATCTAGTTCCTACTTTTCATTGCTAACAAAGTCTTTGGTCTCCCATTCTAACTCCTATGTTGGCTCTATGATGCACTGCCAACAAATGGCCCAGTGGTACAAGTGAACATAGAGGGAAGAGGTATGTATGAGCAGAAGACCTCTCTCAGATCCAAAGCCTATTCTTAAAAAGCCAGCCTGACCTATCAGTTCTGCTTTTGCACTGCCCCAGGTGTTGATCTCTTATGTCTGTATAGGACTTTATGGCTCACGGAGTAGTAGACTAACTACAGTCACAAATAAATCCCAAATCTCAGTGTGTTAACCCAATAAAGATTAGCATTTTGCTCATGCTTCCGTCCGATGCAGGTAGGCAGAGAGGGGGCTCAGCTCCAAGCATCATTTGGGTGCAAGTCTGACCACGTTCCACACATGGCTCCCAAGACTGCTCTGGGAATTGACATTGAGATGGCAAACAGGGAAGAGAGTCAGTAGCAAGGAAAGTCTGGCAGGAACTAAAACACATCCCATTTCACTGGCCAGAACACAACTATGTGGCCTTTCTAATTGCAGTGGGGAGGCTAGGAAAGGCAGCCTAGCTGTGTGCTCAAGGGGAAAGTGAAAAGATGTTAACACATATCAACTCTGCCACGCATGGCCACTACCATGTTTTGTGTGTGTGTGTATGTGTGTGTGTGTGTGTGTGTGTGTGTGTGTGTTTTGAGACAGAGTCTTGCTCTGTCACCCAGACTGGAGTTCAGTGGTGGGATCTTGGCTCACTGCAACCTCCACCTCCAGGACTCAAGCGATTCTTCTGCCTCAGTCTCCTGAATAGCTGGGATTACAGGCGTGCACCACCATGCCCAGCTAAGTTTTGTATTTTTAGTAGAGATGGGGTTTCACCATGTTTCCCAGGCTAGTCTTGAACTCCTGACCTCAAGTGATCTGCCCACCTTGGCCTCCCAAAGTGTTGGGATTACAGGCGTGAGCCATGGCACCTGGCCGCCTCTCTTATTTTATCCTCCTAAGAACTCTGGGAGGTACATGGCAATAATTTATATCCTCTGTTAATAGATGAGGCACTAGGATCATATTGGTGAAGTCATTTGCCCAAAGCCACACAGCTGGCAAATGGCAGAATCTATGGTCAAACTCAGTCTGTCTGCTCTAGTACTCAAACTCCTCTTATACAACATGACCTATAGGTTATACTAAAATATAATGCCTGCATGTCAGAGGAATTATATCAAAGTGAAATTTGGGGATGACTTACATCAGAAATATTTTAAGGTGTTGTAAGAATGCAGATTCCCTCGTTCCAATTTATACCTAATCACTGATTCAGCATCTAGAAGGGTCGGCTGGAGAATCTGCAGATGATTCTTATATACTTGATACAGTTTGAGACCTCGCTGCCTTAAGACTTTATATGATTTTTCACCTGTATATTTAAAAGAGAACAAATTCATATGGAGCCAAAAAAGAGCCTGCATTGCCCAGTCAATCCTAAGCCAAAAGAACAAAGCTGGAGGCATCACGCTACCTGACTTCAAACTATACTACAAGGCTACAGTAACCAAAACAGCATGGTACTGGTACCAAAACAGAGATATAGACCAATGGAACAGAACAGAGCCCTCAGAAATAATGCCACATATGTACAACTATCTGATCTTTGACAAACCTGAAAAAAACAAGAAATGGGGAAACAATTCCTTATTTAATAAATGGTGCTGGGAAAACTGGCTAGCCATATGTAGAAAGCTGAAACTGGATCCCTTCCTTACACCTTACACAAAAATTAATTCAAGATGGATTAAAGACTTAAATGTTCGACCTAAAACCATAAAAACCCTAGAAGAAAACCTAGGCAATACCATTCAGGACATAGGCATGGGCAAGGACTTCATGTCTAAAACACCAAAAGCATTGGCAACAGAAGCCAAAATTGACAAATGGGATCTAATTAAACTAAAGAGCTTCTGCACAGCAAAAGAAACTACCATCAGAGTGAACATGCAACCTACAGAATGGGAGAAAATTTTTGCAACCTACTCATCTGACAAAGGGCTAATATCCAGAATCTACAAAGAACTCAAACAAATTTACAAGAAAAAAACAAACAACCCCATCAAAAAGTGGGCAAAGGATATGAACAGACACTTCTCCAAAGAAGACATTTATGCAGCCAAAAAACACATGAAAAAATGCTCATCATCACTGGCCATCAGAGAAATGCAAATCAAAACCACAATGAGATACCATCTCACACCAGTTAGAATGGCGATCATTAAAAAGTCAGGAAACAACAGGTGCTGGAGAGGATGTGGAGAAATAGGAACACTTTTACACTGTTGGTGGGACTGTAAACTAGTTCAACCATCGTGGAAGTCAGTGTGGTGATTCCTCAGGGATCTAGAACTAGAAATACCATTTGACCCAGCCATCCCATTACTGGGTATATACCCAAAGGAATATAAAACATGCTGCTATAAAGACACATGCACACGTATGTTTATTGTGGCACTATTCACAATAGCAAAGACTTGGAAGCAACCCAAATGTCCAACAATGATAGACTGGATTAAGAAAATGTGGCACATATACACCATGGAATACTATGCAGCCATAAAAAAAGATGAGTTCATGTCCTTTGTAGGGACATGGATGAAGCTGGAAACCATCATTCTCAGCAAACTATCGCAAGGACAAAAAACCAAACACTGCATGTTCTCACTCATAGGTGGGAATTGAACAATGAGAACACATGGACACAGGAAGGGGAAAATCACACACCAGGGCCTGTTGTGGGGTGGGGAGAAGGGGGAGGGATAGTATTAGGAGATATACCTAATGTTAAATCATGAGTTGATGTGTGCAGCACACCAACATGGCACATGTATACATATGTAACAAACCTGCATGTTGTGCAAATGTACCCTAAAACTTAAACTATAATAAAAAAAGACACTAAAATAAATAAATAAATAAATTAATTAATTAAAAGAGAACAAATTAAAGGTGGTTATAGACAGAAGCATTTTCACTACTTTTTAATTTGGTCTCTGATGGAAGACCTCTAAATCTGACATTGATGATAAAATATTCATTTGTATTTCGATGTTTAAAAACAAAAGGATTTCTTTCTAAAAATAGTCATGTAGGGGTAGGGGAGAGCAAGCGTCTATAGCAAAATCATCATTCAGGTGGAGAGAAGTTTAATAAAACTAGCTATCTCTATTGGCAAAGTGACTAGAGACGTGAATCACATTCTTTGGCAATTCAAGTAAAAAAATATTTCTTTCTTTTGAATTTAGAGCTTTATGTGTAATTCTGAGATAATGCTTTAAATTAAAGATAATTTTAGAATCAATTTAGGGAATAGGTTCTTTCCCCGTCACATTGCCCAAATATTGAATACAGATTTTACTTCACACATAGCATAAATATTGTATGGTCTGTGACATCAGGAGTATAAATATTTCATAATTCAGAAACAGATACAGTAATCACTCATCCAGTTTAATAAGCTTCTCAATTTGTAGCTTTGCATTCCATCCCCAAAATGTGAGACTGCTGATAAGCCTCTTAATTATATTTTATAATATTTCATTTTAGTGTAAAAATTATCCATAATATTTCACTTTCATTCAGAAATCACTATTAATTTAAGGACTGTTAAGTAAGCTATCTAAGAGCTTTATAAATTACTTGGATAATCAAAATATTTGCTTTTCACACTTCAAGGTGGTTTTACACATTAATTGTATTAATTCTAACTTTAGGCTTAAAATATCCTTCTAGTAATTATAATTTAGCGTGAATTATTTAGTCTTTAGAAGAATCACACATAGAGAAATGCTAAGTCATCAAATGGTACTCATGACTTCTTATGGTAGTGACAATCAAGTTACCTCGAATGGTTCTATTTTCTGCCTTAGTAGATACAGGTGGTTTGTTGGTACAACCGAGGCCACATTGGGGGTGTGGAGGGGCCACTCTTCATCTTTTCTGAAGAGGGTGAATGATTGGGCATCCTGATTTGCAGAAGACTGAGGCCAGAGTTTATTTGTAGCACAAGCTAAAACCCCAGTTTTCTGCCTGGTCCTGCCTCTTACAAATTGAGGCCTTAGCATTTCCACTTGGCTTCTAACAGCCTGATAATTTTGAAGGGGTTTTGGGATGGCCTGATTATTTCCGAGTCAGCATTTGAGGCTATCAGGTCTGTTTGCCCATTTCCACTCTTGCAAAGATACACCTGAATACAAATGTAAATATTTCAGTAAATTTTATAGCTGAGTTCCATTTGGTTCTAGTTTATTTGAATCTTACGTGAAGTTGGAGAGGGCACTATCTAGGAACTGCACTGTAGTAAAATGTAATAATCAAGAGCAAATACTTTT
This sequence comes from Homo sapiens, assembly GCF_000001405.40. Taxonomy (NCBI): domain Eukaryota; kingdom Metazoa; phylum Chordata; class Mammalia; order Primates; family Hominidae; genus Homo; species Homo sapiens. The sequence continues at coordinate 143,572,759 of NC_000023.11, read as the reverse complement.
AAATTAAAAAGGCTTGGGCTCAAGTCATGGTTCTGTCATTTACGAACGAGGTAACCTTGAAAAATTTACTTAATCTCTCTGAGCCTCCTTTTCTTTGTGTAAATATAAGTGATGATAGAATCATAATATCTATCTAATAAAGCTATTACTGCAATTAAGGATCTGTCTTCTCTCTTAAGGAATCTATCCATCTGTCCATATACACATATAACACACACACATATAGTGCTTCACATAGTACTTGGCACGCTATAAGCACTGAAGAATGAACTATGGCCTGGTGTGGTGGCTCACGCCTGTAATCCCAACACTTTGGGAGGCCGAGGTGGGCATATTACATGAGGCTGGGAGGTCAACACCTGCCTGGCCGACATGGTGAAACCCCATCTCTACTAAAAATACAAAAAATGAGCTGGGTGCAGTGACATGTGCCTGTAATCCCAGCTACTCTGGAGGCTGAGGCAGGAGAATCACTTGAATCCAGGAGGTGGAAGTTGCAGTGAGCTGAGATCACACCACTGCACTCCCGTCTGGGCTACAGAGCAAGACTTTGTCAAAAAAAAAAAAAAAAGAATGAACTGTGACTACATAGGCTAAGTGTAATCTTGTGGACCAGAAGAAGGAAGGTCCAGGACAGTAACTTGAAGCGTAACCTTGACTCAGCTTATCACTCACTAGCTCTGTGACCTATGGTAAAAATAATTAAATTATCTGAGCCTCTTTCTCCTAGCTGTAAAATGGGGCTAAGAACAGTATTGATTACACAGGTACATACGATACTTAACGTAATGTACTTAGAATAGCACCGGACACATACTTAGGACTTATTAGATGTTAGTACAGAGCCAAGAGAATGTGCTTTAGAAGGAAAAAATGGGCCGTGGCGTCAAGAGGCCCAGTTGAATATGAACTGTGAAGTATCCATTAGCTTTAGCATCAAGGATGATGTTGATGACTTTGGAGGAAACTTTTTCAGTGAAGGGGCAGGCACAGCGGGGAGAATGAATGAGTTGGCAGAAAGGAAGTGCAAACCGTAAGTATAGCAACAACAACAACGACTACTACCACTACCATATATGAGGTCTTACTATGAGTCAGACTTCCTTAAGCATTCCTCAGGAATGATGCCATTCACACTATTTCTACATCTTACAGATGAGAAAACTGAGGCTCAGGAGGCTTAAGTAACATGGGCAGTGTTGCAGTTAGCAGGTGCCATAACTGGATTACAAACACAACTTCTTTTCACACCTCCATGCTAGCATAGTGAAATGCTAGAAAGCTTTGAGACATTTATTTAACAGCTTCCACAGATTAGGAGAAACTGTGTATTTTAGTTTTCTTAGCACCAGGGCAAGGAGAAAACACATAAAAAAGTAACCTTCTAACTCAAATAGCTGCATTTCAAGGCTGGGGCTTTGAACCCAGGGTTCTACACATTTGCTGGGATGACTAAAACTTTTCAGATTCCCTCTAATGATGTGATTGAAAGACAGTGCTACTTTAGTTATGGTGCCCCAAACTGACAATGTTTGAAACACTGCCAAACGTTTAGTTGGAATCACAGAGAACAGTCAGGGAAAAAAAAAAAAAAAAAAAAACTCATAGTAAAGATTTTGCAAAAATGAGGCACAGAGTCAGGAAACAGCTGTGTTTTACCCATTTATATGCACTCCTGCTTCCTTAATGTGGATGGATCTTTCTATTTGAACTTCCTCATGCAGTTCCTTCCCAGTTTACTCCAGTCACTGTCTCCATTGGGTACCCAGTCACAGCCTTCTAGTGGCAAAGGTCTACAAGGATGCAATCACAATGACAAGCAGAAAGTCACTGGGAAGCTGCAGAAGGAGAGGGCAGAAGAGCTGTGGTGAACTGGGTACAGACTTCATTCCACTTTATCCACCCACTATCATGCCACACCCTAAACCTCATAATCGTCCGCAATTGCCAACTTGAAATAATAACTTCAAACCCTCCTCTATGGCCTGTGTCAGAAAGTAGAGAGAAGCAGAGACTGAAATCAGACTGATCACAGCTGTGCCACTGCTCAGCTCTTTGACCTTGCACACACAATTTGACCATTGAGTATCTTAGTTTCATCCCATATAAAATATAAAAAATAACAATATATACTCTTAGGGTTATTTTTAGATGTTTGCATAGAACAGTGGCTGGATTATAGTGAGTACTAGCTCTTGCTACTATTGTTCTCTCTCTCCTTCAACACCTGCTTTTTATAACCCATTTGATACCTCCCAACTTTAGACTTTTTCATTTTCTCCCAAACCATCAGTTTTCTTCAGATTTCACCCCATCTTCTATTTTAATCTAGGTACTAGATTTATCTTCTCAATTAGTTACTGTCTAAACCCTTCACCTCCTTGGATCCTTCACTGTCCTGCGTATCATACGGCAAAATTATAACCCTGGATCAATCCAGCTGTTCACAATTGTCTGGCCTCCTGTTCCATGCCCTTACTTCCTCAATCATAGTCAAAGAGGTCTTCACTCTGAGGCAGATCCCAGTTCTTATCCCTCTTCAAATAATTTAATTCACAAGTGATCCCACCTTCTGTATCTTCAACTTGTTTACTAATTTTCTATTTCTTTCTCATCAGAATTTACAATGGCTTAGTTTCTCCTGCTATGGAACAAAGTGCAAAACACCCTCCCCACTACCATGTGTCTCTCTCTAGCTACCAACCTAGGACAGCAATACTTCTAGATTTCACATTTCTAGAATCTAAAAAGAGCAAGTTACACAATGTTGTATTCACATTCTCATTAGCATTAGTTCCTCAGTTAACAGTGGTGTGCATTTTGCCTTTCGTTTTTTCTGACGTTGTCATGGCAAAGTCACCTGTGCCTTATGATGGTATCAAGGGTAGATCGATATGGAAAAATGTTTAATCTCCCCCATAGGGTACAGTATAACAACACCTGGCATGAAGTAGAAGCTCAGTAAATGCTTCTTAGTAGGAAAGAAGATGCACAGTCCAACTTATTAAAACAAAAATGACTTGCAATGTTATTTGTCTTGGGCCCGAGTTGGCATATGAAATTCAGGAAGAAAAAAACCTCTCACTGGAAAAAATGGGGAGGCTGGAGCTGACTTTTATTAGGTAGCAACAACAAATGGTGGCAGTTGGCTTTTTAACGTTATTTTCATTATATATTCGCGAGTAAAATGCTAATTTCTTTAGAAACAGAAGTATAGAGAGTGGCTTGTAATCAAGTTGAATGCATTAAGAGGGATGCCCAGGAAACTTTGTGAACCACAGCTGAAGACACACTCCTTGAAAGCTCTAAAATTTTGTGGGGGATGCGCCATCCCCTTTCACCAATTATTCCTATCTTCTCTCCCTTGCCCCCTTCTCAGATTTGCTTGCTTCCTTTTTACTCATTGACATTCGTGAGTGTTCATCCATCTATTCATGGAGAGGATACCTAGGCTCAGATCCCCTGTGCCGGTGCCACCCCAGCTCCTGGGAATTTTGGCTGCTGGCAGCTCCCAGATGCTTTTCTCAGCTGGAAATTGCCATAGGCCTCCCAGACATGTTTTGCCCTGGGATACTTCCTTTTTAGGGACTGGATGACGGACTACATCTGAGATACAAAGGCCGGTCAGCCTGATACAAAGGATGGGTATTTTTGCTTCAATTTGGAACAACTTTAAAGGGCCATCTCAGCCCTAGATCTCCCAGTGAATCAGATGAGGCACTATTTGCAACCTGATTGCAGGTCAGAATCTCTCACTGCTAACCCTGCCTTTCTCACCCTTTACAGGCCTGTCTTTTGTCAGTGACATAATGCACTCGGCAATTAAGAAGATGCCTTTGTTCAGGCTATTAAAATAGTAAATGTTAAAAGACAAAATTACAAAAAAAAGCATAGTTTTGCAGACCTTAATTGGCTTTAATTGTGAGTGCATAATCAGACTCTACTGAAAATGGTTCAAAATCCTCCACCCTACCACACGTGCAGGTCATATTTATACTCAGAGTAAATGAAGTGACATACAAAAATAACCTGATTGGCTGCCCTCTGCAGTTGCCTTATATGGTCATATTCTGGCAGCTCTCAGCCTCATTGGCTGGCCATTCAGCTGCTATGATTGACTGAGACTTGGCTACTTGTTGCAAGAGGGTGCAGATTAGGCTACAATCTGTTTACACATCAAGTTAGGTTACATTTCACTATACATTGTAAAACTTTTAGATCAAACTTAAAATACGATGGAGGCAGCTTTTAGGCAAATCTTAGTTCAAGTTAACAAGGGACTGTGTATTAATAAAAAAGTTCTCAAAGCCAAAGAAGGAGGACTGGTGTTTTATGGAGGTAGGAGACAAGGGAATCATCTACATCATTGAGGAGTCCTGTAGGGGCAAGTGAAAGATAGAGGTGGGTCTTGTCTTCCAATACGTAAACATGTGAGGGTGGGGTGGTCCTAAGTGGTTAGCCATTTCCAGAACAGAAAAGGGTGGTGATCGTGTCAGTGGTAGAGGTGGTGGGTGATGGTGGCTGTGGTTGTGGTGGTTGTGGTAGACTTTCTATCTTCCATCGCCATCTGAAACTCATGGCTCAGGTGCAGTTCCACACTGCCACTCTCAAGAGCTTTCCCTAATCAACCTCCTGCAAGCAACTCTCGACCCCAGAGTCTGTTTTCAGGTAACCCACTCTGAGAACTCTCTGCCATCCGGCAGTATGAACCAGGTTTGAACTTCTCTGTTTAGAGGCCTGAGCACCAGAAATCTACAGAACCGTACGCTTATGAGACAATCCGTGAGATCCTGGGTAGAGGTTGAGATTCTAGCCCAAAGCCTTCGCATTTCTTTGGGTGCAATGAGACTCTGGCTGTGAGCTGGGCTGCTTCACAGCCAAGCTGGGACTCTGAATTGGAATCTTTAACCCAGCAATGCCCTAGCACTCTGAAGATGATAAAGCATCTAGATGTAATACCCTTGGTTCTTGGTTTTTGGTTTGGACCTAGGGCCTTGTAAGATGGGCCATTGATGACAGTGAAACCTCTTGCCTCTGGCTTCGAGGGTGGCAACCTGGGGAAGATAAAACTGGGAAGAATGTAGTGGACCTTGCTTGAAGCCTACAACTAAAAGTTTTGTGGGGAGCACTAGAAAAGCGCCCCAAGATATACAAAGAGAACATTTTGGAAATTGTAGCTTAATTGCCAGCAGTCAGGCTGATAGAGGTTTGAGCTTCCATGCTTTGGTCATGAATAGTAAATGTAATCTTTCAGGCTGGTGAAGTCTGGGATATCGGTGTTACAATGGTATCTTTAAATAGGACTCATTAAAATAATAGTGTTGTTTCTTGGCAAGTGTGGTCACACTTAAATAATATCAAAGATGAGAAGACTGTTATAAAGTACACTGTAGTTTAGTAATATAAAATTTATTTTATTTTTAAGTTCCAGGGTACATGTGCAGGATATGCAGGTTTGTTACATAGGCAAATGTGTGCCATGGTGGTTTGCTGCAACTATCAGCCTATCACCTAGATATTAAGCCTAGCATGCATCAGTTATTTTTCCTAATGCCTTCTCTCCCTCCACACCCCCACCCCCAACAGGCCCCAGTGTGTATTGTTCCCCTCACTGCTGTGTCCATGTATTCTCATTGTTCAGCTCCCGCTTATAAGTGAGAACATGAGGTGTTTGGTTTGCATTAGTTTGCTGAGGATAATGGCTTCCAGCTCCATCCACGTCCCTGCAAAGCACATGATCTAATTCCTTTTTATGGATGCATAGTATTCCATGGTGTATATGTACCACATTTTCTTTATCTTGTGTATCATTGATGGGCATTTGGATTGATTCCATGTCTTTGCTATTGTGAATAGTGCTGCAATAAACATACATGTGCATATATCATTATAATAGAATGATTTATATCCTTTTGGGTATATACCTAGTAATGGGATTGCTGGGTCAAATGGCATTTCTTGTTCTAGGTGTTTGAGGAATTGCCACACTGTCTTCCACAATGGTTGAACTAATTTACGTTCCCAACAACAGTGGAAAAGTGTTTCTATTTCTCTACCACCTTGCCAGCATCTGTTGTTTCCTGACTTTTGAGAAGTGTCTGGTCATGTCTTTTGCCCACTTTTCAATGGATGATATGGTATGGCTGTGTCCCCACCCAAATCTCATCTTCAGTTGTAGTTCCCATAATCCCCATGTGACATGGAAGGAATCCAGTGGGAGGTAATTGAATCATGGGGATGGTTTCCCCTATGCTATTCTTGTGATAGTGAATCAGTTCTCATGAAATCTAATGATATTACAAGTGGCTTTACCCATCGCTCAGCTCTCATTCTTCTCTCTCGTGCTGCCATGTGAAGAAGGATGTGTTTACTTCCCCCGTTCTGCCCTGATTGTATGTTTCCTGTGGCCTCTCAGCCATGCAAAAGTGTGAGTCAGTTAAACCTCTTTTCTTTATAAATCATCCAATTTCAGATATTTCAGATATGTCTTTATTAGCAACACGAGAATGGACTAATACGATGGGGTTTTTCCTGTAAATTTGTTTAAGTTCCTTGTAGATTCTGAATATTAGACTTTGTTAGATGCATAAATTGTGAAAGTTTTCTCCCACTCTCTAGGTTGCCTGTTGGCTCTGATGATAGTTTATTTTACTGTGCAGAACTCTTCATTTAATTAGATCGTATTTGTTAATTTTTGCTTTTGTTGCAATTGCTTTTGGCAATTTTGTCATGAAATCTTTGCCTGTGTCTATGCCCTGAATGGTATCGCCTAGATTTTCTTTTACGGTTTTCATAGTGTTGAGTTTTATATTGAAGTCTTTAACCAACCTTGAGTTTATTTTTGTATAAGGTGTAAGGAAGGAGTCCGGTTTCAATTTTCTGCATATGGCTATCCAATTCTCCCAGCACCATTTATCAAATAGGAAATTATTTTCCCATTGCTTGTTTTTTGTCAGGCTTGCCAAAGATGAGATGGTTGTAAGTGCACAATTTTATTTCTGAGTTTTTCTATTCTGTTCCATTAATCTATGTGTCTGTTTTTATACCAGTACCATGCTGTTTTGATTATTGTAGCCTTGTAGTATTGTATCAAGTCGGGTAGTGAGATGCCTGCCTCCAGCTTTGTTCCTTTTGTTTAGGATTGTCTTGGGTATACAAGTTATTTTTTGGTTTCACATGAATTTTAAAATAGTTTCTTCTCATGCTATGAAAAATGTCAATGGTAGTTTAATGGCAATAACATTGACTCTATAAATTACTTCAGGCAGTATGGCCATTTTCATGATATTGATTCTTTCTATCCATGAGCATGGAATGTTTTTCCACTTGTTTGTGTCCTCTCTGATTTCCTTTAGTAGTGGTTTGCAGTTCTCCTGGAAGAGGTCCTTCACTTTCCTTGTTAGCTGTATTCCTAGGTATTCTATTCTCTTTGCAGCAATTGTGAATGAGTTCATTCATTATTTGCTCTCTGATTGTCTGTTGTTGTGTATAGAAATGCTTGTGATTTTTGCACATTGATTTTGTATCCTGATACTGTCCTGCAGTAGCTTATCAGCTTAAGAAGCTTTTGGGCTGAGTTGATGGGGTTTTCTAGACATAGGATATGTCATCTGCAAAAATGGACAATTTCACTTCCTCTGTTCCTATATGAATACCATTTATTTCTTTCTCTTGCCTGATAGCCCTGGACAGAACTTCCAATACTAGGTTTAATAGGAGTGGTAAGAGAGGGCACCCTTGTTTCATGCCAGTTATCATGGGGAATGTTTCCAGCTATTGCCCATTTAGTATGATATTTGCTGTGGGTTTGTCATAAATGGCTCATAATTTTGAGGTTCCTCTTCAATACCTAATTTATCAAGAGTTTTTAACATGAAGTGATATTGAATTTGATTAAAGGCCTTTTCTGCATCTATTGAGATAATCATGTGTTTTTTGTATTTAGTTCTGTTTATGTGATGAATTATGCTTATTGATTTGTATATGTGAAACCAGCCTTACATTCCAAGGATGAAGCTGACTTAATCATGGTGGATTAGCTTTTTGATGGGCTGCTGGATTCAGTTTGCCAGTATTTTATTGAGAATTTTTGCATTGATGTTCACAAGAAATATTGGCCTGAAGTTTTCTTTTACTATTCTATCTCCACAAGGTTCTAATGTCAGGATAATGCTGGCCTCATAAAATGAGTTAGAGAGAAGTCCTTCCTTTTCAATTTTTTTTGAATATTTTCAGAAGAAATGGAACCAGCTCATCTTTGTACCTCTGGTAGAATTCAGCTGTAAATCCATCTGGTCCTGGGCTTTTTTGTTTTTTTTTTTTTGGTTGACAGGCTATTTATTACTACCTCAATTTCAGAACTTGTTACTAGTCTATTCAGGGGTTTAACTTCCTCCTGGTTCAGTTTTGGGAGGGTTTATGTGTCCAGAAATTTATCAATTTCTTCTGGATTTTCTAGTTTATTTGCATGGAGGTGTTTATAGTATTCTCTGGTGGTTTTATTTTTTGGGGGGGTCAGTGGTGATATTCCCTTTATCATTATATATTGTGTCTATTTGATTTACCTCTCTTTTCTTCTTTATTAGTCTAGCTAGTGTTTTTTTTTTTTTTTTTTTTTTTTTTTTTTTTTTTTTTTTCCAGAAAACCAGCTCCTGATTCATTGATTTTTTTAAAGAATTTTTTTGTTTCTCTATCACCTTAAGTTCTGCTCTGAGCTTGGATATTTTTTGTCTTCTGCTAGCTTTAGGGTTTGTTTGCTTTTGGTTCTGTAGTTCTTTTAGATGTAATGTTAGGACGATGATTTAAGATTTTTATAGCTTTTTGATGTGGGCATTTTGTGCTATAAATTTTCCTCTTAACACTGCTTTAGCTGCATCCCAGAGATCCTTGCACATTGTCTCTTTGTTCTCGTTAGTTTCAAAGAACTTCTTGATTTCTGCCTTAATTTCATTATTTACCCAGGAGCCATTCAAAATCAGGCTGTTCAATTTCCATATAGTTGTGTGGCTTTGAGTGAGTTTATTAATTTTACGTTCTAATTTGATTGAACTGTGGTCTGAGAGACTGTTATGATTTCAGTTCTTTTGCATTTGCTGAGGCGTGTTTTACTTTCAATTATGTGATCAATGTTAGAGTAAGTGCCATGTGGCACTGAGGAGAATGTATATTCTGTTATTTCAGGGGGAAGAGTTCTATAGATATCTATCAGGTCCACTTGATTCAGAGCTGAGTTCAATTCCTAAACATCTATGTTCATTTTCTGTCATCTAATATTGATAATCTGTCTAATATTGACAGCGGGGTGTTAAAGTCTCCCACTATTATTGTGTGGCAGTTTAAGTCCCTTTGTAGTTTCCTGTGAACTTGCTTTATGAATCTGGGTACTCCTGTATTGGGTGCATATATATTTAGGATAGTTAGCTCTTCTTGTTGAATCGAACCCTTTACCATTATGTAATGCCCTTCTTCGTCTTTTTTGATCTTGGTTGGTTTAAAGTCTGTTTTATCAGAAACTAGGATTATGACCCCTGCTTTTTTCTATTTTTCATTTGCTTGGTAAATTTTCCTTCATTCCTTTATTTTGAGTCTATTTGTGTCTTGGCACATAAGATGGGTCTCTTGAATACAGCACACCAATAGGTCTTGACTCTTTATCCAGCTTGTTATTCTATGTCTTTTAATTGGGCCATTTATCATATTTACATTTAAGGTTAATGTTGTTATGTGTGAATTTGATTCTGTCATCATGATACTGGCTGGTTATTTTGCAGACTCGTTTATGTAGTTACTTTATAGTGTCCTTGGCCCGTGTACTTCAGTATGTTTTTGTAATGGCCGGTAGCAGTTTTTTTCTTTCTATATTTAGTGCTTCCTTCAGGAGCTCTTGCAAGGCAGGCCAGGTGGTGATGAATTCCCTCAGCATTTGCTTGTCTGCAAAGGATTTTATTTCACCTTCTCCTATAAAACTTAGTTTGTCCAGATATGAAATTCTGTGTTGGAAATTCTTTTCATTAAGAATGCTGAATATTGGCCCCCAATCTCTTGTGGCTTGTAAGGTTTACACTGAGAGGTCCACTGTTAGTCTGATGAGCTTCCCTTTGCAGGTGACCTGGCCTTTCTCTCTGGCTGCCCTTAACATTGTTTCTTTCATTTCGACCTTGGAGAATGTGATGATTATGTGTCTTGGGGTTTATCTTCTCAGGGAGTATCTTACTGGGGTTCTCTGGATTTCCTGAATTTGAATGTTAGCCTGTCTTGCCAGGCTGGGGATGTTCTTCTGGATGATATCCTGAAGTGTGTTTTCCAACTTGGTTCCATTCTCCCTGTCTCTTTCAGGTACCCCAATTAGTAGTAGGTTTGGTATTTTTACATAATCACATAGTTCTCAGAGGTTTTTTTCATTCCTTTTTATTCTGTTTTTTTTTTCCTCTAATTTTGTCTGACTGCCTTGTTTCAGCAAGATAGTCATCAAGCTCTGATATTTTTCCTTCCGCTTGGTCACTTCAGCCATTGATACTTGTGTTTGCATTGTGAAGTTCTCTTGTGTTTTTCAGCTCCATCAGGTCACTTATGTTCCTCTCTAAACTGTTTATTCTGGTTAACAGCTCCTATAATGTTTTATCATGGTTCTTAGCTTCTTTGCATTGGGTTAGAACATATCCCTTTAGCTCAGTGAAGTTTGTTATTACCCACATTCTGAAGTCTCCTTCTCTCAATTCATCCATCTCAGCCTCAGCCCAGTTCTCGGCCCTTGCAGAAGCAGTGTTGTGATCATTTGGAGGAGAAGAGGCACTCTGGCTTTTTGAGTTTTTGGCATTTTTGCGTTGATTCTTTCTCATCTTTTAGGATTTATCTACCTTCAATCTTTGAGGCTGCTGACCTTTGGATGGGGATTTTATGGGGGTTTTTTCATTGATGTTGCTGTTGTTGCTTTCTGTTTGTTCTTCACGTAGCAATCCCACCCCTCTTCCCCAGGGCTGCTGAGGTTTGCTGGTGGGTCCACTTCAGATTCTATTCATCTGGGTCCCTCCCACAACTTGAGGTATCACCACTGAAGGCTGCAAAACAGCAAAGGTGGCTGCATACTCCTTCCTCTATGAGCTCTGTCCCAGAGGTGCACTGACCTGATGCTGACAAGAACTCTCCTGTATGAGGTATCTAGAGGCCCCTGTTGGGAGGTCTCACCCAGTCAGGAGGAATGGGATCAGGGACCCACTTAAATAAGCAGTCTGGTTGTCCCTTGGCAGGGTGGGTGTGCTGTGCGGGGTGAATCTCCCTCTTTTGGGCTGTCTTTACTCTCCATAGCTGGCAGGCAGAGTAATATAAAATTTTAAGACAATTATTATTGTTCCTGTAAAGGCTACTGGGAGTTCAACTTTGTGGTCAGGCATTTTTATTTTGGAGTCTGGCAGATCTGTGTAACTTCAGACTAGATTTTAACCAGTGGGGAAGCCAGGGAGAAGAGAACAATTTCTAGGGACTTCAGTCCCCCCACATATGATGTCTCAATAGCCCTATGGTCCACAATCCAACCCATACTTAAGAATTAATGAAAACTAATTGCTTGATATGTGAATGGAACCTCAAGGCAGGTTTTCTAATCCAGAGAAAATTTTATTAAAAATGTAAAGGATGGCCAGTGACGTTTACATATGTAACTAACCTGCACATTGTGCACATGTACCCTAAAACTTAAAGTATAATAATAATAATAATAATAAAAGAGGAAAAAAAACAACAAAAACATATGTAACTAACCTGCACATTGTGCACATGTACCCTAAAGCTTAAAGTATAATAATAATAATAATAATAAAAAGAAAGAGGAAAAAAAAAAACAAAAAACAAAACAAAACAAAACAAAAATGTAAAGGAATATACATGCGTACACTCACACAGGCAACCCAAAATTAAAACACAAACAAACAAACAAACAAAAATCACTGAGTAAAAACAGTAGATTTTCAGACAAATTTAGCTTCAAAATAAGAAAGTCCTTTAGCCAGCTTCTACCCACACAGCTTACTCACTTTTGTGTTTCTTCTCTACTCCTCTACCCCAAACACATTTTTGCACAGGGGAGTAAAGGTCTAAACCCTTCTGTATACAGATGTGGTCTCCTTAACTAGCTATATGTAACTTCTCTATGCCTCAATTTTCCAATCTGTGAAGTGGAAAAAATAAGAAACATTTAATGAGATCTTCCACATATGGTGCTTAAAGTGGGTGACCCATTGTCAGCATGCATGTATATGGAAAAATACAGTATTAGAATTAGATTTTTTATAGGTTTTATAAAATACCTGGTAATGTATGTCATTTATACTAAAACATTTGTTGCATTTTTTATATACTTAAAGGTAGAGTGAGAGGAAAATATTTCTCTCTGTCTCTTCCTCTGAGTCTGGAATTCCTTCTACCCATCTGAATCTGGAATCACTTGATTGCAAGGAACAAAAACAGAAACACTTCAGAAGAGCTCAAAAGAGAAGAATGGATTTATTAATAAGGAAATCTCCTGGAACCCAATTTAGGATGCACATATTTTACCTGGATTACTTAATTTAATGCCCTAACATAATTAGTCAATATTGTTTCCATTTTAAAGATAAGTAAAATGAAACACAGAGAGGTAATATAGCTTACTCTTTAAAAATAATCATTTCCTTATTGTTGGAATTTTCAGTTGTTTTCATATGTTTGTTATTATTCTAAAAACTTCAGGAAATATTTATGTGTGTATTGATTTTTTATTTTTAAGTAATTTTTTCAGAATAAATCCTGAAGATATATATTATTTAGACAAAGGGTATGAGCTTTTCAACAACTCAGTATGTGTTCTGTTTTTTGTTTCATGAGGTATTTCCATTAACTAAGAAATAGCCTATTATTTTGCCAAAGTAGAGATGCTATTGGCAGCACTTACTAATTGTTTAACACTCGAATATATTGGATGATAAACATTGGTATTGAATTGTCTGTGGGCTTTTCATCTAGTGTATCTATTTACTCTTCCTGATTATCTTGCATACCTCCTGAGTACAGGTCTTGTCCTTGCATGATTCATACGGTCAGCCCCTAAGTCAGGCATCTCCAATCTCTGGAGTCGGAGATCTGCCCCCTCATTGTGGTAGATTATCTTCTGAAGTTTTCCCACAGACACTTTTAGGAAAGAAATTTGACTGGAAAAATGGAAACGTTCCACTTGCTTTCCCAGCTGGTTTTGATTAATTATAAGGTAGAATAATTATAAGTGTAATTAGGTTATTTTGTCTCTTTGGAATAAAGGTTCAGTAGGAAGAGGAGTGCAGTAAGAAGAGAGAAATGATAGCAGTGATAACAATGATAAAGTTGGTGACTGCTGGACTGGAAGTGAGGGGTGATTACATTTCTTTCATTTCTCTAGCTGAGCTTCATTCTGGAATCAGAATATGAACATTTGGATTAATCATTACACATGAGAAGCAACCACTGAGAATATACTAATTTGCCATTAATTCAACAAATATTTATTAAGTAACTCTGTTGTGCTAGGAGCGGGTTGTGGGGAGGGAGGGAGGGAGACGGGGGAAAGAGAGAGATTGAGAGAGAGAGAGAGAGAGAGAGAGAGAGAGAGACTGCTCTAGCACACACAGTATGTCCAGAATGAAAACGAAGAAAATAATATTTCACTGCATGTAGCAGTCTCTATTAGGAGGATAACATTAAGGAATAGCAAGGTAAGATGACATGCCTAAGGTCAGACTCCTAAAAGGTATTAGAGTTGGGGTTTTAAATGAAATCTATCTGACTCCCCCTTTTCCCCTAAAGGACAGTAACTCCTAGTGTCATGAGAAAAATAATATACAATTAAAGGGCTATGAGAGTTTAGCAGAGGAATTGATTAATTCTTTTCCAGGAGTCAGGAAGGGCTTAGTGGGAACGTTTAAATGGGGCCCCTGATGGATGAGTAGGCTTTGATTGGCAAGGGGTAACATGTAGGTGGGGGCGGGGGGTGAAAAGGCTGATGATAAAGGTTGAACAGCAGTATGAGCAAAAGTAATGGAGTATTATTAATGTGTCTGAGGTTTTCAAAGCAAGAGCAGTGTATGGCCCTTGTGGGTGGTCCACAGTTTGGATGGGGCATAGGGGGGTGGTGATAGACAGCTTGCATCTCCAAATGTAGAGAGCCTTGGAATGCCATGCCAGAAAGTTCAGATTTCATTTTATCTGTAGTACCAAATGATTGCAAGGACAAATGTGAGTTGTAAGAGCCTGAAACATTGGTTGCAGCAATGAAAACAAAAATGATTGGCAAGATTCCAAAGATAGTTTAATGGCAGAATTGGCTGACTTTCATTACCTTTTTTTAGAGAGAGGAAGAGATTGAAGATGCTGAGGTTTCAGTTTTGGTAAAGAGATTCACCAAATTCAGTTTTATTCAGTTTATACACCATTTGCTGGGTATTCCTGAGTTGTGGCAGCAGACGACAGGGAAGTTTGTTTTTGCAAAGACATTTCTAGAACTGGAAGGCTCAAAGTAAATGTTTTGATAGTGTACTACCTCTAATCAATATAACTCCATAGTTTAATAAAGCACTCCACAGTTTATCTTACCAGATTTTCTGACCTTAAAAAAAGAATTTCTTATTTCTTATACTCCATGAAATCAAGGATTCTTTCAATGGATGTTGCCCCCCCTCACACACACACATTTCACACTTTGACACCTCCATTAATCTGAAGAAATGATTGATACCAATTCAAAACCTTAGGCTGGCTGTACCTGCCTTTTAAAATATTTTTTTTTTGTAGTACATATTCAAAGTATGTTGTTGGGTTTTTTAATCTCTGAAAACCGTGAAGCAAAAAAACTCGGGCTCAGGAGAAGAGTTGGAGGAAGCGAGGCTACTGCAATGGAGTGGAAGTTTGCTGAGCATTTTCACAAGGCCCTTGTTCAGCAATTACCTTTGTCTGTACCATTTATATATGCTTAGAATAAGCTCTATTGTATTACCAAACTCAAAGTAAGCCTTCTTTTTTTTTTTTTTTTTTTTTTTTTGTGACGGAGTTTCACTCTTGTTGCCCAGGCTGGAGTGCAATGGTGCGATCTCACCTCACCACAACCTCCGCCTCCCGGGTTCAAGCGATTCTCCTGCCTCAGACTCCAAGTAGCTGAGATCACAGGCATGTGCCACCATGCCCGGCTAATTTTGTATTTTTAATAGAGACGGGGTTTCTCCATGTTGGTCCGGCTGGTCTCAAACTCCTGACCTCAGGTGATCTGCCCGCCTTCAGGTGATCTGCCTGCCTTGGCCTCCCAAAGTGCTGGGATTACAGGCATGAGCCACCGTGCTCAGCCTAAGAAAGCCCTCTGTGACACTTGGAATCATCAGCGGGAAACTATCTTAACACATTAGAAATCGGTAATGGAAGTGGACTAACATTTTGGTCTTCAGAGAATGCTAAATGAAGTAAATGGTGACCATCTGGTTATCATTTGTAAATTTAGTGAACCTTGTAGGATGAAAGCTTACCTCGTACCTGGCCATGGATTACATACTTTTAACATTTATTGACTGCTTACTATATTTCAGGCACCATGATGCAAAGTTTTGTTTCACATCTTATTCAATCCTCAGAACAGCTCAGCGTGGCAGTATGGTTATTCTTATCTCCGTTTTACTGAGGAGAAACTGGGGCTAAAGACATGAAGTGACTTGCACAAGGTCAGCCTGACTCTACTCTTTCTATGCCTGGCTGTGGCTTCCTGTGAGCTGATCTATTAGGCAGTAGTTGAGGTCTTCACTTACCCTGAATTTCTTCTGGTTCTCCACTACTGGTAAACGACTAGCTCTGTGAATTGAGTAATGGATGAAGTCAGGAATGAGTCTATTGCATGCGTGCATTTATAGAAGAGGCTGCAGTGCCAAGACTCCTTTAGTTTTGTGTTTGCACATTGTGTATGGATGAGGCTATGCCAGTGTTCTCTATCTTTATTTCACATAAAATGCAGAGGATTTCAGGCCTGGGTGTAGACCATCATCACTCATGTGTTGTTGTTGCCATGTTTATAGGCAACAAAGATAGGTTTAGACAAAGCTTGTCCAACCCGTAGCCCATGGGCCACATGTGGCCCAACACAAACTCGTAAACTTTCTTAAAACATTATGAGATTTTCCTTCGATTATTTTTTTAAAGCTCATCAGCTGTCATTAGTGTTAGTGTATTTTGTGTGTGGCCCAAGACAATTCTTCTTTCAATGTGGTTCAGGGAAGCCAAAAGATTGGGCAGCCCTGGTTTAGACAGTGTTATGGGTTGAATTGTGTCTACTAAAATTCTTATGTTGAAGTTTTAACTGCCGGTACCTCAAAATATGTCTTTATTTAGGCATACAGCAGCGGTTCCCAACCTTTTTGACACCAGGGCCTGGTTTCATGCAGACAGTATTTCCACCGATGGGTGGGGGGATGGTTTCAGGATGAAACTGTTTGACTTCAGATCATCAGGCATTAGCTGGAGTCTCATAAAGACAGCACAGTCTAGATTCCTCACATGTGCAGTTCACAGTACAGTTTGTGCTCCTGTGACAATCTAACGCCACTGGTAAGCTCACTCGCCAAACACTCACCTCCTGCTGTGCGGCCTAGTTTCCAACAGGCCACGAACCGGTCTGGTCCATGGCCTGGAGGTTGGGGGCCCCTGCTTTACACAGTCAATCATGTTAATCATGTTAAGTGAGATCCATTGTGATGGATGTCTTTATAAAAAAAGGAAATTTGGGTAGAGAGGAATGCATAGAAGGAAGATGATGTGAAGACACACGGTGAGAAGACAGACATTTCCAAGCCATGGAGAGAGACCTGATATACATCCTTATCTCAAAGCCAATTTATAGTCTTGTGTGCACTTGTACAAACACAATAGATGAATAACATGGGCGTGGCGATTATTATTAATTTGTGAGGAAGTAGTAGGGAGGAGGTCCAGGGAAGATTGTCTGGAAATAATGACACCTGAGGTGCAGATGCATGGAGGAACGGACGCTAACCTGGTGGTTGGGATGCAGTGTGGGAGAAGGGTATCCCAGGCAGAGGAGATAACTTGAGCAAAGTCAGAGGTGGGTAAGAGAGGATGGTATGCTCACGGGACTCCTTCCTGCTCTGACCTTTGGCCTGACACTTCATGTTCCTGGTTCTCCATCGCCTCTCCTGAGCATCATTTTCTCTCCCATTACTCATGCTAAGCACTGTGTAAAGTTCGGTTCCTGGCCCAGTGATATTCTCCTTTTACTACTTTTGAAAAATTTAAAAAATGCCATTATATAAAACAGCATCCCTCCCAGGACCCCCGCCGTATGAAACTCCAGCTGAGTGGCAGTTCTTGCCTCCAGCATTTACATTTGCATAGCCCAGCTTCAGCTCAGGCCTGAGATGCCAAAATGACACCCTTCACCTTTCCTTCCAAATTGTTGTCTAGATTCTGTATTTTAAAAAATATTCTCATCATCAATAAGTGACCTGGTCCTAAAACCTGGAGTGATCTCTGACTTCTCCTGCTACCAAACACCTTGTCAGGATTCAGGGCCAGACAAACAGTGTTATTGTATACATCCTCAATTGTTTCTTTTTCTTGAAATTCTAAGCAACCTTCGTCTCTCCCCATTCTGTGAGCATCTCTCTCCAGTTTTACAAGCCACGTCAAAAATTACTGACAGTGACTGAAATTATACCTGTAAGATCTTTTCACACTGGGAATTTCATTAGGCTGGATCCAAGAGCTTGCATTTTTGGTAAATAGTCAGATAATCTCCTGCTATCTTTTTGTTGATCTGGGTCGGGAATTGCCCTCTTAAACTGTCTGTTCTATTCTTTCTAATTTGAAGAACATTACCTTTCCTGAATAAAATAGGCACACAATAGAAAATTAATAGTTGGAACTTTTTCCGATAATCAGTGAACATCACGCCTTCTTTTTTTTATTATACTTTAAGTTCTGGGGTACATGTGCAGAACGTGCAGTTATGTTACATAGGTACACATGTGCCACGGTGGTTTGCTGTACCCATCAACCTGTCATCTACATTAGGTATTTCTCCTAATGTTATCCCTCCGCTAGCCTCCCACCCCCCGACAGGCCCCGGGAACATCACATCTTCTTTTGTCCTCATTCTCTCTGTCTACAGACATTTTTGCAGTCATTGACACTGTGACTACCCTGTTCTTGATACGACTTCGTTCTTGTTTATGTGACATCATTGTCTCTTGGTTTTCTGTTTCTCTCTGAGGTCAATTCTATTTCAAACTCTGCTACAGAATCTACTTTCTCTGCTAACATTTTAAAAGTTTAAGTTTCCTAGTCATTTGCCCTGAATCCACTTGTCATTTTTACTCTTCAGATTTTATCTTGTAATTTATTGGCAGATCTCTACTGCCACCAAACCCACACATCTGAATCTACAGATCAGATCTCTCTTCTAGAGATTCAGCTGCCACTTCAACACCCCTGCTCGGATTGTCTAATAGATTCCTTAGCCTCAATCTACCAAACACTGATCTATTCACCTATTCCTTCTTTTAAGAGGGACTTATATTGTTGTTAGAATTGGGAAAACGTATAGCAAACTTTGTTTCCTGAGAGGTTAAAGTGATTTATATCTGTTCCAATTTGGTTTCTGGCCACTATATTTGAGGTAGGTTAAATAATATTACCTAAAAAGCTTCAGAATAGGCAGGGAAGGAATAAAAGTGGCCACAGCAGACTTCAGTACTTATTCATTCAGTCTACAAATGTGTAGTAAGCACCAACTTTGCTCCAGGGATGACAGTCATCACTAGTGGTACATGGCTTTAAGGTATGGTCCCTTCCCTCATGGAGCTTCGACTGTGAGATATTGTGTAGACTTTCCTTAAGAAGCATCACATTCTTTCACATACCGAGATATCCTCAACTTGAGTCTTACCTGTGTGATTATCTACAATTAACATACTGTACAATTAACATTTGTGCATGGACAGTTTTATGAATTATAACACATGTTTAGATTTATGTAACTACAACACAATCTGGATACACAACAGTTCCATCACCCCCTCACATTGTAAGGGGGTAAAGAGTCTTGAGAAACTCTTTACTGTTAAACTCTCCGCACACGCAGAACCCGTGGCAGCCACAGATGTGTTCTCCTTCCTATAGTTTTTGCTTTTAAAATGTTATATAAATGGAATCCTACAGTAGATGGTTTTTTTTGAGACTGTCTTTTTTCACTCATCATCTTTCTCTGATAATCATTCAAGTTGCTTGTATTAGTATTTTTTAAAATATTTAATGCTGAGTATTATTCCATTATATAGATGTATCACATTGTGGTTATCAATTCTCCAATTGAGGGCATTTATGTTGTTTACAGTTTATGGTGATTTTGAATAAAGATGCTACTAAACACTCATGAACAGTTATTTTGTGAATATAATTCACTTAGGTAAATTCCTAGGGTAAATATAATAGGGATAGGATTGCTGGTCTATAGAGTGAATATAACTTAACTTCTAGAAACTGCAAAACTGTTATCAAGAGGGTGTACCATTTTGCATCCCCATGAGCAATGCATGAGGAACCCAGCTGTTCTGCCTCCTTGCCAGCACCTGGTGTTCTCTGGTTGTTGTTATTTTTGTTCTTTGTTCATCATAACAGAAGTGTTGGGGTATCACTTCGAGGATTTCATTTGCATTTTCTTAATGACTTACTTTTATATGTTCATTTGCCATCCACATATCTTCTTTGTTCGTGTCTGTTCACATATTTGCTATTTGAATGTTTTAATTGATTTCTAAAAAGTCTTTATATGTATATGTCACATAAAATTTTTCTGTCAGATTGGCAAATATTTTCTTTCAGCTCATTGCTTGTCATTCAGCTTTTAAATGGTAGATTTCTCAGAGAAAACATTTCTTTTTTCTTCTTTTTGATAAAGTTATTGTATTAGTTTGTTCTCACTCTGCTATAGAGACATACCTGAGACTGGGTAATTTATGAAGAAAAGAGGCTGAATTGACTCACTGTTTTGCAGTCTATACAGGAAGCATGGCTGGAGAGGCCTTAGGAAACTTATAATCATGGTGGAAGGTGAAGGGGAAGCAAGCACTTCTTACCATGGTGGAGCAGGAGAGAGAAAGAGAGAGAGAGAGCAAACGGGAAGTGCTACACACTTTTCAAACAACCAGATCTTGTGAGAACTCTACTATGAGACAGCACTAGGGGAATGATGCTAAACCATTAGATACAACCCCCATGATCCACTCACCTCCAACCAGGCCCCTCCTCCAACACTAGAAATTACAATTTGACATGAGATTTGGATGGGGATGCAGAATCAAACCATTTCATTTTCTCCCTGGACCCTCCCAAATCTCATGTCTTTCTCACATTGTAAAATACAATCATCCCATATCAATAGTCCCCCAAAGTCTTAACTCATTACAGCATTAACTCTAAAGTCCAAGTTCAAAGTCTCATCTGAGAGAAGGGAAATCCCTTCCACCTATGAGCCTGTGAAATAAAAAACAAGTTAGTTACATTAAAGATACAATAGAGGTAAAGGCATTGGGTAAATGCTCCCATTCCAAAAGGAATAAATTTGTCAAGCAAAGCTGCTACAGGCCCCATGCAAATCCAAAACCCAGCAGGGCAGTCATTAAATCTTAAACCTTGGAAATAATCTCCTTTGACTTCATGTCTCACATCTAGGGAACACTGATGCAAAAGGTGGGCTCCCAAGGCTTTGGGCAGCTTCACCCCTGTGACTTTGCAGGGTACAGCCCCCATGACTGCTTTCACAGGCTGGCATTGTGTGCCTGTGGCTTTTCCAGGTTCACAGTGCATGCTATCAGTGGATCTAATATTCTGGAGGCTGGAGGACATTGGCCCTTTTCTCACAGCTCCACTAGGCAGTGACTCAGTGGGGCTCCACCCCCACATTTCCCCTTCACATTGCCCTAGTAGAGGTTCTGCATGAGGGATCCATCCCTGCAGCTTATTTCTGCCTGAATGTCCAGGCATTTCCGTACATCTTTTGAAATCTAGGCAGGGCCTCCTGAGCCTCAACTCTTGCCCTCTGTACATATACAGGCTTAACACCATATGGAAGCCACCAAGGCTTGCAGCTTTTACTTTCTGGAGCAGCAGCCTGAGACACATGTGGGGCCCTTTTAGCCATGGCTGGAGCTGGAGCAGCTAGGACACAATGAGTAGTGTCCTGAGGTTAGGCAGGGCAACAGGGCCCTGGGCCTGGCCCACGAAACCATTCTTCCCTCCTAGGCCTCTGGGCCTGTAATGGGAGGGGCTGCTGTGAAGGTCTCTGAAATGCCCTGGAGGCATTTGCCCAATTGTCTTCACTATTAACACTCTGCTCCTCTTTACTTATGCAAATCTCTGGAGTTGGCTTGAATTTCTCCTCAAAAGTGAGTTTTTCTTTTCTCTTGCATGGTCAGGCTGCAAATTTTTCAAGCTTTTATACTCTGCTTTCCTTTTAAATATATGTTCCAATTTCAGACCATCTTTTTGGAAGTGCATATGAGCATAAGCTGTTAGAGGCAGCCAGGCCATTTCTTGAACATTTTGCTGCTTAGAAATTTTTTTTTGGTAAACACCACAGATCATCTCTCTCAAATTCAAAGTTCCACAAATCCGTAGAGCAGAGGCGCAATGCCACCAGTCACTTTGCCAAAGCATAGCAAGAGTGACCTTTACTCCAGTTTCCAATAAGTTTCCCATCTCCATCTGAGACTACCTCAGCCTGACCTTTATTGTGCATATCACTATCAGTATTTTAGTCACAATCATTCAACAAGTCTCTAGGAAATTCCAAACTTTTCCTCATCTTCCTGTCTTCTTCTGAGCCCTCGAAAGTCTTTCAGCCTCTGTCCATCGCCCAGTACCAAAGCTGCTTTCACATTTTCAGTATTTTTATAGCAATGCCTCACTTCTCTGGTACCAATTATCTGTATTAGTTTGTTGTCACACTGCTATAAAGACATAGCTGAGACTGGGTACTTTATAAAGAAAAGAGGTTAAATTGACTCACTGTTCTGAAGGCTGTGCAGAAAGCATGGCTGGGGTGACCTTAGGAAACTTACAATCATGGTGGAAGGTGAAAGGGAAGCAAGCACATCCTACCATGGTGGAGCAGGAGAGAGAGAGAGAAAAGTGGAGGTGTTACACACTTTTCAAACAATCAAATATCATGAGAACTGTATCATAAGACAATACTGGGGACATGGTGCTAAACCATCACAAACCATCCCCATGATCCAAACACCTCCTATCAGGCTCCTCCTCTAACACTAGGAATTACAATTCAACATGAGATTTGGGTGGGGACACAGAGTCAAACCACATCAGTTTTGTTTACCCATTCTTTCTTTACAGGTCATACTTTGGTGTCATATCTAAGAACTCTTCACCAAGTCTTAGGTTACAAACATTTCCTCCTATGGTTTCTCCTAAAAACCTTTATAGTTTTATGCTATACATATTAGTCCAGGTACAATTTTTAATTAATTTTATAAAACGTACAAGGTTTAGGTTAAGACAGGTTTTTTCCACTTATGAATATCCAATCATTCCAACCAAATTTCTTGAAAAAAGTTAGCCTTTCTTCATTGATTTGCCTTTGCACCTTTGTCAAAAATCCATTGTCCATATATGTGTATCCATTTCCGGACTCTCTGTTGTCCTGTGTGATATTTAACTTGGCTAGTAATAGCAGCTGGTGTTGGGGTCCTACTGACCACTTAGAAGTGAGCTGCCCCTATTTGACCAGAGGGCTACTTAAAGGATGGAGCTGATTCTCATTGGTTGGACAGTTCTCTCTTCAGACAGGGGGATAGGAATCTGAACTAAAGAAGGATTTAGGAGGAGAAGTTTTGTTGGAACTGCTGGTAGTAAGCCATGAGGAATTGAATATACACTAACATCACAGTGTATAAATTGCTTGGGTTTTTTTTTTTTTTTTTGAGCATATAGATCTGTCAGGGAAAATTGACTTCCTAAATTTCTTTATGCAGAGAGGTACTTTCAAATGAGTTGATTAACTTCATTTATCAAAAATAACTCTTTCTGCCTCCCTCTATTCCATGTGCCCCTGCTTACTTTCCACTGAACAAATGCCTTTTTCCCTCCATCTCAGCAGCATCTCCCTCTACCTCCTGGCTCCTCATGGAGGACTAGTGTTCCCTCCCAGCTCCTCATGGAGGACTAGTGTTCCCTCCCCAACATCTCACAGTGCCTTAGGGGGCTCCTTCCAGCAGGATTCAGTCTGCTCCATCCCTGAAGCACCTGGCCCTCTGTAGTTACTCTGTGTTTGTTATACTTGAATTTCTTCCTGATTATTTTGGAAGAAAATAAGCAGGATGAAATGTTTAGAAAACATTTCCCAGAAAGAAAGGAAGACTGAATGATGCTGCAAGGGAGCTAAACTAGAAGTTGGGCACCCGAGTTCAAATCCCACCTACCAGAAAGCAGCTGTGTAATGGTGAGTGATTTTTTTTCATCTCCATCTCAGCTGCCATGTTCTTATCTGGAAAAGGAAGAAACTGGATGAAAACAGCAGTTAGAATACCAAGGCCTATACAGATCAGACAGGCAACCTAAATTAGTGCAATATGACGTGTATAAGAACAAGTAGACATAGAAGCACATTGATGAATGGCAATTAGTGTTCTGCCTCTCTGAGGGATGGAAGGAAGTGGTAGGACTGGGGGTAACTCAGACTCAAGGCCACCTAAAGTGATCACAATCATGTGGCTGCAGCTGAATTTTGACCTGAAAGCTCAGTGTTGACGTGTCATCTGATTTTTCTGAAAAAGCCAGAAATTTAGCTTTCCATATGAAATCCCATTTTAAAAAAGATGTGCCTCATGTTTTAAAAGATCGTCATGCAGGCAAAAGAAAATCCCAAGAAAACCCATCTGGGGGCCAGATCTCAGATACATCACCTCTGGAGTAAATAAACTCCATGGCTCCCATGCTGCAAAGTTCTGGGGCTCCTAGGTTCTGCTAAGAAAGTAGGAAGTTGGAATAAATAATCAACTTCTACTATAGTCTGAAAATTTCTGTCTCTCCAAAATTCAAGTGAATACTTAATCCCCAATGCAAATGTTTTAAGAGGTGTGGCCTTTAGGAAATGATTAAGCCATGATGACTGCCCTCCTAAATAGAATAAGTACCCTAATAAAAGGGCTCTAGGGAACCAGGCAGCCCCTCACCCTCTTTCACCATGTGGGAACTCAGTGACAAGATGTCATCTTTCCAGCAAAGAGCCCTCAACAAACACAAAATCTGCTGATCCTTTGATCTTGGACTTCCCTGCCTCCAGAAATGTGAGAAATAAATTTCTGTTATTTATAAATAATTGAAATACATTTCTGTTTCTTATTTCCACTGTAAGGTATTTTATTATAGCACCTGGAATTGTGTAAGACAACAACTTAGCTGAGGGTACACTTAATGTGCTTTTTATGTCAGCCCCTTTGAAAGTTAAATATTTTATTAAAATAAAAATAGCAGTTTTGTGTGCTATTAAAATAACATAATATTTACATTCAGGAGGCTGTATAAAAGTCATTTGTTCAAACATTTGTTGCAATAATAAGATCATAAAAGTATTTGTTACCAGAAGTGCTTTATTCATCTTTTAGTTGCTTATTTCACTGCAGAACCTATCTATAGCTTGGTGGCTCGTAGCCAAGTGTAAGAACCCTGCGTGATACTCCTCACTTGAAAGTGCTCCAAATGGGACACTACATGAATGGATTAGGCACTGACCCTGTTGTTCCTTTCACTATTCCCTACTTTTGTGACTACAAGGGGAAACACCAACTCTTGAATCAGCATTTACCTGGAAGCTGCAGGTAGCCCCGTTAACTGCTCAGCCCCAGGGCTGCCTCTCAGCCTAAATGGGCATCCTGTTCCCTCCTCTTTTCTTTCTGCAGATCATAAGGACTCTCCTCTCCTGCAGAGCTGCCCATGTCCACTCCCTCTTCCAGGCGCCTCTTCCTGCCAAGACTGGCCTCTGAATTGGATGTAGCCTTTCCCCTCCCGCTTCCTTAAAAGCCCAAAATACAAGCACACAGAGCCCATGTGTGTACTTGGTTTTTCTGTTAATCACTTTGGCAAAAGACAAGGGTCATAACTTTCACCAACCCAGTGTAACAGGGTGTCCTGATTTCCTGATTCTTTAGCATCATTGTCCCAAGACTCTGATTTCCTACTGTCTTTACCTAGTGTGTTTTGACCCTCAGCCTTACTGTAAAGAAATATTTTTTTTTCAGTCAGGCATAGTGGCTCACACCTGTAATCCCAGCACTTTGGGAGGCCAAGGCGGGCAGATCACGAGGTCAAGAGATCGAGAACATCCTGGCCAATATGGTGAAACCCTGTCTCTACTATAAATACAAAAATTAGCTGAGCATGGTGGTGCACTCCTGCAGTCACAGCTACTCAGGAAGTTGAGACAGGAGAATCGCTTGAACCCAGGAGGCAGAGGTTGCAGTGAGCTGAGATCGCGCCACTGCACTCCAGCCTGGTGACACAGTAAGACTCTGTCAAAAAAAAAAAAAAAAAAAAAGAAGCAAGCAAGCAAGAAAGAAAGAAAGGAATTTTTTCAATAGCTTTTGGGGTACAAGTGGTTTCTCATTACATGGATGAATTATATAGTGGTGAATTCTGAGATTTTAGTATACCAATCACCCGAGTAGTGTACAATGTACTTAATGTAGTTAATTTTATCCCTTTCCCTCCTCTGACCTTCCCCCTTCTGAGTCTCTAAAGTCCATAATATCAATCTGTATGCCTTTGCATACTTATAGCTTAGCTCCCATTTATAAGTGAGAATATACAGTTCTTGGTTTTCCACTCCTGAGTTACTTCACTTAGAATAATGGCCTACAGCTATATCCAAGTTGCTGCAAAAGATATTATTTCATTTTTTATGGCTGAGTAGTATTCCATGGTGTACATATACCACATTTTCTTTATTCACACATTAGTCAATGGGAAATTAGGTTGATTCCACACCTTTGCAATTGAGAATTGTGCTGCTATAAACATACAAGTGCAGGTGTCTTTTTTATATAATGACTTCTTTTCCTTTGGGTAGATATCCAGTAGTGGGCCTGTGTTGAATGCTGTGTTGAACGTTAGATGTATTTTTAGTTCTTTAAGGAATCTCCATACTGGATTCCATAGACGTTGCACAAATTTACATTCCCACCAGCAGCGTATAAGCGTTTCCTATACCTTGTATCCACACCACCATCTCTTGTTTTTTGACTTTTAAATACTGCCCATTCTTGGAGAAGTAAGGCAGTACCTCGTTGTGGTTTTACTTTGCATTTCCTTGCTGATTAGTGATATGGTTTGGTCTGTGTCCCTGCCCAAATCTCATGTCAAATTTTAATCCCCAATGTTAAAGGTGGGGCCTGGTGGGAGGTGATTTGATCATGCTGGTGGATTTCCCATTTGGTGCAGTTCTTGTGATAGTGAGTGAGTTACCATGAGATCTGGTTGTTTAAACGTTTGTAACACTTTCACCCTCTGTAGCACTTACTCCTGCTCTGGCCGTGTAAGATCAACCTGCTTCTCTTTTGCCTTCTGCCATGATTGAAAGTTTCCTGACCCCTCCCCCACCACCCCCAGCTATGCTTCTTTCACAGCCTGTGGAACTGGAAGCCAATTAAACTTTTTTTCTATACAAATTACCCAGTCTCAGATATTTCTTTACAGCAGTGCAAGAACAGACTAATATAGAAAATTGGTACCAGGAGTAGGGTACTGCTATAAAGGTACCTGAAAATGTGACTTTGGAATTGAATAACAGGCGTAGGTTGGAAGAGTGTAGAGGGCTTAGAAAAAGGCAGGAAGATGAGGGAATGTCTGGAACTTCCCAGAGACTTGTTAAATTGTTGTGACCAAAATGCTGATAGCGATATTAACAATAAAGTGTAGGCTGAGGTGGTCTCAGATGAAGATGAGAAACTTATTGGGAACTGGAGCAGGGGCCACTTTTGTTATGCATTAGCAAAGAGTTTGGAGGCATTGTGCCCCTGCCCTAGGAATCTTTGGAACTTTGAGCTTGAGAGTAATGATTTAGGGTATTTGGTAGAAAAAAATTCTAAGCAGCAAGTGTTCAAGAATTGGCCAGGCTGCTTCTAACAGCGTATGCTCATATTCATTCTCAGAGTGACGGTCTGAAATTGAAACTTATATTTAAAAGGGAAGAGAGTCTGGAAGTTTGGAAAATTTGCAGCCTGGCCATGTGAAAGAAAAGAAACATCCATTTTCTGGGGAGGAATTCAAGCTGCCTGCAGAAATTTGCATGTGTAAAGATCAGCCAAATGTTGATAGCCAAGATCGTGGGGAAAATGCCTCAAATGCCTTTCAGAGACTTTCCCAGCAGCTCCTCCCATCACAGGCCTGGAGGCCTAAGAGAGAAGAATGATTTTGTGGGCCAGGCCCAGGGCACTGCTGCCTTGTGCAGCCTTGGAACATGGTGCCCTGCATCCCAGCTGCACCAGCTCCAGCCTTGACTAAAAGGGACTATGGTACAGTTCACGCTATTGCTTTAGATAGTGCAAGCCCCAAGCCTTGGTGGCTTCTGCATGGTGTTGGGCCTGTGACAGTGCAGAAGGCAAAAGTTGAGGCTTAGGAGCCTCTGCCTAGATTCCAGCACAGCAGTGGAAAGGGGTCAGGTGGGATTGGATCCCCCACACAGAGTCCCCACAGGGGCACTGCCTAGTGGAGCTTTGAGAAGACGACCACTGTCCTCTGGCCCACAGAATGGTAGATCCACTGACAGCTTGCACTGTGCACTCAGAAAAGCCACAGGAACTCAACACCAATCCATGAAAGCAGTCATTGGACCTGTACCCTGCAGAGCCATAGGGGTGGAGCTTTCCAAGGCCTTGGGAGCCTACCCCTTGAGTCAGTGTGGCCTGGATGTGAGACATGGAGTCAAAGGAATTATTTTGGAGCTTTAAGATTTAATGACTGCCTTGCTGGGTTTCAAACTTTCATGGGGCCTGTAGCCCCTTTGTTTTGGCTGATTTATCCCTTTTGAAGCAGGTGTATTTACCCAATGCCTGTACCCTCATTGTATCTTGGAAGTAATTATCTTGCCCTTAATTTTACAGGCTCATAGGCAGAAGGGACTTGCCTTGTCTTATCTCAGATGAGATTTTGGACTTGGACATTTGAGTTAATGCTGGAATGAGTTAAAACTTTGGGTGACTGTTGGGATAGCATGATTGTTTTGAAATGTGAGAAAGACATGCGATTTGGGAGGGGCAGGAGGTGAAATGATACGTTTTGGCTTTGTCTCCATCCAAATTTTATGTCAAATTGTAATTCCTGGTGTTGAAGGAGGGGCCTGGTGGGAGTGGATTGGATCATGGGGGCAGATTTCCTTTTTGGTACTTTTCTTGTGATACTGAGTGAGTTACTGTGAGATATGGTTGTTTAAAAGTGTGTAGCACTTCCCCTCTCTCTGTCTTGCTCCTGCTTTGGCCATGTAAGATGTGCCTGCTTCCCCTTCACCTTCCGCCATGACTGCAAGTTTCCTGAGGCCTCCCCAGCCACACCGTTTGTAAGGCCTGTGAAACCAGGAGCCAAGTAAGCCTCTTTTCTGTATACATTTCCTAGTCTCAGGTATTTCTTTATAGCAGTGCAAGAATGGACTAATACAATTAGTGAGGTTGAACATTTTTTGATATGTTTGTTGGCCATTTCTATATATGTATTTTTTGACATAAAGTCTTGCTCTGCCACCTAGGCTGGCGTGCAGTGTCATAATCTCGGGGGTTTACTGCAGCCTCTAATTCCTAGGCTCAAGTGATCCTCCACTGTCAGCCTTCCAAGTAGTTGGGACTACAGGTACAGATATTTTAATTATAACATTCACAGCTACAGAACTAATTATATTTTATATCCCCTTTGAAGCAACTACCATACCTGAATAACTTTCATATTTTTTGTAAAGATAGGTTTTCACTGTGTTGCCCAGGCAGGTATCAAACTCCTGGGCTCAAGCCATCTGCCTGCCTGGACCTCCCAAAGTGCTAAGATTACAGGCATGAGCCATCATGACTGGTATTTATATTTCTTCTTCTGGGAAATGTCCATTCCTGTCATTTTTCCACTTTTTGATGGAATTGTTTATTTCTTGCTGATTTGTTTGAGTTCCTTATAGATTACATGGATACTAGTCCTATGTCAGATGCATAGTTTGCAAATATTTTCTTCTATTCTGTGGGTTGGCTATTTACTCTGATTATTATTTCTTTTGCTGTACAAACCTTTTTAGTTTAATTAGGTTCCATTTATTTATTTTTGTTTTTATTCCATTTGCTTTTTGGGTCTTAGTCATAAATTCTCTTCTACACTGATGTCTAGAATAGTTTTTTCCATGATATATTCTAGAATTTTTATGGTCTCAAATCTTATATTTAAGGTTTTGAAACATTTTGAGTTGATTTTTATATAAGGTGAGAGGTACGGATCCAGTTTCATCCTTCTACATGCGGCTTGCCAGCTTTCCCAGCACCATTTATTAAATAGGTTTTCCATTCCCCAACTTATATTTTTGAATGCATTGTCAGAGATCAGTTGGCTGTATGTATTTGGCTTTATTTCTGTTTCTTATTCTGTTTCAAAACTAGGTCTATGTGCCTACTTTTATATCAGTACCATGCAATATGGGTAACTCTAGCCTTGTAGTATAATTTGAAGTCTGGTAATGTGATGTCTCCAGATTTGCTCTTTTTGCTTAGGATTGCTCTGACTAATCAGGCTCTTTTTTGGTTCCATGTGAATTTTAGAATTTGTTTTTCTAATTTGGTGAAAAATGATGTTGGTATTTTGATGGGAATTGCATTGAATCTGTAGATTGCTTTGGGTAGTATGATTATTTTTGCAATATTGATTTTTTCAATCCATGAGCATAGGATGGGTTTCTATTTGCTTGTGTCATATATGATTTCTTTCTGCAGTGTCTTTTAGTTCTCTTGTAGGAATCTTTCACCTCCTTGGCTAAGTATATTTCTAGGTATTTCATTTATTTCCAGCTCTTATTAAAGGAATTAAGTGTTTGATTTGATTCTCAGCATGGTAATTGTTTGAGCATAGCAGTGCTACTGATTTGTGTACACTAATTTTGTAATCTGAAATGTACTGACTTTTTTTATCAAACATAACAATTTTTTGGAGGCATCTTTAAAATTTTCTAGACATATTTAAAATTTTCTAAATTGTGCCATATTATCTGTAGATGATATGATACAATCATATCATCTACAAACAGTGATAATTTGACTTCATCTTTTTTCCAATTTGTATGCCCGTTATTCTTTTCTCTTGCCTGATTACTCTGGCTAGGACCTCCAGAACTATGTTGAATAGGAGTAGGAAAATGGGCATACTTGTCTTGTTTCAGTTCTTAGGGGGAATGCTTTCAACTCTTCCCCATTCATTATGATGTTGGCCGTGGGATTGTCATATATGGCTTTCATTATTTTGAGGTTAGTCCCTTCTATGCTTAGTTTTTTGAGAGTGTCTGTCATAACAGGATGCTGGATTTTTTCAAATGCTTTCTCTGCATCTATTGAGATGATCATATGCCTTTTGCTTTTAATGCTGTTTATTTAATATATCACATTTATTGATTTGCATATGTTATACTATCTCTGAATCCCTGGGATAAAATGCACTTGATCATGTTGTGTTATCTTTCTGATGTGCTATTAGATTCAGTTAGCTAGTTTTCTGCTCAGGTTTTTTGAATCTATGTTCATCAGAGTTATTGGGCTGTAGTTTTTTTGGTGGTGTTGTAATGTCCTTTACTGGATTTGGTAACAGGGTGATACTGGCTTCACTGAATTTTTTAGGGAGGATTCCCTCTTTCTCATTTTTTTTTCCCGTGGGATTGGTACCAATTCTCCTTTGAATGTCTGGTAGAATCAGCTGTGAATCCATCTGGTTGTAGGCTATTTTTTGTTTGTTGGCAATTTTAAAATTACTGATTCAATATTGCTGCATGTCATTTGTCTGTTCAGGGTTTCTATTTCTTCCTGATTTAATCTAGGAGGCTTTTATGTTTCCTGAAATTAATCCATTTCCTCTAAGTTTTCTAGTTTGTGCACATAAAGGTGTTCATAGTAGTCTCAAATGATCTTTTGTATTTCTGTGGTGTTGTAATATCTTCAGCTTCATTTCTAATTGAACTTATTTGAAGCTTCTCTGTTCTTTTCTTGGTTAATCTAGCTAATGGTGTATCAGTTTTGTTTATCTTTTCTAAGAACCAGCTGTTTGTTTCATTGTTCTTTTGTATTTTTGTTTGAATTTAATTCTCCTCTAATTTTTGTTATTTCTTTTCTTCTGCTATCTTTGGGTTTAGTTTGTTCTTGTTTCTCTAGTTTCTTCAGGTATATAATTAGACTGTCAAGTTGTGCTCTTTCAGACTTTTTTTTTTTCTTTGAGACAGAGTCTCATTCTGTTGCCGAGGCTGGAGCACAGTGGTGTGATCTCCGCTCACTGCAACCTCCACCTCCTGGGTTCAAGCGATTCTCCTGCCTCAGCTGCTGGAGTAGCTGGGACAACAGGCGCATACCACCACACTGGCAAATTTTTGTATTTTTTGTAGAGACGGGGTTTCACCATGTTGGCCAGGTTTGTCTCAAACTCCTGGCCTTAAGTGATCCACCAGCCTTGGCCTCCCAAAATGTTGGGATTAAAGGAATGAGCCACGGTACCCAGCCTCTTTCAGACTTTTTGACGTAGGCATTTAGTACTATAAAATTTCCTGTTAGCACAGTTTTTGCTTCATCACAGAGGTTTTGATAACTCGTATCATTATCATTCAATAATTAATTTCCATCTTGATTTCATTTTTTTGTTGTTTTTTGAGATGGAGTTTCACTCGTCACTCAGGCTGGAGTGCAATGGCACGATCTCAGCTCACTGCAACTTCCACCTCCCAGGTTCAAGCAATTCTCCTGCCTTAGCTTCCCAAGTAGCTGGGATTATGGGCACCTGCGACCATGCCCAGGTAATTCTTGTGTTTTTAGTAGAGACGGGGTTTCACCATGTTGGCCAGGCTAGTCTTAAACTTCTGACCTCAGGTGGTCCACCCACCTCGGCCTCCCAAAGTGC
Organism: Homo sapiens; assembly: GCF_000001405.40. Lineage (NCBI taxonomy): Eukaryota > Metazoa > Chordata > Mammalia > Primates > Hominidae > Homo > Homo sapiens. The sequence continues at coordinate 143,540,581 of NC_000023.11, read as the reverse complement.
TGGGATTATAGGTGTCAGCCACCGCACCTGACCTCAATCTTAATTTCTTCATTAACCCATAAATCATTCAAGAAAAAATTATTTAATTTCCATGTATTTGTATAGTTTTGAGGATTCCTTTTGGTGTTGGTTTCTAGTTTTACTCCATGGTGGTCTGAGTAGATAGCTGATATAATTTCACTTTTTTCTTGATTGAGATTTGTTTTGGGGCCTATCATATGGTCCGTCTTTGGAGAATGTTCCATGTGCTGATGAGAAGAATGTATATTCTACAATGCTTGGGTAGAATTTCTGTAAATATCTGTTAAGTCCATTTTTTCTACTATGTCATTTAAGTCCATTTTTTTGTTGACTTCCTGTCTTGATAATCTGTCTAGTGCTGTAAGCTGTGTATTGAATTCTCCCGCTATTATTGTGTTGCTGTCTATCTCATTGAATAGGTGTAGTAGTAGTTGTTTTATGAATCCGGCTATTACAGTGTTTGGTGCATATAAGTTTAGAATTGTGGTATCTTCATGTTGGATTGATTATTTAATCATTTTATAATTACCTTCTTTGTCTTTTTTAACTGTTATTGCTTTGAAATCTGTTTTCTCTGATATAAGAATAGTTCTGCTTGCTTTTGGTTTTCATGTACATAGAATATCTTTTTCCACCCCTTTACCTTGAGTTTATATGAATCCTTGTGTTTTAGGTGAGTTTCTTATAGACAGCATATATTTGGTTTGTGATTTTTCATCCATTCTGCCATTGTGTACATTTTAAGTGGAGCATTTAGGTCATTTATATTCAACACTAATATTGAGATATGAGGTAATGCTCTCTTCATCATGTTAACTGTTAACAAGATAGTTTTTTTTTTCATTATATTATTGTTTAATAGGCCCTGTGAGTTTTAAGCTTTCAAGCATTTGTATTTTGGCATATATTGAACTTTTGCTTCAATATTTAGAACTTCTTTTAGCATTATTTGTAGTGCTGATTTGGGAGTGACAAATTCCCTAAGCATTTGTTTGTATGAAAATGATTTTATTTCTCTTTCATTTATGAAACAGCTTTACTGGATACAAAACTTTTAGCTGACAATTATTCTGTTTAAGAAGGCTGAAAATTGGACCTCCATTTCTTCTGGCTTTTAAAGTTTCTGCCAAGAAGTCTGCTGTTAGTCTGATAGGTTTTCCTTTACAGGTTACTTTGTACTTTTGTCTTATTGCTCTTTGAATTATTTCCTTCATGTTGAAATTAGATAGCCTGATGACTGTGTGCCTTGTGAAGATCTATTTGTAATGAATTTCCCAGGAGTTCCTTTAGCTTCTTGTATTTGAATATCTAAATCTTTAGCCAGGCCAGTGAAGTTTTCCTCAATTATTCCCTCAAATAAGATATCCAGACTTTTTTTTTTTCTCTTCTCTCTCAGGAACACCAATTATTCTTAGGTTTAGCCTTTTTACATAATCCGATATTTCTTGGACACTTTGTTCTTTTGATTCTTTTTTCTTTATTTTTCTCTGATTATGTTAATTTAAAAGCCTTGTCTTTGAACTCTGAAGTTTTTCTTCTAGTTCTTCTAGTCTGTTGTAAAAATTTCCCACTACATTTTGTAATTCCCTTTGTATTTCACTTCCAAAAGTTTTAATTAGTTTTCCTTTATGATATCTATCTCTCTAGAACATCATTTATTCATATGCTGAACTGTTTGTAAAGTCATCTATGATCGCTTTCACCTTTCCTTGGTATATCCTTGAATAGCTTAATAATGAGCCTTCTGAATTCTTTATCTGATATTTTAAAGATTTCATCTTAATTTGAATCCATTACTGGACAGCTGGTGTGATCTTTTGAAGGCATTGTAGAACCCTGTTTTGTCATATTACCAGAATTACTTTTCTGATTTTTTTTCTCATTTGGGTAGTGTTTCTTCTAATTATTATTGAATTTATGTTGATTTGACTGTGTTTATTTGTTTTTAAATTTTTTTCTCTTAAGTATGCTACTTTAATGCTTATAGTGAAACATAGCCTAATTCAGTTACTGGTTCTTTCATGGGTGGAGACTGTAAGGTTCCTAGGTTATATAGAGTCTTTGTATAATAGTTTTATCGTATGCTGGTTGTAGTAGCAATGTGTTCATTGTGTGAGCAAATTTACTGTCTCCTATAAGGTTGGAATGGTAGAGGACTCTTGAAGCTTATTTCATTTCCCCATGGTGTACACTTTTTTGCATATTTATTTTTCCCCAGTATTTTCTTTAAGCCTTTTCCTGTTTAGAAAAAAATAGTGCAGATTGCTGCCACCACATTTTACATAAACACGCTCTCTGAGGCTGAAGCAAATCTGACTGATTTTCAGTGTAAAAATAAAATATAAACTCTTGGAGTTATTTCTAAACAGAACAAACATCAGAATCATCTCAGTCATCAGATTGTCTATGTCTGAAAAATCGGATTCATCAAGTAAGTCTCTGGCCAACAACTGTTCATGGCTGATGTTAACATCATGCAAAGGAAAGCTATATTTTCTAGGATTTGACATTTTCAGCAATTGAGAATTACTACATTTTTAAGTGGAAATACCATTTCTAAAAACAGAATGCTATGAATAGAATGATGTATTTAGTTTCCAAAGTTCATATACTAGAGTGATGTGAAAATAATAATAAAAGTGAGATATTTCATAGCAAAGTTATCTCATAATAAATGCTTCAACCACAAGCACCACCAATGAGTATTCTTGGGGCAAAAGGGAAAAGGGTTAATGATTTGATAGTTCAGTTTTCAGGCCAGTAGGGGAGGTTTCCCTGAGTAAGAATTGGTTGTGGCTAAAGCTAGTGGGTAAATGAAATACTCAATGGTGGACAGATGTCCCTGTCTTTGTTTTTTTTTTTGTTTGTTTGTTTTCTTTTTGGTTTTTTTTTGAGACGGAGTCTCGCTCTGTCACCCAGGCTGGAGTGCAGTGGCACGTGATCTCGGCTCACTCCAAGCTCTGCCTCCCAGGTTCACGCCATTCTCCTGCCTCAGCCTCCCGAGTAGCTGGGACTACAGGTGCCCACCACCACGCCCGGCTAATTTTTTGTATTTTTAGTAGAGACGGGGTTTCACCATGTTAGCCAGGATGGTCTTGATCTCCTGACCTCGTGATCCACCCGCCTCGGCCTCCCAAAGTGCTGGGATTACAGGCGTGAGCCACTGCGCCCGGCTGTGTCCCTGTCTTGACAAAGGTGGCTGGAGAAGCTTTCAGTGAATCACACTGAGGTCTTATCGGGGGAAGGATTAGAGCCACCTCGGCTCCCCTGGCAGGTCAGCAGGGAAGCTATCCACTTCTCAGACATACTCCTGTTCCAGTGCTCCAGCTATTCGGACCACACAGGTACCTCTTTTCATCTGTAGAAATGTAGATTTTTCAAGTTGAGAGGAATTGTGACTCTATCTTGAAATCCTGAACCTTTAGGATGTCCTCCTGCAGGGATGCTCTCACCCTAAAGTGTTCCAGAAAGGTTGTCTATAGTTGCACCCATGCAAAGCTCCCATGGGAGAAGCCCCAACTGTGCTCATGGTGGTGAACAAAGGGGGAAAGTTGTTTCCTTCTCCAAGACCCTTCACGTGCACTAAGGCTGTCTGACTGTTAGATTAGAGCTGCAGACTTTACTTGCTGAGCCCAGCACTGCGACTGTGCCTCTGCTGAAACTGCCCACCAGCAGAAGGATATGGTACTCAAGGCCTGTCATCTATATTCTTTTGTTTCATGGGCCGTTCCCTTGATGTGGTGCACTCCCTCTTCCCCGAGGAGTCGAAGTCCCTGGGAGCCAGATGACTGTGAGTATTGTTGCTCCACTGGGTCTAGCTGCCTAGTGAAATTGCCATACTCCAGGCTGGTGCTAGGGAATGAGATCAAGGGATCCAGTGATGTGACCTGTTCTCATGCCTCCCGGAAGTGGGTAGCAGCACCAGCTCTACTGCTAGTGGCAGGGGAGTGACCTATACTCTGGGATTCCTTGATTTTAGAAAGCCTTAGTGTGTTGGCTTTCTCGAATGCCACTTATCATAGTAATAAACTGATCATTTGGACAGAATCAGGACCTCTTGATTAGCCAGAGTGGTGCAGGCAGTGGTGATAGCTTAGGCCACACAGAAATTTTCTCCTTCCTAGACTCAGTGTTATTCTACCAGGAGATGCTGTAATGGACTGTGTCGGTTGGCCTCCAGCCAGGAGGTGGCACTTGCCAAAGAGCACCAGCTGTGGCAGTAGCAGTGAGAGTTTTGCTTGCCTTGTGCTGCCCAGAGGGGGTACTCCAGTTTATCAGGCAATGGGTGAGGCCATACAGTTCCCAAATGTTTCTTTCCTTTGTGTTAAGCTAGCAGGGCAGGTGGCAGGGCAAAGCCAGGTGTGGTCTAGGTCAGGCGGGTTTGTGAACTGACTTTCCACATGCAGGGCAAGCAGCAGTTCCTGTGGGTGTCAGGGGAAGGGGGTGGTTCTCAGGCCACTGGGTTTGTGCTCCAGAGGGGAGTGTTGCTGTCTCTGCTGCACAGAAGAGTTTGAGCAGGGAGTGGAGAGTAGCAGACTGCAGTAAGCCCCACACGGATCCCACACATTTGGTGAGGGAGATCTCACTCCCACTGTGTTCCACTAGCAGCAGCGATCTAAGTTCCAGGCAGCCTGCACTTAGAATTTGCAACTGCCCCAAGTCATAGGCTTTCCCCAGGGAGATAGCAACTGCATATTTCAGGCCACGCCCCTCCGGGTCCATTCACAAAGCCAGGCTCCCAGCCCCTGTGCTTGTGGCTGTGGCCCATGTTTCACTTGAACAGGCTGGCCTTGGTCAAGAGAGTTCATCCCCACCCAAGGTGACATCATCAAACCCAGCTTGGGGCTTCTTTCCACCTGTGACCACTGCCTGAACTATTTGGCTGACCTCCACAGTGTCCCCTGTGAGGATCAATAAGGAGTGGCTTTCCTTGCTTTGCACTGGAGACTGGAGGTGCATACAAGGGTCTTCCTGCTGCTGTTCCTACTATTATGTTCCACAACCCTCCCCCAGTCAGTTTCTGTGCTGGGTAGGCTTAAGGCTTTCCCGATGGCCTGGTCTTTCAGGCTCTCTGGTCACGGTGTGAATCTGAGAAGCAGTCTCTCCCCCTCATATTTTTGGGGACTCACAGCCCTTTGCCTGGCTCAGTGTAGGCTGCAGCCTGCTGCTTCCTTCGGAGGCTGTGTGGGTTCCTTCAACTTTCCTGTTCAGTTCCTGCATTGCTTCTTGAAAAAAAAAGTTTGTGGTGTGAATCTCTACACAATATTTTCCAAGTGGGAGAGGTATGCGAACAATTCCTCTAGTACACCATCTTGGGAAAAAAAATAAAAACCTCAGCCTCACTTTGATCCTTTGTTTAGATGCAATAAGGCCTGGAGAAGCAATCAGCCCAGATGGCTGTTGCTCCCTACCCCCAGCCATAGGAACAATTGGCATGTTCATGGAAGAACTGGAGCGTGGGACCAGCAAGTTCACCAGGTACCTTCCCTGCCCAGAAATGAGCTTCTTTTGCACTTTTTTTACTCACACGTTTGTGGATGTGTAGGAGGGTGGGGCTACTTGCCCAGTGGTAGTTGGGTACCCCTAGCAGGTACCCCTCTGGATGATGGGTAATCCCAGGGGGATCTGTGGGAAGGACTCAAAGACTTTGATCTCTTTACCTTGTGAGTCTCTTTTATCATCTGTGAAATGGGAATGATCACAGTGCTTCCTTCACTTCGTGGAGCTGTTGGGAATTTCAAGGAGATTCATGCCTTTAGAGCTCCTGGCGCAAAGGGAGCCTCCATAAGTCAGCCCGATTTGTTATCATGATGACTAGGAAGAACTCAGTTTGTACAGTGTCACAGCACTCTTGGGACAACTTGGGAGAAAAGGGCTGTGGTGTGGAGCACAGAGTCTGGCTGTGGTCCTTCTGGAGGGCTCTGTGGCCTTGGTGCTCATGGTCATCTCCCTTCAGCCATCCCCTACTTCATGAATCAAGAAGGTTCTTTGGAAACTCAGTGCCAGTGTGTGGTGCTCCAGGACTCAGCCCCATGCTTGTCTGAGTGCAGGTGCACGTCCTATAAGCTAGGGGGATTGCAAAAATATTGAACATCGGCAATGACATGGGCCCTGACAAATTGGAAAAGTATTTACTGCAGAGAACCCACACCCTACCTCACCTACAACATTCACATGCAAAATCCAGTCTTATGACCAAATCCTCACTTTCCCAGTGGCAGTTTCAGGCACATGCTAACCCTGATTGAATCAATATACAGACCCTACACCATGTTAAGTCTTAACAAACACCAAGCTATTGGCGAGTGTGCACTCCCCATTGCAACTCCTGCCTGAGGAGCTCCCTTCCACTCCTCTGCCTTGAGTTTGGTTGGGGGAGGACGGGCACATCTGTTTGAGTAACTGGACCTGACATGGACAGGACGTGTAGGTCACAGGCACTTCTTCACTGGCTCTTGTTATTCACCATGGTGACTCTTCACAGCATACCGCTGGCATTATTTCCTGAGGAAACAGGCTGAGAGTTAGTGAATGTGCCCCAAGTCACATAGGTAGCAAGTGGCCTTGCTGGGACTCGAGCCTACCTCTGTGGACTTCAATGCGTCATCCTGACTTCCCCTTTGTTATAGGTATTATGCGCCTTAACCCAGGCAATTGCTCCATTTGAACCGTGCAGCACAGATACGGGTGGATGTGAACACTTGGCTGTCTCAGGATGCCTCCTGCTTCCCTCGTAATTAAGACAGCCCCTTTCTCCAATCCCACAATAAAGCAAACAGTGAGTGATGACCAGGTGTGATGTTCATGATTTCTATTCCACGTGGTGGGAAGAGATGATGCTTCATAACTTCTCTCTCCTAGTATTTGCTCTGCTCCTCAGGGGCTCTCATCACATAGTGTTTTAAATCCCAGGATTTGGAGTTAGTCAAACTTTGGTCTGGTTTCCAGCTCTTCCACTTCCTAAGTGTGCCTGGCCTTGGGCCACTCACTTTCACCTATACATCCATCAGTTGAACAAATATTGATGACTCTCTTGATTGTCAAATTGCCACATGTTATTTTATGCTAGAAATGGGGCTAAGGAGATGAGCACATGCTGGATTCTACTCACATGGAGGTCACAGTGCTGAGACAGAGTCCGAGCAGTGAGCACATGAGGGTAGAGGAGTGACGTACGTGTGACATGGGCAGGGCTGTGATGGTGCAGAGAGGAGTCAACCTGCCCCACATCCCCTTCCCCCGTGCTGTTCCTTCTTGAACAGCTTCCTTCTTCACCACTAAAGAAGAGCTCCTCCATCCATAAAACCCCTTCCAGATACAACTTCCTCCATAGATCCAATCTGCCTTCTGAGATCTATCCTTCTTTGAGCCTCAAGGACATCCTATACCTTCCTTAAAATGCAGTCCCTTGGTCATGCCATATTTCACCTTATTTTCCACAGGGAATCCGTGTCTGACTCATCTCTAGGTTTTTATGGTTTTAGGTCTAACTAATCCATTCCTCACAGTTCAGTGGCTGGCACAGAAAGAAGTTCAGTAGATGTTTATAGGTTTCAACTGGGAACACACTCAAATAATTCTGCCTTTCCCAAATGCTTCCTCTGGTATGGAAATTAAATGCAGGGCCTGGAAGAATGCATTCTGGTTAAAAGTGCAGCTGAATGTCCATTAATACGATACAGGTGTGTTCGTGACTCTAATTGGTGACCACATGGGATGGTATTGCTGTTTCTAATCCTAGTTATTCAGAAATGCACCCATATTTTTTCATACTGATAAGATTCATCTAGGCAAATGTAAGCATATTCCTGTGTAATGACAAAATGAATTTAACTCCAAACATTTTTTGAAACAAAACATTATTAGTGAAAATCATATTTTACTCTATTATTGCCAGTGGCTAAGTTTCATTTCCCTCGCCAAGCTTAACAAGGTGGAAACTTTGCTAATTCTAGGCTATTTTTTTGAAACCTGGAAACCTCTCTGCCTCTATTTTTCTCCTCCTCCTAGAGTGGCCCCAGCAGAGAATGCGGTAACCACGTTCACCCCTGTAATGTCCTTCAAGATTTTGCAAATGTTAGCTTTTGGTTCCCATTTAAGTGAAAGGGCTTCTGAGGGAATGTGATGACTCACAGATGAGAGATGGATTGCGTCCTCCATGGTAGGGACAGAATGGCTGTTAGAAGCGAAGATCTTTATATGTTCCTGCAAATGTACCCAGCAGCACATTGTTCTGCTGAATGTACATGTCAAAGGTATTTCCGTTCCCTTTCCATCCTATATTTTCCCAGGTTAGAAATACCTGCTTTATAAAGCAGGTATTATAAATGTTCTGTAAAATACAAAGCACAATACAAAAGAAGACAGCAGATGTAGGAGTAAGTAAACAGCAGGAAAACGTTGCTTACAATGAAATGATTAAAAAGCCCATTCTAAAACAAAATTTTCAATGCATCTTAAATATTTATGTTACTGTGGTAATGACCTCAACAGTCTTTGACCAAGCTAAATATGCTTTAGAAATATGTTGATATCTGCAAAGTGTGAATATTCAAAATTGCCATGATTTGGGAAAAGGAAAGTAAAACACTCTCAGTATGAGGAGCTTTTCCCATGGAATGTGAACTGCAAGGTGGTGAGAAGGGTTAGGTGTGATGTGGTGAGATCATTTTTAGACCAGTGTGTCTATTATTAGCTTTATTACACTCCCACTGGGCATTATAATTTCCTGAAATTCATCATTTAATTAAGGCTATGGGTTTTGATTAAATTTTTTTAAATGTCAAACAGCATAATATTTATAGTGAAAAAGAAAACTGCTTGGTGGATACACATTGGTTAGCAGGACGAGGCATCTTAGGGATTCAGCATGGAGTCAGCTGTGGATGGGGTTTTAGTTTCTGTCTTTGAATTGACCTTCACATAGTGTCTACCTCTTGAGAGTTCAGGGGATGTTGGAGAGATAATTAGGTAAAACAGGAAGATCTTCTCAGGATACATGAGGGAGTTAAATAAAAATGCAGGAGCAATTACAATTTTCGTTATTTGTAACTGTTGTTTGCTAAGTCGTAACATTGTCACTGATAACATGAAAAAATAAAATATACTAAATATCAATAGACAAAAACCAGTTTTCTTTTCTCCATCCAAATACCTAAATACCTAGCACTAATATCCAGAACAAAATCCCCCAAATACCATCTTTGGAATAAAAGAATATTCTTTCAACTTATCAAGGCCACAAGGTAAAAACAACAACAACAAAAAACAACAATGCTTTTTTTCTTACACTTTAATATGTGCAGTTGAAGGTATTTCTCATTGCAAACTAAGATTTCCATCCAGCATGTGACATTAAAGCACTGTTCATATTAGGATAGTAATAAGGGATCACACTGGTTAGCCTTAGGCGTTTCAGAGGAAAAAAAATTAAGGTGAGAGAGGTGGGGCAAGAAAAGCAGAATAGAAGGCTGCACAGATCAGCCCCCTCGCAAGGACACAAATTTAACAACTATCCACACAGAACAAAACACCTTTATAAGAACCAAAAATCGGCCGGGCGCGGTGGTTCACGCCTGTAATCCCAGCACTTTGGGAGGCTGAGGCGGGCGGATCACGAGGTCAGGAAATCGAGACCATCCTGGCTAACACGGTGAAACCCCGTCTCTACTAAAAATAAAAAAAAATTAGCCGGGCGTGGTGGCGGGCGCCTGTAGTCCCAGCTACTCGGGAGGCTGAGGTAGGAGAATCGCTTGAACCCGGGAGGCAGAGCTTGCAGTGAGCCGAGATCCCGCCATTGCACTCCAGCCTGGGCGACAGAGTGAGACTCCGTCTCAGAAAAAAAAAAAAAAAAACAAAATTAGGGGAACTCTCTTAGTACCTGGTTGTATCACTGAAAAAGGCACTGAAGAGTTAGAAAAAACAGTCTCAAATCGCTGACCCCACCCCTTCCCTACCCTAGGCAGTGGCAGTATGGTGTAAAGAGCATCTCCGGAAGCTGGAAGAGCAAGAGCAGAGCAGTTGTGAGCAGAGCAGTCTCTTACAGGAGAAAGGAAAACCAGACCAAACTTAGCTGACTCCCATCTGGGAAGGGAGCATTGAAACCACCTCTAGCCAGAGGGAAATTACCCATCCCAGGAATCAGAACTTGAGTTTCTGCAAACCTTGCCACTAAAGGCTAAACTGTTCCGGGTTTCTCAGAAAACCTTAAAGGCAGTCTGGGCCATAAGGACTGCAACGCTTAGGTGAGTTCTAGCATTGAACTGAGCCCAGAGACAGTGTTTTGTGGCAGGGATGTGGAGGGGTGCAGATGACCTACCGAGATACCAGCTGGGGCAGCCAAGGGAGTGCTGGCGCCACCCCTGCCCTAGCTCCAGACTGCCCCAGCTAGCGGCTCCATAAAAGAGCACTTCCTTCCACTTGAGGAGAGGAGATGGAATGGTGAGGAGCATTTTTTTTCTTGCATCTTGAATACCAGCTCAACCGCAGCAGGACAGGGCACCGGTCAGGGTTGTGAAGCCCCTGCTCCAGGCACTAGCTCCTGGATAACATTTCTAGGCACACCCTGGGCCAGAAAGCAACCTGCTGCCTTGAAAGAAATGACCAAGCCCTGGCAGCATTCATCACTGGCCACCTGAATAGCCCTTGGTTCCTGAATAGACAGCAGCGATACCCAGGTACTGCATCAAGGACCTTGGGTGAACCACTGAGACATACTGGCTTCAGGTACCAGTATGGTAAGAGGGGAATAGCGTAACAAGCGGGCTCTTGGGGTCCCCAATTCCAGGACTTAACTCTTGGACAGCATTTCTAGACCTGCCCGTGACCAGACAGGTGCCCACAGCCCTGAAGGGTGAGTCCCAGTCCAGGCAGCATTCACCATGAGCTGACTTAAGAACACTTGGGACTTAAGGGAGCATCAGTGGTAGTGTTGCAGTACTCTCCATGGCCTGCAATAGGGGTGGCTACAGGTTGAGGCTCCCCTGCCTTTGGAAAAGGGAGGAGGGAAGTGTGGGAAGAACGGCTTCTTGTGGTTTGAGTTATGGTTTGAGTGTCGGCTCAGCTGCAGTACAGTAGAACACCAGGTAGATTTCTAGGATCTTTAACTCTAATTCCTGACTCCAGGATGGCATCTCTGAACCCACCTGGGGGAACTCACTGCCCTGAAAGGAAAGACACAGGCCTGGATAGCTTTGCCACCTGCTGATTATAGAGCCTCAGGGGTTTGAGCAAATAAAGGCAGCAGCCAGGGAGTGGTTACAGAAGGCCTTGGGCAAGACCCAGAACTATGCTTGCTTCAGGCCTGACCCAGCACAGTCATAGTGTTCATAGTGTTGGTGGCCAGAGGAGTGCCTGTGTTACTCCATCCCCAGCTTTAGATGGCTCAGAACATGGAGAGAGAGAGAGAGAGAGAGAGAGAGAGAGAGAGAGAGAGAGAGAGAGAGAGAGACAGTTTGTCTGGGAGAAAGTAAGGGGAGAGAACAAGAGTCTCTGCCTGATAACCCAGAGACTTCTCCTGGATCATGTCCAAGACCGTCAAGGTGGGACCTCCACGAGTATGTAAGAACTGCAGCATTACTGGGCTTGGGTGCCCACAAAAGCAGATACAGATTAAAATGAAACACCCAAGTATTTGTAAATATCTGGAAAACATTCTCAATTAGAATGGCTACAAACAAGCTCAGACAGTGAAGACTACAATAGATACCTAAATCTTCAATGACCAGATGCCAAAGAATATCTACTAGCATCAACACCATCCAGGAAAACATAACCTCACCAAATGAAGTAAATAAACCACATGGACCAATTCTGGAGAAACAGATATGTGACCTTTCAAACAGAAAATTCAAAATAGCTGTGTTGATCAAACTCAAAGAAATTCAGTATAACACAGAAGAATTCAGAATTCTATCAGAGAGATTAACAATGAGTTTGAAACAATTGAATCAAGCAGAAATTCTGGAGCTGAAAAATGCAAGTGACAGGTTGCAGCATCTGTCAAATTCTCTTAATAGCAGAATCAATCAAGGAGAAGAAAGAATTAGTAAGCGTGAAGACAGGCTATTTAAAAATATACAGTCAGGAAAGACAAAATTAAAAAATAGTAGAAAGCAATGAAGCATGCATATAGGATCTAAAAAAAATAGCTTCAAAAGGACAAATCTAAGAGTTATTGGCCTTAAAGAGGAGGTAGAGAAAAACATATGGGTAGAAAGTTTCTTCAAATGGATAATAATAGAGAACTTTCCAAACCTAGAGAAAGGTATCAATATCCAAGTATAAGAATATTATAGAATACCAAGCAGATTTAACTCAAAGAAGTCTACCTCAAGTCATTTAATAATCAAACTCCTGAAAATCAAGGATAAAGAAAGGTTCTTAAAGCAGCAAGATAAGAGCTCCAATATGTCTGGCAGCAGACTTTTCAGTTGAAACCTTACAGGCCAGGAGAAAGGCATGACATATTTAAAGTGCTGAAAGATAAAAATCTTTTACCTTAGAAAATATATCTGAAAAAATATCTTTCAAACATGAAAGAGAAATAAAGATGGTCCCAGAGAAACAAGAGCTGAGGGATTTAATCAACACCAGCCCTGTCCTACAAGAAATGCTAAAAGGAGTATTTCAGTCAGAAATAAAAGGATGTTAATTACCAATATGCAATCATCTAAAAGCATAAAACTCAATGGTAATTGTAAGTACACAGAAAAAATAGAATATTATAACAATGTAACTGTAGTGTGTAAACTGCTGTTATTCTAAGTAGAAAGACTAAAGACTAAACCAAAAATAATAACTACAACTTTTCAAGACATAGTCAATACAATAAGATATGAATAAAAACAACAAAAAGTCAAAAAGCAGTGAGATGAAGATGCAGTTTTTATTAGTTTTCTTTCTGCTTACTTCTTTGTTTATACAAATAGTCTTAAGTAGTTATCAGATTAAAATAATGGGTTATAAGATAGTATTTGCAAGCCTCATGGTAACCTCAAACCAAAAAACATACAACGGATACACAAAAAATTAAAGGCAAGAAACTAAATCATATACCCACAGAAAAATCATCTTTACTAAAGGAAGACAGGAAGGAAAGAAAGAAGAAGGAGAAGATCACAAAACCATCAGAAAATAAATAACAAAATGACAGGAGTAAGTTTTTACTTATCAATAATAACATTGAATGTAAATGAGCTAAACTCTCCAATTAAAATACATAGAGTGGCTGAATGTATGAAAAAACAAGACACATTGATCTGTTGCCTACCAGAAACACACTTCATCTATAAAGAAACACATACACTGAAAATAAAGGGATGGAAAAAGATACTCCATGCCAATGGAAACCAAAAAAGAAGCAGGATTAGCTATACTCATAGCAGACAAAATAGATTTCAAGACAAAAAGTATAAGAAGAAAAAAAAGGTCACTATATAATAATAAAGAAATCAGTTCAGCAAGAGGATATAACAATTTTACATATATATGCACCCAACACTGGAGCACCAAGATATATAAAGGAAATAGTATTAGAACTAATGAGAGAGAGAGGTCCCAACACAATAATAGCTGGAGACTTCAACACCCCACTTTCAGGATTGGACACATTTTCCAGACATAAAATCAAAAAAGAAACATCAGACTTCATCTGCATTATAGACCAAGTGGATCTAATAAACATTTACAAAATGCTTTTTCCAAAGACTGCAGAATACACCTTCTTTTACTCAGCACATGGATCATTCTCAAGGATAGAATATACGTTAGGTCATATACCAAGTTTGAAAACATGTAAACAAATTGAAATAATATCAAGCATCTTCTCTGACCACCAAAAAATGAAAATGGAAATTAATAACAAAAATAATTCTGGAAACTATACATATACATAGAAATTAAATAATATGCTCCTGAATTACCAGTGGGTCAATGAAGAAATTAAGAGGTAAATTGAAGTTTCTTAAATGATAATGGAAACACAACATACTAAAACCCATGGGATACAGCAAAAGCAGTATTAAGTAGGAAGTTTATAGCTATAAGTGCCTACATTAAAAAAGAGGAACAACTCCAAATAAATAATTTTATGGTGCATCTTAAAAAAACTAGAAAAATGAGATCAAACTGAACCCAAAATTCATAGAAGAAAATAAATAATAAAGATCAGAGCAGAAATAAATGAAACTAAAATGAAGAAAATCAATACAGAATATCAATAAAACAAAAAGTTGGTTTTTTGAAAAGCTACACAAAATGACGAAACTTTAGCCAGAGTAAGTAAGAAAAAGCAGAGAAGATCCAAATAAATAAAAGCAGAGATTAAAAGGAGACATTACAACAGATACGGCAGAAATTCAGAGGATCGTTAGTGGCGACCATGAGAAACTATATGTCAATAAATTGGAAAATCTCCAAGAAATGCATAAATTCTTACCCATACCACCTACCAAGTTTGCATGAAGATATCCAAAACCTGAATAAACCAAAGGGATGTAACAAGATAAAAGCTGTAATAAGCAGTCTCTCAGTAAAGGAAAGCCCAGGACCTGATGGCTTCACTGTTGAATTCTACCAAACATTTAAAGATGAGCTAATACCAATTTTACTCAAACTGTTCCAAAAAATAGAGGAGAAGGAAATACTTTCAAAATCATTCTAAAATGCCTGTTTTACCCTGATAACCAAAACCGGACAAAGACACATAAAAAAGGAAAAACAAAAACTACAGGCCAAAATTCTGATGGATATTAATATGAAAATCCTCAATGAAATACTAGCAAATCATATTAAACAATACATTTGAAAGATAATTCATCATGACCAAGTAGAATTTATCACTGGGATGCAAAAAGGTCTCAACATGCACAAATCAGTCAATGTAATACATCATATCAACAGAATGAAAGCTAAAAACCATAGGATCATTTCAATTGATGCTGAAAAGACATTTGATAAAATTCAATATAATTTCATGTTAAGAACCCTGAAAAAAAACTGCATATAGAATGAACATATATCAACATAATAAAAGCCATATGTGTCAGACCCACATCTAGTATCATACTGAATGGAAAAAAAAGTGAAAGTCTTTATGATCTGAAACACAACAAGGATGCCCACTTTCACCATTGTTATATAGTGCTTGAAGTTCTAGCTAGAATAATCAAGCAAGAGAAAGAAAGGGCATTTAAATTGGAATGGAAGAAGTGAAATTATCTGTGTTTGCAGATGATACAATCTTCTATTTGGAAAAACCTAGAGACTCTACCAAAAAACTCTCAGAACTCCTAAACAAATTATTTAAAGTTGCAGGATACGAAATCAACACACAAAAATCTGTAGCATTTATATATGCCACCAGTGAACAACCTGAAAAATAAATTTTAAAAATTATTTTATTTACATTAGCCACACGTAAAATGAAATACCTAGGAATTAACTTCACCAAAGAAGTGAACAATCTGTATAATGAAAACTAAAACACTGATGAAAGAAATTAAAGAGGATGCCAAAAAATGGAAATATATTCCATTTTAATGGATTGAAAGGATTAATAATTTTAACATGGCCCTACTACCCAAAGCAATCTACAGATTCAATTCCATCTCTATCAAAGTACCAATGAGATTCTTCACAGGAATAGAAAAACCAATCCTAAAATTTATATGGAACCACAATAGATCCAGAATAGCTAACACTATCCTGTGCAAAAAGAACAAAACTGAAGGAATCACATTAACTGGCTTCAAACTATACTACAGAGCTGTAGTAACCAAAACAGCATAGTACTGGTATCAAAACAGACTCATAGACCAATGGAACAAAATAGAGAACATATTTACACATCTAGGGTGAACTAATTTTCAACAAAAGTACCAAGAACATACATTGGGACATAGACAGTGTCTTCAATAAATGGTGCTGGGGAAACTGGATATCCATATACAGAAGAATGAAACTAGACCCCTATTTCTCTCCATATACATAATTCAAATCTAAATAGAATAAAAACTTAAATCTAAGACCACAAACGTGAAATTGCTACAAGAAAACATTGTGGAAAATTTCCAGGACTTTGGTCTGCACAAAAATTCCTTGGGCAATATCTTATATCTTACAAGTGCAGGCAACCTAGGCAAACATGGAGAAATGAGATTATGTCAAGTTAAAGAGCTTCTGTGAACAGTTAATAAATTGAAGAGACAACTCACAGGATGGGAGAAAATATTTGCAAACAAGCTGTGGCACAAGGGATTAATAACCAGAATATACAAAAAGCTCAAACAACACTATGAGATACAAATATAATAATCTGATCAAAAAATGGGTAAAAGATTTGAATAGACTTTTCTCAAAGGAAGACATACAAATGGCAAACAGGCATATGAAAAGGTGCTCAACATCATTGATCATCAGGGAAATGCAAATATAACTAGAATGAGATATCATCTCACCCCAGTTAAAATGACTTTTATCCAAAAGACAGGCAATTACAAATGCTGGCGAGGATACGGAGAAAAGAGAACCCTTGTACACTGTTGGTGGGAATATAAACTAATACAACCATAGTTCGAAGGTTCCTCAAAAACCTAAATAGAGCCACCATGTGATCCAACACACCTACTATTGGGTATATACCCAAAAGTAAGGAATTCATTATATTGAAAAGACACCTGCATTCTCATGTTTGTTGCAGGATTGTTCACAATAGCTAAGAGTTGGAAGCAACCTAAATGTCCACCAATAGATAAATGAAGAAAAAATGGGGTACATATACACAGTTGAGTACTATTCAGCCATGAAAAGAATGAGATCCCGTCATTTGCAACCACGTGGATGGGACTGGAAACCATTATGATTAGTGAAACAAGCCAGGCACAGAAAGACAAGCATCACATGTTGGCATTTATTTGGGGGATCTAAATATCAAAACAATTGAACTATTCGACATATTCGAAATATCAAAACAATTGAACATCCTCTGACCAGAGGATGGGATGTGTATTTAGGGGTTGGGGGAAATGTGGGAAAAGTTATGGTTATAAAAAATAGAAAGAATGAGTAAGACCTACTATTTGATAGCACAACAGAGTGACTGCAGCCAATAGTAACTTAATTGTACATTTCAAAATAACCAAAAGGACATTATTGGATTGTTTGTAACATGAAGAATAAATTCTTGAAGGGATGAATACCCCATTCTTCATGATGTGATTATTCTTTATTGTATGCATGTACCAAAACATCTCATGTACTCCATAAATACATGCACCTACTATGTACTCACAAGAATTAAAAATAAAACAAAATTAAAAAGAAAAAAAGTTAAAATGTTGAGCACTGTAGAAAATTTCTGATGACTCAGAATGTTTGATTGTAAGGAGTATGTTTTATTTTTTCTCAGGCTGGACATTACTTCAGTATATCTTTTCAATATGCCATATATGGAATATACTTTTGGGATGGCATGGAGAACGATTTTCTTCAAAAAGTGCAGGATGAGGACCATGGTCTTTATATCCCTATGACTAGTCTAGTGCTTGAAACAGAATATGTGCTCACTTAAGAGTTGTTGAGAGACTTGATGGTCTTTGATAGCTTACTTCTGTCTAAAGCATCCTAGTTTTGGGCTAATCCTCCATATTAAACCAACAGCTTTATTCTTAGGGGCTAGTATTCTCCCAGTGGTAATAGAATCAGAAGGAAGAACCACGATAGTTCAAGGCAGGATAGCCCCACCACACATAGTTTTACACTGTGGAGTTGTAAGTCTGGTTGGCTGGATTCATAATATAACCTAAAGTTTAAAGGAATCATTAAGAAAACCTAGGCAATACCATTCAGGACATAGGCATGGGCAAGGACTTCATGTCTAAAACACCAAAAGCATTGGCAACAAAAGCCAAAATTGACAAATGGGATCTAATTAAACTAAAGAGCTTCTGCACAGCAAAAGAAACTACCATCAGAGTGAACAGGCAACCTACAGAATGGGAGAAAATTTTTGCAACCTACTCATCTGACAAAGGGCTAATATCCAGAATCTACAAAGAACTCAAACAAATTTACAAGAAAAAAACAAACAACTCCATCAAAAAGTGGGCAAAGGATATGAACAGACACTTCTCCAAAGAAGACATTTATGCAGCCAAAAAACACATGAAAAAATGCTCATCATCACTGGCCATCAGAGAAATGCAAATCAAAACCACAATGAGATACCATCTCACACCAGTTAGAATGGCAATCATTAAAAAGTCAGGAAACAACAGGTGCCGGAGAGGATGTGGAGAAATAGGAACACTTTTACACTGTTGGTGGGACTGTAAACTAGTTCAACCATTGTGGAAGTCAGTGTGGTGATTCCTCAGGGATCTAGAACTAGAAATACCATTTGACCCAGCCATCCCATTACTGGGTATATACCCAAAGGATTAGAAAGCATGCTGCTATAAAGACACATGCACACGTATGTTTATTGCAGCACTATTCACAATAGCAAAGACTTGGAAGCAACCCAAATGTCCAACAACGATAGACTGGATTAAGAAAATGTGGCACATATACACCATGGAATACTATGCAGCCATAAAAAAATGATGACTTCATGTCCTTTGTAGGGACATGGATGAAACTGGAAAGCATCATTCTCAGCAAACTATCACAAGGACAAAAAACGAAACACCGCATGTTCTCACTCATAGGTGGGAATTGAACAATGAGAACACATGGACACAGGAAGGAGAACATCACACACCGGGGGCTGTTGTGGGGTCGGGGGAGACGGGAGGGATAGCATTAGGAGATATACCTAATACTAAATGACGAGTTAATGGGTGCAGCACACCAACATGGCACATGTATACATATGTAACAAACCTGCACGTTGTGCACATGTACCCTAAAACTTAAAGTATAATAATAATAAAATTTTTAAAAAGTGAGGATTATAGAATCATAGCATATTTTTTATTTATTATCTTATTTTATTTATTTATTTTTTGAGACAGGGTCTCACTGCCACCCAGGCTGGAGTGCATTGGCCCCATCTCAGCTCACTGCAACCCCCACCTCCTGGGTTCAAGCAATTCTCGTTCTTCAGTTTCCTGAGTAGCTGGGACTCTAGGGATGTGCCACCATGCTTGTCTAATTTTTGGAATTTTTAGTAGAGATGGGGTTTTGCCATATTGCCCAGGCTGGTCTCGAACTCCTAAGCTCAGGCAATCTGCTCGCCTCAGCTTCCCAAAGTGCTGGGATTACAGCTGTGAGCCACTGTGCCCGGCCTCATAGCATATTTTTAAAAAATGACATTGGTTGTTCCAATTGACTCATGCTACAGCTGAGGGATCTGAAGCCTACAGAAGGTACGCAGTTTACCCAGAGTACCAGAAAGAATATGAGATGTAGGGCAGCTTGAACTTGGTTTGAACACTGTTTCACAATTACTGTGTTATTGAGCTTCTCTGAGCCTCAATTTCCTTATCAGTAAATCAGACCCGCATGATGATATCTACCTCCTGGGACTGCTGTGAGTATTGCATCTCTGCTGAACATCTTCCCTCTGCCTTTCCAGATCCACTCACCACCATTCTTCACCTGTGCTGTCCTGAGAGGCTATTTAGGAAGGATTCTCTCAATGGGCTCCTGGACTCTGGTGTCCACTGGGTTTGGCTAATGAAAAGCCCCAAGGAGAGTTGGAGGTGGGAGGGAGAAAGGAAGGAGAGTGAGGGCTGTGGACCTATTCCCCTGGCTCCATCCCTGTGAGTCACCTTGAGCTGGATGAGTCTCTTGGTGGAGGTCACTGTACTTCTGAAGACAGCAATTTTCTCATGATTATTGATTTTTCCAGATTCTAGTAACCACTTCCTCCCTGCTCTCATTCCTTTGGGTTCGGAGTTATGGCAGCTGCTACTAGCACAATCTCTGACGTTCCCCCTGCATCTACCTGTTTATAGATGGTCCCTTTGCAGACAAATATTTGTCAAATATCCCATTTTGGATGTATCATCTGTTTGACCTAGATACTATGTGCTTAGAGCAGAGCCTGACATATAATAGGTTCTTGGTGTATAGAATCTATGGCTAGTAGTAGTATTAATATTAGTGTAGAGGTAGTGGTGGTTGCAGTGGAGGTAATCGTGCTGGTATTTTTCAAAGCCACTCATTCAGTCACACGTAAAGCCAGTAGTAGGATGTATTTCTCTTTCATACTCAACTCTTTCTCAATGATTGCTTTTCAACTGTCTGTGCTCCAGAGGGAAATATACGGTTGGCTTCTAACACCTTGCTCTTTGTGGCCATGGAATGCTGCACATCCCAAGCAGATCCTATCCTGTGTCTGGTACTTTGTGTGGTGTTTAAACCTACCTTAGATAAAAATTGTAACAAAAATCATTAAGAATGCAGTTGAGGGTTATTATTATAACTAAACTAATGTCAGTCTGTAATATCACTTGTACAAAGGCTCAAAAACAAGAGGTGAAAAGGTTTAAAGGAGTCCCTGGTTCTGACCCTGGGTCCATCTCTGACTTACAGCATGATATGGGAGAGTCACTTTGAGTAGTTCCTCAACCTGATATGAAAAAGAAGAATATTCTTAAAAACTGAACACATCAGAAATTTTAAAAAAAATCAATACAATGAACTCATTGTACACTGATGACCTTTAATTCTTTATTATTCATTTTAGTGGAAAATATAACATAATCACTAAGTTTTTCAATAGGAGTTATTTTATAAAGTAAGTTGTAATCTTTCAATAGAAATATGCCACTGAATGTGTTCCTAACATTTTGATGAATTTTCACTGGATAGTGATATACCCATCAAAATATTTTTTGTAAACAAATTTAGAAAACAATCATAAAAGGTAATAAGGTAATTGAAAGCTGTTATTTTCAGCAATTTTAATCAATTTTTGACCTACCCTATTTGATGCGGCATGGCTGTTGGTTCTTGCTTGTTTTGTTTTGTTTTGTTTTTTATGACATGACAGTTTGATGTTCTCACTGTTAATTGCAGGCAAAAGTCCAAAAGAAATAAATACTTAGATGTTAGTTTGTAAGAATTTACTAAATGGAGTTGTTAATCTGTAGACAACATCTGGAATTCACTAAGGAAAAAAAATGTATACAAGGTTCGCTTGGTTTGTTAGTGTTTAGATGGCAGTCATGGGAGTGCTATAAATTATTTGTTTCTGGAGGGTCAGCAGCGTATTTTGCTAGGCTTTTATTGATTTTATGGTGTATGAAGTAAAGATATGTGAGCTTGACGAACACCGGAACAAAAATCCAGGGTCTACTTCACTTTTGTTCTATTTTTAAATTTTTTTTTTCCGTTATTGCGTTTTGTGACTTCCTATAGAGAATGGACAAGTGTCAACCTATGGGAGGAATCTAGGGCCATGCCTTCTTTATCTTTGGCCCTCTCTCTTATTCTCTTTTAAAACATTTTTAGCTTTTTATTTTGAAACAATTATAAGTTCACAAGAAGTTTCAAAGATATGTACATGGAGGCCTTATGTACCCTTCAACCAG
Source organism: Homo sapiens (assembly GCF_000001405.40). Classification (NCBI taxonomy): domain Eukaryota; kingdom Metazoa; phylum Chordata; class Mammalia; order Primates; family Hominidae; genus Homo; species Homo sapiens. The sequence goes on along the minus strand of NC_000023.11, from coordinate 143,519,021 downwards.
CCTCTCCCAATGGTAAAATCTTCAGTACACTACCACATTACACTATCAAAACTAGAACATTGACAGTGATGCAATCCAGAGCTTTTTAAGATTCAACACTTTTCTTTTGGCTGTTCTAGGCACTTTACATTTCCATATGACTATTATAATTATCTTGTCAATTTCTATTAAAAATCCTTTTTAGAATTTTGATTAGAATTGAGTTGAACTTACAGATGAATTTGGAATAACTGCCACTTTACAATATTGAATCTTCCAACCGAAAATCAAAGTATACATCTGGATTTTTGATGTCATTAACTTATCATTGCAATTTTTTTGTAGTTTTAAGTGTACAAGTCATTTACATTTTTGGTCAGATTTATCCCTAAGACTTTAATATTTTTAGTGATATTTTAAATTGCACTGTTCTTAGTTTCAACTTTCATTTGTTGAAATTAACTTCCAGTCCACCCTAGGACTACCATTAGCTGAAACACTGCCTCTTCTAATATATAAACATACAATTGATTTGTGTATTGATCTCTTACTCTGCAATCTTGCTAACCTCAATTATTGTAGAAGCTTTTTTATAGATTGACTTTTCTACATATACTTTCATGTAGTCTTTGACAAAAGACACTTTTACTTCTCCCCTTCCAAACTGAATGCATTTTTCTTTTTGCACTGGACACAATCTTCAGTACAAAGTATAACTATGCCCATACTGGTGCACATGTGGGTCTTAGATTGTAGCATCCTGCATGTAAACACTGAGAACAACTTCCAGCACTTGAATATCCACTCCTTCCCCCACCCACATACTGGCAGAATTCATGTTGGGAGACTACATTTACTATGAAAATACACCCCTCATTTGAAACAAGACTAGGATACACAGTAAAGAATGTTTATTCACTAAAATTTTGACAGACTGAAGGCCATTATTGCAGATTGGAAATAGGAAATTTAAAAGAACTACACGGACATTGAGTAAAATAACATGGGTTGAAATTTGCCTGGCAGTAGCCTAAAAGTAAATGGTCTTCAAGGTGCATATGAAGGAACTGTAGGAGGGAAATGGGATAATTAATTATTAATTATTAAATGTAACTAGTAATTAATAACTAATAATTAAATGTAGCCACACTAGCTTGGGGGATTTGAGGTGAGACATCTAAAATACTAAGTCATGGTGAGGGCTGGAAGACAAAAGAATGAATCACTTCATAGGAATGGCTGTGGGGAAGGGCTTGAAGGAATCATCCTCTGACTTCCATGTGAACCATGAACATTAAACATGGAGAAATGAGGAGCGGCGGCAGATCGGTTTGGGATGCATCTTCAGGGGATGCTGAAACAACAACCGCATTTGGTTTCCTCTACATCCCTGTCACCCCTCCCCCACAAGCCCAAGGAGTGGTCAGCAGTGGGGCTTTGTGATGTCAAAGCCACCTTAGGACCGCCATTGGCTGGGACACTGCCTGTATGATCAAACAAAGCTCAAGGGTGTGGCTTTGCCTTGTCACCAGGAGGGTATATATAGGGAGGGCAAGAGCTCTGGGACATCCCACTGGGAAGCTTCAACATAGCTGTGGAAGTCTGCAGTCTACAGGAGCCTACTATAGACATTCTACAACCAACCAGAATCATGGAACAGCCAACTTCCAGCACCAATGGGGAGAAGACGAAGAGCCCCTGTGAATCCAATAACAAAAAAAATGATGAGGTAAGATTGTCAGGTTTTGAAGGGAAGGTGAGGGTGAAAGAAAGACACACAGAGAGGGGGTGGCTCAAACAGCAACACAGGAATACTGCAGACACCTGTGGAAGTGGGGGACCCGCTTAATGCCAGAGCCCACCGCTGCTTACAGGCTGGGGTGCTTGTAGGTAGGGGTGGGAGGGGCCTGGGCAGTATGGCTTGCTGCCCGGCAGGATATTGATAAGATGTTTTTATGATCAGGCTGTTTGGTCCTTTTTCCAGTGGGATGTCATTGTGGTGTATCTTGAAACTTTGCCCAGCAAGATATGATAGGAAAGTTTCTTTAGTTGGACCTTTGTCCGTCTTGTGTTACGACGATTAGGCAAGATTTTTCTCATGGCCCGAACCCCCGTGGAATGTTTCACTTTGACCAAGGTCTGAAAAATAGCAGGGTGCTTACTAAATGGTGGTTTGGACTCACATTCTTGCCTTCTACTTTAGTATAAAAGGAAGAGGGGCATTGTTGATTATCTGGCTGCTTCCTGCCGAATAGGGGAGCTGTAATCAGGGTTTGGGTTTTGAAGCAGTGGGTGTTGGACTTCAGAGTTGTTTTCCTGGAGGCACTGGTACTGGACTTGGCAGAGGAGAAGGATGGTATCAATGTGTTGCTGGGTGGCCGCCTGGACAGGGGAGTTTAGCCTTCGGGAGATAAAGCGGGATATGAAGGTAAATATACATGGGCCAATTGTAGTATTAGGAGGAGGAAAATTAAGGGTCCTAAGAAAGGGGCCCCCTGCTATCTCAGTGCTGACTGCAGCAGAGATGTTTACTTCTGCTAACACTAGAATGAGATGTAGAGCCTGCTTAGTGTGTGTGGAGGAAGATGAGACAGAAGCTACTAAAGGAACCTGGATGGTCTGCTTGTTAGGCAAAATGTTAATGTTTAGGCTGAAACACCAGGGTGTATGTTCCTGACCATTTGGCCAGTAGGCAGAGATAAGAGTTTGTGGCACAAAAGAAGAAGACACTGGGGGTGGACAGACAAAAGTTGTAGGTTATGGTGGCAAGCCATGAGAAGGTGGGTGTTGAATTCTGCAGAAATTCTTTGTTTTAACTTTTATATTTTTCCAAGTTGAATAGCTGCCAGCAAGGGTAGCCCCTCTGACGGCCTGATAGGAAATGTTGGTGGTGGAGGAGATGGAGGCTGTTTGGTTTTGGAAAGAGAGGGGGAAATGGGTTTTTGTAACTAATAGCCATTGTAGCCCTGACAGGGCAGAAGGATATAGGTTGCACTTGAGGGAATTGTTTGTGCATGTTTTCCAGCGAGCGCCCTTGAGTTGGATAATATGAAGAGCGGCTCCAGCCAAGAGGGGAGGGGTTTCTAAAAGGTGTTTTATGGAATCCGTTTGTAACATATTCAGTTAAGAGGCTATGAGGCGAGGGAGGGTGACAGCCCTGTATGTGATGGTGTGGGTGGATTTGATGGATTGGGGGAAAAAGAGTTTAGCTGATCAAGATTATAAACAGGTTTGGGAATGAACTGGTCAAGTAGGTGAGATGCAGGCTTATTTTGGACCGAGTTCATGTGGCCAGGTTGACAGGAAGGGCTGTGAATTGCTGGATTTGTGTGGACAAACAAGTTTAACAGTTGGAAGGAAGAGGGGAGTGTGACTGATTTAAGAGGAAAGGTGTGAGGCTGATGAAGGGGGCTCAACTGTCAGAGGTTGGGGGTGGGGACTTAGAGTATCCCACAGACAAAGAGGACAAAAGAAGAAAGAGGAGATTTGAGTAGGAGTGAAATTTTGGAAGGTGCCCTGCAGTCATACCTCCTGGATTAGTATGACGAATTGGCATGGACTATTCAGGGACATGGGGAAGGGTAGCCAGGAAAGATCTGAAATAAAGTAGGAGATAAAAGATTGGAAATTGGAGACAGAGAGTGTTATGGACTAAGGTGTTCTGGATTGGCAACTTCTGGAATTCTTGTTAAGTACAGTGAGGTTGGTCCTGTCGGGGAAGGAGAATAATATGGGGGTGAGGAAATTTCTAGATGTGGGTCTGGTGCTCTTTTTAGTTTGGAATGGTGTATTCAGTGTGGAAAGGATGTTAGCTTTGCCCCAGTCGGAGTAGTTAGGATAACCTGGTGGGAACATTTCCGCTTAGGTTGGAAAGGGGAGGAGGAGGAGTCTGTGATTCAGACCCAGTCCCCTGGTTGTAGGGACAGGGCGGAGTATTTTGAGGATGGACTTTTAGGCTGGGTCAAGTAAGCATTTGTGTACTGTCTTATTAGATGTTGGGTGAGGTGTAACGCCGGCCAAGTATTCCATATAGAATGGGGGGAAAATACAGGGAGATTCTGGAGGATAAAAGGGCATTTGTACATGAGTTTAAATGGGCTTAGGCTGAGGAGCTTTTGGGAAATGACTCATAAATGCATGAGGAACAATGGGAGAAGTGAAGTCCAGGCCATTTTAACCTTTAGGGAAGATTGGTCAGTTGCTGTTTTCTAAAAAAGTTTCCCTGAAGATTCGGGGTGGTAAGGAATATGCAAAGCCAATTTAATGTTTACAGCCTTTACCAGCTGTTGGTTAAACTGTGAAACAAATTGGCCCGTTGTCTGACTGGATGCAAGAGGGGAGTTTAAACCGGTGGATAATATGGGTGAAGAGAATAGAAGCAATGGTCTGTGCCTTTTCGGTGGTGGTGGGAAAAGCTTTTATCCATCCAGAGAATGTATCTACTATTGTCAGAAGGTATAGGAATCACTTTCTGGGGGACATGTGAGTGACGTTGATTTGCTAGTCCTGCCCTGGTAAGTGTCCTCAGACCTTGTGTGTTGGAAAGGAGGTGGTTTGATAGCTTCCTGAGGGGAAGTTTGAGTGCAAAGGGAACATGCCTTAGTAATATATTTCAGATTGGCAGCCATGGCAGAAGAATGTATATAATTTTCTAAAAGCTGGAGTAGGGGCAGTAAGCAGCATGGAAATGGTTGTGCACATATGAAAGTACAGAAGGTTTTTTAAACTTGGACAAGACACTTTATCACTGAGATCAAACAATTTTTTCCTGAATGGCACCAGCCCGGGCAAGTGGGGTTCATTCCTTCTGGGTATATACAGGAAAAAATGAGCAATAACGATGGGGTTTTAAGGGCTGCCTGCCAGGCTGCCAAATTTGTTGAAAGGTTTCTCTCGGTTATGGCATCTTTAGACTTTCGGCACCCCTTGCAATGGATAATGGTGGCCTTTGGTGGTAGTTTATCCACCCCCAGCAGCTTATGTATAAGTTTGCCATTTCTTATGGGAGTTCCTTTTGTAGTTAGGAAACCCTGTTCCTGCCAGATGAAGGCATGAGACTGTAGGACATGGTATGCATATTTGGAATGGGTGTAAATGTTGACCCTCTTTCCCTTTGCTAGGGTGAGGGCCCTGGTTAGGGCAACTAGCTTAGGCTGTTGAGAGGTAGCATGGGGTGGCAGAGCATTGGATTCTAGGAGTTTATTTTCAGCAATGATGGAATAGCCAGCTGCTGGACATGGCTCCCTAAAAGAGCTTCCATTAACTAACCGTGTATGTGTTCCCTGCAAAGGGGCATGTGAAATGTGTTGGAAGGAGGAGGAGAGGGAGTCTAAGAGGTCCAGACAGGAGTGAGAGAGCCTAGAATCGGAAGTGTTTACAGGGAGGAGGGTGGCTGGGTTGAGAGTTTTATATCTCTGGAAGGGGATTAGAGGGCTACCTAGGAATAAGGCATGTACCTGTTATAAGCAGGATGGTAGGAGGGATAGAAGGGATTGATGGTTTATGAGGTCCTGTAGGTAATGGGAAGATGCAATAGTAATGTGTTGGTAAAGAGGGAGTTTCCGTGCCTCTAAGGCCAGCGATGTGGCCACAGCCAAGATTTTTAGTCAGAGTGACCAGCCTTGGTCACACAAAACAACAGAGTCCAGTTGTTTTGAGAGAAGTGCAGTGGCTTGTGTGGCGTTGCCGTATGTTTGGCAGAGTAGTCCAAGGGCAAGGCCCTGGTCAGAATGTACATACAAAGTAACGGGCTTGGTGAGGTTGGGCAGTCCCTGTGCCAGGGCCATTAAAAGGGCATTTTTAAGTTTTTAAGTGGGAGTTGATGGGGCAAGCTGGGTTTAGGGGTTTTAGGATGGGCCCATGTGAGGCCCTGTTTAGTGGCTTGGCCAGCAAGTCAAAATTGGGAACTGACAGCCAGAAGTAACCCACAAGGCCCGAGAAGGAGAGAAGGTACTTTTTTGTGTGAGGAAAGGGCATGTCCCAAATTAGCTCCTTTCATTGGGTTGGGATGGCTCGAGAATTAGGGGTTAGGACAAACCCAAGGTAAGTAACTTTGGTTTGGGCTACCTGAAATATTGTGGGCTAGGCCCAAACTTTGGTTTGGGCTACCTGAGATTTCCTCTATTATGGAGGAAGTTTAAAACCTAAGTGGTGTGTTGGATGGACAGGTTAAGGAAGGGGCTACAGAGAAGGAGTTTGACATGTTGCAGGAGGGTGCTAGCAGCAAGGGAAAGTTCACCTAGGTCCTTGATGAGGGCAAGTCTGAATAGGTGGGGGCTATCCTGGAACCCCTGTAAGAGTACAGTCCACTCTAGTTGGGTGCACATGTGAGTATTAGGACTTGACCAAGTTAAAGCAAAAAGACTTCTGTAAGCCGGATTTAAGGGAATGGTGAAATAGGCATCTTTCAGTTCCAATACAGAGGAGTGTGTAGTAGATTTAGGAATATGGGAGAGTAGAGCATATTGGTTGAGGACCACTAGATGTATTGGTACCACTGCCTGGTCAACAACTTGGAGATCCTGGACAAAGGGGTAAGTCCCGTCTGTCTTTTGGAAAGCCAGAATAGGGGTGTTCTGGGGAGAGTTAACAGGCTTGAGAATATGAGCTTGTTAAAGTTTACAAATAATAGGTTTGAGGCCCCTAAGCACGGCTGGATTAAGGGGATATTGAGACTGAAAAAAGAAAATGGAGGAGTTTTGAAAGGTTATTTTAACTGGGATGTGATGTGTGGCTATTGTGGGTTTAGAAACATTCCAAGCTTTAGAATTAACAGAAGGTAACAGGGTGGATAATGAGGATGAGTAGGGGGAGAGGGAAGCGTTTGGGTGTCGGAGTAAAATAAAAGGGGTAGAATTGTAGGAGCCGCATTGCATGGAGGCCTGGAATTTACTTAATATGTCCCACCCCAAGATAGGGGTAGGGGACTGAGGGATAACCAGGAAACAGTGGGTGAAGGGGGCTGTTGAATAGGTTGCATAATAAAGGACGAGTCTGTGCCTAGAGGGGATTTTATTGATTCTCACAATAGAGATCGAAGAACAGAAAAAGGGTCTAGAATATTCTGGTAAAACCGAGTAACTAGTTGTCGTATTGAGTATCCAATAGGAAAGACATGGACTTACTAGAGACTGACAGAATTACCCTGGGTTCCGAGGTGGTGATGGCAGTAGGGGTGGTGGACTCTAGGCCCCACCTGTCTTCAGGTACAGGTGGTGAAGCTAGATGAAGAGTTTCACTGAGCACAGTCTGACTTCCAGTGTTGCTTGATATCACAGATGGGGCAAGGCTTCCAGAGTGTCACGGGATTAGGCCAGGCTTTTGCTCAGTGTCCCTGTTGGATGCACTTATAACAGGCTCCTGGAGTTGACTGTTGCCAAGTTGAGGAATTCTGTATGCCTTGGGAACCCTGTTGAGTGGCAGCTATCAGCATTTGATATTTAGCCTGGCCCTTTTTTAGGTTTGGGTTTTTTAGTTCTTCCTCTCTAATCTTATAGACCTTAAAGGCCACTTTGATTAAGTCTCTTTGGAGGTTTGAGGGCCATCCTCCACTTTTTAAAGTTTTTTTTCAAATGTCTGGGGCTGACTGGGAGATAAAGTGTAAATGGAGGTAGATTTTGCCCTTAATGGTATTAGGGCTTAAGGTGGCATATTTAGTTGTGACCTTTGAAAAGGCGGGAGAGGAAAAGAGCAGGGGCGACTTTATTTATGCCAGCTAGAAGGCATGATATCATATGGCCTGGTTTCTGCCTGTCTACAGAAGTTGCCTGATAATTCCGATTGAGGTCAGTTCTGGGGACAGCTAGGGTCCCTACTGGGTTATGAGCAGCATCTTGTTGGTGGAGGGTGTTCTCATGGACCTGGGCACCCGTAAATATGTGTTCCCTGTCCTCCAGGGTGAGGGTAGAGGAGAGGATGACATATATGTCATGCCAGGTAAGGTCATAAGATTTAGGGAAGTACAGACATTCCTTGAGGAAGGAGGTAGGATCCATTGAAAAGGAGCAAAGTCTCTTTTCAGTATGGGAGAAGTCAGCTAGGGAACTTGAATTCAGATTATGCCTTCAGTCCTTGCAACCTCCTGCAAGGGAAAGACTTTGGAAGGCCTTTGGGCATGTGTCTGGTTTTCGGCAAAAGAGCGTTGGGCGTGAGACCTGGTTTGAGGTGGAGAAGGAAGGGGGATGGAGGGTGACAGTAAGGGGGTGGAGGAGCCGGATCCGAAGGAGAAGGTGGAGGGAATGGGAGAGGGCAGGAGCCAGACGAAGGGGTTTGTTGGCCAGGTTGAAATTCAGAGGAGGAAGGCTTGTCCCGAGGAGGAGGCATTTTGGGGGGTTTCTCCTTGAGGAGGAAGATTTGAAAAGGTGAACAAGATTGGCAGGAGAGTGAGTGAGGCATGAGCGGAGATAAGCAAAGCACTTCAGATCATTTACCATTGTGTTGGAGAAAGATTTTTAGATGATGTTGAATTTGAAAGTTGAATGTTTTGTTTTTTAGAAGAGGGGAGTGAATACTCTGGATGGGAGTGAATACTCTGGGGAAAGTGAGTACCCCAGAAGGGAGTGAATACCCCAGAGGGGAGTGAGTTCTCCAGAGGGAAGTGAATACCCCAGAGGAAAGTGAGTACTGGATTCCACCTGGGAGAAGGGACCTGGAGAGTTGGGACAGCCCCATAGCTATTCATGCTCCCCAGAGGACGGAGCGGCCAGAATGGCAAGTGTTCTGAGGCTGTCCCCTGAGAAGGGAGGCTGCAGTCACCTGGTGACTGGGGAGACCTCTCACCCAGCACTGGAATTTTTTTGGAGAACAAGCAGAAATAGAAAGGAATCCAGAAAGGAAGAATAGGGAGACTCACCCACGAATTGAAGCCCAGTGTTGGATGTGATGTCCAGCAATGGGGGTGATCCTGGTTGCAGCTGCTTGGGAAGGGGAAGGAAGGAAAAATAAGATGGAGAGTTTGATCAATATCTGGAGGTTAGTCCAGGGCTGGAGAAGATGAGAGAATAGGGGAAACAGGACTGGGAACAGACAGTCCACTCAGGATCTGGAAGTAGGCCCCGGTCTAGTTTGTGCTGCTTGCTGCTTTCTGCTTTCCAGGTTGCAAGAGAAAACTTACCCATTAGAACCCAATCACCGTCCTGGGTTTTGGCACCAAAGTGTTAGGTTTTGAAGGGAAGATGAGGGTGAAAGAAAGACAGACAGAGAGGGTGCATCTCAAACAACAACACAGGAATATTGCAGACACCTGTGGAAGTGGGGGACCAGCTTAATGCCAGAGCCCACTGCCGCTTATAGCCTGGGGTACTTACAGGTATGGGTGGGAGGGAGCTGGGCAGTATGGCTTGCTGCCCAGGAGGATATTGATAAGATGTTCTTATGATCAGGTGGTTTGGCCCTTTTTCCAGTGGAATATCATTGTGGTGTTCCTTTGCAGCTGCCTGGAAAGGGGAATGAAGGAAAAATAAGATGGAGAGTTTAATCAATATCTGGAGGTTAGCCCAGGGCTGGAGAAGATGAAAGAATAAGGGGAACAGGACTTATGATAGGGATGTTTCTTTAGTTGAGCCTTTGTCCACCTTGTGGTCAGGTGGTTAGGCAGGATGTTGCTCATGGCCTGAACCCCCATGGAATGTTTCACTTTGACCAAGGTCTGCAACATAGCAAAAACTTACAAAATCATGCAGTTTGGACTAACAGGTGACTCTACCCATGCTCCTCTTCTTCTTCTGCATAGATACCTACCCTATGATTTCACCTTGTTCTTCTCTGGCACACACCCCTTCCTCCACCTGCATTCCTTCTCATAAAGCCCCCCTTGCTATCTAGTCTCTATCCTATTCACCCAAAATAATGTCTTTCTGGCCTCTCCCTATTTTCTTACCAGATGCAAGAGGTACCAAACAGAGTCTTAGCCCCCGAACAGAGTTTGAAGAACACAAAAACATCAGAATATCCAATAATATTTGTGTATTACCTCAGGAAGGGTAAGAAAATAAATTCAAATCAACTGGAGAATGAACAGTCCCAAGAGAACTCCATCAATCCAATCCAAAAGGAGGAGGACGAAGGCGTAGACTTATCTGAAGGATCTTCAAATGAGGATGAAGACCTAGGCCCATGTGAAGGACCTTCAAAGGAGGACAAAGATCTAGACTCATCTGAAGGATCCTCACAGGAGGATGAAGACCTAGGCTTATCTGAAGGATCTTCACAGGACAGTGGGGAGGATTAGTCACACATGGAGAAACCAAATTGGACAAATCATCACCACTGATGGCGATGATTACAATAAAATCAAGTTTAAGGAGCTGATGACTGTGTTTATCTCTGCCTGTTGTCTGGTGTGGGGTGGGGAAGGGAAGGGAAGAGGTAGGCATTTGAGAAGGGAGGGATATGAGGTCCTGTAGGTTGGGAGACGGACCCACAGGTTGACAGTTAGCCAGACATTGCAAATAAGGACTGGCGGAGGACTGATTCCTCAGACAAATTTTCTTCTTAAAATTTTGTCTTACAGGAGAGGAAGAAAAGGACATGGTGTTTCTTGGAGCATGTGATTGTGTAGAAGGGTGTACAAAAAGATCTGTATTCGCTGGGCATGGTGGCTCATGCCTCTAATCCCAGCACTTTGGGAGGCTGAGACTGGCAGTCACCTGAGGTCAGGAGTTTGAGACCAGCATGGGCCAACATGGTGAACCCCTGTCTCTACTAAAAAATATATAAAAATTAGCCAGGCATGGTGTCAGGCACCTGTAATCCCAGCTACTTGAAGGCCAAGGCAGGAGAATCGCTTGAACCCAGGAGGTGGAAGTTGCAGTGAGCCGAGATCACGCCACTGCACTCCAGCCTGGGGGATAGAGCAAGGCTCTGTTTCCAAAATAACAAAAATTAAATAAAATAAAACAAAATAAAATGACCTGGATTGTATTTAGGTGACAGTGACACTCTTTCCAAAATGAAGACATCAAAATCACCACCTCCAGGCCACATACATCATAGTGGCATGGGTTATGACTCATCCAATGCTGTGAGCAACTGAAGCCCCTCAAACGGATCAAAAACCTCACCCTACATAAAGTAAGACATCATGTCACACACACTAAAATAATGGTGCTTGGAGGCCATGGTCCCAATACTAGGGCATTTCCTTGTTAAGAAACTCTAGGTGGAGCAGTAGCCTACCAAGTGTGGGGCACTGGGAGTGGCCATTGTCTACTGCAGGCAATCAATGAAAGCATAGTCTACAGAGAATTTGCATACAATGATACAAACAAAAGTTGGTATTTTTATTGCCACTTCCATACACCTGCATTTCTATAGAATGTCAATGACTAGGAATTCTTCCCTTGAAAAAAAATACTGTTTTTATTGAAGGGAATACAATAGAGTGGTTTTGGCATCAAGTTTAGAGGGCTGAGTTACATTCTTTGTGTTAATTTCCAAGACCCTCTCCTGTTTATTTATTCATTCACTCTCCTTTATTTCCACGACCCAGTTTTATTTCTCTTGTCTACATTGGCAATTATTGTAATGCATTTGATGTGTATCCTTTTCTCTGTATGAGTGTTAATAAACATTTCTTATTGCTTGTGGACATTTGTTTTCAATTTATGTATGCATTGTCAATATTTAATGTTTCACTCAGGCCTGTTTTTAAGATGCATCTATGTATATAAAATCTGTTCTTCCCTTGTAAATGGATTTATCAGGTACATTTTTGTATTTTGTAAATTTTAGAAAGATATTTTGATATTTAATATTTGTAACCACCTTCTGGTCCATGTTTTGTTTAATTTATACCTTAGTATTACATTTTCTTTCGAGTGACTGTAAATGGTATCATGTGTTTAATTTTGATTTCCACATGTTCAATGTTAGTATATAGAAGTGTGATGCATTTTTTATTTTTATTTTTTAAAAAAACTTATTGTGTCTATTTGAGGTTTACAACATGATATTATAGGATACATAAAGTAAAATGGTTACTATGGTGAAGCAGATTAGCATATCTCTCTTCTTAGTTTTTAAGTGTGTGACAATAGCAGCTAAAATCTACTTATTTAACAAAAATTCATGACACAATTTCATCAGGTTTAGTCCCCCTGTACATTAGATCTCTATACTTTTACATCCTACATATCTGCTATTTTGTGTCCTTTGACCTACTTCTCCCCACTTCTTCTCCCACCTCCAATGTTTCATTCTCTACCTCTGTCTACTTGAGCCCCTTATTTATATAGTCCACATATGAGATCATCGAATCTTTTTCTTTCTGTCTGGATTAATTAACTTATCGTGATGTCCTCCAGGTTCATCCATGTTGTGGCAAATGCCAAGACCTCTTTACTGTAAGGCTGAATAATATTTAGTTCTGTATAACTATGTATAACTACACACACACACACACACACACACACACACACACACACCAAATTTTAAAATCCATTTATCCATTGATGCACATTTTAAGCTGTTTCCATATCTTGGCTATTGGGAATAATGCTACAATGAACATGAGAGTGCATATATCTATATGAGGCTGTGATTTCATCTCATTTGGGTGTCTACCCAGAAGAAGGATTGCTGGGCCATGTGGTAGTTACTTGTTAATTCTTTTAGATACCTCCATATTGTTTTACATTATGGTTATACCAATCTACGTTTCCACCAACAGTGTACTGGGGTTCTTTTTTTCTCCACACCCTCATCAACATTTGTTACTTATTGTCTTTTTGAAAATAGCCATCTTAACAAGCATGAAGTGATATAGTGGTTTTAATAGGCATTTCTCTTATGATTAATGATGTTGAATGCCTTTTAATATATCTGTTAGCATGCCATTGTAAGAAGTAATATGAAGAGATACCAATGTATCTTTTACTCAGTTTCCTCACATGATAAGACCTTGCAAATGCATAGTGCAACATCGCAACCAGAAAACTGACATTAATACACTCAATCTATCCAGAGTTCACCAGTTTTACATGTGCTCATGGGTGTGTGTTTAGTTATATTCAGTTTTATCATATGCCTAGATTCAAGGGACAACGACCATAATTAGAGTACAGAAGAGTTTCATCAACACAAAAGATCTCTCATGTTGTCCTTTAATAGCCACTGCCAACCTTCCTCTCAAGTTCATAACCCCTAGCCACCACTATTCCCCACCTATATAATTTTGTCATTTTCAGAGTGTTACGTGAATCTTTCAGTATGTAACCTTTTGGAATTGGCGTGTTAGTCTGTTCTTGCCTTGCTATAAAGAAATACCTGAAGTTGAGTAATGCATAAAGAAAAGAGGTTTAATTGGCTCACAATTCTGTAGGCTGTACGGGAATTGGTGCCAGCATCTGCTTCTGGTTATGGTCTCAGGAAGCTTACAGTTATGGCAGGTGAAGGGAAAGCAGACACCTCCAACATTGGGAATTACATTTCAAAATAAAATTTGGAGGGGACAAACATCCAAACCATATCAATTATTGTTTTTTTCACTCATCATAAGTATTTGAGGGTTCATTCATGTTGTTGCATATATCAATAGTTTATTCTTTTATATTCCTGAGTGTGATATTACATTGTATAAATGTACCAGTTTGCTTAATCTTTCTGCCAGGTGAAGGACATCTGGGCTGTTTCTAGTTTTTGGCTATTACAAATAAAGCTGTTATAATCATTCCCCTGCAGGATTTCTCTGTAATAATTACCCAGATTATGGGTAGTATGGTAGTTGCCCTATTTGGTTGTGTAAGAAAATTCCAACTTTCTAATGTGGCTGTATCATTTACATTCCCACCAGCAATGCATGCATGATCCAGTTTCTTTGCATCTACATCAGCATTTGGTTTTGTCACTTTTAAAAAGCTTAGCCTTTCTGAAAGTTGTGTACTGACATCTAATTGTAGTCTTAATTGGATTTTTCCTGATGGCTAATGATGTTAAATATATTTTTATGTACTTATTTGTCATCCATATATTCTCAGCCCTCTCTTTGACAGATTCATGACAATGGGTTAGAACACAGATGTTGACAATATATGTATTAAGTCTGAAAATGACACAAAGATTAGAAGATTTTTCTAATAACAAGATTTAAATGCAGTAAGAGTTTAAACAGGCTAGACTGTGGACCACTTGAACTATGATTTTAATCAGACAAGAAAAATTTACTAGATAGCATTGGCATTCTGTGATCTTGGAATCCCAAAACTAACATCTTGTGAATAGAACGAGAGACATTTGGTTTAACAGTAGTATCAAAAAATCTACTTAGAGGTTTTCAATTGACAGCGAATAGATTGTGACCTAAGAATGTGAAAATACTAGCTCAGAAGCTACTAGTATCTTTGAGTAAATTCCATGGACATGTAACTAAAGCAAGAGGTGACTTTCTCTTTCTGTCCTGTGTTGATCAGACTACACTTGAAGAAGTAGTTCCAGTTGTGGACCTTTAAGAGGAAGACAGACAAATTAAATAGTCACTTGAGGAAGGAAGAAATCTGAGTGATGTTGAGACTCGAAATGGTGTTGTGGGGCAAATGACGAAAATAACTGTATCAGGTATCGTTCTGATGGGAAACAGTCTGTTTCAGTGGGACTCAGGGCAATGCTTATGCTGATAAGGTAACTAAAAAAGCAGCTAGCATTCCAACTTCTGTCCCTCACGGCCAGTTTTTCTCCTCATCGGTCACTCCCACCTACTCCCCCACTGAAACTTCCACCTATCAATCTCTTCCCACACAAGGCAAATGGTTCTTGGACCAAGGAAAACAGCTCCTTCCAGCCTCACAGGCCCATTCTATTCTGTCGTCATTTCATAACCTCTTCCATGTAGGTTACAAGCCGCTAGCCCGTGTCTTAGAACCTCTCATTTCCTTTCCATCATGGAAATCTATCCTCAAATAAATCACTTCTCAGTGTTCCATCTGCTATTCTACTACTCCTCAGGGATTATTCAGGCCCCCTCCCTTCCCTACTCATCAAGCTCAGGGATTTGGCCCTGCCCAGGACTGGCAAATTAATTTTACTCACATGCCTCAAGTCAGGAAACTAAAATACCTCTTGGTCTAGGTAGACACTTTCACTGGATGGGTAAAGCCCTTTCCCACAGGGTCTGAGAAGTCCACTGCAGTCATTTCTTCCCCTCTGTCAGACATAATTCCTCAGTTTGGCCTTCCCACCTCTATACAGTCCAATAACAGACCGGCCTTTACTAGTCAAATCACCCAAGCAGTTTCTTAGGCTCTTGGTATTCAGTGGAACCTTCATACCCCTTACCGTCCTCAATCTTCAGGAAAAGTAGAACAGACTCATGGTCTTTTAAAGACACACCTCAGTAAGCTCAGCCTCCAACTTAAAAAGGACTGGACAGTACTTTTACCACTTGCCCTTCTCAGAATTCAGGCCTATCCTCGGAATGCTACAGGGTACAGCCCATTTAAGCTCCTGTATGAATGCTCCTTTTTATTAGGCCCCAGTCTCATTCCAGACACCAGCCCAACTTGGACTGCACCCCAAAAACTTGTCATCCCTGCTATCTTCTGTCTAGTCATACTCCTATTCACCATGCTCAACTACTCATAAATGCCCTGCTCTTGTTTACACTGCCAGTTTACACTGTTTCTCCAAGCCATCACAGCTAATATCTCCTGGTGCTATCCCCAAATGGCCACTCTTAACTCCCTCTTAAAGTAAATAAATAGTCTTTGCTGGCAGGGCACCCTCCAATATTTTCATCCTGATAAAGTCCTTTTCTTTACTTTTATACTCACTCTTATTCTCGTTCCCGTTCTTATGCCACCCTCTACCTTTCCCCAGCTATCTCCACCACACTATCAATGTCACTCACTCTCACCTAGCCATTTCTAATCCTTCTTTAACAAACAATTGCTGGCTTTGCATTTCTCTTTCCTCCACAATCGCTGAGGCCTAGACTTACTCACTGCTAAAAAAAAAGAGAACTCTATATTTTTAAATGAAGAGTGTTGTTTTTACCTAAATTAATCTGGCCTGGTATATAACAACATAAAAAAACTCAAGGATAGAGCCCAAAAATTTGCCAACCAAGCAAGTAATTATGCTGAACCCCCTTGGACACTTTCTAATTGGATGTCCTGGGTCCTCCCAATTCTTAGTCCTTTAATACCTGTTTTTCTCCTTCTCTTATTCGGACCTTGTGTCTTCCATTTAGTTTCTCAACTCATCCAAAACGTATCCAGGCCATCACCAATCATTCTATACAACAAATGCTCCTTCTAATAACCCCACAATATCGCCCCTTACCACAAAATCTTCCTTCAGCTTAATCTCTCTCACTCTAGGTTCCCATACCGCCCCTAATCCCGCTCGAAGCAGCCCTGAGAAACATCGCCCATTATCTCTCCATACCACCCCCCAAAAATTTTCACTGCCCCAACACTTCAACACTATTTTATGTTATTTTTCTTATTAATATAAGAAGACAGGAATCTCAGGCCTCTGAGCCCAGGCTAAGCCATCATATCCCCTGTGACCTGCAGGTATACATCTAGATGGCCTGAAGCAAGTGAAGAATCACAAAAGAAGTGAAAATGGCCCGTTCCTGCCTTAACTGATGACATTACCTTGTGAAATTCCTTTTTCTGACTCAGAAGCTCCCCCACTGAGCACCTTGTGACCCCGCCCCTGCCTGCCAGAGAACGACCCCCTTTGACTGTAACTTTCCATTACCTACCCAAATCCTGTAAAACAGCCCCACCCCTATCTCCCTTTGCTGACTCTCTTTTCGGACTCAGCCCACCTGCACCCAGGTGATTAAAAAGCTTTATTGCTCACACAAAGCCTGTTTGGTGGTCTCTTCACATGGACGTGCGTGACACTTACTAATACAGTCCATGGTTTATATGAGTCAGATTTTTAGCAGCACAAAGCAGAGTGAAGAAGAGTGGAGAACGGATCTGGTGAAACAAATGGACGATATATTAAGAACACTGAACTCAGAGAAGCGAAAGCCTCAGGAGAGATCACACTGTCTTTCTTCAACTCTCTGATATGGTGTCATGTGGAATCAGGCCAGACTTACACTTTTTGAGTGTCATACCTATGATTAGTAGGACCACAGTAGGGAACTTAGGGGAAAGTGGCATAAACTCCCTTAGGCAGTTGATGTGGATGTGTTTGTCCTGGAAATGCTGTTTACAAAATGATCAACTGTAATTTTGCTCTTTTGGAGCTCAGAAAACAATACCCCAAAATGAAGAACTCAGGAGCAAAAGTCTTTCTCTACTCTTCTCCCACCCTCCTGTCTCTCAGTCTCATTCTCCCCCAAGGCTAGCTATAGAAACTAGGATCCTTCTTCCCTAAGGTGTGTCATAGAAACCAAAACATATTTTCCCCAAAGGCAGCAATAAAACCTAAAAATATTACTCTAATTTTCACTCCACCTTTCTGTGTAAAAACTGACCATAAAGAAATTGTCTGATCTACCTTATTTGACTGTAGGTCAGAAGGCCCCCATTTCAGAGGGGTCCCTGCCCCACACCCAGAAGGAAGAATACTGCTCAAAGAAGCCAAGAATAATCTAGACATACAGGCCTTTCTGTGTTTCCCCATTCAGTTCATTAGTATTAGTTTATAGCCTTTTTGTCCAACCCTATTTCTGCACCTCTGTCCATACTTCTTCCTTAAAACTAGGCATAAAATGCACAATTTCCCCTGTATCTTTGGGTCTTCATTCTGCAGGCTCACATGTACAACCATTAAATAAATCCGTATACCTCTTCTGCTATCAATCTGCCTTTTGTCAGTGATTTTTAGTGAGTCCTCAGAGGGCCTTGCCCCCTACAGCTCTTCCTGTGGGTGCAAATATCTCACCATGCCTGTCACTCTTTATATCAAAATGTTGAATACTTGCTACTATATTTCCCTGGCGTAAAGCAGAAAGTTGTTGTGTTTTTGAAGCTTGATATCACTTGGAAAATAAGAGTTATATTATTTAAAAGCTTGAACAGTGGCAAGGATGTGTGGTAGCTTGACTGTTAATTTCCTGGAAGTTCAGACTTGACCTTGTTTGCTGTGGTATCATCTGGAAATAGCACGGAGCCTGTCACACAATAGGCAATTAGTAAATATTTGCTGAATGATGGCACAAGCGTGGAAAGTAAAGTGTAGCATGGTCATGAAAAAAAAGACTGATAGTGACTCATAAAATGTTCTAGCCCCAGCTGTGGTTATAACTAAAAATATAACCTTGAGCTTGTTAAAGAAACACCCTTTAAAGGTGATGTCCAATTATCTAATTCCATGAATTCAGATTTAATCACTAAATGTTTGGGTCTATGTATCACATTAATCTAAGTGCAAATATATCCAAAGTATCCAAGATAATGGAATGAATCTCCCTAGCTGAAATTTTAATAGAATGTTGAGGCTGATATCTACTCTAAAAAAAGTTGAGGCTGATATCTACTAAAAATAAAAACTTCTATGCATAGACAGTAGATATAATTATCTGAATTACATTATTATTTTCATCTTACACAACCTTAATTTTTTTCGTGAGTTTTATTTTAGATACGGGGGTACACATGCAGGTTTGTTTCATGAATATATTGCACTCAAGAAGTGATTCTAGTACCCAATAGGTAGTTTTTTCACACATGCTCTCTTCCCTCCCTCCCCCGTCTTGCAGCTTACAGTGTCTATTGCTTCTACATTTATGTCCATTTGTGCTCAATATTTAGCTACTGTTAATAAACGAGAACATCTGGTATTTGGTTTTCTGTTTCTACATTAATTCACTTAAGATTATGGCCTCCAACTCCATCCATGTTGTTGCAAAGGACATATTCCATTGTTTTTTATGGCTGCATATAATTCCGTGGTGTATATGTACCACATTTTATTTATCCAATCCAGCTATTGATGGGCACCTAGATTGACTCCATGCATTTGCTACTGTGAATAGTTTGGTGGTGAGCACACATGTGCATGTGTCTTTTGATATAATGATGTATTTTCCTTTGAGTATACATCCAGTAAGGGGATTACTGGGTCAAATTGTAGCTCTATTTTAAGTTCCTTGAGCAACAGCTTAATTTTTAAAAGATATCCAAAGATAATTTTACTTTAGTAAACTTTAAATCAGTGCACATTTGGGTGGGCGCAGTGGCTCACACCTGTAATTCCAACACTTTGGGGGACTGGGGTGGTCATATTGGTGAGGCCAGGAGTTCAAGAGCAGCCTGGGCAACATGGCAAAACCCAATCTCTACCAAAAATCCAAAAAAAAAAAAAAAAAAAAATAGCCAGGCATGGTGGTGTGTGCCTGTGGTCTCAGCTACTTGGGAGGCTGAGGCAGGAAAATTGAGCCCAAAGGGCGGAGGTTGCAGTGAGCCAAGATTGTGCCACTGCACTCCAACTGGGTAACAGAGTGAGACCCTGTCTCAAAAAAAATTAAATAAAATAATGCACAATAAAGGAAGAATATTCCTTTGCATTGAAATGCTTTACTAAATGTGAATAACACTATTAATAATACTAATAATATTTAACATTTTCAAATAATTATCTCTAACATTTATTTAGCATTCACTAAATATCAAGCACTTCATATGCATGAGGTAATTTAACCCTCACAAGCAGCTTATGATTCTGGTAGTTTGGCTATCAGCATCCTTAGGGAATGAGGAATGGAGGCCACATAGCAAGCAGGGAAATAGAGATTCAAACCCAGGCAGTCTTGAATAAAGAGGTTGAATTCATATCCACTCACTATAAATATTATCTCTTGACTTTTCCTCAGAAAGCTCAGAGTAAATGCACATTTTCTGTTACATAAATTCAAAGATACCATGACTGCATATTAACATGGTTTGGTTCTGTGTTCCCACCCACATCTCATCTTGAATTGTAATCCAAATTGTAATACCCACATGTTGGGAGAGGGACCTCATGGGAGTTAATTGGATCATGGGGGACATTTCCCCATGTTGTTCTGGTGATAGCGAGTGAGTTCTCACAAGATCTGATAGTTTTATAAGGGACTCTTCCCTCTTTCCTCATTCTTCTCTCTCCTGCAACCATGTGAAGAATGTCATTGCTTCCTCTTCACCTTCTGCCGTAATTGTTAAGTTTCCTTAAGACTCCCCAGCCATGTGGAATTGTGAGTCAATTAGACATCCTTTCTTTACAAATTACCCAATTTCAGGTGTTTCTTTATAGCAGTGTGAGAATGAACTAATACAGTAAATCGGTACTGCAGAGAGTGAGGCACTGCTATAAAGATACCCAAAAATGTGGAAGTGACTTTGGAACAGGCAGAGGTTGGAATAGTTTGAAGGACTCAGAAGACAGGAAGATGTGGAAAAGTTTGGAACTTCCTAGACACCTGTTGAATTGTGTTGACCAAAATACTGATAGTGACATGGATAATGAAGTCCAGGCTGAGGTGGTCTCAGATACAGATGAAAAACTTATTGGGAACTGGAGCAAAGGTCAGTCTTGCTATGCTTTAGCAAAGACACTGGCAACATTGTGCCCCTGCCCTACAGACCTGTGGAACTTTGAACTTGAGACAGATAATGTGACATTGGAACTTAAGTTTAAAAGGGAAGCAGAGAATAAAAGTTTGAAAATTAGCAGCCAGATGATGCAATAGAAAAGAAAAACCCATTTTCTGGGGAGAAATTCAAGCCAGCTGCAAAAATTTGCATAAATAACAAGGAGCTGAACTTTAATCTCCAAGAAAATGGGGAAAAGATCTCCACGGCATGTCAGAGGTTTTCATGGTAGCCCCTCCCATCAAAGGGCTGGAAGCCTAGGAGAAAAAAAAAAATGGTTTCCTGGGCCGGGCCCAGGGCCTTGCTGCTTGGTGCACTCTCAGGACTTGGGGCCTTGCATTCTAGCTGTGACAAAAAGGGGCCAATATACAGCTCAGGCTGTTGCTTCAGAGGATGCAAGTCCCAAGCCTTGGCAGCTTCCATGTGGTGTTGGTCCTTCCAGTGCACAGAAGTCAACAATTGAGGCTTGGGAACGTCTACCTTGATTTCAGAAGATGTATGGAAACTCCTGGATGTCCAGGCAGAAGTCTGCTGCAGGGGTGGAGCCCTCATGGAGAACCTCTGCTAGGGAAGTACAGAAAAGAAAAGTGGGGTTGGAGCCCCCACACAGATTCCCCACTGGGGCACTTCCTGGTGGAGCTGTGAGAAGAAGGCCACCATCTTCCAGACTTCAGAATGGTGGATCCATCAACAGCTTGCACCTTGTGCCTGGAAAAGCTGCAGGCACTCAATACCAACCTATGAAAGCTGCTGGGAGGGGGCTGTACCCTGCAAAGCCACATGAATGGAGCTGCCCAAGACTGTGGGAGCCCACCTCTTGCATCAGCTTGCCCAGGATATGAGACATGGACTAAGGAGATCATTTCAGAGCTTTAAGATTTAATGACTGCCTCGCTGGATTTTGGACTTGCATGGGGCTGTAGCCCCTTTGTTTTGACCCATTTGTCCCATTTTGAACAGGTGCATTTATCCAATGCCTGCACCCTCATTATATCTTGGAAGTAACTAACTTGCTTTTGATTTTACAAGTTTATAGGTGGAAGAGACTTGGACTTTTGGATTAATGCTGAAATAAGTGAAGACTTTGTGGGGGTATTGGGAAGAGATAATTGTGTTTTGAAATGTGAGCAGGATGAGATATGGGAGGGGCTAGGGCAGAATAATATGATCCGGCTCTGCATAATCACCAAAATCTTGTGTTGAATTGTAATCGAAATTGTAATTCCCACATGTTAAGGGAGAGACCTGGTGGGAGGTGATCGAATCTTGGGGGTGGTTCCTTATGCTATTCTGGTGATAGTGAGTAAGTTCTCATGAGATCTGGTAATTTTATAAGGGTCTCTTCCCCCTTTTCTGATTCATCTCTCTCCTGCTACCATGTGAAGAATGTCCTTGATTCCCCTTCACCTTCATCCATGATTGTTAAGTTGTCTGAGCCCTCCCCAGCCATATGGAACTGTGAGTCAATTAAACCTCCTTTGTTTATAAATTACCCAGTCTTGGGTATTACTTTATAGCAGTGTGAGAACAGACTAATACAAATACTTTAGTTTTAGGGCCTGCGTTGCAGCAATTTACCTTTTACTGCACTGACATCTAACAACACTTTAACTAATGCATTTCTGATATTGCTTAGAAGAATGTACATGCATTTGAAAAATTCTATTGTAGAATGTAGCAGCTGGGTTGAGAACAGTTACCACAAACAGATAGACATGACTATAAACTAATATAGCACTAGTTCTGTAAATTAACAATGTGCACCTGGGTCAACTTGTGGCATGCTCTCCAACTTATGACATAGAACACAGGGGAAGCTTTAGTCATCACAAGGGTTGTATGTCTTCCAGTCTGCATGCTCTCATATGTGGGATTAATTTGCTTTTGATCATTTCTCTGAAAAAGATATTTTTAAATTTAAGGAATATTATTTATTTCCTGTATACTTTTTGGTGTTTTGTTTGTTATTTGGTGTTTAGTTGGAAAAACAAATGCTTTTTTATTGGTGTTTGGGAAAATGAAAGCTTTCTTTTAAGTTTTTTAGGAAAAACAAGACGGTTAATTCAGTCAGCACTCAACACTTGAAGAGCTAGTATTAAATCAAGTATTTTTTAAAATTTATATCAATAATAATGGTATTAAATTTTCATTGTCTGTTCCTAATGACCTGTGATAACATTTTAGGGCCCCAATGTATTACTTCTACATAAACTTAACTGCAAACACAAGGAAGATCAAAATAGACGTAGAGGATATTTAGCCTTTGGATCTCAAACCCTACACAAGAAAAGATGCTGAAAAATCTAAACGTTTTCTTCTCCCTTCAGTTTCTTTCTTTTCAGTAATATTCTCTATTTAAGTAAAGATATGTTTCACATAGGATATCGTAGTACCATATTTACCAACTAAACCTATTGAGTCTGGCACACTTGGGATCACATCTTTGAGCAAATATCTGAGAGCTGATTTTCTTATCTGTATAAATTAGGCTACTAGTTCTAATTGTTTTTCCCTCTGAGGATTAAATGAAATAAAAAAAATTCTTCTCCATTTCTTAATTGCTAATGGAAGCAATGGCTAGAAAATTCCTTCTTGCATGTTAATTGTGCAAAAAAGAATGGGAATTGTTTCGTTTCTCATTAAAAAATTATCGTGGGCAAAGGACATGTTACGAAGTTATAGCTGAAAGAATCAGGTGTACCTGCAAAGTGGCTGTATGACTACTACAGATTTACAGACCCCCAAATGTATTCACGCCTAGAGAGTAGATGCTCCCTTTTCCTAGTCATCTTTCTCACATAATGAAGAGTTTAATACCAGCTAGAGCTACTCATCCAGAAAATCAAAAAGGAAAGAAAAAATAGCCATGACATTATGCACCTCCAGATAAAGATGAAGTGACATCAGGAAAGATTGCCGAGTAGGCAAATTATGAGCACCATTTCTCATCCCCTCACCCTAAAAAGCAACCAATAACTGGCAAAAACTTAAATCAGAATCAATCGTATTGAACTATGGAATCCAGTTAAAAATTCCAACAAGCAGGGGGAAATTTGGTGAAGAAAGAAGCTGCTGCTTTGTAGTGAGAAAGTGCTATGGTATTTTAAATTGGCTGTCTACCATCACACACACTACAGGTCTGCAGTAGTAGTAAGAACAGCAATGTGCACTTCACTCCTGGGGCAGATTGCTGGTGCCAGAGGAAGCAATAGAGATTTTGTTCTCAAACAATGTGGTTGTCAGTTGCAGGCTGTCTGGAAGTGTCTGTAAAGACTTGCATGATGGTTTTCTTTTATTTTGTCTAACTTTGACCATTTCCAGGGCTGAGACAGCTTACTGAGTTGCTTTTCCTAAAAGCAGTTAAAAACGTACTGATTCTTGAAGCCTAGGAAAAGTGACAACACTAGGTATAAGCATAGACAGACCAAACTTCTGGGAGGGAAGAGATGAGAAAGGAGATGCATGTGAGAATAAAGGGCTTTTAAAGCTTCCACATCTATTGAATAAAGGAGAAAGCTACATTCATGCCAAAGGTGAGACAAATGCTCAAAAATGCCTGAGAAGACCCTATGCATTTACCTTTGGCTAGCTCCAGTCTCTGCACAAGTCAGAAGTGAACTCTAAGGTAGAGTTGTAAACACCTTGGGAAATTGCTGAAAGAATGGCACAATAAAAAGCCAATTTGCAAAGACTGAGAATTTTTTTTTTTTTTTTTTTTTTACTTTTTATGTTCTGTTGGCTCCAGGCACTTAAGGGAACAATGTCAAAACTGTCAAAGCTGACCACTAAGCTAACAGAACACAGAGTTGAGTGGCCACACATTAAAAAGGTCACACTTTATAAAAAGAGTTTAGAAAAGTTAGTGGACAAGCAAACAATAATAATTTGAAACAGGTACTATAAACCCCATAGATGGAGAAGAATCACTGTCATAGTTGACACGTTATAATATTAAAAATGTCTAGTTTTCAACAAAAATCATGAGACATTGAAAACTAATAAGAAAGCATGGTTCTTTCACAAAGAAGGAAAATACAAACTGCTTGTGAGGAAGTTCAGATATTTGACTTTTAGACAAAGATTTTACATCAACTGTCTTAAATATGCTCCAATTGTTACATTTAAAACACATAAGAAACTTCAAGAAACTAGGAGAAAAGTGTCTCAAAATATACATTAGTAAAGAGATACAAATTACAAAAATCAACTCAATATTAATTCTGGAGGTAAAAAGTACAAAAACTGAAATAAAAATTTACTAGAGGGGTTAACAGCAGATATAAGCAGGCAGAAGAAAAAGAAGTCAGTGAACTTGAAATTATATTAATTGTGAATATTCAGACTGAGAATAAGCAAAAGAAAATAATGAAAACATAAAGAGAGCCTAAGAGACCCATGGAACTCTATCAAACATATTGCATAATGAAAATTTCAGAAGAAGAGAAAGAAAAAAAACAGAAAAAAATATTTGACTATCCTTGAATTTGATGAAAGACATGAATCTCTAATTCCAAGAAGCTTAATAAACTTGAAGCAGGATGAACTCAAAGATATCCACAATGAGACAAATTATAGTCAAATTGTCCAAAGCCAATAGCAAGGAGAGAATCTTTGAAACAGCAAAAAAAAGAGCAACTTGTCAAGTCCAAGAGATGTTCAATAAGATTACTATCTGATTTCTTTTCAGAAACCACAGGATTCAGAAGGTATTAGGATGATATGTTTAAAGTGCTGAGAGAAAAAGTAATTTGTCAATGAAGAATTCCATATGGGTCCAAATCATCATTCAAAAATGAAATAGAAATAAATATATTTCCAGATAAACAAAACCTAAGGGGGTTCATTACTTGTAGGCCTACCCTATAAAAAAAAAAGTGAAAAAGAGTCTTCCAGACTGAAATGAAAAGTCACTAGACCATAAGTAAAAGCCATATGAATAAATAAAAAACAGGCAATGATAAAGGTTAACTATGTATGTAAATACAAAAGTTAGCAGTATTGTGTAGTCAGTTGGTAACTCATCTCATCTTCCTTTTTATATGATTTAAAAGACAAATGCATAAAATAATTATAAACCTAAGCTAATGAGCACACAATATAAAGATATAATTCATGACCATAAGAACATAAGGGGGGATGGAGCCGCATAGGAGCTGAAATTTTTGCATACTATGGCAAGTACATTGGTATAATTCACCTTTATTATAAAATTAAAATGTTAATTGTAATCCTTATGGTAACCACTAAAGAAGAAAAACTAAAATATTATGTCAAAGAATAAAAAAGAAAGGAATAAACATGCTACGCTAGGACAAAATCAATTAATCATAAAAAGACATAGAAAACAATTAGCAAAATGGCAAAAGTAAGACCTTTCTTATCAGTGATTGCATTACATGTAAATGGATTAACCTCTTGATTTAAAAGGCCGAGACTGGCAGAATGAATTTTTAAAAACGATCCAAATATATGCTGTTTACAAAAGATTTAACTTAGATTCGAAGACACAAATAAGTTGAAATACAAAGGGTAGAAAAATCTATCTCTTGCAAACAGTAACCAATAGACAGTTTTGGGTTCTTATACTAACATTAGACAAAATAGACTTCAAGACAGAAATAGTTATAGGGAATTAAATATTGATGAAAGTGTCAAATCATGAAGAATTTTATATGTGTGTGTGTATCTGTTTTTAATGCCAGTACTATGCTGATTTGGTTACTATACCTTTGTAATAAATTTTGAAGTCAGGCAGTGTGATGGCTCCTGCTTTTTTTTCTTTTTGGTCAATATTACTTTGTCTATTCAGGGATTTTTGTGACTTCATATAAATTTTAGGATTTTGTTTTCTTTTTCTGTGAAGAATGTCATTGTTATTTGGATAAGAATTACATTGAATCTGTAATTTTTGTGACTTCATATAAATTTTAGGATTTTGTTTTCTTTTTCTGTGAAGAATGTCATTGTTATTTGGATAAGAATTACATTGAATCTGTAAACCGCTTTTGGTAGTAATGTCATTTTAACAGTAGTCATTTTCCAATCCATGAACAGGGATTATATTTCCATTTTTTGGTGTCCTCTTTAATTTTATTAGTGTTTTATAGTATTGCTTGTATAGATCTTCTCACTTCTTTGGTTAAATATAAAAGACATTTTATATATATGGTAGCTATTATTAATGGGATTGCTTTCTTCTTTTTTCTTTTTTTTTTAGATTGCTCACTGTTGGTATATATAAAATGCTACTGATTTTTGTATGTTGATGTTGTATTCTGCATCATGGCCAGCTTATAAGAAAAATCGCAACACACACTAAAAGGCAAAAAGTGCAAGAAGAGACAAAGCAAAAATCAGAACCAGAATCAGATATGACAAAAATGCTAGATTTATCAGACCATCAACTTAAAATAACTATGATTAATACTAAGAATTCTAACTGAAAATAGACAACTTGCAAGAACAAGTGGGTAATGTAAAGCACAGAAGTAGAAATTCTAAGAAGGAATAAAAAATAAATGTTAGAGACTGAAAACAATGTAATGGAAATAAAGAATGCTTTTTAATGGGCTCATTAGTAGACTGCACTTGGCTAAGGAATGAATCAGTAAGCTTGAGGTTATATCAATATAAGCTTTCAAAATTGAAAAACAAAGAAAAAAAAAGGTAAGCAAAAGCCAGAACAGAAAATCCAATAACTGTGGGATGCTACAAAATGTGTAGCATATGGATAATGGGAATAGCAGAAGGAAAAGAAAGAGAAAAGGGAAGAAAATGAATATTTGAAGAAATAATTACTGAGAATTTTTCTCAAATTAATGTCAGAAACCAAACCACTGATCCAGGAAGCTCACAAAACACCAAGGAGGATAAATGCTCCCCAAAACTCTACATTTAAGGTTATCATATTGTGCAGAATATCAACATGATGAAAAAAAATCTTCAAAGAAACCAGAGGGAAAGGGGAGCAGCCTCCCTGTAGCAGAGAAAAAATAAGAATTACTTGGGACCTCTCCTCAGAGACCATGAAAGCAAGAAAAGAGCGAAGTGAAATATTTTGTGCTGAGGGAGAATAAACACCAATCTCAATATTGTATCCTGTAAAATTATCCTTCAAAAGTGAAGGAGAAATAGACTTTCTCAGACAAACAATAATTGAAGGAATTTGTTCCAAGAACCCCACGGATACAAAAATTCACACATACTCAAGTCATGTAGTCAGCCCTGTGGAACCTGCAGATACAAAATGTTGGTCGTCTATATACAGAGATTTTGTGTCCTGTATTTTCATTCTACATTTGATTGCAGATGCAGTAGCTGTTGATATGGAGAACCTACTATATTTATTAAAAAAATATCTGTGTATAAGTGGACCCAAGCAGTTCAAACCTGTGTTGTTCATGAGTCAACTGTAATTAATAGGCTAAGCGACGAGACAAAATAGAACTATGCTCAACGAAAACCACAGGAAGCAAAAAATAGTAGAAAACAAAAAGAGAAACAAATAATAAGGGCAATGAAGAAAAAAGTAACATAACTCTTAAGTATTATTCCAACTATGTCAACACTCACTTTAAATGTCAATCGTCTAAATACACCAATTAAAGACAAAGACTATCAGATTAAAAACAAGACCCAATTATGTGTTGTCTACTATAAAACCACTTTAAATACAAAAATATATACAAATTAAAAGTAAAGGGGCAGAGAAAGATATGCCATGCTAACACTATCAAAAGAAAGCTGGAGCTGCTATATTAATTACAAACAAAGTGGACTTTACAGTAAGGGAAATTATCAGGAATAAAGAGGGGTATTATGATATAGTGATAAAGTGGCCAATTCTCCAAGAAAACATAACAATCCAAAAAAGCTAATTTCATAAAAGCAAAAGCAGATTAGTGGTTTCCAGGAGTTGGGGGAAAAGGGCAAAAGGGAATGCAGAGTGGCTGCTTAATTTCTATAGTTTCCTTTTGGGGTGATGAAATGTCTTGGAACTAGATAGAAGTCATGGATGAGCATCGGAAATATACTTAATTCTACTGAATGTGTACTTTAACAAAATTTGTAGTTCATTGTATGTCATGTGAATTTTTCCTCAATTAAAAAAAATGAGACAACAAAAATATTCATTTTCAGAATAACACTTATTGAATAATTACTATTAAACTAGTAATTGCCTGACATTAGTTCTTTCTCACCCCATCTCTTATCCAAGACAGACAATAATTGGCTGATTGTAGAATATTTCCTCTTCCAATCACTGACTTGGCCTCATAATCCTTCTCAGTACAGGACTCCAAGAAGTCCCAATCAAGAGAAACAAAAACAAACAATCTGAGTCTGTGCTAAGATGACCTTTCCCAATATTCACCTTCAATACTATTTCATTTGCTGGTTAATTCCTGCAATTCCACAATCAAGGCTTTACTCGTTTTGCTATGACCTTTGACCATCGCTACATATTCTACTAAGATTTCTTGAAGGCTGGTCTTGCAGGAGACATATCCTAAGACAAAGATTTATGTGGAGGAGGAGGTCTACTTTGGAATGACACTTTTAAGGAAGACAGAGAAGCAGGGCTGGGCAGAGGGTGATGTTAAACTGCCGTGCAGTAGAAGTGGATCCTGCAGCTGAGATCATAGAAAGCCCTTGAGCTGGGAAGATACCTTTGAGGTATCTTCAAATGAGGCAATGAACTTGCATTCACACATGAAACAGTCACTATATTTGGGCTGCCCTCATGGAGGAGGTGTGACCTTGGAAAGGGAAGGGTAATTTACATGGAGGGACTCAGTTCTGGGCTGTCAGTAGCTAGCAGTCTAGCAGTCAGAGAAAATACGTATATTGATCCTGAAACGGGAATCTGGGTGGCATGCCATAGCAGAGGTGCACCAGTTTTGGTTACTGGCCAAATTTATACATAAGTACAAGGTGATTTAATCTCATTATGGAGGCAGGGAAAGAAAGTAAGCCTATCATAGGCCCAGGATTGTATGAGGGGTTATGGAGAGAGACTATGTTGAGGACAAGACAAACATTCTTATATTATGAAGTAACAGTGTTCCCCAAACCTATTTTCAACTATTTTGTCCTTAATAGAAAAAAATCTGTATAATACCACTTTGGGAATGATCATGGTAATGGGCCTTCAGATCATTATTTGGAGGAGAATCTGAACTTAATTTTATATTTGTGGGGCTTTGTTTGCCTGTTAATTTCACAGATTTGCCCCACTGGAAAGTCGTCTTCCCGTGAGTCTAGAAGGCCAATTGTCAGTATCCTCAGCCAATCTACAGCCAGCTTGTGTGTTATTGATTTAAAAAAACATCTCCCAAAAGGCAGCTTATACCTAAAAGAGGACAATCAAGGAATTGAAGAGTTCTTCACTACAAGCTACTTTAAATTTCTGTTTTATTTACTATGTATGTATAACAAATTACTGCAAAACAGAGTAGTGGAAAAACAGTTGTTTATGATGTTAACATTATCTGCTTCAGGTATTCAGGCAGAGCACAGTGGGTACAGCTTGTCTCTGCTGAATGACTTTTGGGGCCTCAGCTGGAAGGTTCAAACAGCTCAAAAGTGGAATCATCTGAAAGCTTGCTCGCTCATATGTTTGGACAATTGATGCTGTATGTAGGCTTACACCTTAGCAGGGTTGTTACCACAATTCTTACATTTGATTTCTTCATGTAGCCCAGGATTCCTTACAATGTTCTGGCTGTGTTCCAAGGGTACATGCTTCCAGAGAAAAAGCCAAGTAGAAGCTTCATGCATATTATACCTAGTGTTAGAAATTATAGCATCATTCCTGCCATAGTCTATTTTGGGGGGCAGTCACAAGCTCCCACTCAAATACAAGGAAAAGGGGGAGTATCATTCACACTGTAAAAAGGGCATGCAGTATGAAATACGTATATTGGTGTTGCTGTCTTTGGAAAATACAATCTGCCACTCTTTCTTTTTCCTATAAGCTCTTTCTTTCAATTTTCAAAGACGAAGACATTTGGTCAAATATTCATTTCCAGATAAATATAATTTCAGAGTGCAGCTTCTGGGATAATAGGAAGGTAAGATACTTATGATAGTTCTGATGACTATTTAATCATATGTCTTTCATTTTTTACAGCTGCTCTATAAATGAATATTCTACATGCTGATGAAAAAATTACTTCCCCTTTATATTTATTATGAGTTTCAAAATCACTGAACCAAAGTAAGACCAAACAAAAAGTTGGAATATTCCTCTTAATGCTTTCTCAGTAGTTAGAAAGATAAACAGAAAAAAGAGTGCCTAAAATGGATTTACTGCATTATAGGTTTTCCAATCCAGATGGCCTAGATACAATACTTGCCTATTTGAACAGGATATACGTGTTTATCGCAAGTACCACATTGAAGATGTTTTTAAAGTATGACTCAATATCATACATTCTTCATTATTTCTGTAAAATTTAGCTTCTGAAGGGTAAGACTATATGTGTTGTTTAATCTGACTGTATAGACTGTAAAAAACAATGCAAAATTATTTATACCTTCCTTACCTATAAAACTAAAACTAACATCTGTTTAATTTGTTGTAACTATTTTATTTCACATGCCTGGTGTCATCAATTCTTTTTTCTACCACAAGTTTAACTTCTTTTTTTTTTCTACATTTTAATTATTAACTGTCTTATTTTCAGTATGTTGACTCTTGAAAGATAAATTCAATCCATTTAGGATTAAGTGGCAGTATCAGTCTTGATAACTGTAGTTGCTTTGATGTATTTCAGCAATGGTGTGAAGTGTTAATACTAGCATTTATTGGGAACCTACTGTAGTCTAGGCACCATTCTAAGCACTTCATATTATCTCATTTAATCTTCACTACAACCTTATGAAGTCTGTCATATCACTCTTTCCATTTCACAGGTAAGAAAGGTGAAGTTGAGAAAAGGGAAGAAGCTTGTCCTGGTGAAGCTGTTTGAACCCGGGTGGAATCCAGAGCTTTTACTTTTTTACCGCCATATTGATATGGTTTGGATATTTGTCCCCACCCAAATCTCATGTTGACATGTAATCCCTAGTGGTGGAAGTGGGTCCTGGTGGTAGGTGTTTGGGTCATGAGGGCAGATTCCCTCATGGCTTGGTGCTGTTCTTGCAATAATGAATGAGTTCTCTTGAGATCTGGTCATTTGAAAGTGTGTGGTAACTCCCATTCCCCTCTTGCTTCCGCTCTGCTGCATGAGATGCCTGATCCCACTTTGTCTTCCTCCAAGTATAAATGTGAGCCAATTAAACTTCTTTTTAAAATTACCCAGTTTCAGGTATTTCTTTATAGTAATGCAAGATTGGTCTAGTACAAATACTATAGATGGAATAAGGAATATACTTTGGTTTTGAACTTATATAATGGCCACAAAGTTTCTCTTTATTTTGTGAGGAGCTTTTGATGGGGTGAAATGGCAGTGCCATATCATTTTGAAATTTATCTTAATTATATGAGACATGACTATATCATAGCTTTTCTCTTCTTTGGGTATTTTTGTTACTCTTCTGACATAGTTTCAAGGAAACTGAATTAATTGAAAAAATATCTGATGGCTTTTATATAAAGTGCATGCTTTTTTTCAGTAGCAAGGTAAGCAAGTACATTGTCTTTCCAAAATAATAATGACATGAAAATTTGTAATTGTACGTCTTATCAAACTTCCAGAGCAGCTGACATGCGTACTAATGATACACTGAGTTTTTTAGGATAACCAAGGCTTATAATCTGGTTGGCACTGCTAAAGCAATGAAATTGCTATGCAAGTTGTATCACATCGTTGGCAAAACTTGTCTTAGAATTTATTCCAGAGGCATAAGAACTTACAAGGAGATGTGAAGGGAGTCACAGGAAACAGAGGCCTGGGAATTTTTGAAGGGCAAAGGGATTGTGAATGAATGGCTGAGCAGAGGTTAGGTTTTTTGCAGACCAGACTTTGGGGAGAGAAAAAGCTGAGGGAAATGGATACCTTAGCATGGAGACTGTATTACTCCATTTTTCAGGGGATTAAAGTAGGGCTGAGATGTGTGCAGAGATACTAAGAGGCAAAGAAATAATGTTCTGGAATGGTCCAGTATGCTCCAATACGGATGAAGTTATCTTATGCCTGGTGAGTGAAGCTGTGTAGACGTTAACCAGTGGTCTGTAGAAGGGAATCGAAACCATGCGTCAGCGTGCAGCCACAACGTGTGGAGAGTTTGGCTAGGGGACGGACAAAGGAGCCAGGTCTTTCAAGCTTATTCAGCATCTCTAAAGCCCAGCAGTGGCAATGAAGCTTTAGAGATAGGACGCAGAAATGTGATTAGAAAAATAAAAAGCTGATAAATTCAAATTCCTTGCAGGATTGGGTTCCACTTCATTATTTCATTGTCCCAGCAACTGTTAATGAGAATCAATGGGAATAAGTGTATCTACATTCCCATTACCCCATCAGTTGTTTCCATTTTTTCCGTGTCCATTACTGCTGTTGACAATATGTGTGCATATTTTACATTGTTAAAACATTTCCCAGATACATCTTTGCATAGTGTTTTTATCATCGAACATTGCAACACAATTATTTTTTCATGCTGCTAAAGTCTCCAAGATAATATTTTTAATTATTTTATCATAATTCCATGAACGGATCAATTGCTTAACTATTTCTCTATTAGTGAGCAAAGATAATCATTTCCTGTTATACATAAGCCAATTCTAAATAAATTTGGTTTTCAGAAGGTGTGTGTGCCCAGAGCAGAGTGGCAGAAAAGCAATGTGGTCAGTAAAATTTCACTTAATAAAAGATATTTCATGGTGCTTGCAAAAACTGCAGATTATATTTTTAAAGATTGTACCATAACTTTACACTGTCTGAATGTACTTTTGACATCATTTTTGAATATGATCATTACGTTTTAAATGCAGTTGGTTGTGTATTGCTTTCACAAGAAGACATGGCTTGGAGTAATTTTGAGGCTTCATTTAGATATTCTCAGAAAAGTTTGGGACTTTACTATTATATTATAAAACTAGATGAAAATTTTACATCTTCCACAACGCATTGAGGTTGTGGTTGATGGAAAGGCCTATGACTAAGACTCAACTCTGCAAGCTTACAGAAATTGGCAAATTCAAATCAAGGCCTCCACATCTTAGGTACTTAAAAATGATTAGGAAACTTAGGAAAATCAGGCCTTATGATTGTTTTAAGTGTTTTCCATTTTAAAGCAGATGTCTTGAATTCGCTAGAGTAATTTAGGCCATTTAAAGTATTTACATAGCTGACAAAGTGAGAGCATGACTGCCTGATGTGCAAACAGCTAGTCAGTTCAGTTACAAATCAAGGTTTTTTCAGTCTTCACTGTACTGACTTGATATTCCAGTATTAGTTGGTAAGAAACTGTAATAAATTTATAGATATAAGCAATAAGTTTGAATATTTATTGAGTGTAAAATATATGCTAAGCATGAATCTAAGCATTTTATACCCATTTAGCTTATTTAATTTTAACAACAGTCACCATTTTCTACTATATAGATTAAGCATAGAGATGATGATTTTGATGATATGTATTTTCATGATGAAGATTTTATCATTAGCTGTTATTATTGAGGGCTTATTTTTTCCAGACATTATTTTTGTGCAATCCTTGTAACAAATTCATGAGATAGATAAGTGTTCTTATTTTAGAGATGAAGTATCTGAGGTTAAGTGACTTTTCCAATTCACACAGGTAAGAAGTGAGGAAGTTGGGATTCACTCTAATGTGAACATAGCTGGAGGTCTGTGTACACCAGAGCTCATGCTGCCTTAACCAAGATGATCCCTACTGTTTGAAAGACCACACAAACTTGAAGCTTTGATGTGAACATATGTTTTCTATTTTCATACATTCTTTTAATAATTATGATATTGACACTGCAATTAGTCAACCACAAACATTCTATTTGTACTGAGTCCAGAGATTTGCATGGAGAAACAAAATTAACCTCTTGTATAGGCTGAATGAATTATCTGTCAAATAGAAAATATTAGATCCTGAAGTTAAAAGGTCAAGATACATCTCTGAAGATTTATTACAATGATGAAGACTGAAGTTTTATACTAAGT
This sequence comes from Homo sapiens, assembly GCF_000001405.40. Lineage (NCBI taxonomy): Eukaryota > Metazoa > Chordata > Mammalia > Primates > Hominidae > Homo > Homo sapiens. The sequence goes on along the minus strand of NC_000023.11, from coordinate 143,484,391 downwards.
GGGTTGGAACCATCATTTATTCTATTTCTAGACTGTATTTAGGATCCTAGATTGCCAGAGATAGAAAGATATTAGAGGACAACCAGTTCTAGTTTCTTATTTTACAAATAAAAAATCAAACAAACATGCAAACCAACTATGACTTTATGTTTTGTTTAAATATTCTTCTAAAATTTTTTAAAGAATTTTCTAATTCTTATTTAAATAAATAAGTTTAAGATTGAGCCAATTTAGGCAAAATATATTATTTATATGCATAAAATTAGACTCTGAGGGACTACTTTTGATTCTACAAAGATAGAATAGCCTTACTATTCTATAACTAAAAAAGTTTACATATAACACAACAAATAAGCATAGGAAGACTCTGAGAAGTGAAAAGAAGATGCCAGACTTCATAGGGACTTTAGGACTTGGGGAACAACATGATGATGAGTTCCCAGGGTTTCCTTATTATCTCCCATACACCCTGGTGAGAGTGCTGCAGTGACCTCCAACTCAGTACTGACAATAGACATGGTCTGTTCTGTCAAGCAGTTTTATTTATAATTGCCAAAATCTTTCAAGCAACCAAGATATCCTTCTGTGGGTTAATGGATAAATAAACTCTGGCACACTCCAACAATGAATTATTATTAAGTGCTAAAAGGAAGTGAACTGTCAAGCCGTCTAAAGATCTGGAGGAACCTTAAATGTATATTGCTAAATGAAAGAAGCCAATCTGAAAAGGATATATTTATTTTACAATTCTGATTCTATATCATTTTGTAAAAGAAAAAACTATGTAAACAGTAATAAATATCAGTAGTTGCCAGGGGTTAGAGGGAGGAAGAAATAAATAGGCAGTGCATAGATAATGTCTAGGGCAGTGAAACTCCTCTGTATGATTTTATAACTGTGGAGACATTTCATACATATGTCTAAGTCCATAGAATGTGCAACACTAAGAGTGAACCCTAATGTAAACTATGGACTTTTGTGATTGTAATAGTATCAATGTAGTTTAATAAATTTTAACAAATGTTTTTGTAGTGTGCTCAAAAGCACACTACAAAAGCTTCATAATGCAATCACGAGTATAAATAGCAGAGTAGACCAACTGAAGGAAAGAACCTCAGACAATGAATACTGGCTTTCTGAAATAAGACACTCAGACAAGAATAGAGAAAAAAAATAAAAAGGAATGAGCAAAACCTCTGAGAAATATGGGATTATGTAAAGATAACAAATCTGTGACTCATTAGTGTCCCTGAAAGAGATAGGGAGAATGGAACCAACTTGGAAAGGATATTTTAGGATGTCATTCATGAGAACATTCCCAACCTAGATAGAGAGGCCAACATTTAAACTCGGGAAATGCAGAGAACCCCAGTAAGATACTTCACAAGAATGTCATCCTCAAGACACATCATCGTCAGATTTTCCAAGGCTGAACTGAAAGAATAAATGTTAAAGGCAGCTAGAGAGAAAGGCAGGTCACCTACAAAGGGAAGCCATTAGACTAACAGCAAACTTCTGAGCATAAACCTTACAAGCCAGAAGAGACTGGGGACCAATATTCAATATTCCTAAAAAAATTCCAACCCAGAATTTCATATTTGGCCAAACTAAGCTTAATAAGTGAAGGAGAAGTAGGATTTTTTTCAGACCAGCAAATGCTAAAGAAATTCATTACCACCAGACATACCTTACAAGAGCACCTAAAGGAAGCACTAAATATGGAAAGAAAGGCCATTACTAGCCACTGCAAAAACACGCTGAAGTACACAGACCAGTGACAATAAAAAGCAACCACATAAACAAGCCTGCAAAATAACCAGCTAACAGATGACAGAATCAAATCCACACATGTTAATACTAACCTTAAATGTAAATGAGCTAAACGTCACAATTAAAAGACACAGAGTGGCAAGCTGCATAAAGAACCAAGACACATTGGCATGCTTTCTTCGAGAGACCCATCTCACATGCAATGACACACATAGGCTCAAATTAAAGGGATGGACAAAAATCTACCAAGCAAATGGAAAACAGAAAATAGCGAGGGTCACAAGCCTAGTTCCAGACAAAACAGGCTTTAACTGAGCAAAGATCAAAAAGGACAAAAAAGGCATTACATTATGGTAAAGGGTTCAATTCAACAAGACCAACCTGTTCTAAATATACATGTACCCAACAGAGGAGCACCCAGATTTATAAATCAAGTTCTTGGGGATCTTCAAAGAAACTTAGACTCCCACACAATAATAGTGGGAGCGTTAAACTCCTCACCAACAACATCAGACAGATCACTGAGACAGAATATTAATTAAGATATTCAGGATCTCAACTCAGCACTGGATCACATGGATCTGGCAGACATCAACAAAATTCTCCACCCCAAAACAACAGGATATACGTTCTTCTCATTGCCACATGGTACACACTCTAAAATTGATTACATAATCAGAAATAAAATACTCCTCAGTAAATGCAAAGGAACTGAGATAATAACAAACAGTATCCCAGACCACAGCACAATCAAATTACAAATAAAGACTAAGAAATTCACTCAAAACCACACAGTTATATTGAAGTTGAATAGTGTGCTGCAGAATGACTTTTGTGTAAATAATAAAATTAAGGCAGAAATTAAGAAGTTATTTGAAACTAATGAGAATAAAGATACAACATACCAGAATCTCTGGGACACAGCTAAGACATGTTAGGAAGGAAAATTATAGCACTAAATGCCCACATAAAACTTAGAAAGATCTCAATTTGACACCCTAAAATCACAGCCAGAGGAACTAGAGAACTAAGAACAAACCAACTATAAAGCTAGCAGAGGACAAGAAATAAAGAAAATCAGATCTGAACTGAAGGGAACTGTGATGGTTAATAGTGAGTAACAACTTGATTGGATTGAAGGATATAAAGTATTGATCCTGGGTGTGTCTGTGAGGGTGTTGCCAAAAGAGATTTAGCATTTGAGTCAGTGGGCTGGGGAAGGCAGATCCACCCTTAATCTGGTGGGTACAATCTAATCAGCTGCCAGCAAATATAAAGCAGTCAGAAAAACCTGAAAAGGAGAGGCGGGCCTAGCCTCCCAGCCTACATCTTTCTCAAGTGCTGGATGCTTCTTGCCCTAGAACATCAGGCTCCAAGTTCTTCAGTTTTGGGACTCGGGCTGGCTCTTTTTGCTCCTCAGCTTGCAAACAACCTATTGTCGGACCTTGTGATTGTGTAAGTTAATACTTAATAATACCTTTTTATACATATATATCTATCCTATTAGTTCTGTCCCTGTAGAGAAACTGACTAATACGGGCATTGAGACATACACACAAAAAAACCATCGAAAAGATCAATGAATCTAGGAACTGCTTTTTGGAAACAATTAATAAAATAGATAGATTGATAGCTAGACTAAGAAAGAAAAAAGTAGAGAAGATCCAAATAATCACAATCAGAAACAACAAGGGGGATATTACTACTGAACCCACAGAAATACAAATATCCATCAGAGGATATTATGAACACCTCTATGCACATAAACCAGAAAATCTAGAAGAAATGAATAAATTCCTGGACACATATACACTCCCAAGACTGAACCAGGAAGAAATCCACCAAAATGTCCATCAATGAGAGATTAAATAAAGAAAATGTGGTGCATATACACCACAGAATACTATGCAGCCCTAAAAACTAGCAAAATTATATCCTTTGAAGGAACATGGATGGAGCTGGAGGCCATTATCCTTAGCAAACTAATGCCGGAACACAAAACCAAATACTGCATGTTCTCACTTATAAGTGGGAACAAAATAATGAGAGCACGTAGACACATAGAGCAGAGCAATAGAGTGGCCTATCAGAGGGTGGAGGTTGGGATGATGGAGACGACCAGAAAAAATAACTAATGGATACTAGGCTTAATGGGTGGGTGAGGAAATAATCTGTATGACAAACCCCCATGAAACGTTTACCTATATAACACTATGTAACAAACCTACATATTACTCCTGAACTTCAAATAAAAGTTAAAGGAGAAAAAGTAATGACAATACCAACTGCTGGCAAGAATCCAGAGTAACAGAACCACTTAGTTATAACCGAATAAAATATTAAAAGGCAAAGAAGCCACTCTACAAAGCAGTTTGGCACTTAAAAAAAAAGAAACAATAAAAAGTAACAACAAAAGCTATACATACAACCGTGCATTTGTCCCAGAGAAACGGAAACATATGTTCACACAGATTTCAGAATATTACTCAGCAATAAAATAGAATAAAACATTGACACATAAAACAACCTGCATAGACTCCGAAATATTATCCTGAGTGGAAAAGAATCCCAAATGTTACATAGTATATAATTTTATTTATGAAATGTTCTTGAAATATCAAAATTATAGAAAATATGAGTTTCATGGTTATTGGGGTTACTGAGGGAATGGTAGCAGTAGACAGGTGTGTGTGTGGCTATGAAAGGGCAATATGAGGTTTTATTGTGATGAACTAATCTGTATCTTGACTGTACCAACATCAGTATCCTGGAGGTGATATTGTAGCATAGTTTTAAAGAAGCTACCACTGGGGGAAAGTAGGTAAAGAGTACAGGGAAATTTGTCTGTATTATATACTACAAGTGCATGTGAATTAAATGTTATTTAAAAATGAAAAGTCAGCGATATAGTTTAGCTATTTGTCCCTGCCCAAATCTCATGTTGAACTGCAATTCTCAATGCCTGGTTGGAGGTGTATGGATCAAGGGGATGGATCATTTACAGCTTGGTGCTATCTTTGTGATAGTTCTCATGAGATCTGATCATTTAAAAGTGTGTGGCACCTCCCTCTCACTCTCTCTTGCTTTCACTATGTGATTTGTCCTGCTTTCACTATGTCATTTGCTTGCTTCCCCTTCACCTTCTGTATTGAGTAAAAGGTCCCTGAGGCCTCCCCAGAAGCTAAATTATGTTAGCACCATCCTTGTACAGCCTGCAGAACTATCAGCCAATTAAACCTTTTTTCTCATAAATTAACTAATTTTAGGTATTTCTGTATAGCAATGTAAGAATAACTTAACACAGTTAATTTAAAAATACTGTAGACATTAGCATTATTAAAAATTACCAAAAGGTAGAAGCAACTCCAATTCATATCAACTGATGAACAGATAAATGAAATGTGGTATATGTATACAATGAAACATTATTCAGGCATAAAAGGAATGAAGTACTGATATATTATACAGTATGAATGAATCTTGAAAAAATTAAGTGAAATAAACTAGTCACAAAAAACAAATACTATATGATTACATTTATATATGTAAAATATTACATATATGTAATATTATATATAATATTTTACATCTATATGTTACTGTCCAAAATAGGCAAATACATAAAGACAGAAGGCAGGTTAGTGGTTGCCAGGGCCAGGGGAGAATGGGGAGTGATTAAGTGATACATTAGTTTTGGAATTTCCTTTGTAGTGATGAAAAGGTACTGTAACTAGGTGGTGTTGATGGTTGCACAACGTTGTGAATATACTCAATACCACTTAGATGTACACTTTAAAATATTTAATTTGGTAAATTTCATGTGTATTTCAAAACACAATAAAAAGAAAAAATGAAATAGAAAATGAGACATCAATATATTAAAATATTCATTTCCGGGTAAGTGGGTTATAAATGATTTATTTTCTATTTTATACACTTGTACTTTCTGAATATTTTAAATGAGTATATATTAATGTTATCATCATAAAAACTTAAAGAAAAATGGCAATGCATATGCACTAATACTAAACCTAGCATTTAAGGAAAGTTGAAGTCAGTGAAGTGAAAAGAAGAAAAGCTATTTAAAACAGACTTTTTATTATGGAAAATGACAAACACAAACAAAACATTGACTAGTGTAATTAGCTTCTATTTACCCGTCGCTCAGCTTAAATATTCATCAACTCATGAGCTATATGATTTGTTTTCATCCCCACCCACTGAGAAAGCATTAATAAGTGTTGTTGTGCTGTGGGTGGAGAGAACATGGACCTAAAGGTAGACATATTTGTATTTTAATCTCAATTCTGTCATTTATTATCTGACTTGGCAGTCCAGACACCTAGAATAAATGCTAGTTCTCTTTACTGATCTGTGAGTTTCTGACTGGTTGCATAAACTACTTCCTCCTCTGTCAAAAATGATAATGTTTGTGTGTCATAAGTGAAATGACACGGGGAAAAAGAAACAAAAATATATATGTATTAGTCTCTTCTCACACTGCTAATAAAGACATACTCGAGATTGGGTAATTTATAAAGGAAAGAGGTTTAATTGAATCACAGATTCACATGGCTGGGGAGGCCTCGCAATCATGGTAGAAGACAAATGAAGAGCAAAGTCATGTCTCATATGGCAGCAGAGAAGAGAGTTTGTGTAGGGGAACTCCCTTTTATAAAACCATCAGATCTCATGAGACTTACTATCATGAGAAGAGTACAGGAAAGACCTGTCCCCATGATTCAATTACCTCCCACTGGGTCTCTCCTATGATGTGTGGGAATTATGGGAGCTACAGTTCAAGATGAGATTTAACTGAAGACAGTGCCAAACCATATCATTCTGTCCCTAGCCCTTCCTAAATTTTACGTCTTCAGATTTCAAAACCAGTCATGACTTCCCAGCAGCCCTCCAAAGTCTTAACCCATTTCAGCATTAACTCAGAAGTCCACAGTCCAAAGTCTCATCTGAGACAAGGCAAGTCCCTTTCACCTATGAGCCTGTAAAATGAAAAGCAAGTTAGTTCCTTCCAAGATACAAGGGGGTACAGGCGTTTGGCAAATTCACCCATTCCAAATGGGAAAAATTGGCCAAAAAAAGTGGCTGCAGGCCCCATTAAAGTCTGAAATCTAACAGGGCAATGAAATCTTAAAGCTCCAAAATGATCTCCTTTGACTCCGTGTCTCACATCCAGGTCACATCAATGCAAGAGGTGGGGTCACATGGCCTTGAGCAACTCTGTCCCTGTGGCTTTCATGGTACAGCCCCCCTCCTGGCTGCTTTCATGGGCTGATGCTGAGTGTCTGTGTCTTTTCCAGGAACATGGTGCAAGCTCTTGGTGGATCTACCATTCTGGGGTCTGGAGGACAGTGGCCCTCTTCTCACAGCTCCACTAGGTAGTGCCCCAGTGGGAACTCTGTGGGGGCTCTGACCCCACATTTCCCTTCTGCACTGCCCTAGCAGAGGTTCTCCATGAGGGCTGTGCCCCTGCAGCACACATCTGCCTGGACAGCCAGGTGTTTCCATATATCCTCTGAAATCTAGGCAGATGTTCCCAAACCTCAATTCTTGACTTCTGTGCAACCACAGGCTCACCACCACACGGAAGCTGCCAATGCTTGAAGCTTGCACCCTCTGAAGCCACGACCCAAGCTGTACCTTGGCCACTTTTAGCCACAGCTGCCGTGGCTGGGATGCAGGGCACAAAGTCCCTAGGTTGCATACAGCAGGGAGGCGTCTTGGGCTCAGCCCAGGAAAGCATTTTTTTTTCTTCCTAGGCCTTCAGGTCTGTGATAGGAGGCACTGCCACAAAGGTCTCTGACATGCCCTGGAGACATCTTTCCCATTGTCTTGGTGATTAACATGAGGTTCCTTATTACTATTGCAAATTTCTGCAGCAGGCTTAAATTTCTCCCCAGAAAATGAGGTTTTCTTTTCTAATGCATAGCCAGGCTACAAATTTTTTGAACTTTTATGTTCTGCTCCCTCTTGAATGTTTTGCCAGTCAGAAATTCCTTCTGCCGGATACCCTAAATTATTTCTCTCAAGTTCAAAGTTCCACAGATTTCTAGGGCTGTGGCAAAATGCCTCCAGTGATTTTGCATAGCAAGAGTGACCTTATTCTAGTTCTCAACAAGTTCCTCATCTCTATCTGAGACCACCTCAGCCTGGACTTTATTGTCCATATCACTATCAGCATTTTGGCCAAAGTCATTCAACAAGTCTCTAGGAAGCCGCAAACTTTTCCACATTTTCTTGTCTTTTTCTGAGTCCTCCAAACTGTTCCAACCTCTCTGCCTGTTACGGAGTTTTAAAGTCACTTCCATATTTTCAGGTATCTTTACATCAGCATCCCACTCTACTGGTACCAAGTTACTGTATTAATCTGTTCTCATGCTGCTAATAAAGACATACCGAGACTGAGTAATTACAAAGGAAAGAGGTTTAATTGACTCACAGTTCCACGTGGCTGGGGAGGCCTCACAATCATTGCAGAAGACAAACAAAGAGCAAAGTCATGTATTACATGGCAACAGGCAAGAGAGGTTCTGTAGGGGAACTCCCCTTTATAAAACCATCAAATCTGAAGAGACTTATTCACTAACATGATAACAGCATGGGAAATACCTGCCCCCATGATTTAATTACCTCCAACTGGGTACCTCACACAACACATGGGAAATATGGGAGCTATGACCCAACATGAGATTTGGGTGGGGACACAGCCAAACCGTGTCAATATATAATACAGGTCATCAGATTAATTGTATTGGCTACCTATCTTTTTATAACCTGAATGAAAGTTAACTAGGAATCTGGATGTTTTTAAACCAAATTTAACTATGTAAAAGTTGACTAATATACATTTGAGTAGAGGAATATTATGTCTCAGATGGCCTGAGGCAGTCTGTTTGTTCCTGTGATCAGCCAAAAGTATTGTCACAGCCCTCTTTACCTCTCAAAGGTTCCCAGTTTAAATGATGCATTTTAAGGGTACCCTATATTTAGAAAATGTAATTTTAGGAAAATAACATTCAGGAGATTTCAAAAATGCAGTAAAATATTTAAAAAAAGGAATATTATGTGCTTTTTAATAGCATGACCTTTTCAATATTGATGAATAATTTTTAAAATAAGCATTTTTATATGTTAACTGAATTTATCTGATATTCAGCCATAATTTCATTTATATTTTAGAATAGACTGTATGATTCTGGGTCATTCCCAAATGACTGTAGTTTGGCATAAATATAAAGCTTTATAGGACTTTACTCTTTTTACAGTGCTGTGATTGCATCCGTAATGCCCCTATCTTCCTATCTGCAAAGGCAAGCGGGTTAATTCCCTCATAAAAGAAGGACCGTTAAAGCCACATGAAGGAGCCCTTGTGGACAAATCAGATTGCTGAACTAACCATAGTACTAATGGCTGCTCCATTCAAATAAAAATCTAGCTGCTATCAAGCATGGCCCTAGTGCCCGAAAACTGTAAAGTGTTTTACAACCACCCTTAGCAAACCTGCCTCACATCAATCCAGGGATCACAAGTTGAAATAGCTAGTGTTTTTTTTTTCTAATATGAAAATATACTCATTCATTCAACATTTATTGAGTACATTACACATCCCCCTTCTATACAAGGCATTAAGGATACAAAGATGCATAAGGCAGTGTCCAAAGCTACTTAAGGAGCTCAGTGTGAACTCACAGATTCTGGCCATTCAAAATTTATTTCACCAGCTACAAGTATAAATTACAATTTATCATTTGTTTTCTAGAATCTGCCATTTTGTTCCTCTATTTCTTCAAGAAATACTGAGTGCTCACACTGTTCCAGGCATTATTCTGGGTACTAGAAATACATGAAGGCCCTGTTCTCATGAAGCTAATAGCGTAGAGCGGGGACACAGAAAATTTAAAGAAACAAATATACAACATGTCAGGTGGTAATAAGTGTTACGAAAAGAAACTGACTCAGAGTAAAATGAGATAGAGCTTGATGAGAGTGAGGAGTGGGTCATTCCATATTGGGTGGTCAGGGAAGACTTTTTTTCAAAAGAAGCCTTTGAGGAGAGACCTAAAAAAAGATGATAGAGATATAAAGAGAATTCGAGGCAGAAAATATGGCTTGTATATTCCCCAGAATATCAAGGAGGCCAGTGTAGCTGGAGAGTGAACTGGGAAGACAGTGGTAATCTGGTGGTGAGGTCAGATGGAGAGAGGGAGGCAGGAAAAACTATGTATTGCCTGTGAAGGATTGCATGAAAACTGGATTTTGTTCTAAGTGTGCTTCGAAACAATCACCTGTTTTTGGGAAGAGAAGTGAGATGCTTTAGGTTTTGAAAGGGTCACCCTGGCTGCTGTGTTGAAAATGATTGTAGGAGGGCAAAGGTTGAAATAGGTAGACCAGTTAGGACACTTAGGGAATAACTGAGGCGAGTGATTGATGGTGGCTTGAACTAGGATACTAGCAGTGGAGCTGGAGAAAAATGGTTGAGTTGGGGATAGAATCTGAAAATAGAGACCATATGACTTGCTTGACAGATTGGACATATTTGTAAAACTGTACATTTTTCCTTGAGAAAAATTAACTTGCCACTTGCTGAGATGGGGAAGACTGTAAGAATAGAAAGCTAGGAGACAGAAATCAGGGTTTGGACAATGGATATATTAGGTTTGTGTTTAGACACTGAAATGGAAATGTAGAATAGGCACTTGACTATGTGAGTCTAGAGTTTGAGTGACAGATCTGTGTTAAAGACAAAGATTTTAGAATCTTCAACATATACATGGCATTTAAAGTTATGAGACTGGATATATTTAACCAGAAAGTATGTGTAGATGCTTGAAATACTGAAAAGAAATAGCCATTAATTGTATAAGAGCAACCAGGAGAAAATAGTGTATCAGATGCTAAGTAAAAAAGGTATTTAAGAAGGAAAATGTAATCAGCTATGTCAAAGGCCACTTCAGGTATCTAATAATCACTTACTAATAAGTCTTTTTTTTTCTAGGCACTCTTCTAGTTGCTTGAGATCTAAAGCTGACAAAATAGTTGTTGTCGTGGAGGTGCTTCCAGTGTGGGAGATGGCCAGGCCACATAAGCAGACCATGTTGATATATTGTGAATAGTGCTAAAAGAGTCACATGCAAAATTTACCAGGGGATCGTGTGCCTTCTGTTATGTGGCTTTCCTATTACACCTGTAGAGGCAAGTGATCGGAATGAATAAATCTTTTGTATTAGTATAATGCAGCAACTGATTGCTGCAAAAGAGGTACTGAATTACAATCTAGGTTTTATTCCCTAAGAGGTAAGTTAAATATAAGCCAAATTTCTTGGGACATATTTTTCAGACTAGGCAAGGTTTTGTTATAATCATGAAAGAGATTGGTATTCATACTCTTTTACTTTGTATTCAAACTAGAATTATACATTGAGAAAAAGTATTAAAATATATATTGGTATAACTATATGGAAGCACCAGACTAGCATTCCTTATCTAAAGCAATTGTGGTACCCTAAGCACACTTCCCAGAGGATGTCAGAATGGACCAGCAGAATTAGCAATACACACAGCTTCCAAGGTAAGCTGCTTATTTGCTTAAGTAATTTAACTATTTCGATTCAGTTCACTCAGATGATCAATTCAGTTATAAAATAATCATTTGCTTGTCTTTATTTACTTGCCCATAGATAAAAAGACCACATGATTGACTTAGTGGATTTGTTTAATTAAATAATCCTTTGCTTGGCCTTCAGGTCACAGTGCATACTCTTTAGTGTGACAGAGCTTTTCATCAGAGAGTTGAGTAGAGGATTTCAAATAACATACTCTTGAGTCATACTGCCTTGTCTTGAATCCTGGTTTAATTGTTCACTAATTAAATGACCTTGGAAAAATTACATGATTTCTCTATTCATTAGTTTCTTCATCTATAAAGTGGGGGTAATAATAGAACATGACTCAGAGGGTTATTGTGAGTAGTAAATCTGTTACTTACATGCATTGTACTTAACAAGGCATTTGGGGCATAGTAGTGCAATATAAGTGTTTGCTATTATCATCTGGCTCAAATCCACTGGTCTGGGCTCACCAGCTGCCACTTACAAACATCCAGTATCCTTCCCGTCAATCAAAGCTGCTTAAACAGAAGAACAGAGAGAGAACAGCCAGGAGGCTGTTTCACTGATCCAAGCAAGAGTTGATGGTGCCAGTGAAGATGAAGAGAAGTAGATTGACTTGGATTATATTTTGAAAGTTGAGCTGACAATATTTTCTAATGAATTACATGTGTAGGATAAGAGCAAGAGAAGTAAAACAAACAAACAAAAAAACCAACAAACGACACAATTCCTAGCGTTTGGGCTGGACTAATTGGATGGAAGTCTGGGAGAGGAGCAGGAATTCTACTTGGAACATGTTATAGATTTTGACCATTTCCAAGCAGAGATGTCAAGTAGCCAATTGGATAACACACCCGGAGTTCAGGGGAGTCAGTGCTGCAGACATAAATTTGGGAATCATCAGTATATAGATACTATTTAAAGTACAAAGCCATAGGAATAGCTGAGGTTATGTAGGGGCTGATATATCTGATGATTGTCATGAAGTTTATATGAGTAAGCTAATGTGACATATTTGGCAAAATTATTGCACATAGTAAGTGTGCAATATATGATAATTATTGTTATAATTGTGATTATTATTAAGGATAATTTATTGCAATGACAGAAATTATGGAAAACCTCCATTGTTATTTAGAGATGTATTTCCACACCTTTCTTCTATCCTGGCACACGTAGAAAATAACATTTGCACAACTACTGGGGTGAACAGCACTGCTTGAAGTACCTGCCTCAGGTCTTGCCCGCCTTCCCCCATTTATGTGAATGTAAGTATCTTTGGCTGTAATATTCCATTCTTACTACAGCACTGCATCAAACTAATTGAAAACCTCTAGTCTAGAGCCTTGATACTTAAAGTATGGTGCATAGACTAGCAGTGTGGGTCTTGTTTTTCCATGCATAATCTTGGGCCCAGTAAATCTGAATCTGAATTTCTACAAGATGCCCAGGTGATTCCTGCGTACATACCTTAAAGTTTCGGAAGCTGATTTATGGGATTACTGTGCAAATCATAAGTAATTTACATTCACTGAAACTGATATATGGAATGCCAAACTTGAAATGATTATTTCTTCTTCTTTCTTTCCACACAAGGGAAGGATATATATTGTGTCGATTATGTGCTGGGCACATGGAGACACTTGCATCAGGGTTGTTTTTGCATTGCTGGACTTATTTGTAATGTGCAAAAGCTCTGGGGTTCGTTGTTTGTTTAATTAAGTAGTTTCCATTTTACAAGGGCACTTTATACCCACATTGTGGCCATGCTTATATGTGATGAATAACCTGGGACTATCTCTTAACCTTGCAACTATGACAGTTGACATCAGGAATAGAGTTCAGGGTGGGAAACTTGACACCTCACTTTGGGCCACATTAATGGTTGCTGCTGAACTGAGTAAATTCCATTTGGCCTGGGATAGTGACTCTTAAGCACAATGATGAAATAAGGCTATTAGCTAAATTTGATGTAGATAGAAGGGGAATATGGTTAATTCAGGCCTCCACCAAAACTAATTTCTTCCCTAATCAAGGGTTTATTTTTTTAATTACCCACTTAATTTTATTATTCACATTTTAATTTGTTCCATATAGATAATGCCAAAGGCTAGGTTAACTTGTGTGAAAATGACCCACTTATATTTTTAATATGTAAAACACTTTTAAAAATTAAGCTAATAAATAGCTTTAATTAAATTATTATTATTATTATTTACTTTGGGAACATCCAAACTTGCTACTGTAGCAAGTGGAATCCTGGAGTTCTCACCCATTCTTGAGTGGGTGTGGCCTGACTCACCTCACAACAGTGGGTATTGAGCCAAAGAAATTCTTCCATTAGACATTCCAGAGAAAAAGGACAGGTTCAAGAACCAAAGCGAGTTCAAATGAAACACTGTCCCAGGAGAGATGGAAGCTCCATAGAAGGTTTCTGGTCTGTAACTGAAAATAGTCCAAGGGGCAAGAAGGAAATATATCTGTTTGAGAATATGTCTATGTGGGTTGAGGCAGAACTTGGAGACACACTTTATGCTTTCAATCTTAAAATAAACTATACCACTGTAATACCCACAGCCTTGCCCATATATGGCCAATGGGTTTTCAGAGGGCAGAGAAGGTATTTATATAAGACAAAACTAGTTCATATTTGAGTTTAGTCACTCCAGGGTTTAATCTGTGATATGATTTGGCTGTGTCCCCACCCAAATCTCATCTCAAATTGTGGTTCCCATAATCCTCATGTGTTGTGTGGGGACCTGGTAAGAGGTAATTGAATCATGGGGGCAGTTTCCCCCATGCTATTCTCATGATAGTAAGTTCTCATGAGATCTGATGGTTTTATAAGCACCTGGCATTTCCCTTGCTGTCACTCATTCTCTCTCCTGCCACCCTGTGAAGGGATGCCTTCCTCCATGATTGTAAGTTTCCTGAAGCCTCCCCAGCCATGCAGAACTGTGAGTCAATTAAATCAGTTTTTTTTTTTTTATAAATTACCTAGTCTCAGCTATTTCTTTACAGCAGAGTGAGAATGGACTAATACAGTAAATTGGTGCCACAGAAAGTGGGTTGCTGCTATAAGGATACCCAAAAATGTGGAAGTGACTTTGGAACTTGGTAACAGGCAGAGGTTGGAACAGTTTGGAGGGCTCAGAAAAAGGCAGGAAGGTATGGAAAAGTTTGAAACTTCCTAGAGACTTGTTGAATGGCTTTGACCAAAATGCTGATAGTGATATGGATGATGAAGTCCAGGCTGAGGTGTCTCAGATAGAGATGAGCAACTTGTTGAGAACTGGAGTAGAGGTCATTCTTGCTATGCTTTAGCAAAGGGACGGGTGGCTTTTTGCCCCTGCCTTGGAGAACTGTGGAACTTTGAACTTAAGAGAGATGATTTAGGGTATCTGGCAGAAGAAATTTCTAAGCAGCAAAGCATATAAGAGGTGATAGAGCATAAAAGTTTGGAAAATTTGCAGCCTGAAAATGCAATAGAAAAGAAAAACCCACTTTCTGGGAAAAAAATTCAGCCCTGCTGCAGAAATTTTCATAAGTAAGGAGGAGCCAAATGCTAGTTGCCAGGACAATGGGGAACATGCCTCCAGGGCATGTCAGAGACATTCGTGGCAGCCCCTCCCATCACAGGCCTGGAGGCCTAGGAGAGAAAAATGGTATTCTGGGCCAGGTCCAGGGTTTCTCTGCTGTGTACAACCTAGGATTTGGTGCCCTATATCCCAGGTACTCCAGCCATAGCTAAAAGGGGCCAAGGTACAGCTCAGGCCATTGTTTCAGAGGATGCAAGCCCCAAACATTCACAGCTTCTAAGTTGTATTGGGCCTGTGAGTGCACAGAAGACAAGAATTGAGATTTGGGAACCTCCACCTAGATTTCAGAGGATGTATGGAAATGCCTGGATGTCCAGGCAGAAGTTTGCTACAGCAGCAGGGCCCTCATGGAGAACCTTTGCTAGGGCAATGCAGAACAAAAATGTGGGATCAAAGCCCCCACACAGAGTTCCCACTGGAGTACTGCTTAGTGGAGCTGTGAGAAGAGGGCTACCATCCTCCAGACCCCAGAATGATAGATCCACTGACAGCTTGCACCGTGAGCCTAGAAAAGATGCAGATACTCAATGCCAGCTGTGAAAGCAGCTGGGTGGGGGGCTGTACCCTGCAAAGCCACATGAGTGGAGCTGCCCAAGGCTGTCGGAGCCCACCTCTTGCATCAGCGTGCCCTGGATGTGAGACATAGAGTCAAATGAGATTATTTTGGAACTTTAAGATTTAATGACTGCCCTATTGGATTTTGGACTTGCATGTGGCCTGTAGCCCCTTTCTTTTGGCCAATTTATAACACTTGGAATGGGTGTATTTACCCAATGCCTGTACCCCAATTATATGTAGAAAGTACCTAACTTGCTTTTGATTTTATAGGCTCATAGGTGGAATGGACTTGCCTTGCCTCAGATGAGAGTTTGGACTTGAATGCTGAGTTAATGCTGGAATGAATTAAGTCCTTGGGGGACTGTTAGAAGGGCATGATTTAAGGTTTAAAATGTGAGGAAATGAGATTTGGGTGGGGCCAGGGGTACAATGATATGGTTTGGCTCTGTCTTCACCAAAATCTCGTTTTGAATTGTAGTACCCATAATTCCCATGTGTGATGGGAGGAAACTGGTGGGAGGTAATGGAATTATGGGGGCAGTATTTCTCAGGCTATTCTTCTGATAGTGAGTAAGTTCTCACAAGACCTGATGGTTTTATAAGGGGCTTCCCCCTTCCTTTGGCTCTCATTCTTCTCTTTCCTGCCACCCTGCGAAGAAGAACGTGTTTGCTTCCTCTTCTTCCATGATTGTCAGTTTCCTGATGCCTCCCTGGCCATGCTGAAGTGTGAGTCAATTAAACCTCTTTCTTTTATAAATTTCCCAGTGCCGGGTATGTTCTTATAGCAGAGTGAAAACAGACTAATACAATCTGTATATTCCATGCAGTCTTATGGCTATCTGCCATACAATGTTTGTGGCAATATATTGGAGGGTTTAAAGGATCACAGGTTGCATGTGAAAGGAATTGAGAATCATATATCTGGTTCTTGTCAGGCTAATACATTATATATTCAGGTGAGCTTGCATGAGCAAAACTTCCCATTCCCAATATTGATGAAGGAGGGTTACTGAGCAAAGGAAAGTAAGCAAGAGAGGGCTCTGGACACAAGAAAAGCCAGCCACCAGCTCACTATGTGACTGTGGACCAGGTCCTTCTTCTCTTAGAGCCTCACTTAGCCTATTTGTAAAAAATATTGTGGACTAAATGAATTCGAGTGGCCCTACTGGTTCAGACATTCTATAATCCTAGGCAAGCTGGCAATGTCAAAATAAATTTTAGCAAGTATCTTGTCAAAAATTTTAAAAAATTGTTATACAACCTGATATGTTTTGGCTATGTCCCTACCCAAAATCCCATCTTGAATTGTAATCCCCGTAATCCCCACAGGTCAAGGGCGAGACCACGTGGAGGTAATTGTATCATGGGAGCAGTTCTCCCATGCTCTTCTTGTGATTAAGAGTGAGTCGTATGAGATCTGATGGTTTTATAAGTGTCTGGCATTTCTCCTGCTTGCACTCATTCTCTCTCTTGCAGCCCTGTGAAGAAGGTGCCTGCTTCTCCTTTGCCTTTCATCATGACTGTAAGTCTCCTGAGGCCTCCCCAGCCATGCAGAACTGTGAATCAATAAACCTCTTTCCTTTATAAATTACCCAGTCTTGGCTATTTCTTCATAACAGTGTGAGAACAGACTAATACACAACCAAAATCTCAACAAATATTATTCTCAAAATGTGTTTTTTTTTTATTTTTTATTTTTGAAGCATTCACTGAAGGAAAAGAGATGCAGGGTATCAGAGTAATAGAATTCTGAATTGGGAGACTTTGAGAAAAAGAAATCAAGTAAAGTCCAGGGTCTGGTACTCCGTCCCCCCTGAGGCACTCTAGGCTAAAACCTAGAGAATGTGAGGGGAAAATTATGAGAGATGGTTCTTCATGTTTACTTTACGGTGCTCTGCAGACAACCTTCTGTCACCATGACCAATTAGAAACAAACAGTAATCAGCATTATTGAAAGGAGAAAAAATATTTCTATGTTGAAAATATACACAATCAAATAAAAACAAGGCATTTTAAATTACCTGTAGGAATTTCAAGACAGTGGTTGTCACACTCTTTAATTGGCTATTTTGTTCACTGTACATGGTCAGGGAATACAATGACATGGCAGTAATTTCCATTTCTGTGAAAAGATTGTTGTTTTCTTTCAGGACATATATCCCAATTAATTTTTTTTCCTCCAAATACTTAAAAAACATGCATTTAAATCACTGAGTAAATTTCCCATTTCAATTAATATTCATACAAGTGAGAAATCATAAAACTATAATGTGAAATTGAACAACAAAATGACTAAGATCTAGTAAAATGAAATGTAAATATTGAACATGCTTCAGTTTTTCATATCAAGTAGTTAAAGATAGCATTAGCTCATAATTGTGGTATGAACTACAAAAACCTGTCAGCTAAAACATCGGGTAAGACTTGAAATAACATCTGTTTACATAATCTCAGTTTCAGAAAGGTGTTGGAATTCCAGGACAAACTGCAGCATCAGCATTTTTATATTGGTCTTCTAAAAGTTCTTTACTCTTAGATGGGCAATATAAATAGGCCAATTTTTGGCCTGAAATCAGAAGATCTGTTTGAATTTCTACTCTACCACTGATCTTGGCTGTGTGACCTCTGTAAGATCAGTTAACATTTCAGATTTTTGTTTCCTCAGCTATAAAAGTTGGGATAATATATATTTCATGGGGCAGTTATTTATTAAGATATATTAACAGGTGTTTCTATAGAGTAAAACATAAGAAAACCATTGAGTAGTGAATCTGTTATCTAATACTGCATAACAGGCCACACTAAGTCTTAGTGGTTTAAAACAAAAATTATTTTACTCTTTCTCACTGTTTCTGAGCTTCCAGAATTTGGGAAGGGCTTAGATAGCCAATTCTGGCTTATTGTTTATCATGTAGTCTTAGCATTTCTCCATGTGTTATCTTCATATGGGCTAGTTTGGGCTTCCTAAAAATATGCCAGCCTCAGAGAAGTTCCATTGTTGACATGGTTGCTAGCATCACCAATATTAGGCAGAAGTGTATGGCATTTTTAGAGCTTAGTTTTGGAAGCCACATAACATCTCTAGTGGGCAAGGCAGTCACAAAAACCCAAATTCAAGGGAAGGGGCCATATACGATATATTTACTTTCAAAGAGTGTTAAAGTAATTTAGTAAGAATAGCATGTGCTGCTCTGATCATTCTGAGAAAATACAACCTGTCACATATGGCATTGAACCACAATTTTGTATCATTATTGCTAGTCTGATTTATAAGATACTTTTTTTTTTTTTTTTTTTTTTTTTTGAGACAGAATCTCACTATCTCACTCTACTGCCCAGGCTGGAGTGCCATGGCATGATCATGGCTAAGTGCAGCTTTGAACTTCTGGGCTCAAGAAATCCTCCCATCTCAGCCTCCCAAAGTGTTGGGATTGCAAGCATGAGTCACCATGCCTGACCTGATTTATAAGATACTTTCACCACTAATTCTCCAATGAAACCACTCCCTCAAGGTCATTATTTCACTGATTAATTTAGAATAAAATTCATATATGGCAGCATCCTCTTTCAGGTAGCAAAGAATAATATTTAATACCATATGGGATATTGGCTCTTCATCAGACAATATTCCAGATGTGTTATGTATGTTATTTAAATCCTTAATTTGATTTTGTAAAGTAGGAAATATTCTCATTTTATTAAGGAGTATGAGATTCAGAGAGATTCACTTGCCCAGGTCACAGAAGTCAAATTTGGATCTGTTACCCTCATTACTATAGTGCATGGCCTCTCTATTAGCAAATACTTAAATAATGCTTGACACGTTGCAGGTGCTCTGACACACACAAATGCAGAAACACACACACACACTCTTAATCTTCACTAAACTTTTAATCTTCACTCAACTTTATACAGACTAATATCTCCATTCTATAGATGAGAAAAATGAAGCACAGAGAGATTACATAATTTATCCAAAGCCAGATAGCTAGCAAATAGTGGAGCCTGATTTCACACTAAGATCTACGTGACTCCAAAATTGTTCTGGAATCATTCATATATTAACAATAAAGCATAAATTGGCTTCTCAACTTACTTTTCTTTTTTGCATGGAGAGATGGGTTTACACTGGGCATTTGGCAGGAGAGGAGAGCACGAGGAGTTTAAAGGGACTCTTTTGCCTTTTGCTTGAGGGTGATCACAGTGTTGGTAGTGGCATGGGAGGACAGGCAAAGCACAATAGCCAAAATCTGCCTACTCCCCAATTTTCCCAGGGTGGACCTTAATAAGACGTTGACTATAAAACTCATCTTAAATCATTGTATAGGCAAGATACATTTTCTGTGGCAAAATGGAAAAATACAGATCTCAATCAAATATGGTGTGTTTCTGCTACTTTCTGACAGATGGAAGCCAGACATATGCATTTATTGTCATTATGCAGGTATTTATAAATCAAGCTCCAATTCTTTTTGCTTTATTTGAACAAAAGCAATATCACGCAGCAGGTCCTTGTCCTTATTGTTTGTAATGCAGGGTAAGGAAAAAGTCAGCATTTGCATACTTTTATTAATACAAGAAACCTAAAATTCAACTAGAAAGTAAGCAATTCATTTAGTGACAGTTACACACTGGATGTGGTATTATTCTGCATATTCACAGTAACTTTTTTTCAGGATGTGTGACACTGCAACTGTACCAGTTTCTTTTAGAAACATCTTTCAACAAAGGAATTACACTTATTAGCTGTGTAATATTAGGCAAAGCACATAAATTGTCTGAATTTCAATTTACTCAACTGCAAAATAGGGTTAATAAAGCCATAGGAGGCCAGGCACAGGGGCTCACGCCTGTAATCCCAACACTTTGGGAGGCCAAGGTGGGCAGATCTCCTGAGGTCAGTAATTTGAGACCAGCCTGGCCAACATGGTGAAACCCCGTCTCTACTAAAAATACAAAAATTAGCTGGGCATGGTGGCATGTGCCTGTAATCCCAGCTACTAGGGAGGCTGAGGGAGGAAAATCGCTTGAACCCGGGAGGTGGAGCCAAGATCACGCCACTGAACTCCAGCCTGGGTGACAGAGTAAGACTCTGTCCAAAAAAAAAAAAAAAAAAGCCATAGGAGTTGTAGAAAAAGAAAGTGTAAGCTATAAGGTGCATATGGCTTGCAAGCAAGCTTTGTTATTATATTAATTTATATTAGAAGATTTATCTTCATTTGGTAAGTATACACAAATATTACTATTTATTCAAAAGAACATTTATTGTTACCTACTATGTGCCAACTGTAGTTCTAGGTGCCCAAGATAAATCATGAGCAAAACACAACAGTTCTATTCTCATTGAGTTTTTATTTTAGTGAGGAAAGTAGAATGTAAGTTAACAAGTATATCAGATGTTAGTGATGGGTACTAGGAGGAAAATAAAGGGTAAAGAGAGTGTGAAGAAAGATGTGGTGATGAAGTTATATCTGTGGACTGGATGAGGGAGGGGTACTTGTTTATATAATATAATTACTGAAGACCTCTATGGTAAGAAACCATTGGAAATAAAGAAAATCTGAGAATTTTTTTTTATCGTGGTATTAAGATGATCCCAAGTAATGGAAACAATAATTATTATAAATCATTATTATAAAGCCCTGCAATATTGGTTTAAAAAAAGAATTTCATCAAAAGAGTGGTCACTAGTTTTACATTGGGCTTCTTTAAATAGTAAGAATTTTACTTAATCAATATTTTTTTTTCTATTTTGCTTATTTAGAACAGGCATGGTGCTTTCTTTCCTCTTAATAGTGAAATGGGAAAAGTTCCCTTATCCCCCTCACAGGGTGTGCGACAGGGGCAGTGGCTCACTTCTTTGGTGCACTGCAGCTCAAACCACTACGGGGAGCATGCAGACGGGCAGGTCGTGTGGAGCCTGGGCTCGGACCCCACGGCAGTGTCCAGGGTTGAGTGTTTACAGCTCCCGCAGCCCCAGTGGGCTTGTGTTACAGTGTTCTCTTTCAGCTTAACCACTTGCAGGCAGCTTGTGTTAATTAGCTCAATTAGACCCTCTGCCCTATCTCAGCAAGGACAGAGGGCTTTCTGTATCCCAGGTTCTTGAGTTGGTGTATCAGAAAAATCGGATCGCACGTGTGGTTGGAGGATGGGTGCAAGGTTGTATAAGTTTTTTAAGTGGAGGTAGCTCTCAGTGAGGTGAATGGAGAGGCCAGAAGGGGGATGGAGAGGGAAGATGATCTTCCCCTGGAGTCGGGAAACCCAGTGGCTGGACTCTCCTCCAACTCAATTCCCGTCAGCCTCCCCGTTGTTCTGCTCTCAATGGCCTGCTGGCATCTGTTCAGTGTGTTCTTCTGCTGGTGTGTTTGCCTTGACATCCAGCTGTTTGTGTCTGTGCCCGCTGGGGTCTTGGGGTTTTTATAGGCACAGGATGAGGGCATGGCAGACCAGAGTGGTCTTGGAAAATGCAACATTTGGCCATAAAAAGAGGAGTGTCCGTCCTCACTTAGGTCCCTGGTCACAGGCCCGAGAGTGGAGCCTTCACCAGGGACCCTGCCCTTTTTTACCCGGCACTTCCCTGTCACACTCCCGTATCAATAGTTATGATTTGCTTAGTATCTTCTATGTACCTTACATTTTACATGTATTATCTCTTGAACCAACAATAACCTTGAAGGGTAGGCGTGGTTCTATTCAGTATATGTGTTACCCAAAACTACGTTTAATTATCAGGTTTCATCCTTACAACAACCTGGGACTGAAATATCGCTCAAGTAATTTTAAACAAGAGAAAATACTTGTAGAAATCATGTGCTCCAAGGCTGCACACCCAGTAGGTGGCAGAACCTAAATGTGAACATAGCTTTTCCTAACTCTAACATTGCTGTGCCTTTCCTCTACATCATGCTGCCTCTCATCCCTAGCTAATTAAAATGAAATACTTATCTATTGGAGTATGTTACATCAGTTCCAATATCCAGCCAGTTTTTCACTCCCTGCTTTGTGGCTTCTGAAACAGGTTTAACAAGAGTTGAGACCTAGCCACGGATAATTAAACCGTAATGGTTAATGAAGGGGAACTTAGGGCTTTCCGCATTCCAACCAGAATCTTTGTACATGACATCAATTAAAGAAACTACTAGAGCTTCTTCAATATCATATTTCTTATTTCTCTTTGATCAGCACAGAATGTCC
Source organism: Homo sapiens (assembly GCF_000001405.40). Taxonomy (NCBI): domain Eukaryota; kingdom Metazoa; phylum Chordata; class Mammalia; order Primates; family Hominidae; genus Homo; species Homo sapiens. The sequence continues at coordinate 143,461,644 of NC_000023.11, read as the reverse complement.
TTTCTGATCTTTGCAAAATGCAGGAGGCTTTCTCTTGATGATGATGGGAGTCTGTAAAGTCATATGAACACACACACACATGCACACACACACATATATACATATATATGTTGTATTTATAATATACAACATTCTTCCTCATGTTAAAAAAATGTATTCAATGACATTTGTTAAAGATGACAAAGGCAGACTTTAATCAAGTGGGGGTTTGGGAGAGGTATAGGGACTACAGCAATGTGATCTTGCAGCGGGGAAGAAAGATTAGACTCAACTTCTGGTCCAACAAGTTCAAGTGGGGATTTATAACCAACAAGCAGAGTAAAAGTCAATGGATGGAACATTATTAAGAAGAAACACTAGAGGTAAGACAGGTTCTTGCTAGAACAATTCAATAGAATTCTTGCTTAAGGCAGGTCAGGTTGATACAATAACAAGGGTGGTCAGACAAGGGTGGGGGATTTTCTCCAAAGTGCTTTTGCAGAGTTCTTACTCAAACTTGATTCGTTAAAGACAGAAAGAGAAGCCCAAGATTGGGCTTAGTCAAGCAGAGAACTCAGAGGAGAGAAGCCTGTTTCAAGTTTTGGGTTAAAGAGATAGTCTTTATCAATTGCCATCATCTCCCATATTTAGTCACTAAGTCGTGCCAATTCTGCCTCTAAAATATTATTTCATTTTCCACAATCACCACCTTAGTTTAAACCATCACCATGTGTTCTTGACTACTGCAGTAATCTTCTTCCTAGCTGACCTTCCAGTTTCCCCACGTATCCCTTTCAGTTCATCTTTTACACAGCAGTCAGAATGATCTCTTGAAAACACAAATCTAAAGACCAAGACTTTAATGTGACTTATGAAGCTCTGGGTGCTCTGAACCCTGGTAACCTGTCAGCACCCTATGCAGACATTTTGCATTGATGTGGCTATTTTTATTCACCATTGCATTCCCATTGCCTAGCTTAAGTCTTGACTCAGATCACATACTCAAAGCACATACTCTTTAAACAGTTCTTAAATGATTTTTGTTTGTTTGTTTTTTTACAATTTGGGCATTCACCATGTCTGTCAACCTGGTGGTCATGTTGGAATAAAAGATGGGCTCTGTCTCCCTGATTACTAGGAAAAATATGGAGAAGAGCAATTTAACACCCAAAGCTATAAGTCAAGTGCAAATATTAAGTCAAGACATCTTTAAAACCCCAATTTTGCATATTAATTTATTTAAGACATTTTCTAGGTAGCACTCTACTCCACATTTAGAAAGAACTGGCTTGGCCAGGCACAGTGGCTCACGCCTGTAATCCCAGCACTTTGGGAGGACAAGGTGGGTGGATCACGAGGTCAGGAGATGGAGACCATCCTGGCTAACACGGTGAAACCTCCGTTTCTACTAAAAAATACAAAAAATTAGCCGGGCATGGTGGCGGACGCCTGTAATCCCAGCTACTGGGGAGGCTGAGGCAGGAGAATGTCGTGAACCCAGGAGGCGGAGCTTGCAGTGAGCCAAGATGGCGCGACTGCGCTACAGCCTGGGCGACAGAGTGAGACTCTGTCTCAAAAAAATAAACAAAAAAACCCAAACAAAACAAAAATAAAATAAAAAATAAAAAGAACTGGCTTAAGTCAGGTTGGGTCTAGAGGGGTATTTTTATGTGGATCAAACTATATTTGTGCGAATGTAGCCAGACATTATTGAATATCAGTCATTATCTTTCCCTACCCTGGACACTGTAACCAGTACAACTCATCTATTTCCAGCAACATTACCTCCAGTATTTGCCCAGGGCACCGTCCTCTGCCACTCATGACTTGCTGTCTCTTGCTCTAATCTTCCCAGGAAATCTGAAACCTCTGGTTCCATAATGTAGCTCTGAGTTGAGCTTGTGGCCTTTCATGTTCTCATTACCATTAGAGATGTACTCCTCTGGTGGTAGACTGGGAAGGGTCTTCAGGAGCCTGTGTGGTCATTGCCCTCTGGCTCCATACATGACAGCTCTGGGCAAGACTCTGGCCTACTGTTTTACCCTGAGAAAGTGACTGATAGACAGCTATAGCATCTAGATGGCATTCACAGCTTCACCTAATTTTATTTATGATTATAAAGATAAAAACAGCCTTGATTGAACAGTGCATCTGATGATAAAATCACCAAATCCTAATGAGCAACCCAGTAGCTAATGTAATGTTAATTAATAAAATATTTCACACTCTTCAATTCATTTGGAAATTGACTTAGCCAGAAATAAGAAGTGTAACTGAATTTCCTTTCAATTTGACTTGCAAAAATCACTAAGTTTTCCAAGAAAGTGGCTCTAAAAGTGGCTCTGGCTTAAGTGTCCTATTTAATATTCAAAATATATATTTTTTTCTATCTCCATGGAATCCAGGTATATAGAGCTCGAGCTCCTTTATCACCAAGTCCTAGATTATTCTCCAAGGAGCTCTCATAGTCCCAAATCCAGCTGTGTGCACCTACTCCTGAAACGGCCTTTCCTTTTTTTTTTTTTTTTTTTTTTTTTTTGAGACGGAGTCTCGCTCTGTCGCCCAGGCTGGAGTGCAGTGGCGCAATCTCGGCTCACTGCAAGCTCCGCCTCCCGGGTTCACGCCATTCTCCTGCCTCAGCCTCCCGAGTAGCTGGGACTACAGGCGCCCGCCACCACGCCTGGCTAATTTTTTTTGTATTTTTAGTAGCGATGGGGTTTCACCATGTTAACCAGAATGGTCTCGATCTCCTGACCTCATGATCTGCCTGCCTTGGCCTCCCAAAGTGCTGGGATTATAGGTGTGAGCCACTGCACCCGGCCAAAATGGCCTACTTTCAACCTTTGCATTTGTGATCCTTTAGGGAGAGATTCCTCAGGTCAGAAAGACACTAGTGAATCTACTGGAAGGTAACTCATATCTAAGACTTCTACTTATTGCTGCCATTTTGGATCTTAAGATGATTTTCTTAGCAATCTGAAAGATATTCTGGCAGCAAACCTGTGATACAACATTTCCTTTTCATGTTTTGGCATCCATCACCAGTCTTTTTAGAACACAAATTGGAATTTTCCTTCAGGCATCAGCCTCTTCTCCTCACTCTTCATGTGGACGGGTCAGCTTAGACATATTCAGAATACTGGAGTCTCTGGGCATTGATTTTGATTCAATGATGGGTACATAACTTAGGCCAAGCAAATAAGATGCACTCTTTGGACTTTTGTTTCTCCCAATGAGAGAGACATGCTCACATTTCTTTTGGGTTTGGATACGTGAGGTGTATAAACAGGGTGGTGTGGAGAGCCTTGCAACCAGAAAAGCAAAGGCTGAGTAAGAACAGGGCTGATTGTTCAATTCCCACCTATGAGTGAGAACATGTGGTGTTTGGTTTTCTGTCCTTGTGAGAGTTTGCTGAAAATGATGGTTTCCAGCTTCATCCATGTCCCTACAAAGGACATGAACTCATCCTTTTTTATGGCTGCATAGTATTCCATGGTGTATATGTGCCACATTTTCTTAATCCAGTCTATCATTGTTGGACATTTGGGTTGGTTCCAAGTCTTTGCTATTGTGAATAATGCTAGATGACGAGTTAGTGGGTGCAGCGCACCAGCATGGCACATGTATACATATGTAACTAACCTGCACAATGTGCACATGTACCCTAGAACTTAAAGTATAATAAAAAAAAAAAAAAAAAATGAACAGGGCTGATGCAAAACAAGCCACAGCCAGGAGATGGAGTGAGTCTCTGTGCGGGTAACCTGAACAGAGCCAAGTCTCAAGCTACGTTGACCCCTAGAGTTTTCAGTTATGGAAACAAAGGCAGTCCCTTTATTTGCTTGAGCCAGTCTGGGGTGAGCATTTTTCACCTGGAATTGCAAGAATCCTTACTAATTCAAAACTATTTTATCTCTTTGAATCCCTCCAATGCATTTTGGAACAGGGTATTCTCTGCATAAGAATCCATATCAGGTTATCTGCCTGGACTGTGAATACCACCATTCATCCATGCATACACCAGACTTACTATGAGGCATCTATCTCTAATTTTGTTCACTTACTAGCTATATAAAGGTGTTATAATGCTCAAATGCTCAACATTTTATTATGAAAAATTTCAAACATACACGGAAGAGTTGAAAGACTTTTAGTGAATGATCATAAATAAACTCACCATCTAGATCCTATGATTAATATTTTACTGCACTTGATTGATCTCCTATCTATCCCTGTATCTATCCCTCAATTCATCTCATTTTTTGATGTATTTCAAACTAAATTGCAGACATCATTATACTTTTCACTAGATAGCTTGCATACAGCTCAGTGCTTAACTCAATGAAACATTTGGCAGGGCACCTTCCCTGGGCTTAGGTTTTTGCATATGAAAAAAAAAATGCAGGTGTTGTTTTAGATGACCTCCTAGTGCCCTTCTTTAGGGCTGTGACATTATGTAGTTCTATGATATTTACCTTTTTAATTGATTGACATGCTTGTATAAAAATGCCTTCTTGTTCGACTCAAAAAGGATTAACATGGAAAATATACTTTGCTTACCTATGGGATATTTACCTAACCGAAATCTGTTTGCTTTACAATAACCCCATTAAGCAGTCCTTGCTGACTCTGAGTCAAACAGATGTTTTCAGGGGCAGAATGGAGAAGAAAACAAAGTATCAGATGGATATTTTCAAAATTATGGGAAGACTGGAGTCTTATCCAGAAAACAAGAGAAATAACATGCCATTGAAAATGACTTCTAATGAAAGTTAAACTTTGCCAGTTCTGCGGGAGGGAGATCAAAAGTGTGATGACTAGACAGCAGAAAAGTGGAAGTCAGAGGTCTGAAGTAGCTGAACCTGATACCATTATCCCTTGTTTAATTCATGTTGGGCCATTTCTGCCAGATAGCCTTTTAGACTGATGGTCTTGATGGATGAAGAAAATGGCTTAAAAGAAACGAAAAAAGTGCATAAAAGCCTGTCTGACAGAGAAGAGGCTATTTCCAGGAACAAGGAGCAAAAGGGAGAACACTCAAACGTGGCTTATTGTGGGAAGCAACCAAACCAAATAGAGTCTGCAACCCTAACTCACTGTGGACAGCCTGCTCCGCTAGGCTATGTTGTATTGAAGCAGTTTCAACTTTCCATTCCCTTGGGGACCCCTAAAATGGCCCCTTCATCAGGGACGCAAATAAGTTACTGTGGCTCTGAGGAGTGGGGGGCTGTTGCCATCTTCTGTAAGTCTAATTACCACTGAAGCAACCTTAGACTGAGCCTCCTCCCCAGATCCTACTCTTTTGACTATAAAGATTGCTCTGGATTATTTTAAATAATTCTGGCCAAAATGAGAATATAAGTGAAATTCTTCATAACTGTAATCAAGCTTCCATAAAAAGGCCTCTTTCACACAACTTTCAACATTTACCTACAAGTGTGAAATAGGAGGGCCACTGAGCTTTCTTGGGATGACCTTTATGTGCACCAGGTGGCCAGTGCCATTAAATGCTGAACAGAATGGAAATTCTCACGTGTGTTTGGGATGAAAGAATCTGGATTAAGATGTGATGTCTGGTTATTTGGTCACAGTTCATCAGTTTCAGATCTAACCTAGGAAGAAGTAGTTATTCACATGCCATTTGCATGAGGGAAATAATACTGTGGAAAATCTAAAAATATTCAAGAAAACTGCGTCTCAAATAGTATTTTTCCTTTTCGATTCCAAAACTCTATTGCTTATGATGATGGCTCATTAAACATTTTAGAACCTAATTCTCAAGCTTATTTAAAAATGGCTACTCTAATTTGGCATTAAAATACAGGTAATATAGTCATGCCTACATTTGTTAACCTTGTATAGACTTGGATCAGGCAATTGTCGTTTTTTTAATAATCCATATTGGTCTAATGCTGTGTCTTTGCATATATTCCATTTTTGCCCTAACAATATTTCTGGGAAGTGGAGATAGAAATTGAGGATTGTGTGAATCCACCATGATATAGGATTTCAGAATAGAATTATGTTCTAGAATTGCAGCCAGAACATGCCGTATAGATTATGGAAATTAGCAGCTGTGTGGCCTCTTCATTTGATTATTTATTATTAGCAACATTCTTGATTAGCCCTATACCCTTTTAAATGGAATTACAAAATAATTATATGTTTTGCCTCCAAAGCTCTTTATTGAGAATGACAATAAACTGCCCAATGTTCAAATCATTGTATAATACATTTATATGATTATTAAATGCTTGTAAATTGCCATTTAACACTGCATGTGTTTACTACCTAGTAAAACAAGTGTTAACCCATCTATTTAAACAACTGGAGAGCATTCATCTTTGCTGAAGTCATTGTTTTATCTTGGGAAAATTCTGCTAACATACCAGTCAGCCAGCCAGCCAGCCAGCCAGCCAGCATATCATCTTTCGTCTGCATTTATTAACTGCTTAGAATGTCCATCTGTTGTTCTTAGTAAATGGAACACTATGAAAAAAATTTCATTGAGTATATCTATATATAACTGTTCCCTTTATGGAGAAAAGCTCCTTGGAATGTTCTTCATAAGTTAAAAACTTGGGACAAGTGTTGGTCAGAGACAAATCGTCAAAGTTGGCAAACTTTCAAATGACAGGCAACAGACTCCTCTCGTTGGGGGAGAAGATAAATATATTTGCTTTAGATCAAGAGAACATTTTCTCAAAATGTGTCAGATCACATTTCTTTAGACTTTGGTGATGGTTTGTTGAGTGATATAGAATACAAGGGAAGAAAAGCTAACAAGTCTTTCATATGTATTTGCGTTCAAATAGCCTCATGTACCGATTTTATCTTGTTTGTGGTTGGGGTTAGAGGTGGAATTCAGGAAACCTACAAGGATATCAGTGAACTACAGTAGTTCTTCCAAGAACTTTAGCAGAATTGTTTGTGGCCTTGCCAAGGTAAAATTGCAGTTAAAGTGGGACCATCTGATGATATTCCAGTGACAAGAACAGAGGGAAAGTATGAAGGCTCCAAACACATATAAATAATTCAGATGGAAGTGCTCATAGTTTAACCTTGGATGAAAATAATATAACACATTCAGAAGGAAATATAACTTTTACTGGTGCTAAAACAACTCTGTTAAATTAGGGCCAGGGATTAGGGTTAATAGAAAAGTGTAAGTTTACTATCTCTTCTTGAACATATTGTTTTGATATAGTGTACATAGGAAGAAGAAAACTAAAAAAGTTATTGCTTGGAAGCCGTAATTACATCACCTCAGTCTGATGCCATGGAGTCTAACAGCAATATAATTTGTATAATCATTTTGATCATGGTGGTGATATTAAGGGCTACATTTCTGGGAATGTAAACTGTTGACACGCAACACGATATATCAATGTAAGAATAACATCTAGGCATAGATAATACGGAAAAAGATCCGTTGGATAAAAATACATCATTTCTAGTAGAAAAGAGGCAAATTTGATTTGGAGACATCAGTTGCAAATTTACCATAATAAGATTCTCAATTCATGCTACATACAATAATTCAGACTGAAGTATCCTTGACAAATTAGTAATGCCTCTTTCTGGTTGCTTATTTGACTTGGAAAGATAATGTGATAAGTATTAATTTTAATATAAATTATCAAAGATTTATGTCTGCAACTTGCCTACAAGTTGTCGTCTGTGTTTAATTTCTTTCAATTCTACTACCATTCATCTCTTCCTCTGGGTAGTTAAACAAAGGGAAAACTGAGTCATGATAAAGAAGGTATTTATTTCACTTTGTCAGCTTTGCAAAATCTTCCAGTTTTAGATAGACTTTTTTTTTCTGATAATGGCTTTACAATTGATAGTAAATAAAGATGGAAATGCAAATCGAGATTCATCTTCCTTTGGTAAAGGCTTAAAGGCTCTCTATTTACATATAATTTGAGGACATTTAAATCTTAATATTGGTAAATATTTACACTTCTGTAATCATTGTGAACCCTCATCTTCACTGCACTACGTATCATTGTGTGTGTGGAGAGAAGAAATGACTTAATTTAATTTGCCTTAATCTCGCATCTTCCCCATAGGATACATTCATTACCACTGGCTGACTTAGATGACATAGAAGAAAATGGAACTAAGTATATGTGTCAACACATGGTAGTAATCTTTTAATGAATGTCTATAGGCATCTTATCCATACTATGGAGCTGCATCTTTAGTGAACAATAAATAATGGGAATAATGGAATGAATTTTTGTTCTCATTTTATCTTGGTTCATCTTGTTCTCATTCACTTTGCTAGTGAAATATATACATACATACATCTTGGCCACAGCATGTCAGGTTCTGTGACCTCCTGGGAAAAGAAATTGATTACCCAACCAATGTACTGAAACTGGTTTTGTCCTCTGAAATTGACTTTTTAGGGTGACAAGAAGCATCTTGTGTTAGTTTTTCATATATTCCATGACTCACTGAGCAGCTCTAATTTTCCCTTAGCAAATACCTAATGAATTTAAATTCAATATAGGAATCAATGTTTTTCAACCAGCTTCTTCTGCTGTGTTTTTTACCTCAATCCAGATACAACCAGAAACCTAAGTCAGTTATCCTTGACTGCTTTACCCCATCCTTTGTATCTCAACCAATCACCAAGCTCTATTGGTTCTGATCCTTAAACATTTCTGGAAGCTGCTCTCTCCATTCCATCTGGACTACTTAGTTCAGGCCTCACCTTACCTTCTCTTATATCTAGTACTGCCACAGTCTCCTAAATGGTCTTTCTATCTCTGATCTTGTCTCTCTCCAATTTATCCGCATGGTACCCGGATGATCTAGTTAAAAAAAAATGCTTCTGCCACTCCCTGGTTTAGACATTTAAGGATCTGTTCAATACCTGCAACAAGAGGAGCAACATCAATTGTCTATAGGGTCTAGGCAGGCAATAGAACATTTGGCCCCAGGTGGATCATGGCAGATATGAGAATCCATGGCTTATCTAAAAGAAGCAAGCACCACTCAGCTTGAATTACATTTTGGCAAGTAATGTATTTCTTTAATCCTGTGGGGTAGGGAAAATAAAATAGATCCGCAGGTTACTGGAATTACGGACTACCAGTTTGCAACTTCTATTCTCTAGGATAAAGTCTAAGTCCTTTAATGTGTTATACAAAATCCTTTGTTGGCACCTTCAGGCCTACACCTTGAGCCTCATTTCTCAAAGCTCCTATCAGTTCTACCTAGAAAAATATCTCTCAACATCCTTGCATTTTTCTCTGTCCCCATTGCCAGCCCTCTATTTCAGGCCATCGTAATTGCTTCCCTGGATGACTGCAATAGCTTCTTCACTGGTCTCTGTCTCAAATCTCTTCTTACTCGAAACAATCTTTTCAAACTGTGATCTTTAAAAATGTAGCAGTGTGATTTATTGGGAATTTCATATCAGAGTGTGACCTACTGAGAAATTAACTAGTGCTTTATTTTCTTATTCTGCAATTCATTGGGAAGGGATACAAGGCATTTTTCCATCTCCTAGAAAGAGAAGCTAGGACTATGTTTTCCAAAGAGACATGCAACAGGGCAGTTCTCAGTGGAATGCCTCTGCTGACATGGCTAGGAAGCTGGGCTAGAGGACACCCTATGCCTCCAGGAGACTAACTTTATGGAACACTATGAGGAACGACCGGTGGGGAGTCAGTGCCTGCAGAGCAGGAAGTTGCACATCTGTGGACTCTATTAGGCTGGTGTCTGTTTTGTAATTATCTCTGTACCTCAATTCAAGTATGGTGCTTAATATTTCATATAGACTCAGTGGATATTATGGAGCTTCATGAGGGATTAAGCCAAAAACCTTTCATTGCTCTTTGGAAAACTATGGATCCTCTCCTTAGATATTTTAACATAGTTTTGGAACATTCATGGACAACACCTCCAAAGTAATCTATAGACCTGCCACAAGCTTAGCTTTCATCTGGGAAGATAGTTTTTAAACCTTACAAATCCCTGTGTGTTAAGTTAGGGTTCTCCAGAGGGACTCACAGTCACACAAGGCAAAGTCCTACCATAAGCTGTCTGCAAGCTGGGGAAGAAAGCAGTCAGTAGTGGCTCAGTCCAAGTTTGAAAGCCTCAAAACCATAAAAGCCTACAGTGCAGCCTTCAGTCTGTGGCCAAAGGCCCAAGAGTCCCTGGCAAACCACTGGTGTAAGTCCAAGAGTGCAAAGGCTGAAGAATCTGGAGTCTGATGTTCAAGGGCAGGAGGAGCAGAAGGAAGCATCCAGCATGGGAAAAAAGAAGAAAGCCAGAAGACCCAAGCAAAGTTATCCCACCTTCTTTCCCTGATTTATTTTTTTTCATGCTGGCGGCTGATTGGATGGTGACCACCCAATTCGAGGGTGGGTCTTCCTTTCCCAGTCCCCTAACTCAAATGTCAATCTCTTTTGGCACCCTCATGGGTACACCCAGAAACAGTACCTTACCAGCCATCTAGGCAGCCTTCAATTTAATCAAGTTGACACTAATATTAACCATCATACTGTGCAAAAGTAGCAGCATGTACTTATTGATGACAGTGATTTTTTTTTAATGTCCAAAAGGGACAAAAACTAGAGAGATCAAAGTAATCAAACAAAAAGGATTCTGTTTTGTGCAAGATAACAAGCAATTAAGAGCAAATATTGTTTAAAAGAAAAAATCAAATTTACTTTCTCATTTAGAAGAGGTCATTTCAGTTCTATCACCATAAGTTATACATTAAGTACAAGTTTTCTTAGTACTTTATAACTTAGAACACCGTAGCTTAGAAACATGTACCTTGCTTAAGTCAACTTTCAAATTTTTCTCAGCGATAAGCAAATAGTTTCATTTCGCATGCTAACTCTAAAGACAGCCCTATATTTCCTACTTGAGGGACTATTTCTTGAAGAATTTTGAGCATAAGCTCAGATTCAGTAGGAAAAATTTCATGATCACAGTATAATGTTGGCCATGGATACAGGACTGCAGATTGGCTGATGGTACTTGGGCCAATTTGGGCCACATATTAATATTTCCCTCAGACCACATATTCCTCTTGGCCAAATATCCTTTCATGAGCCACATACCTCCTTTGGTCTATATAGGATACATGTATTCCTTGGGCTTCATATTCCCCATGCTACCTTGATTAAGAATTCCTTGCCTCTTTAGTTTATTTATTCCACAGATGTTTGGGAATAAACTGTCATTTTATTTGATCCCTAGTAAACCTTTTGGCTTCAATTTGTAGATAAAAACAAAGACCTTCTTGAGATGTGAGGGACTTGCTACTTACCCAAGAGTTGTAAATCACTAGCCATTTCAAAGATGAATCTACTCATTATTTCTACCTAAGCCTCAGACCGTGTAGTCTAGTAGTTAAGTCATGGGTTCTGGAATCTGATAGAGTAGGGTTTAGGTTTAATTGTCAGTTACTGATAGAATGACTTTTGGCTAAATTACTCTTCTCCAACCCTCCTTCTTATCTGGAGAGTAGAGATAGTAATTCATACCTTAAAAAGTTGTTTTGATAATTAAATTGAATAATAAACAGAGTTCTTAAACAAATACCTAGCATGTAGTAAGTACTCTATTAATGAAAATAGTAATAACTATTTTATAATCATTTTACAAGGTATAGAAGAAACAGAATAATTTGGACTGCTCTAAGCAGATTATCAAATTATCAAACAAGTCAGAGATCATTAGATTAATAAACTCAATGCTGTATTACTTTCTAAAGTGAATGTAAAACATGAATTTATAATATAAAAACATATTTTATCTATTGCTCTCTTAATTTTTCATATAGATGCTGGGCTAAATAAAATCTGCTTTCATTTCATTATGAAATTATTATGTTCAACATTTACCTTAAGAAGTCAGCCAGATCTTAAATTTGTTTAAAAAACATAGAGGCACTTAAAATTATTATTATTATTATTATTATTGAGATGGAGTCACATTCTGTCACCCAGGCTGGAGTACAGTGGTGTGATCTTAGCCCACTGCAACCTCCGCCTCCTGGGCTCAAGCGATTCTCCTGGTTCAGCCTCCCAAGTAGCTGGGATTATAGGCATCCTCTACCACGCCCAGCTAATTTTTGTATTTTTAGTAGAGATGAGGTTTCACCATGTTGTCCAGGCTGGTCTTGAACTCCTGACCTCAGGTGATCCACCCACCTCAGCCTCCCAAAGTGTTGGGATTACAGGTGTGAGCCACAGTGCCTGGCCCAATGTTTTTTTAAATGTGTCAAGATAAAGCCTTTAGGTAGATCATTTCGGATGAATTGGCTGCTCCTTCATTGAAATTAGTGACTTTCCTTTCTTGTTTTTTCACTTAGAGGACTCATGAACTTGAGATGTTTCCTAATTTATACTTAAAACTACCATGAGAGGTCAACTTGAGCAGGCTTATTTACAGCTGAAGAAAGGAGGTCTTTCCCTCGTTTTACATTCTCTCCTTTATATCTTCAGGGTAACTCTGTAAACAACAAACTCAGCAAATACATTAGTGCTGAAAGAGGGAGTGAGCAAGCTAAAGCTTTGAGAATGCAGGTGACTGATGGTCTACAGATGGGAACTGTAAGTCTGCCAAAGAGGACATTTCATCCATCTCTTGAGGGCCATACTTTAATCTGCCCCTACTGAGAAAATTCTTCTGATTTGGGAGACTTCAAGAGAAAGCTTTTATTTATTTATTTATTTATTTATTCATTTATTTATTTTTCAGTTTCACTTAATAATGCTTCCAAGAATGAAGTGGCTTTTAAAGATAAGAACAGGTACTATTGTAAGAAGAGAGGAAAAGAGCATTTTTTCTATAGAAAACAAGAATAAAAATGAATTTACTATTAGTAATGGGAAGTGTCCAGTCACCTGTTTTGAAGTCAAAGCATCAGTTTCTCATCTGTATGTTGAAGGTAATGGTCATCTGTGCCTCACAGTCTCGTGGATGGAATTGAATAATGTACATAGGAGGCACCTAGTGTCTAGTTATCTGTAACATAGCAGGGGTTCAATAAATGTTAGTATACCTTCCTTGACATCTCATTGGGCAAAATCAAAATGGCAAAATGATCCTTAGGGGGAAAAATCAAAGAAAAAAATCGCATTCAGTTATGGGAAAAAATTAAAGCTGTAAACATTTTCTAAGTAGTTCAACTTGAAAACCTACAGAGGCAAGAGAGCAGAAAATAAAAATGGAACAGCCAAATGATGTGTATTTCAAACAAAATAACGTCCTTAATAAACAGTATCTGTTACAGTCAGGAGGGCTTTCAAAGGTATCACTAGTCTCAATTCTCTGATAGAATTGCTCAGTATTATTTGCAAAAATGTGGGCACACATAGACACACACATCCAGCTGATAGGAAACTATTTCATTAACTCAAATAGACTGTAAATATTTTATTTGAAGTTCCAATCTCTCCCGTGGACCTCCTCCATGATCACACTGCACAGTAGAAGGGTTTTCATGATACCCAGCCATTTGGGGCAGCAGCTACTCCCAGTCTTTAGAGGCTGCTGGATGCCTGGCAGTATAAGAAGAGCTCTGGCCTGATATACAAGAAATACAAGGTATTCATTATACTAGAGGTTAATATTCACAGCCAGGAGGCTTTATATACAATGTAGACACAGAATCTCTGTCTTGCCTTTAGACTAAACAACTGTTTTTTTTGTTTGTTTGTTTTTTTTTCTGCCCTGTGTGTGTTGCAAAACTGCCATAACTACATGGACAGCTACAGAAACCAACATGCAAAACCAAAACAGAAAAAAAATTAAATACATTTCATAAACAACATTCAAAATGAGTCTAATCTAATTAAAATGCTCTACTAATTGACTTAGATATCTACATGGAGACATTGATTGGAGATTTCCTTCTTGTGCTACTTTAGTTGAAACAGAGAGGTCTTGCTTTAGAGAAATCTGCTATACCAATTCCGATTTATAGCTTAGAAAATGGAGTGTTTGTATTTTAAATATTTTTTATCACTATGGAAATCTGCTGTAAAGAATATAGAAGGTTGGGCCAGGTGCAGTGGCTCACGCCTGTAATCCTAGCACTTTGGGAGGCTGAGGCAGGTGGATTGCCTGAGCTCAGAAACCAGCCTGGGCAACAAGATGAAACCCCATCTCTACTAAAATACAAAAAATAAGCTGGGTGTGGCGGCGTCCGCCTGTAGTCCCAGTTACTTGGGAGGTTGAGGCAGGAGAATTGCTTGACCCTGGGAGGCGGAGGTTGCAGTGAGTCGAGATTGTGCCTCTGCACTCCAGCCTGGGCAACAGAGCAAGACTCCATCTCAAAAAAAAAAAAAAAACGAATATAGAAGGTGGTTCTTAATATTCTGTAAGTATTTTACAGTTTCCAATGTGCTTTCTCTGACGTAATATCACTGGATTATTACAGGAATCACATGGGAAAGTAAAGCTAGATTTAATATCTTTTCTATACACGAGGCTTCAGAGGTCTCTGGGTCATTGATTTCATAAATGGTTAAGCCAGGACGAGGGGAGCTCCATCACTTTACTCCCAGTTAAGGGTCATCTTTATTGGACAGTACATTCGGCAAGAATTCAGTTGAATAAATGCAAAGCCAGTGGACTTTTCCAGGAACATATATAGGCATAAAGTCAAGTATGCCTGAATTGTCTATGCTTTATCAGCCCTTAGAAGATAGAGGGGGACCAGGAAGAGCCATTTTATCCATTTGGCATGGAAGGAACAGAATATGGGACCTGTGAGCTTTGCATGAGATTGTGGAAATGGTTGAGACCTAAAAACAAAATTAGCTCCCGAGTGGGAAAAAAAAAAAAAAAAGTAAAAATGAATAAATGTTTGATTGACTCTTTAACATTATGACATGTAGTCACATGCATCTGAAGTCTACCACTGTGCATAGATATTAAGAGATTAATTTAATTATTAAGAAATTAATAAATTTCAGTATATATGGTACAACATGGGATGAAACTTCTAAAAGTTACCATGTCTAGTGCATATTAGGTTCTAAAGTTGTCAAGTTGAAAGAGTTGGGGGTTGGAGTAGAGTCAATGGTAAGTGAAAGGGTACCCTGGGAAAAGTTTATTTCATTTTTTTTTCTTTTTTGCCTGGAGTATATCACGGGTTGTCTTTTTACATGTGTCTTAGCAGCTTGATATACAGCAGGTCAGGCTACTCGAGGGATGGTATTGAAGGTGGGAGCATTAAATGTTATTCAATTATCAACCCATATTCTCTTGAGGCTAGAAGTTGCCAGATTTAGCAAATAAGAATGTAGAACACACAGTTAAATTTGAATAACTGATGAGTAGTGATTTATCATTGGTACTTCAGCATAAGTACACATTTTTTAGTATATGTATACCCCATGCAATATTTGGGACACACTTATGCTAAAATATGCATCGTTTATTAGAATTTCAAATTTAACTAAATGTCTTGTATTTTATCTGACAACCCTACTTGAGGCTTTTTAATCTGATTTACTTATGTTTATACATTTATGATTTGAGAGCCCTAGAGTCATGGCCAGCTTAGATTTGTCACTTAGTTTCTGGTGTATTTTTAATAAGTAGATGTTTAAAGATGACTCAGTTTAAGAGGAATATTGCCCAAAGTGTTAATTTGCTATCTTAACTACCCTTCCCTTGTCCCTATGCACTGCTTACTTAAGCCTAAGAAACTCTAACTCCTCGAATCTGTGAGGAAGGTACATGCATCAATAATGTGCAGATGACAGCAAAAGAAAATATCAGCAGAGGGAACAGATAACCTAAAAACTGGGAGAAAATTTTTGCAATCTATCCATCTGACAAAGGTCTGACATCCAGAGTCTACAAGGAACTTAAACAAAGTTACAAGATAAAAACAAACAACCCCATTAAAAAGTAGGCAAAGGATATCAACAGACACTTTTCAAAAGAAGACATTAATGTGGCCACCAAACATACGAAAAAAAAAGCTGAACATCACTGATCATTAGAAAAATGCAAATTAAAACCAAAATGAGATAATATCTTATGCCAGACAGATGGCAATTATTAAAAAGTTAAGAAACAACAGGTGCTGGTAAGGTTGTGGAGAAAAAGAACACTTTAACACTGTTGGTGGGAATGTAAATTAGTTCAGCCATTGTGGAAGATGGTGTGGTGATTTCTCACAGATTTAGAAGCAGAAGTACTAGTTGACCCAGCAATCTCATTTCTGGGTATGTACCCAAAGGAATATAAATCATTCTATTATAAAGATACATGCACACATATGTTCATTGCAACATTATTCACAATAGCAAAGACATGGAATCAACCCAAATGTCCATCAGTCACAGACTGGATAAAGAAAATGTGGTACATATACACCATGGAATACTATGCAGCCAAAAAAGGGAATGAGATTATGTCCTTGGCAGGGACATGGATAGAACTGGAAGTTGTTATCCTCAGCACACTAATGCAGGAACAGAAAACCAAACACTGCATGTTCTCACTTATAAGTGGGAGCTGAACAATGAAAACACATGTACACATGGGGGGAACAACACACACTGGGGCCTGTAGTTGGGGACAGGGGGAGAGAGAGCATCAGGAATAATAGCTAATTGGTGCTTGGCTTAAAACCTAGGTGACGGGTTGATCTGTGCAGCAAACCACCATGGCACATGTTTACCTGTGTAATAAACCTGCACATCCTGCACATGTACACTGGAGCTTAAAATAAAGGTTGAAGAAAAAAAAAGAAAATGAGAAAATGTGACATTTATATATAAACAATGGAATATTCTTCTGCCATCAAAAAAGAATAAAATCCTGTCATTGGCAGCAACATGGATGGAGCTGGAGGTCATTACATTAAGTGAAATAAGCCAAGCACAGGAAGACAAATTTTGCATGTTTTCACTCACATGTGGCAGCTAAAAATGTGGATCTCATGCAGACAGAGTAGATTGGTGATAACTAGAGTCCAGGAAGAGCTGGGTGAGGGGGAATGAAGATAAATTGATTAATGGGCACAAATATATGGTTTGACAGAAGAAATAACACCTAGTGTTAGATAGATCAGTAGGGTGACTATAGTTTAAAATAATCTATTGTGTATTTCAAAATACCAAGAAAAATGCAGATAGTTGTAGCATAAAGAAAATACAAATATTTAAGGTGACAGCCCAGATATGCTGCTTTGATCTTTACCAATTATACGAATATGTTCAATTATCACATGTACCCCAAAACTATGTACATCTATTATATATCAATTAAAAATAGTGCTTTGTAAAAAAAAAAAAATAATGTGCAGATGAGTTTGATGTGGAATGGGGAGTCTGGCCATTTTTTCAAATTGTGTTGCTCGTGGTTTGACTGAGAGAGGCCTGGTTGTCTTTAGTACATAAAGGACTCCTGGTTGTCCTTCTTTTTTTTTTTTTTTGAGACAGAGTCTTGTTCTGTTGCCCAGGCTGGAGTGTAGTGGTGCGATCTTGGCTCACTGCAACCTCCACCTCCCGGGTTCAAGCAATTCTCCTGCCTCAGCCTCCCTAGTAGGTGGGATTACAGGTGCCTGCACCATGCCTGGCTAATTTTTTGTATTTTTAGTAGAGGTGGGTTTTCACCATGTTGGCCAGGCTGGTCTCGAACTCTTGACCTCAGATAACCCACCCACCTTGACCTCCCAAAGTGCTGGGATTACAGGCATAAGCCACCGTGCTCGGCCTATAATTATATTCTGGACTAGTATTTGTAAGGCCAAGACAATTTCTGATTTATCTTTATATACCCAAACCATTGTACGGTTTCCAGACTTATGACAATACGTGCTGTGAAGTCACACACACGTGGATTTAAATTCTGATTTCTATTTCCTACTTGTATGACCTTTGTAAGATGTTTTTATGTAACTACATGTTTTTATGTGCAAAACAAAAATATGAATACCTAAAAGCATGCAGAATTTTGTCACGGTTATTTCAAACGAATATATGTGTAGCTTCTGATAAATTACAATTAGTCAATATATAGCTGTGACCTAATGGGTGCATTCATTAAGGCTATAATGGACTCTTTTCTTCCTTTAACTATTTATTGGCAAAAGCTAGCATGATGGTAAATGTAACAGAGAAATAGTCATTAAGTTTCTTAATACCTCACCCATTATATTTCACTTGTGGAGACTTGTTTAACTGAATTTTAAGAAATTTGATTCATGTATGCTTTGCACATGAGAAGCAGCATTAGAAATATGAATAATACTTCCCTGCCTGTGAAAATGTGGCCATATTCTCCAGGCTTTAAGTACAAGCACCATCCAGTCTTGAGTTTGCTTCTGTAACAAAGAGATTAGGAGAATTTGGAAAACCACATGATGCCATCTTTATGCTTTTTTTCTTTTACTGATGGTGGGGCACCAAGAATGTAGGCCATTTTCACAACACAAACAAGGTAGATACAGAGCAGTTAGACACTATTTCATGCCAACTGTCCAGGATCAGTCATTCAAAATACATTCACTTGGCTAAGAAAGAGAGTAGAGGTGTGGCTGGCAAGATGGCCGAATAGAAGCAGCTCCAGTCTGCAGCTCCCAGTGAGATCAACACAGAAGGTGGGTGATTTCGGCATTTCCAACTGAGGTACCCGTTCATCGCATTGGGACTGGTTACACAGGGGGTGCAGCCCACAAAGGGCGAGCTGAAACAGGGTGGGGCATTGCCTCACACGGGAAGTGCAAGGGGTCTAGGAACTCCCTCCCCTAGCCAAGGGAAGCCATAAGAGATTGTGCCAAGAGGAATGGTGCATTCTGGCCCAGATACTACACTTTTCCTATGGTCTTCACAAAATGCAGACCAGGAGATTCCCTCAGGTACCTACACCACCAGGGCCCTGGGTTTCAAGCACAAAACTAGGTTTTGTGCAAACTACCCATTTGGGCAAACACTGAGCTAGCTGCAGGGTTTTTTTTTTTTTCATACCCCAGTGGTGCCTGGAACACCAGTGAGACAGAACTGTTCACTTCCCTGAAAAGGGGGCTGAAGCCAGGAACAAAGACACAATGTACCAGAATCTCTGGGACATAGCTACAGCAGTGTTTAGAGGGAAATTCATAGCACTAAATGCCCACAGGAGAAAGTGGGAAAGATCTAAAATTGACAACTTAACATCACAACTAAAAGAACTAGAGAAGCAAGAGCAAACAAATTCAAAAGCTACCAGAAGACAATAAATCAATAAGATCAGAGCAGAACTGAAGGAGATAGACACACGAAAAACCCTTCAGAAATCAATGAATCTAACAGCAGTTTTTTGGAAAAGATTAACAAAATAGATAGACCGCTAGCTAGACTAATAAAGAAGAAAAGAGAAGAATCAAATAGACACAATAAAAAATGATGAAGGGGGTATCAACATTGATCCCACAGAAATACAAACTACCATCAGAGAATACTATAAACACCTCTATGCAAACAAACTAGAAAATATAGAAGAAATGGATAAAGTCCTTGGCACACACACCCTCCCAAGACTAAACCAGGAAGAAGTCGAATCCCTGAATAGACCAATAACAAATTCTGAAATTGAGGCAGTAATTAGTAGCCTACAAACCAAAAAAAAGCCCAGGACCAGATAGATTCACAGCCAAATTCTACCAGAGGTATAAAGAGGAGCTGGTACCGTTCCTTCTGAAACTATTCCAAACAACAGAAAAAGAGGCACTCCTCCCTAACTCATTTTATGAGGCCAGCATCATCCTGATACCAAAATCTGGCAGAGACACACAAAAAAAGAAAATTTCAGGCCAATATCCCTGATGAACATCGATGCAAAAATCCTCAATAAAATACCGGCCAACCAAATCCAGCAGCACATCAAAAAGCTCATCTACCACAATCGAGTCGGCTTCATCCCTGGAATGCAAGGCTGGTTCAACATATGCAAATCGATAAACGTAATCCATCACATAAACAGAACCAATTACAAAAACCACGTGATTATCTCAATAGATGCAGAAAGGGTCTTTGATAAAATTCAACACCCCTTCATGCTAAAAACTCTCAATAAACTAGGTATTGATGGAATGTATCTCAAAATAATCTGAGCTTTTTATGACAAACCCACAGCCCATATCATACTGAATGGGCAACAGCTGGAAGCATTTCCTTTGAAAACTGGCAAAAGAGAAGGATGCCCTCTCTCTCCCCTCCTATTCAACATAATATTGGAAGTTCTGGCCAGGGCAATCAGGCAAGTGAAAGAAATAAAGGGTATTCAAATAGTAAAAGAGGAAGTCAAATTGTCTCTGTTTGCAGATGATATGATTGTATATTTAGAAAACCCCATTGTCTCAGCCCAAAATCTCCTTAAGCTGATAAGCAACTTCAGCAAAGTCTCAGTATACAAAATCAATGTGTGAAGATCACAAGCATTCCTATACACCAATAATAGACAAACACAGAGCCAAATCATGAGTGAACTCTCATTCACAATTGCTACAAAGAGAATAAAATACCTAGGAATACAACTTACAAGGGATGTGGAGGACCTCTTCAAGGAAAACTACAAACTACTGCTCAAGGAAACAAGAGAGGACACAAATGAATGGAAAAACAAGCCATGCTCATGGATAGGAAAAATAAATATCATGAAAATGGCCATACTGTCCACAGTAATTTATACATTTTATGCTATCCCCATCAAGCTACCATTGACTTTCTTCACAGAATTAGAAAAAAAAACTACTTTAAATTTCATATGGAACCAAAAAGAACCCGAATAGCCAAGACAATGGTGATCATTAAAAAGTCAGGAAACAACAGATACTGCAGAGGATGTGGAGAAATAGGAATGCTTTTACACTGTTGGTGGGAGTGTAAATTAGTTCAACCATTGTGGAAGGCAGTGTGGTCATTCCTCAAGGATCTAGATACAGGAATACCATTTGACCCAGCAATCCCATTACTGGCTATATACCCAAAGGATTATAAATCATTCTACTATAAAGACACATGCAACGTCTGTTTAGTGCAGTACTGTTCACAATAGCAAAGACTTGGAACCAACCCAAATGTTCATCAGTGATAGACTGGATAAAGAAAGGGCACACGTATACACCATGGAATACTATGCAGCCATAAAAGAGGATGAGTTTATGTCCTTTGCAGGGACATGGATGAAGCTGGAAACCATCATTCTCAGCAAACTAACACAGGAACAGAAAACCAAACACCTCATGTTCTCACTCATAAGTGGGAGTTGAACAATGAGAACACATGGACACAGGGAGGGGAACATCACACACCAGGGCCTTTCAGTGGGTGGGGGGCTATGGGAGGGATAGCATTAGGAGAAATACCTAATGTAGATGATGGGTTGATGGGTGCAACAAGCCATCATGGCACGTGCATACCTATGCAACAAACATGCACATTCTGCACATGTATGCTAGAACTTAAAGTATTTTAAAAAAGAGAGAGAGAGAGAGAGTAGGAAGGTAATTACCAGAAGCTTGGAAGAAGTGGGGGGATGGGGAAGAGGAAGATGTTGATCAAGGGGACCGAAGTTTTAGTTCTGCTGGAGGAATAAGTTTTAGTCATCGATTATACTGCATGGTGGCCACAGTTTATAAAAGAATATATATATATATATTTTAATGTTCTTACCACAGAAAAGATAAATTGGAAAAATGATGAATAGGTTTTTTGAATTTTTAAAATATTTTTATTTGTATAGATTTAAGGAGTCCATTTAAGCTGGGTGCAGTGGCTCACCCCTGTAATCCCAGCACTTTTGGGAGGCCAGGGTGGGAGGATCATGAGGTCAGGAGTTCGAGTTTTAAAGAGTTCAGCTGTAGTTTTGTTACATGGATATATTACATAGTGGTGAAGTCTGGGCTTTTAGTGTAGCCATCAGCCTAATATTGCACATTGTATCCATTAAGTCATTTCTCATTTCTCACCCCCTCCCTCTCTCCCAGTCTTCTGAGTCTTCAATGTTTATTATTCTACTGTCTATGTTAATGCGTACACATCATTTAGCTCTCACTTATAAGAACTCGCTGTCTTCGACTTTCTGCTTCTGAGTTACTTCACTCAAGATAACAGCCTCCACTTCTATATGATAGATAAATATGTTAAATTGCTTAATCAAATCTTTCTACACTGTATACGTAGAACAAAACATCACATTGTGCCCTGTACATATATACAATTATTATTAGTCAATTAAAAATAAAAAGGAAGGAAGGACAGAAGGAAGGATGGAAGGAAGGAGAGAGAGAGAGAGAAGAAAAGAAAAAAGAAAAGAAAAGAAAAAGAAAGAAAGAAAGAAAAAGAAAGAAAGAAAGAAAGAAAGAAAGAGAAAGAGAAAGACTGAAAACTTTACATTGGGAAGTTCTTTAGTAAAGATTCAGAATCCTGATTTAAAAATTCAAAATAAATCTGAAAACATCTATGGCTTGTATTTCTTAAGAAGTCCTCAATACCTTAAACAATGCAGATGGGCACCCATAGGCTTTCTGCCAGTGGTGTGCTGGAATTTGTTCAGACTGGCCCAGGAGAACCGCTTGTTAAATTTTCAGAAATTTCTCTAGCTGGTTGTTATACCTTTGGTAGCTTGAAATCTACTATGGTGATAGTATGTATACCTCCAAAAATAAACACACAAATTTACAAAATACCCACTCTTCAACCTCTTCACTGATACGTCACTGCTTTCTGCATGCCCATCTGTAAGGAAGATTCTCCTGAGAGTCTTCCTCATTAGAAGATTGTTTTCATAAATTTATCAGAAAAACAATCTCATCTCATTATTTCAACTGGGAAGGAGAATGAGCCAGGTTAAGAAGAAATAGAAGAGAAGTCATTGCGTTACAACTTCTACACTGGAAGCTTCATAGTACACAGTTTGTTGGTGGATCCTAAAATTACTATTATTACTCATAATAACTGACTCTTTTTGAGTTCTTACTATGTGTCAGGTGCTGTCCGAAGCAGTATGCAGTATGCAGAATAACATGCTATCCTCACAACAGTCACATGAGAGAATGATCTCCATTTTATAGTTGAGAGTAAATGAGATTCAGAGAAGTTGGGGACTCATAAATGGTCACACAGTCAGGAAGAAGCAGAATTGAGATTTGAATGTGGGTCTCTGTCTCTAACAGGTTTGTGTTTTTCTGACCGTGCTAGGCATTTTTTATGCCAGTCATTGCCCAGTGCAATGTCCTGTACATTGTAGAATCTCAATAAATATTTGTAGAATCAAATCATAACTTATGTATATATTATTTAACCTCACACCTAATTTAGATACTGCGAGATTCTAGTAACAGTGTTTTGTCTTATTTCTATGTCCTCAACCCCTAGCAAAATCCTGCACACAAAATTCTGGTGCATTAAAAGCATTTGTTGGATGGAAATAAATGAGTCCACTTCCATAGCAGGTAGTCTGACTTAGGAGAAGACCAGGAGCTGATCTCTGGAATAAGCTTAGCCAGAGTGGAAGCTTTCTTGGCATTTCTGAAGTTTTGTTATTCTAAACATGGTTTTGAATAACAGTAATTGGGAGGGGACATAATGTTGAACGCATTTCCCTTGGTGCTAATAGACTATTCTTTCTATTTCACATCTTCTGTTAAAAAAAAAAAAGGGAAGAGAAAATGTAATTAATATTTATTGATGACCAGTCATTTTGTTAGGATATTTCAAATTTATATTTGCACGGAAAGCAATCCTAATAGGTAGATACTATGACTACTTGCCTTTTATGCATAAGGAAACTGAGATTCAACATAGTAAACACAGTTGGAATTGAAAGCAGATTTAGAAGCCAAAACCGAGATTCCTCAATTTGGACTCTGATAATAACGGTATCAACCGCCTTTACTATTTATAAAAATTCTCCCTAACTCCTGTTTTGAATTAACCAAGAATATAGTTTTCCCAGGTTTGGATGTTGTATCTCTGACAACTACAATACCCTTTAACTCAAGAGATTGAGTGAGGGGGTCTGTGCTACCTAATGAAAAAGTCTCCATCTAGTGGTTACAAATCAAATAGCGTTCATATGCCCCGAAGGTGCTTCTGGAATCCATATTGGGTACAGTGTGCACTACTTGGGCGACGGGTGAACCAAAATCTCAGAAATCATCACTAAAGAGCTTATCAATGTATCCAAAAACCACCTGTCCCCCCAAAACTATTGAAATAAATACCAAAAAACCCCACAGGTTTATATTGACTGGTGCAGGACCAAGACTAGTGTAGGGTGAGTGAGGGGCAATTGCCTTCGTTGCAAAATTCAAGGATAGCCAAAAAACTCAGTATAATGATAAACAATACTTTAATCCAATGTTTTTTAAAAATCAAAATTAATGCATTAGATACACAACGAATAAAACATCAAAATTTTAAATAAAGACAGGATCAGTATTACTGACTTTTCCTTTTCCCTCTGGCTTCATTATAGCTCTACACGCCACTAGACTAGTGTGAACGATGTAAAATGTTCATACACATTTCCTTGGCATGTAACCACAGCGAGGTCAAACCTCAGTGTCCTGGCTTAAATATCCACGTCATAATATCAGAAAACAGCAATCACATGCCTTGAACAAAATCTCCTTTTCATAAGATTTTAGACATTATTGAAAATGAAGATGGATGGAAACTAAAGGGTGCCTTACTTATTCAATGACTTAACTGTTCGCAGGCATAATGACTAACTTACTTGCACATGAAGGCACAACTTTAAGATGACCATTTGACCCAACTCTTCTACTGCCATAAAAACATTAAAAAAAGGTCTATTCCATTATGTTCAATTCAACCAAATATTGTAGTTTACCAATTATTATAAAATTGAAAGTGTTTTAGGACAAACGTGTCAACAGCAAATAACTCAGTAAAGGTTTATTCAATCAGCATTTGGAAATTTTAATTAAATTTGAACTAGCTGTGCTTTAATAGACTCTGAATGGTTATTAGCACAACACAATATTTTTTTTAAAGAAGTAAAAACTGTTTTTGCTGGAACTTGATTGGTTCTGAGCTCCAAAATTGGTAAATATCTACGAAAATAATCTGTACACGCTGCCAAACATCAGGAAGAAAAGCAGAAAACTTCAGTCAGTCATTTAGATGTTTCTTTTTCTCAGCTGTCATCTATCTTATTTGGAAAGAGCCAGTGTCTTGGCCCTAAATACTTTCTGACAGTGTCAGAGTGCTATTAAATGGCACTATCTATACATCAAGCATGGTTTTTAGCCAATTTAAAAATAATGCAAACTCACAACCTTCTTCTCTGAAATTTCAAAAATTTAAACGAACTTTGTCAACATTGGTACCTATTTACTCCATCCGAACAATGAGTAATTTGATTTATTTTAGGGACATAATTAGGCAGTTGATCATTCGAAGCTAATGCTTTACTAATAATGAGCTTGTCTAATTGTGTATTCCACAGAATGAACTGACCCAGGTAACATCACTGTAGACTTAACTGAAACCTGGAGATGTTCTTACAGATGAACTGCAGGGGAGGGTTGTCATGGAAACAACAGGCAGGCCCAGGCATCTTTATGTAGACTTTAAAGTAGAAGAGATGTGGGGGTAAGAAGAAACTGCAGCAGCTTGGTAAAGGTTGGGTTTCCATTCAGATTGAGTTTGAAGGAAGAAAAAGTAGAGAAGAGTTTTGCTGCTACTTGAGACTGGGCAAAGGCTCTTTACACTGAACATCTCTGAAAGCCAATATTATGGGTGATATTCCTTGAAGACCGATGACAAAAGAAACTCTATGGAATAAATAGTGTACTTGAGACCATTAAATCCTTGTAGAATTAAGAATACAAGGGAATAGTCTTTCCTATGACTGAATTGCAAGAAATATATTAGTGGATAGGTGTGTAACTGAATTACCTTAGTAGGTTTCATTATTTCCCCTTAGTTTAGTAATATAAATAAAATGACATGCAGCAAATACACACACACACACATACACACACACACACAAGTGTTACCCACTGCTGCCCAGTATTTACGCAGAAGCAGGCTACACACACGTGAGATGCTTCCACCTTACCTGGTTGTGAACAATTAAAGGGCAAACATAATATCTTTTTTCACCTTCTCTTACAGACCCCTGCAGAGTGAGTACTCAACACTGTTAACTGAAGGAAAGATACAGTCCTGTAAACACTGCTATTATCTCCTCTGTGCTACTTATACAGTTTGATAGTTTCCTTTTGAAAACTCCCAGAGGAGACTAAAACTGCTTCCTTCTTGAAGTTGAATGATCCTGTTTAATACATACATAATTATTAACATTTGTTGTTACTGTTTTATTTTGTTATTTTAAGCTGAATTTGGTGGCAGGGTTTAATTACCTTGTAGTCCACAGGCTAATAAAGAAAATATCTTTTTGGTGTTTTGTGAGTGGGTGAGGTAACAGCACTCAGTCATGTAGATAATGTTTTAGTATTTATATTCATATTGAGAATAGATACAGTTGCTGTTAATATTAGGTAAGTTAGTAGACTTAAGATTGTAATGACATGATTGTAAATTAAAATTGCAATTATTCAAACTTTATCGGCAATTGACGTATATGCTAACATTTTTCAGAGCTGTGTTTGATTGAGCCCCCCTTAATCTCCTACTAAGATAGATAGTGCTGCAATTGTTAATAGTGTATTTAGGTCCACTGAGGGAAAGATTTGGAATATGATAGAAATTGGTGCTAGTATCTGTCATTAAGAATAATTATACTGATATTAGTGCGATTCCTTATGTTACTACAAGAACTCAAAAGTGAAAGGAGGATATTTCCAGTTTCTGTACTAGAACAACAATAATTATCAGGAATGCTGTTTGGTTCAGCATGTTTGAAATTGTTCATTGCCCAGAATACATTATATTGATAATAATGGCTGTTGTTAGACTTATGGATGTGGTTCCTCGTATTTGGAAGGAGGTATTTGGTGGCTGCTTCTGTGGAACAGAGTTTAGCCTTCTTGAATAAAATAAAGATGATGGCCAGCGTGTTTATTTCTAACCCTATTCAAATGAAGAGTCAGTGTGAACCGATTGTGATTAGAGTTCCTGTAAAAATAGTGAAAAGGATGATGCGGTGGACTAAGGGCTGATTAGTACAGGAGACATATAAACCAACGTTTTCAGGGTATGGGCCCAATAGATCATATATGAGTATGATCTCACACTGCTAATAAAGACATACTTGAGACTGGGTAATTTATAAAGGAAAAGGTTTATTTGACTCACATTTCTACATGGCTGAGGAGGCCTCACAATCATGGCAGAAGGTGAATGAGGAGCAAAGTCATGTCTTACATGGTAGCAGGCAATAGAGCTTCTATCGGGGAACTCCCCTTTATAAAACCATCATATTTTGTCAGACTTATTCACTGTCATGAGAACAATACAGGAAAGACCCACCTCCATGATTTAATTACCTCCTACTGGGTCCCTCCCATGACGTGGGAATTATGGGAACTATAATTCAAGATGAGATGTGGGTGGGGACACAGTCAAACCATATCAGCTTTTCTAGCTGGCCTTACTGTAGGATATGGTATATTAGGTAGCACAAAGAATTTTGAATTCTCAGGGGTAGATTCAATTCCTATAATTCTAGAAATAAGAGGGCTTAAACCTTTATGATTTACTCTATCAAAATAACTATTTTATCAGACATATTTCTTATGTTTGTGGCAGGATACTAGATATTACGATGGGCACTGAAAGGTGTCATACGCATAACGCTAGTGTAAGAGATAGAAATCTTTTTCATTAAGAGTTGTATAAGTTGGTCATATTGGAATCATAGGTATGATGCTTGAATTCATAGGAAGAGGGTTGTTAATAGAACAGTTTTAGTAATGAAACTAATTGTATATAATTCTGGTATGAAGATATCATGTAATGCTCCTAGAAAAATGATAGTGGTTAGGGTGTTTATTATAATAATATTAGTATATTCTGCTATGAAGAATACAGGAAATGGGCCTGTAGTGTATTCGATGTTAAGCCTGAGACTAGCTTTCATTCACCTTCTGTTAAATCAAATGGACTTCATTGGTTTCTGCTAGGGTTGAGATTAGTCATGGACAGGGATCATGACAAACTCCAGTGTAATAATAAGAGTTGACCAGGTGAAATACCTACTCTGCAAAAGGACTTATAGTAATGGCCAGGGTAACTTCGTATAAAATTGTTTGCGCTACAGCTTGCAATGTGCCGATCAAGGCATATTTTGAATTGGATGCTCATTCTGATGATAGGATTGAGTAGACGACTAGGCTTGATGTGGCCAAGATGAATAATACTCCTATATTTACATTAACCAAGGGGTAAGGTATGGGGAGGCGGATCTATATGATGAGCACAAGGGTTGGAGCAATAATGTAAAGGGGAATAGATGATGTTAGTTGTTGTAATGGTTCTTTAATGAACAGTTTAATTGCATCTGCAAAGGGTTGGAGTAGGCCAAATGGGCCTACAATGTTGGGATCTTTACGAAGTTGTATGTAACCTAAAATTTTTACTTCAATCAATGTTAAGAATGCTATTGTGAGGATGGCAGGGATAATAAGTAGAAGAAGGTTGATTACAAACATGTTAATAAAAAGAGGAATTGAACCTCTGATTATGCAGTTTTAAGTTTTATGCAACTGCTGGGCTCTGCAATCTTAACAAACCTTTTTTTCTTGGGCAGAGTGTAGTAATAGTGTATTAGATTAAGATAATATCATCTATTAAATGGAGGGCCCTTTTTGCAGCAGACTTTATTTCTCTTGTCCTCTTGTACCAGGAGAAATATTGAATAGATAGAAACCAACCTGTATGACTCTGGACTAAACTCAGATTACGTAGGACTTTAGTAAAACAAATGAACCATTAATAGCAGTTACACCATTAGGATGTCCTCATCCAACATCGAGATCGTAAACCCTATAGTCAATATGGACTCTAGAATAGGATCGTGTTGTTATCCCTAGGGTAACTTGCTCAGTTGGTCAAACTATTTGTGTCAATGTATGATACGTTACTTTGACTAGTGCAGTCTTAGCTAAAGTCATTTTGGAGCTTGTGTTATTATCCAAGGTCACCCCAATCAAAATATTTCTTTCATTAGATAAAATATTAAGACTTGTAAGTTTTATTTTTTCTAAGTTCATTTGTCCTAATAAATTGAAGCTCCATAGAGTCTTCTCATCTTATTTTAGTATTTCTGTCTGTTTTTTGTTTGTTTGTTTTTGAGATGGAGTTTCGCTCTTGTTGCCCAGGCTGGAGTGCAATGGTGTGATCTCGGCTCACTGCAACTTTTGCCTCCCGGGTTCAAGTGATTCTCCTGCCTCAGCCTCCCGAGTAGCTGGGATTACAGGCACCTGCCACCACGCCCAGCTAATTTTTGTATTTTTAGTAGAGATGGGGTTTCTACATGTTGGCCAGGCTGGTCTCAAACTCCTGACCTCAGGTGGTCTGCCTGCCTCAGTCTCCCCAAGTGCTCGGATTACAGGTGTGAGCCACCACGCCCAGCCTTTATAAAGTATTTCTGCCTCTTCATGGGTAGGTCAATTTCATTGACTAAAGGTAAGAGACAATCAGACCCTCTTGTGGCCATTCATACAGGTCCCTATTTGGGGAAAAACTGATTAGGCTACCTTTGCATGGTCAAGATACCGCAGCCCTTAAACATACGTCACTGGGTAGGCATTGCCTCTGGTACTAGTAATGCTAGAGGTGATGTTTTTGGTAAACAAGACGGGTTTCCTTTTGCTGAGTTCCTTTTACTTTTTAAAAAATCTTTCCTTAATGCATGTTTGTGTTGGGCTAACAGTTGGAATAATAGTTTGTCATCTGATTACTTATATTGGGTTGTTAAATATTAGTGGATTTTCCAGTCTCATGTAAGCTTATGCAAGAGGAATTATTTTTTGTTACTTACGTTAACAGCATTTCTTCAGCTTAGAAATATTTAGAAACACTATACTGGACCAATCTATTAGGTCGGTGCAAAAGTATTTGTGGTTTTGCCGCAATTACTTTTGCACCGACCTAATAGATTCATTCAATATAGTGTTAAGAGTTAGATGTATTGTTTAAAATTAGGGTTTTTAAATGTTGAGCTTAAATGCTTTCTTAGTTGGTTGCTGCTTTTAGGCCAACTAAAGGACTTTAGTATCTTATTCTTGTGCAAGTTTATTTCCTATGTCTAAAGAGCTGTCCCCCTTTAAACTAACAATTAAACTTAACAATAGGATTAGGTGGTTCTGTAGGTAAATTTAAAGTTGAATTTCAATTCTATCTTGGACAACCAGCTATCACCAGGCTTGGTAGGCCTTTCGTCTCTACCCATATATTGTCTCATTATTTTTATACATAGATGAGTGTGTTCTTTTGACTGTCCGTGAGTAGCTCATCTCGTTTCAGGATTTTTAGCTGAAGTTCTTTTTGTAAAACTATGCTAGTTGATTCATTATGCAAAAGGTACAAGGGATTAGCTTTGCCTTTTTGTAATTGGGATAATTCTTTCATCTTTCCCTTATGGTACTTTATCTATAGTGCCTAAATAAGTTAATTTCTATCTCCTATGCTTCTGTCACGGGTAAATGTTTTGGTTTAGCAGGTGTTTGTAATATAGTTTGCTGAGGCAAGGGATAGCATTAGTCCAAAGAGGTCAGGTCATATGAAATCTTCTGGGTGTAAGCCGGATGCTTTGAGTTGAGCTACATTTTGGTTATTCCAAGTGCATTTTCCAGTACACTTATCTTGTTACAACTTATCTCCTCTATATATGTATAAGTTTACGTTATTTAGATGGTTGATAGAAATATTTGAGGAGGGTGATGGGAAGTGTGTGAGTGCTTCATGTTTTTATTCGATCAAGATCTCTATTCTTGATTTACTACTAAATCCTCCTTTGACCTTTAAGTTTCACGAGGGTTGTCATGGGTGTTCTAGATTTAGAAAATGTGGCCCATTTCTTTCCATCTCATGGGCTACACCTTGATCTAACATTTTAATACTTGTGCTTACTTTAAGACCTTTTTAGCTGAAGATGATGGTATATAGGGTATGTGGCAAGAGATGGAAGGGAATATCAGGGTTTATCAATTATAGAACAGGGTCCTCTAGAGGGATGTAAAGCACCGCCATGTCCTTTGAGTTTTAAGCTATTGCTTGTCATACTCTGGTGAATAATTTTGTTTGTTAAATTATTTGAGTTTATAGCTAAGCATAGTGGGGTATCTCATCCCAGTTTGGGCCTTAGCTATCATGTCCTCAGGGCAATAAAGTCACTTTCATAGTTTATTTTTATTTTAACTGCAGCTTTTTACGACTTAGTTTAACTATATTATGAGGGTTATCTTAAACACACGTTTAACCAGGTTTTATTCGCTTGGGTAAATTGTATGACCACGGTGGCTAGCATGAAATTTACCAACCCTAGAGGCTTAGTATCGCTTAGTCAAACTTTCATTTATTGTTTCGTTTTTATCACTGCTGTTTCTTGCGGAGGTGTGGTTGAGCCAGCTATTATGAGCTGCGTGCTTGATGCATGCTCCTTTTGATACTAGATGATCTAGAGGACATTATCACTGGAATGTTTAAACTTGAATGTGTAATCTTACCAGAAACCATTAAGGCCAAGCCTTTATATTCAAGGAGTAATGTGGACTCATTCAGGCATTTTCAGTGCCTTGCTTTGACCTATTAAGCTGCATTAACTCAGATCTAGAGAATTTCCTTCTCACTCAAAAATGAAGGGTTGAAATGCTATGCTAGTATTGGGGCAATATTTAGTAACCTTATAAATAATTAAGTGCCCTTTCTAGCTCAGAAAACCTAGTTTTATTAACAATTATGCATTTTTGAAATTAAGTTAATTGAGCGTTGGACTAAAATTTGTTTGTAGTTGAGATTATAATTGGGTTTGGGTTGTGGACCCTGGCTGTAATTAATGATGTAGATTTCTTGTTTTGGGGGTTTAGCAAAAATAATAGCTTATCTCTAATAAAATTAGATTAGTACAGGAATAGGTGGGTCGAGGGGGGGTTGTGGAGTTAATCATATACATGTTTAGAGAAAAATGTGTGTGAATGTGCATGAATGTGTGTGAACTTGCATAAATATGCATCTTATTATCATTATGTTTTTCATGCATGAATGAATTAGCACCTTGAGGTTGTAAATGCTGTCTCTTAATATTCAATGTAAGTCTAGCTACAACCCAGTTGGCTGGGTTCAGATTCCTGCCATGCTGAATCATGACATCTCCAAATTTTAAAAATACCAAATGCATGACAGTGCTCCTGGGAGTGATCATCAGCGAATTCGTCACTAATCCATCGAGATGTTTTATTTAAGGGGAATGAGTGGAAGGAATGAGTCCTAAAATGTTAGAGTGAAAAGGGAGTTTAGACACTGATTTCTACATGGACCACATTTTACAGATAAGGAGGATGAGGCTCAGAGATGTTTTCAAAGATTCCCAGATAGAGTTCTTTCCGGCTCTGGCCCCGTGGGAGTTTGTTCAATGTACTTTGAGAGCATAAATCAGTTTCAGTAGCCCAACCCTGGATGAGGTTAATATCAAATACCAGCATCCTTTTATGTTTGTGAATGTAAATTGTGAATCATGAGGATGAAAAGAGTGGACTATGCTGAGAGAAAAACTTGGGTTTTAGTCCCAGCTCTGTTATCTACAAGGTACATGATTTTGACTGAGATAACAAACTTTCTCAACTTCAATTTTCTCATGTGTATAGGAATAATGATATTATCTGCCTTACAAAGTTATTAAGGGATTTAAATGAGATTGTCTATATAAAGTTTTCCTTCCTTCCTTCCATCCTTCCTTCTTTTTTTTTTTTCTTTAGCAAGAATTTACCAAGCACCTACTGCATATCAGACGTTATTCTAGGGTGCTGAAGATACAGCAGTGAACAAAATGATGCCTATAAATTCATGCAGCTTACCTTCTAGTGAGGAAGACAACACTAAGCAAACACAACACAATTAAAATATGTAGTGTGTCAGCAGGTGATGTACTGTATGTAAATCAGGGAAGAGGTGTTGGTCAAAAGTGCTGCATGAGATAGGGTGTCCTATTTATGTGAAGTGATGAGGAAAGGCTGCTTTGATACTGTGATAACTGGATACACACCTTAAAGAAAATGAGGAAACAAGCCACGTGTTGAACTGGGTAGAGCATACCAGGATGAGGAAACAGCAAATGTAAGGACCAGAAAGACCTTAAAACAAGAATACCCTTAAGGTCTTCAGAAAGTTCAAGGACCACCATGGCTGTAGTCAGCTGACCTTAGTGGAGGGAGAAAAAGGGAGGAAAAGCAGGCGATTAGGTCAAAGAAGGTAATTGGATCTCGTCATAAAACATCTTGAAGTTGCCTGTAAAAACTTTGGTTTTTACTCTGACTGAGGTGGACAGTCATTAAGGGGTTTTGAAGAAGATGAATAATGTAATCTGACACTCTTTAAGACATGTTACAGAATCACCCCTAATACTTATTGAGAGTAGACTGTTTCATGGCAATGGTGAAAGCAAGAAGACTAGTTAGAAGGCAATTGCAGTAGTCTAGTTGTGAAACTACTCAATAAATAGTAGATAAAGATGATGATGCTTCTCACTAAATGGCAGCTATTTTCACACAGTAATAATAGAAAATTGTAAGACGTTGGCTACAGTTAATTACATTTTATGGAAAAAAGCCTAAATTTAAACATGGTATATAAAAGAATAAGAATTAATTTTTGTTATAAAAATATGCATAATAATACAAAGCAACTCCCTCATCTTTGGGTATATAATAGCTATGTCTGCATGGTACCAAAATAGCTGGTGGAAAAGTGAAATTTTAGTCATCAGATAAAAAATAACATAATAGAATGCATTTATTCCACCATTTGTGGCTTTTAATTAATGTCAAACTGAATTTATCGTCAACCTGAAGCAAAGAAGATAAGAAGGAAGAGGCAAAGGAGAGAAAAAGGAAGAGAAGGAGTTGTATCATTTATTTATTTTTTATTTGATTCACAGAAAAGAAAGAAGTCTTTCAAAGGCTTATTGAAAAGCGATATTTAAATAACATTGTTTTTTTTCTATTCTGTAGTAAGACATACTCATTACAGAAAAATTGTAAATAAGAAACATTATAATATTTGGAAGAAAAAATATCATCAATAGTCTATTGCCAAAAGCAACTATATTTTTTTTTACTGGTTTATTACTATTATTATTTAAACATTTTCTATTTCATGCTCATAAAGCATACAGATGTATTTTTCATTTTCACGTAACACCAAATAAATTGTATTGTTCCTATGCTCTTAAATTCTTTATAAATATTACCAAAATAGGCACACAGTATTTTCAGTACATGTGTCATGAGTTACTTCTAACTTTCTATTCTTAGACAATTTTAAATATTGTTTTATATTTCAAATAGCGTTGCAGTGATTATCTATGTGCATAAAGCTTTCATTCCCTATTTACAAGCATTGTTTTAAAATAAATAACTGAGATTGAGATGATTAAAATATTTTCAGACTTTTATGAAGAATTCACAACCATAGGAATAAACATACCCATGAATAAAGGAATAAAAATGACAGAACCATCACAGGTGACATCAGCAAGATGTACAGAGTTACCTGGTGCTCATCCCCCCAACAGAAAGAAACCAAAACAATGAATAAACAATTATATTTCAACTATAGTGACTAAAGAAGTATGCCAGAGAGCACAAGAGCGATGATAAAATCCCATCTAGAGCACAGAACGCGGGGGAGGACCACAGAAAGAGGAGCAAGGGATTCTGCCTCTGCCACACTGTCTCCCCTGCTGGGAATGGCTCAGAGTAAGGAGACCTTCTCCCTATGGGGAAAAGGTAAGTTTCCCAGTTACTATAAGTTTAAAATAGTCTATTATAACCAAAAGACACATTACATTGGACTCATGATAACTGTTACCAAGCAAAAAGGCTTACTACCTGATGTGCTAGAACCAATACTGTTACACTGGATTTTCGAGGAAAGTAAGACTTTTATTGTGAGCCAACCAATAAGAAGGTCAGAGTTCCACTTAAATTGGTCTCCTTGTGCTGGCTTAAAGGCATTTTTTTTCCAGAAAAGGTTTAGGGGGTGGATTCTGGGATTGGCAGGTAACTAGTGGAAGAAAAGAAGAGGTCTGAAAACCCCTTGGGCATTCACAGTTATCTGTTCATATCTCACATGTTACATGTGGCACTTCTGGGGAGTTAGTATAGAACAAGCAGTGGAAATTTGGACTGTGATGTTAGCAGGCTTGTTCTGCATACAGTCCAGTTGGCCACATTGATTCCAACCAGTTTCAGCCATATTCAGAGGGAAAGCACAATTAGTGGGCAGAGGGAAAATACAGAAGCTGAGCTGAATGTTTTTATCAGGCTACAAATTTTCCAAACTTTTACGCTCTGCTTCCCTTTTAAAGATAAGTTCCAATTTCAGATCATCTCTCTTAAGTTCAAAGTTCTACAGAACTCTAGGGCAGGGGCAAAATGCCTCCAATCTTTTTGCTAAAGCATAGCAAGAGTGACCTTTGCTTCAGTTCCCAACAAGTTCCTCATCTCCATCTGAGACCACCTCAGCCTGGACTTTATTGTCCACATCATTATCAGTATTTTGGTCAAAACCATTCAACAAGTCTCCAGGAAAATTCACACTTACCAACATCTTCCTGTTTTCTTTTGAGCCCTCCAAACTATTCTAGCCTCTGCCCGTTACCCAGTTCCAAAGTCACTTCCACATTTTCAGGTATCTCTATAGTGGTATCCCACTCTCTGTGGTACCAGTTTACCGCATTAGTCCATTTCACACTGCTGTAAAGAACTACCGCAGACTGAGTAGTTTATAAAGGAAGGCAGTTTGACTCACAGCTCTGCATGGCTGGGTAGTCCTCAGTAAACTTACAAATCATGGTGGAAGCAGAAGCAGGCATGTCTTAAATTGCAGCGGGTGAGAGAGAGCATGTGAAGAAGTGAAGCGGGAAGAGCCCCTTATAAAACCATCAGATCTCATGAGAACTCACTATTATGAGAACAGAATGGGGGAAGCTGCCTGCCATAATTCAAGCACCTCCCAAAAGGTCTCTCTTTCAACACCTAGGGATTACAATTCAAGACGAGATTTGGGTCAGGAAACAAAGCCTAACCATATTGTATATCCAAAGGAATAGAAATTGTTTTGTTATGGAGACATTTTCACACATATATTCACTGTAGCACTATTCACAATAGCAAAGACATGAAATCATGCTAAATGCCTATCAATGGCAGACTGAATAAAGAAAATGTGGTACAAACACACCATTGGATACTATGCAGCTATGAAAAAGAATGAGATTATGTCCTTTGCAGGAACATGAATAGAGCTGGAGGCCATTATCCTTGGCAAAATAATCTAGGAACAGAAAATCAAATACCATAAGTTCCCACTTACAAGTAGTAGCTAGATTATGAGAACACATGGACACACAGAGGGAAACAACACACGTTGGGGCCTATTGGAGGGTGGAGGGTTAGAGGAGGTAGAGGATTGGGAAAAGTAACTAATAGGTACTCGGCTTAATACCTGGGTGCTGAAATAATCTGTATAAAAAACACCTGTGACACAAGTTTACCTATATAACAAACCTGCACATTTACTGCTGAACTTAAAATAAAAGTTAAATTTAAAAGATCATAGCAATTGTCTATTAATTATCACAATAGTATAAACTATAAACAATAAAATCTTTGAAATTTAATGTAAAAATGAGTCAATGAAATAATTTAAAGTGAAATTAAAAATTTCTTTGCAACAAAAAAGAAAATAAGCATATCATACTAAAACCTATGGGACACAGCAAAAGCAGTTCTAAAATAAAAATTTATGACAACAAATGCCTGCATTAAAAAAAGAAGAGACATTTTTGCATTAGTCCATTTTTGCACTGCTATAAATAAACACCCAAGACTGGGTAATCTATAAAGAAAGAAGTTTAATTGACTCACAGTTCCACATGGCTGGGGAGACCTCAGGAAACTTACAATTATGGCAGAAGGGGAAGCGGGCAGAAAGGACCGTTGTCACACGGTGGCAGGGGCAGAAACTTTCAAGCACTTATAAAACCATCAGATCTCATGAGAACTCACTCACTATCACAAGATCAGAATGGGAGAAACTTCTCCCATGATCCGATCACCTCCCAATAGGTTCCTTCCTCAACACCTGGGGATTACAATTCAAAATGAGATTTGGGTGGGAACACAAAGCCTATCCATATTAATTTGCAATCAACACCCTCAAGTAACTAGGAAAACAAAAGCAAACTACACCCAAAATTGATAACAGGAAGGAAATTAGAAAACTCAGAGAGAAAATACATTAAAGACTAAAAATATAATTCAAAGATCAATGAAATAAAGAGTTGGGTCTTTCAAAAATTAGAAAAATTAACAAGCCTTTAGCTTGACTAAGAAAAAAAGAATATTTAAATCAATGAAATTGGAAAGATGAGAATGAAGACACTGCAATTGATACTGCAGATATACAAAAGGTCATAAGAAATTATTATGAACAACCATATGTCAATAAGTTTGATGAGATAGAAGAAATGGATAAATTTCTGCACACATACAACCTATCAAGATTAAATTATCAAGAAATAGATAGCCAGAACAGACCAACAATGAGTGAGAAAAATGAATCAGGAATAAAATGCATTTCATTAAAGAAAAGCTCAAAACCTGATTGCTTCTTTGATGAATTCTATCAAATATTTAAAGAAGAAACAATACCAATTTTCCTCAAACTATTCTAGAAAATCAAATGGGAGGGAATACTTTTGAACTCATTTTATGAGGCCAGAATTACCTTGAATCCAAAACTGGACAAAGACACAACTAAAAAAGAAAATTACTGGTCAATGTCCCTGATGAACATATATGAAAAAGTCTCATCAAAATAGTAGCAAACCAAACCCAACAGCCCATTAAAAAGATCATTCACTATGATCAAGTGAAAGATGCAGGGAGGTCCTTTAACATACAAAAATTGATGAATGTGATTAAACCATAGTAATGGAAAGACAAAAATCTATATGATCATTTCAATAGACACAGAAAAAGCAGTTGACAACATTTAACATACCTTAATGAAAAAAACTCTGACCAAATTAAGTATAGAAAGTCCTTCAACACAGTAAAGACCATACATGACAAACTCATAGCTAACATCATACTGAATGAGGAAAAGTTGAAAGCTTTTTTTTCTAAGATCAGGAAAAAGACAAGGCTGCCCTCTGTTACCACATCTATTCAACATAGTACTGGATGACCCAGCCAGAGCAATTATGCAAGAGAAAGAAAGAAAAGGCATCCAAATTACAAAGGAATGCACTGTTCACAATAGCAAAGACTTGGAACCAACCCAAATGTCCATCAATGATAGACTGGATTAAGAAAATGTGGCACATGTACACCATGGAATACTATGCAGCCATAAAAAAGGATGAGTTCATGTCCTTTGTAGGGACATGGATGAAGCCGGAAACCATCATTCTGGGCAGAGATTTTTAAATCAAGACCTCAAAAGTACAAACAACAACAACAAAAATAGACAAATAGGATTATATCAAACTAAAATACTTTTGCACAGCAAAGGAAACTTAAAAAGAAAGCCTACATGATGGTAGAAAATATGTGCAGATTATACAGGTGACAAAGGGTAACTATCCAGAATATATGAGGTACTATACCAGTAAACAAAAAACAAAAAAATCCTGATTAAAAATGGGCAAAAGGGCTGGGCATGGTGGCTCATGCCTATAATCCCAGCACTTTGGGAGGCTGAGGCAGGCAGATCACTTGAGGCTAGGAGTTCAAGACCAGCCTGGGCAACATGGAGAAACCCTGTCTCTACTAAAAATACAAAAATTCGCCGGGTGTGGTGGTGCACACCTACATTTCCAGCTACTCGAGAGGCTGGGACATGACAATTGCTTGAACAACCTGTAGACGGAGGCTGCAGTGAGCGAAGATCATGCCGCTGCACTCCAGCCTGGACAACAAAGTGAGACCCTGTCTCAAAAAAAAAAAAAAATCCTTATCATCATTCTCAACAAACTAACACAGAAACAGAAAAGCAAACACCACATGTTCTCACTCATAAGTGGGAGTTGAACAATGAGAATGCATGGACACAGGTAAGGAACAACACATACTAGGTCCTGTTGAGGGGGTGGGGGCAAGGGGAGGAGAGCATTAGGACAAATACCTAATGCATGTGGGGCTTAAAACCTAGATAATGGGTTGACAGGTGCAGCAAACCACCGTGGCACATGTATACCTATGTAACAAACCTGCACATTCTGCACATGTATCCTGGAACTTAAAGTAAAATACAAATTAAAATAAATGGGCAAAAGACCTAAATAGACAGTTATTAAAAGACATACAAATGTTCAAATATATAAAAAAATGCTCAACATCACTGTCATAAGGGAAATGTAAATTGAAACCACAATGAGATAACAGTTCGCTCCGGTGAGAATGACAACATGTAAACCCAAACTCTCGAGACAGATCTCAATCAACTTGGAGGTTTATTTTGCCAATGTTGAGTATGTGCCTGGGAAAAAGAAACACAAGTTACACTAGGATCTGTGGCTTGTGTTTTTTCCAAAAAGAGTTTTGACGACTTCAATATTTAAAGAGAAAAGAGTGGGCAGGAGGGGAAGGAGAAAAAGTTAAAACAAAGATAATTATACATTCATCTTGTGCATGCTAGATCTACATTTAACATAAGATAAAGTAAGCATGGAGCAGAGAAAGAAGTCAAATATATATTTGTCTTGGGGTAGGCTAAGGCCTGATTTCTAGTCTTATCTTTTTTTGGTACCTGTGAAGTTAAGCTGTTAATTTACATTGTCAGGATGAGATTAAACAGAACTCTGATTCAGGATTAATTTGTAGGGGGATACGTATTGTGAAAGATTTTGGGATCCTCAAGGAATTTCCTCATGAGCAATTTGTGAGTGAGGCCACCTGGGGAGATAGGGTGGCCTTCGATATTGCAGTTATCTGTTTGGAAACATAAAGGATCGCAGTTGTTCTGTTTTGCTTTGTTTTGTTTGTGTGACTCAGTTCCCAAGCTGAATTATTCATTTGGTGTAGTGAATTTGGGGTCCTGAGATATTATTTTCCTTTCACATTCCCCCTCCATTCTTCAAAATATTTCACAGAAAGCAATGTAGAAGAAAATAAGTTGGTTATGGGTTTTTGCCTGATCCCTGGTCACTGAGGTTTATCCCTAGAAGGTTAGATCCCACGTTGTAAGAAAAACTCATTATAGGAGGTCATGAAGTCTGGTGTCCCACAGAGAGAAATAGAGGGAGGAAGTAAGAAGAAAAAAAAAGGGAGGAGAAAAAAAAGACCAAAGCCAGATTATAGCAACAAAGAGAAAATCAATTCTGGAAAATTGATTTCAGCTGTATTACTGAGACATCCATATATCAGCAGGTAGACACACACACACACACACACACACACACACACAGTTGCTATTATTTCTCTCAAAGTTTAAGTTGTCTAGCATAAGCTTGCAGGACTTTAAGAAGAGCACAGTTTTAATTTTTAGTGATTCTAAGTCAGAAGAATAGGAGAGAAAAAAAATTGAAAATGTTAGTTTGGAGGCCTGTAGGCAGGAAAGAATTCAGGATCTAGTCCAGGAAAATTGTAGACAAATAATAAAAATGGAAAACAATGCACAAGGCTAGAATTTAATAACAGGTATACTACAGTTTCTTCAGAATCATATTTTTCCTCTCTCCAGCCCCTCATTTTTACTACAGACAAATCATACTGGGACCAATTTATTTGCAAAATACGTTTTAGTCTTACTATTCTTGGTCTGATTATTTGCATGAAGTGAAGCAAGAATAACTATTTGCCATACAGGCTGTTTTTTTAAATTGGTGAGGATGAGGAAAAAAGGATCACTTACACACTGCTGGTGGGATTGCAAACTAGTACAGTTATGATGAAAAACACTATGGAGTTTCTTTTTAAAAAATTAAAAATAGAATTACCACATGACTTAGCAATCCCACTACTGCACATATATCTAAAAGGAAAATATATCAGTATGTCAACACGATACCTGCACTTCTATGTTTATTGCAGCATTATTTACACTAGTGAATATGTAAAATCAACGTATGTATCCCACAATGGATAAATTGATAAAGAAAATATGGTATACAATGGAATGCTATTCTTCCGTAAAACAAAATGAAATTCTATTATTTGTGACAAAATAGATGAACCTGGAGGACATGAAGCTAATTGAAATATACCAGACACAGAAAGACAAACACTGCATGATTTCACTCATATGTGGAATCTGAAAAAAAGGAAAAAAAAAAAATGATGTCGTAGAAGCAGAGAAGAACAGTGGCTACCAGAGATGGTGAAAAGGAGAGGGTAGGAGGTTTGGAAGATGATGGGTAATGGGTACAAAGTTACAATTATGTAGGAGGAATAAATTTTGGTGTTCTATTGCAGGTGCGATAGATGGTTAACAGTAAAATAATGCATATTATAAAACAGCTAGAAGAGACATTGTTGAATGCTCTTAAAACAAATAAATGATGAATGCAGGAGGCGATAGATACACTAAATACTCAGACTGAGTGATTATATAGCAAAGATATGTATTGAAGCATCAAATTTTACCCCATAGATATCTACAATAACAATGTATCAATTTTAAAACATAAGAATTAAAAAACGAAATGGCAGAAGTGCTAAGAAATAAATATGGTAAGAAAAATAAAACTACTTAAGATCGACTTTTTTTTTTTTTTTTGAGACGGAGTCTCACTCTGTTGCCCAGGCTGGAGTGCAGTGGCATGATCTCAGCTCACTGCAACCTCTGTCTCCCGGGTTCAAGCAATTCTCCTGCCTCAGCCTCCCGAGTAGCTGGGACTACAGGCACGTGTCACCATGCCAGGCTAATTTTTTGTATTTTTAGTAGAGACAGGGTTTCATCGTGTTAGCCAGGATGGTCTCAATCTCCCTACCTCGTGATTCGCCCGCCTCGGCCTCCCAAAGAGCTGGGATTACAGGCGTGAGCCACCGCGCCCGGCGTAAGATAGATTTGTATTAGCCCTAAGTTAAGGACTTTACAAAGAAGAAATTTAGAGATTAATTAAATTAAATGGTAAGAAATGAAATAATATGAATCCCAAGGTCATTAGAAGTCATCCTTCAGAGTTCTAAATCTTAAGATCATAGATCATTTATTAAGGCAGAATGGATTGTTTTTAAATGATGGATTCACTGAGATCAGATAATTACAGAGTCTACATTTAACTTGAATATACTAAGTTGTCAATAAGCATCACGCATGAGGCTTATTAATCTTTTTAAAATTCTTGTATTTTGTAATTAAATTAGTTCTATTAGTCAATGTGAATTAAATAATGTATCAGCAAGTTAAGTATTCCCTATTGTTTCAGAAATTTGGCTGAAGCCTCAAACTTAGAAGAAAGTACAATAGTGTCTGCATATTCTAAAGCAAGGTGCTAGATGTATCTATACAGAATTTGCTAAAATAAAGAATAAATCCAACCATCATTATCACTTCTAACTTTTCTCAGAAAAAAGAAAGAAATTCAAAAGAGATTATTGGAAGGGAATTAATAAAAATAGATTAAGCTTTGACTTTTATCTTTTTCCTTTCAAACTAGGTAAGATAGTCCCCAGGGTTAAGGGTACGTGTAAGAAAGACAGCTCACCCTTCTCCCCATTTGAATGCTGGGTGGGCAGCAGAAAATCTGTAGGTTCTTCTTGCCACCTAGGTGACAAATGGTGAAAAAAAAACTTACTGGGAGAGCATAATCAATGTTTCCCAGATTTTGAAGACTTGTGCATAAGTACAGAGTCAGGTGCCAGTTTTCAATATAGAAGATTCCATAAGGCAGTGAGGGCAGCCAACTTGTTCACCATCTTGGCATGGCACTAATATTTGAGTTTTACTTTGGTCAAGTGGATGTTTTAGAAGTAGTTGAATTTGTGCCACCTTAAAGAGATCCCAATATCTGAATATTAGACAGTTGTTGGAAGTGACCAGTGAGTTATTGCATCTGAAAAATATGTCACTAAAATATTGGTAAGCAGATTGATCAGAGTTGAGATAGAAGTATTACAGGCAATTCAATAAACTGGTTATTACACTATGCTAACTTACAAAACCAAAGTAATGACAACTAACTTTTACATGTGGGGACATTTTGAAACCCTCTAACAATAAAATCTTTCTAGTTACAGTTGGCAGATAAAACACAAGATGCCCAGCCCCAGTCTGCCCAGTCGGCAGACTGGGAGGGCATGGTCTGAAAGCTTCAGTTGCTGTCTCCATCGGGAAGGCTTAACTCTTGATCCCTTGCAGACATTCCCCAGCACCAGCCTGGAATGTGGCAGCCCTACTCTGCAGCTAGACACAGAGGAACAGCAGCATTAACAGTAGTCTGGCCCTCAGGGACTTATACCCCTAGGAAAAGGAAGAGTGCACCATATTAAGAGAATGCTCCATGGGACAAAATAATCCAGATGATAGGCCTTGAGTCCCAGAACTTTCTGCTGGTGG
The DNA here is from genome assembly GCF_000001405.40 of Homo sapiens. Taxonomy (NCBI): domain Eukaryota; kingdom Metazoa; phylum Chordata; class Mammalia; order Primates; family Hominidae; genus Homo; species Homo sapiens. Next base: position 143,417,968 of record NC_000023.11, on the reverse strand, counting down.
GAAGTTTCTTTCAGCAGAGGTGCAGGTGCTATGCTGGGCTAAATGGGGAAAGTCAACAGATATTACCCAAGAGTCAGGCAGCTCTGGTACTTGTGAATAGTCTTTAGGAAGGGGATTCATTTTCCTCCCTCATCCACCATTGCAGACACAGCTGAGGCTTCTCCCATGAAAACTCAGTGTGGGCACAACTATAGATAGCCTTTCTGGGACACTTCAGAATGACTGCATCCTACAGAAGGAGTGACCTCCAGGTTCAGTCTTGCACAAGGGCTAGCGTCACAATTCCTCTCTACTTGGAAAAGCAACATTCCTGCTGATAAAAGAGGTGCCTGTCTGATTTGAATAGCCAGAACAATGGGTGAGGAGTGTGTCTGCAAGTTGCATTGCTTTTCTGCTGGTTTGGCAGGGGAGCTGAGGTGGTCCCCACTTTTCCCGTGATAAGACCTCAGTGTATTTCACTGAGAGCTCACCCAGCCACCTCTGTCAAAGCTGGGACATTTGCATCATGGCTTTTTGCAGATGCTGGGACAGCCAGCATCTGCAAAAGCCATCATACAAAGGCTCTCTATAACCAAGAATCGATATGAAGTCTTTACCTCTAAAAGGACCAAGAGCCAAATTAGGCTACAATAAATTATACTCATTAAGTTACAATCTTAAGAGATAAAATAACAATAATAAAATAGTCTAATGGAAAATAAAATCAAGAACAATTAGAACAAATTGTCTACCCAAATAAAAGGAAACAAGAAAAATAATTCTGGTAATAATAAGAAGGGATCAAAAGAAATAGATAAAGTCTCCAAGAAATATGGGATTATGTAAAATTGCCAAATACAAGAATAATTGGTGTACCTGAGGGAGAAGATAATGCAAAAAGTTAGGGAAATTTATTTGAGGGAATAGTTGAGCAAAACATCCCTGGCCTTGCTACAGACTTAGATGTCCATATACCAATGCTCAAAAAATTCCAGAGGGATTAATTGAAAAAAGGGAATCAGCAAGGTGTAACATCATCATGCTATCTACAGTAAACGTGAAGGATAGAATTCTAAGATCACTGAGACTAAAGCATCAAGTAACCTATTAAGGAAAACTGATCAGATTAACAGCAGGCTTTTCAGAAGCAACCATGCAAGCTAGAAAGTACTGGGGTCCTAACTTCAGCTTCCTTAAACAGAATAAGCATAAGTCAAGAATTTTGTATCCAGGAAAACTAAGATTTTATGAATGAAAAAGAAATACAGTCATTTTCAGACAAAAAAATGCTGAGGGCATTTGTTAATACCAGAGCAGACCTACAATGAATAATAAAATGAGCACCAAGTCTTGAAACAAAAGATCAATATGCACCAGAATAAAACCTCTTGAAAGCATAAAGCTCACAAGGTCTATGAAAGAATAACACAACAAAGAAAACAAAGTATTTAGGTAACAATTAACATGATGACTGGAAGAGTACCTCACGTCTCAATATTAGCATTGGACATAAATGGCCTACATCCTCCACTGAAAAGACACAGATTGGCAGAATGAACAAAAAGTAACAAACCAAATAGCTGGTGTCTTCAAGAAACTCACCTAACACATAAGGATTCATATAAATTCAAGGTAAAGGGGTTGAAAAAGATATTCCATGCAAATGAAAACCCGAAGTGAGCAAGATTAGCCCTTTTTATATTAGACTACACAGACTTTAAAGCAACAACAGTAAAAAAAAAAAAAAAACAGAAGGACATTATGTAATGATAAAATTATCAATCCAATGAGAAGATATCACAATCCAAAATTTATATGCACCTAACTTTGGAGCTCCCAGATTTCTAAAACGATTAGTACAAAACCTAAGAATTAAGGCAGAAAGTAACACAGTAATAGTGGGATAATTGAATACTCCACTGACAGCACTATACAGATCATTGAGACAGAAAGTTAACCAAAAAATCCAATGGTTATTAACTACACTCTAAAACAAATGAATCTAACAGATACTTACAGAACATTCTACCTAACAACTGCAGAATATACATTCCTCTCATCAGCACACAAAACATTCTCGAAGATAGACCATGTCATGGGTCACAAAGCAAGTTTCAACAAATTTGGAAGTTCAAACTCATACCAAGTGTCTTCTCAGACAACAGTGGAAAAAAACTAAAAATCAACTCAAAAAGGAACCCTCAAAATTATACAAATATACAGAAATTAAACAATCTTCTCCTTAGTGATTTTTGGATTAACAATGAAATCAAGATGGAAATTAAAAACAAATTTTGAGATGAATAATAATAGTGACACAAGTTGTCAAAACTTCTGGGATACAGCCAAAGCGGTGCTAAGAGGAAAGCGTATAGTGCTAAACACTGACATCCAAAAGGCTGAAAGATCACAAATTGACAACCTAATGTCACACCTCAAGAACTAGAGAAACAAGAACAAACTAAACCCTAAGCTAGCAGAAGACATTAAATAACAAAGGTCAGAGTAGAACAAAATGAATTTAAAACAGAAAATAAAATACAAAATATCAATGAAACAAAAACCTGGTTCTGTGAAAAGATAGACAAAATTGATAGACAATTAGATTGAGCAAGAAAGAAAAGAGAAGATTCAAATAAACTCAATTAGAAATGGAACTGGAGATATTACAACTGATGCCACAGAAATACAAAAAAAAATTGAGACTATTATAAACACCTCTATGCACACTAACTAGAAAACCTAGAGAAAATGGGTAAATTCCTGCAAATATACAATTTTCTTAGATTAAACCAGAAAGAAATAGACACTCTGAGTTGACCAATAACAAGCAGTAAAATTGAATCAGTAATTTAAAAATTGCCCCCCAAAAGCCCAGGACATAATGGATTCATAGCTGAATTCTACCAGACATTCAAAGAAGAAATAGTACCAATCATACTGAAACTATTCCAAAAGATTAAAACGAGGGACCCCTCCCTAAATCACTTGTGAAGTCAGTATTACCCTGTTACCAAAACCAGGAAGAGACATAACAAAAAAGAAAACCACGGAACTATATCCCTAATGAACACAGATGCAGAAATCCTCAATAAACTACTAGCTAACTAAATCCAACATCACTTCAAAAAGATAATATACCATGATCAAGTGGGTTTTATTCCAGTGATGCAGGGATAGTTTAACAGGCAAGTCAATAAATGTGATACATCGCATAAACAGAATTGAAAACAAAAACCATATACTCATTTCAATAGATGCAGAAAACACATTTAATGAAAGCTGGCATCCCTTTATGGTAGAAACCCTCAACAAATGAGGCATAGAAGGGACATACCTCAAAATAATAAAAGCCATATATGATACACCTACAGCCAATATCATACTAAATGAAGAAAAGTTGAAAGCATTCCTCATGAGAACTGGAACAAGACAAGGAGCCCACATTCACTACTTCAATTTAACATAGTACTGGAAGTCCTAGCTAGAGCAATCAGGTAACAGAAAGAAATAAAGGGAATTCAAGTGGAAAAATAGAGGGTCGAACTATTGCTGTTCTCTGATGACATGATCATATTACTAGAAAACTTTAAAACCTCCTTCAAAAGACTCCTACATTTGATGAACAAATTCAGTAAAGTCTCAGGTTACAAAATAAATGTATGCAAATCAGTAGCACTTTTGCATACCAATAATGACCACACAGAGAATCAAATCATAAACTCAGTAACTTTTACAACAGCTGCAAAAACATCAAATATCTAGAAACATACTTAACCAAAGAGGTGAAAGATCTCTATAAGGGGAACTACTAAACACTGCTGAAGGAAATCATAGATGACACAAACAAACAAAACATATCACATGTTCATGGACTGGAAATGTCAGTATTGTGAAAATGACCATACTGCCAAAAGCAATCTACAGATTCAATGCAATTCCTATCAAAATACTAACATCATTTTGTTCATAATTAGAATCAGCAATCCTAAAATTCTTATGAAACTAAAACATAACCTGGATAGTCAAAACAATCTTAAGCAAAAAGAACAAATTTGAAGGCATCAAATTACTGGATATCAAATTATTCTACAAGGGTATAGTTACCAAAACGCATGGTACTGATATTTAAGTATGCATGTAGACCAATGGAACAGAATAAAGAACTCAAGAATAAAGCCAAATACTTACAGCCAACTGATCTTAAACAAAGCATACAAAAACATAAATTGGGGAATGGATGCCCTATTTAATAAATGGTGCTGGCAAAACTGGATAGCCACATGTAGGAGAAGGAAACTGGATCCATATCTCTTATATGAAAATAAACTTAAGATAGGTGAAAGACTCAAATCTAAGTCCTGAAACTACAAAAATTCTATAAGATAATCTAGGAAAAATTCTTCTTGGTATTAGCTGAGGCAAAGAATTTATGACTAAATCCCAAAAAGCATATGCAACAAAAACAAAAATCAATTAATGAGACAGAATTAAACTAAAAAAACTCTGTACAACAACAAAAATAATTGCCAGAGAAACCAGACCGTCCTCAGAATGGTAGAAAATATTTGCTAACTATGTATTTGACAAAGGACTAATATCCAGAATCTACAAAGAATTCAAACAACTCAGCAAGAAAAAACACAGAATCTCATTAAAAAATGGACCAATGACATGAATCAACCTTTCTCAAAAGAAGATACATAAATGGCCAACAAACATAGGAAAACATGTTCAACATCATTAATCATCAGAGAAATGCAAATTAAATCCACAATGAGATACCACCTTACTCCTGCAAGAACTGGGCATTATTAAGAAGTCAAACAAACAAAATGTTTGTGTGGATGTGGTGAAACGGGGATGCTTATACACTGCTCGTAGAAATGTAAAGTAGTATAACCTCTATGGAAAACAGTATAGGGATTTCTTAAACAACTAAAAGTAGATCTACCCTTTTATCTAGTAATACCACTACTGGCTGTCTACTCAAAAGAAAGAATGAGTGGATATAGAAAATGTGGCATATATACACCACAGAATACTAATCAGCCATAAAAAGGAAAGAAATAACATCTTTTGCAAGCAACTTGGATGGATCTGGAGGCCGTTATTCTATGTGAAGCACCTCAGGAATAGAAAACCAAATACTGCATGCTCTTATAAGTGGGAGCTAAACTATGGGTATGCAAAGTCATACAGAGTGATAAAATGAACTTTAGAGATTCAGAAGGGGTTGGCTGGGAGGTGAGTGGGGGATAAAAAACTACGTCTTGAGTACATTGTACACTACTTGGATTATGAGTGCCCTAAAATCTCAGACTTCACCACTATGCAATTCACCCATTTAACAAAAAACTACTAGTACCCCAAAAGCTATTGAAATATAAAATATATAAGACACCCAATGATTTGTTTACATGAATCTCAAATTCATCTGGGCATCGTGTATTTTTATTTGTTAAATCTAGGATTTGATGAATCCTAGTCCAACAGCATTTGTTACATGTATGCCTGTCTTAGTCCATTTGTGTGGATTATAGTACAGTATCCCTGTAAAGGTATACTTGACACTGAGTAATTTATAAAGAAAATAGATTTAACTCATGTTTATGCAGGATGTAAAAGAAGCATAGCACCAGCATCTGCTTCTCAGGAGGGCCTAAGGCTGTTTCCAGACATGGTCGAAGGATAACAGGAGCTGGCCTGTGTAGAGATTACATGGCAAGAGAGGAATCAATAGAGAGCAGAAAAGGTGCCAGGCTCTGTTCATCAGCCAGTTCTCATGACCACTAAAAGTACGAACTTACTCCTGCTAGAATGGCACTAAGTCATCCATGATAGGTCTGTCCCCATGACCCAGAAACCTCCCACTGGGCCCCACCTTCAACACTGGGGATTAAATTTCAATATGAGATTTGATGGGGCAAAATAAACCATATCCAAACCATAGCAATGTCTAGGTGCATGTATATTATTATACATTTGTTGTTTGGACATAAGCAAACAATGTTACTTAATTTTACATCATTTTTGTATTTGTAAATAACATATTATATAATTATATAATGCATGTGTAAGTGTATTTATAATGTGTTTACATACATTTATTGTTACTGCTTAACATGCATGACTTCCTTTAATCTTCACAGCCACTGTATTGTATACCTTCTTTACAGAGGCAGAAATCATGGTTTAGAAAGGTAAAGAAACTTGATCAAGATCACACAGCAAAGAAGGAGCCAAATGATGTCTAAATCCAGGCCCATCTGGCTGAGAGGTCTGGACTTTTAACCACTTGTGCTTTAATTGCCTCGTTGTGCAACGTGAGCCAGAAAGAAAAGTAAATTGCTTCATTAAAATGTCCCCATAAGGAGGTTTTAAGTAAGAAACAAGGGAAAAGAAGGCACTCCAAGTCTTGAAAAATATAATCTCAAATTGATTTTCATCTGTGATAGACACTCCATCTTTTACAAATTGATATGAAAATAGAGTTATCACTCCAAGTGTCTAATTTTTGAAAGCAATATTTATATAGACATGTTTAAACTTCTTTTCTAAACAGGATCTCTAAAATAGTACCCCAGGTGAAAGCTTCCTTTGAAAATGGAGTCTCCGATACCCATGTCCAACATAAAGGGGTTTGTATTTTCTATCTTAACTTTTATTGTTTGTGTCTTTCAAAAAATTAATTGATACATTTGCTGTTTCTTCACAAACAGATGCAGTTGATTGTGCTTGAATAAAAGGGACCACACATGAGAGCTGCTATTTTTATGAAAGCATTCCCATTCTTTATTTCTCTGCTAAATAGGGTGGTATAATTTGTCCTTAATGGATATGAAATGAATATGGATTGTGAACAGTCAATTGAAATTGCCTTTATAATCATCAAATTATTCAGTCCCCAAAGAGGTTATTTATGTTACTCTCAAATAATTGAATGAAATGAATGAAAACTCCCCTTCTCCTTCATCTCTAATTCACCAATCGAATAATACATTAGTCTCTATCTTCTAGTGCAAATGGAAATAATTCTCTCAAGAAATGTTACCATTAAGTATATACCTTTGGAGATTATTTTCTCTTCATCATTTGGTATTTTTAAAGTTTCAAAATAATGACATCAGTTCTTTTGTGTTCTTTTTGACATTATGCATTATTTTTCAAATTTTGCAATTCTGCTATTGTACATTATTGTAGCACATAACAATATTTTAAAAATCTGTCATTAACCAAATTGTCCTGGAATTATCTCCAATATTCTGAATAGCTTTTCCTGCTATTTATACCAGCTTGTATTCAAAAATTAGTTTCAACTGGGTTTCTGCCAAGCCCAGGACAAGTCTGTTGTCTCGATGACATATATGAACATGTAGTTTCTACCATGCAAAAAAAAAAAAAAAAAAACTGAGCAAACTCCTCATTATGTTTCATTGATAAATCAAGCAATTAGTAATGTGAATGTTCTATTCCGCCTACATCAGTATAGCTTTCCAACAGTTGTGTTGGTTTTTTCCTCCTCCCCCTTCCCTGGATTTTTCATTTACTTCAGTTTGACCCTGCCAATCTGGAGTATATGTTTCTGTGTCCATAAGTTTCAAAATACACTCATGTCAGTTTCAACTGTTCTTTATAAATATGAATAATTGATTGGGATAATAGAAGTTATTTTTCAAGAGAAAGATATTACCCTCTGATAAATGCCACCTATGTTTCAGGTGTTGTAATAGGTATCACATATACAGTATTTCATCTAATCGTTGCTTCAGCTTTGTGAAACTTATGATATCAGCATGTAAAGAAACATGCCCAAAGTGGGCAACCACTTGCTGAAGGTAACACAGTTGCTACGAAGCATAATCAGGATTTGATATTTGGCTTCTCTCAGAAAATCTGTTGAGTTATATCTACTAAATGAGGCTGACTCTCAGTCATTCAAGCTGTCTATGAAACTTCAATTGACCGACTACTGACCTTTTGTTCAAGGGCACACTGCAGTAAAAACATTCCAAGCTATTCTATAAGAGAAATAAAAAGTAGGTACACCTAATTTATATACAAAATAAGCAGTTGACTGAATTTCTATTTACAAAATCTTTACACGTTGTGCAGATGCAGCCCATGTGTATATAGTTCCAGAGAACACTATGAAAATTGACAAAGGTGATTTACAAATTTTCCTAGTCTATCTATATGAAAGAGACACTAAGCATGCTACATTGAGTCTGTGCATATTACCTCTCACCAATGAGCCTGTTTATTGCCAGTAAGGGTTGGTGATTATAACTGTAATCCCTTGCCAGAAATATTACTTGCTTAATATCTTATTTTGCTTGCATGTATATGTTTTTGATATCGGGTGGGCTTTTTAAGCAAATGATATCTAAGCCTGATCCTTTATATCAGGGGTCAGCAGACGTCTTTTGTAAAGAGCCAGATTGTAATTATTTTAGGGGCTGTGAGCCATATAGTCACTGTCAAACTCCTCAACTTTGCTGTTGTATTGTAAAAGCAGACATAGACAATACATATATGAACGAGCATGGTTGTATTTTAATAAGACTTTATTTACAAAAACAAGTGATGATCTGGATTTGGCCAAAGGGCTGTGGTTTGCCAAGTTTTGCTTTATAATAGTATGACCTGATTAGGTGCACATTCTCACACAACACACACATACACACACACAATACTTATTTTTAAAGAAAATGAACCATTACTAAGATGCCTTTTTGAACAGCTGATATGACCCAAATCTTATAGGAAATTGCTGTTAACATGCAAGTGAAGATTATTTAATTCTTCCCTAATGTTAGCACTATTTTTCTGAATAAGCTTCAAAATAATTAAAGTGAAAGTTGGCTGTGTTGTATTTGAGAAAGAAATTATAGGCCATAGATTACAGATCTCTTTAATTTCAATTGAAAACTGAGTTAAATTAGCTCTGCACTGGCATGATTCTATAAAGGAATTCATTAGAAGCATTTGTGAAACAATACATAGTCTAAGGGCATTTTTCTATGTATACTATTGCCATAATTAAGAATCTGTCCACATTTTCAAGGGTTATTTTAAGGCTTTTCCAATTTAGCCTTATATAGTCTAGCGATTAAAACCTGGTAAATAAATTGACCCTGGGTTGTGGTACAGATGGGAGAGGGATTTTAGAAGACTGTTTTCTAAAGTAATTAGTCTGCTGGGCCATTATAAATGGGTGCCTATTTTGTTTAATGGTTAAGACTTCTAAATATGAAAAACTATTAAGTAAGTTTAGCAAAAGTCCACATGTTCAATGATTGACTTACATTTAAGTATTTCAAGCTTTCATTCCAAAGATGCAGCTTCACATTTTCAAAATGTTTTTTAAGGGAATTCTAAGGGATATTTTGATAGTATGCTTGGATTTGAAACAATAGAATGAAGGTGATGTATAGAATACATCTAGAACATAGAATTCCAAGAGGCAGAATGCACATCATGCCTTTATAAAATATGATAAACTTTTGAATAAAATGAGTGGTAATTCATTTGGGAGTGTATATATGTTATGCCATTCTCAAATCGAGTATCTACCAATTATATGATATAAAGTGAGATCATTAATGAGCCATTTCCTAATCAAGTGTAATAAAATGTTTGGATTATTGGAAAAAAGAGTTCTCTACTGCTTAATAATGTCCATCAACCTATGCAAGAAATATGGACAATTGCCTATATTTCTATTACCTTTTCTTTAGATATGTTTACAAAGTTATACCATTCAAAACATAATTGAAACATACATTTCATAAAAATTTTGCCTAACATGCTAGCTCAAAATATTTGAATAAAGCTCAACTTCCACAGAATGGTGCTCAAGGCTCTCACAATCTAACCCCAGCCTTATTCATTGCTTATTCCTTCCCTGTACCCTTTATTTCAGCCAAATAAGATTGATTGCCTTTTCATGAATACACCTTGTATTTGCTGGCCCCTTACTTTTACTCCCCTTGGAAGAGAAATTTAGGAAATATAAATTACAGCACTCTTAAAAATCAATAGAAACTTTTATTTTAACTGTAGAGTCAAATACTAATCATATAATATTTTAGCAATATAGTCTCAGAACCTCATCTTTGCTTGCTTGCTTGTCAGACATTAAAAGTGTGAAATGTTTCAGCTACCACTACATAGTTCCCTTTTTATCTATTAGTCCATAAAATATTTTCTTCCTCATGCAGTGTTACCAAGTCTGCCATCTTGACACATAAATGATTTTCAGATTTAAGGGATTTATTTGTTAAAATGTGGGAGACCGTGAATTTTGAGCCTCTTGAATGGAAACTTGTGTGGGTATGGATGCATACGTGAATTAAGAACCAGCATAGGACGGGCGCAGTGACTTACGCAGTGGCCAGCACTTTGGGAGGCCGAGGCGGGTGGATCACGAGGTCAGGAATTCAAGACCATTCTGACCAACGTGGTGAAACCCCATCTCTACTAAAAATTCAAAAATTAGCTGTGCGTGGTGGTGTGCGCCTGTATTCCCAGCTGCTCAGGAGGCTGAGGCAGGAGAATCGCTTGAACCCGGTAGGCAGAGGTTGTGGTGAGTCGAGATGGCACCACTGCACTCCAGCCTGGAAGACAGAGTGAGACTCTAGACAAAAAAAAAAAAAAAAAAAAAAGAACCAGCATAATCCCATAGCCTGCCTGACTTGTTCCTCTGTTTTGTTCTCTCTGTCTATAGGATGAAGTATGTTTATTCTGATGACAATTGAGAATTAAACGTGAGAAGAAAGTTGAGGAGAGTATCTCAGCCTAGGGTTAACCAGCCACCTTAACCTCTAGGAAACCTCAAGATTTTCTCTGCTTCAACCTCTACCAGTAATAGAAAGGAAAGAAAATATGATTGGTACAAGGGAATCTGGTGGGAGGAGAAAGGGGATTATAAATAATTAATAATAATAATGTATATTTATTGATCATTTACTATTTGTCAGGTACAATGTTTAGTATTCTACTCACATAATCTCATTTGATGCTCAAGACAACCCTATGAGGTAGCTGCAGTTAGTTCATACCACTTTAGGGATAGAGAATCTGAAGTTCAGAAGAGAGGTTATATACTTATTGAGCTCTTACCAAGCACCAGACGTTGTTCTAAGTCATCTTTGTCTATTATTTAATTCAGTCTTTATAATAATTCTATGAACTAGTTGCTATTATTATCTTCATTTTACAGAAGAGAAAATGATGGAAATCCAGGCCTTCTGATTTGTGAGCTTGCAGTCTTAATCCCTACACTATCTAGTAGCTTATCTTCTTTTTGTGCTTTCTTTTATTGGAATTGCCTTTTTCTGTCTGTATTACTTAGCACTGTTTGGTTTATATGCATGTCTATATGCATCAAATTTGTCTCTTGGCCCTCTTGATAGGTATTTCCTACCAGATTCTCCATGTCCAGGACTACCAAGTAGAACCAGGATGGGAGACCTAGAGCAAAGATCCCTTAAAAATGGCCTCTCTCGGGCTGGGCATGGTGGCTCACGCCTGTAATCCTAGCACTTTGGGAGGCTGAGGCGTGTGGATCACGAGGTCAGGAGTTCAAGACCAGCCTGGCCAATATGGTGAAACCCCATCTCTACTAAAAATACAAAAATTAGCCAGGCATGATGGTGCGTGCCTATAGTCCCAGCTACTCGGCAGACTGAGGCAGAAGAATTGCTTGAACCCGGGAGGCAGAGGTTGCAGTGAGCCAAGATCACGCCACTGCACTCCAGCCTGGGCAAGAGAGCAAGACTCCATCTCAAAAAAAAAAAAAAAAGCCTCTCTCAACTTTAATGTACATTTTTGAGAAAGGAGTTCTTACATTTCCATAACTTGCTATTCCAGGATGTCTCTCTCAATCAGAGGGGTAAGATCCAGAAATTGCATAAGGAGAAGAATTGGCTGTATTTCTTTATTTGGAATGAAACTTGAACTTGGAGTCACTTTTCCTGGACACTTCTGTCTTAGTCTCAGAAGCTGCCTACCATGTACCTCTTTTATAGTATGTGCATCGGCTAAATGTTAAATTTTGGATGGAGTGATCTTTCCTATACAAAAATGAATTAGAAAAAACAAGAGTTTCTCTTTCTCACAAATATTACGGAATATGACCTGAGTTAAATCAATTAATATACATGTCTTCTGATATTAAGAAGCTGATTTCTCAGACAAAGTTGTTTTCAAGCAGTGTAGTTGGGAACATTTTCATCAGTTTTACTTTGATGGACCATCTGTTGGCTGTCACACGTTTTCACCTTCAGTAAATCCTGCGAATTTGATAAACTATACATTACTTTTATTTGTAGTTATTGTATAAATGATGTTGAAGACCTGAATGGAACTTCCCTGTAACTGTACCTAAGATTCAAAATTTTCCTATTTCTCCACATCCTCTCCAGCACCTGTTGTTTCCTGACTTCTGAATGATCGCCATTCTAACTGGTGTGAGATGGTATCTCATTGTGGTTTTGATTTGCATTTCTCTGATGGCCAGTGATGGTGAGCATTTTTTCATGTGTTTTTTGGCTGCATAAATGTCTTCTTTTGAGAAGTGTCTGTTCATGTCCTTCACCCACTTTTTGATGCGGTTGTCTGTTGGTGGGACTGTAAACTAGTTCAACCATTGTGGAAGTCAGTGTGGCGATTCCTCAGGGATCTAGAACTAGAAATACCATTTGACCCAGCCATCCCATTACTGGGTATATACCCAAAGGATTATAAATCATGCTGCTATAAAGACACATGCTCACGTATGTTTATTGTGGCACTATTCACAATAGCAAAGACTTGGAACCAAGCCAAATGTCCAACAATGATAGACTGGATTAAGAAAATGTGGCACATATACACCATGGAATACTATGCAGCCATAAAAAATGACGAGTTCATGTCCTTTGTAGGGACATGGATGAAATTGGAAACCATCATTCTCAGTAAACTATCGCAAGGACAAAAAACCAAACACCGCATGTTCTCACTCATAGGTGGGAATTGAACAATGAGAACACATGGACACAAGAAGGGGAACATCACACTCTGGGGACTGTTGTGGGGTGGGGGGTGGGGGGAGGGATAGCATTAGGGGATATACCTAATGTTAAATGATGAGTTAGTGGGTGCAGAACACCAGCATGGCACATGTATACATATGTAACAAACCTGCACATTGTGCACATGTACCCTAAAACTTAAAGTGTAATAATAATTTTAAAAAAAAGATTCAAAATTTTCTGATTTTAAATTAAGGTAATCTGGTAGCTCAAATACAAAGTATGTTGGGAATACTTTATTTTCCTTATGTCTGTTCATTTGTAGAACACAATGACTGAGTATCAAACTATTTCCCCAAAAAAGTTTTCTGTGTTTTTCAGCTCATACAACATTAATTTCTGTTTTTAGTCAGCACAAGTGGTATTTAAGGCTGTAATATCTAAAAAGTAAAGTCTTTTATTTTTTTTCAAACTTTGGGACTTCATTTCTGAAGTATCTTGAAAATTATTCTAACCACAAGCTATTTCTGTGTAAACACATATTAGAAACCAGGAAAAATGAACATGACTTTTTTGGTGAATGTCATGATCCTCAAAGCCCTGCTTTTGTACTTCAAGTATAATATATCTGTTAGGTTTCTTGATGGCAAGAAACGGAAGCTGACTCTTGTCAAATTAAAAAAAAATAAAAAGAAAGCTATTGGAAGGATATCAAGGGATCATAGAATTAAAAAACATATATATGGGAGGACCAGGCTTGGGAAATGTAAGACAGTAAGGCACTTCTGGAAAAGTCAAGAAGCAGAAAGCATATCTATTGTCTTTCCCCCACTGCAGCCTTGTTCCATTGTTGCTACTGCCAATGAAACACTAGGCCATTTACCATGAAAGGACCTGAACTGAACTTTTATCTTTGTGTCACTTATTCAAGATTCAAAATCATAGGTGGAAGCATCCTATTGGCCCTTCCTTAATATGTACCCAAAACTTCTATTAGAACATGCAAAGTATGACATTGCCCCACTTTTGTTTTCAAATTATAAGGCGGGGCAAGCACTGCATCATACAAGGACTACATATATTGGAGGATTTACCCCCAAAAGGAAAGGAGTTGGATGCTAGATAGATTGAAAAAAAAAAAGGTCAAATATTCACTACACACAGGTCAATGAGTAGTACTCCATCTCATTTAGTCTTATGTAAAACTATGACACTATTCTTCTAAAATAAGTCATATTTTGATTTCAATACGCAGTTTTTGGAGTTCCAAAGGGGGCTATCTTAATTTCTAATTTATTTTTGTTTATCTATATATCCTAACAAAAAATGGGATATATTTAAAAGGGCTCAGTAGGGCGAACTTGAAAAAGCTTAACATTAGCAGACAAGACTAAGTTCATTAATCTTCACCAGCTGTGTGATCGTAAATAAGTTCTTTAAGGCCCTCCTGGGCCTTAATTTTCTTACCTGTAAAATGGGAATATGGCCTCCTGTGCTATATCTATTATGAGAAGCATATGACATAATGAAAAAGTGTGCTAAGTACATAGTACTCAGCATATAGCTCAATTAAATAGTAGTATTTGTCCCCATACAGTAAATGTAAGTCACTAAGTGTGCACATGCAAAGTCACAAATTAATTTGATGCTATGTGAGTTTTTGATAGTAAATTTTTTAAAAAGTGGGTATTTTATTCAACCTGACCATATAACTGATTGAATTTTTCACTTCGTCTAACTTTTTAAATAAAGTTTTATTGCCTAAACTGAATTTTGTTTGGGCTTAAGTGAAGTTGAGAAATAGCATCATAATGTTGAATTACTGCTGATTTACCTCATGAACAGTCTAGCTTAATAAACTCCCAAAGTACAAAAGCAAGCCATGTCTTTTGGTTTTCTGGAAGCAATTTATTTCAGATGCAATTCTTAGCATTCACAGGACTCAGGCACTCTTGTATCCTGTGTGATTATTTTTTGTTGTTATTTTCTTTATTGAGATTTTATCCTCAGATTTGTTTAACCTTTTGATTTTTTGCTTTACTAAAAATCACTTAATGGACCTTAATCATCTATGTCAACTTAGAGTTGACTAAGAATTTTGGAAATTATTTCAGGTTTAAAACGTTTAAATCTTCACTGTCTTCTTTGATTAATAAGTTGTTTCAGTATTTCAATGACTCAAGAGTTCAGATATTTCTAAGGACTCCAGTATTCTTGTTTGTTATATACCCCATCTAGACCTAGACTTATCTCATCCCCGATCTTAGACAACGAATTAGCAGTGGAAAATATATTGGCTGATGTTAAACAATTGTTGTTTGTTCTTGCTTTATCTTGCTGTCTGCTGAGATTCCTATTCTTACTTTTTCTCTGAATTGTTACTGATGTTTAGAAAGTCTCTTTCCTGCAGCCTTGCTATAGGCAGTTCTGCAATTTGAGCACAAATGATATGGTAACACGCACTTTACTTATTATTGTGATAGTCACGCTTGCTCTGAGCAATACCAAATGTAGAATATTACCACTCAGATCACATTTACATCAGCTAAATATTTGTACAATATGGATATCAGAGTATATTATGTTGAAGATGAAAAGAGCAGCTAGAATGTTGCAGAAGACTGTAAATTAACTTCCTTCTATACACAGACGCTTACCTCTTTGATCTAGGGCATTAGAGATCCCTAGGAAATATGTTGCAAAGCTAACTCTAAATTGATAAATGTCAAATATCTAGTGGATTTCAATATGCCATTTCCTCACAAATTTTTAAAGTTAAGGATAGGTAATGTGCTTGTAAATGTCTAACAACTAGCTTAGGGTTTAGGTGGAGAAATATAATTCATAGCATTTGCTGATCTTCATAGTATATATATATATATATGTATTCTCAACATGGCCAGTTTCAAGCTACCAATATGAATGTAGAGTTAGGAAAAATACAAGCATGTGTCATGAAGAATTAAGAACTAGCTCCTGCATAGCACTGCATACGTGTCTATGTACACACACACACACACACACACACACACACACACACATATAAAGCATTCCATTTCACAGGAAACAAAATCATCATACAGTATGGTATGAGAAAATGATCTTCTATAGTCAATATAAAGTATTTAAAATTAGTGAAAGCTCTTTTACTTAAAAGCGAAAGCAACCTCTTCTATTACCCAGCTCACAGTTCAAAAATCGTTCAAAGGAGTGAAACAAACAAAAATGCTACTTTTTAAAGTACAGTCTATGGAAAAGTCACTTTACAGACGAATTAGTACACTATTATTGTGGTCACAAGTCAGACTTTTTTTTAAAAATAAGAAACAGTCAGTGGGCAAATGACACCACTTGACTGAGTCCTTCACTTAAGACAATGCAAAACTAGGATGTTCTTAAGACTTTATAAAGAGTGACCTCTCATGTCACGTAAAACGAAAACAAACACACTTGGCATGGATGCTCAATCTGCTTAACATGTTTTGTTAAGTGAATGAAGAGAATAAACATCACAAAGCTTATGAATGTCCTTTTCATATTCAGTGAACTGAAACTATTTGGGCCACTGAGGGACAATGTAGCATAAAGCAATATATTAAGTTTGTAGGAGAACGGGAGCCCCGTGACCTACACATTTCACACTCATTTGTATGGTAGGCGCTGTCATGCTGACCATTTGCATTGAGACAGCAATTTTTTTTGCATGACCAGTCTTCTCTTAGTGATCAGTATAATAAATGTATTAAAATCTCCATTGTCAGAGACTCATAACACGGCAGGAATGGAGGGGGTTTTGATTGGAGAGGAGTTGGATATTATCACAGTCCTGCAGAGAACATAATTAGAGGGGAGAGTAATATGGTCAGATGCTGAAAAAAACAAAAAGGTTTCTCCTAAAGACCAATAGTCCGTATACCTCATTCAATATATTCCCTTTGTCCTACCCCTTGCCACTACAGAAGGATCATCCACATTGTTGAATAAACTACTACTCAGCTGGGCACTGTGGCTCACGCCTGTAATCCCAACTCTTTGGGAGGCCGAGGCAGGTGGATCACCTGAGGTCAGGAGTTCAAGACCAGCCGGGCCAGCATGGTGAAACCCCGCCTCTACTAAAAATACAAAAATTAGCCGAGTGTGGTGGCAGCCTCCTATAATCCCAGCTACTTGGGAGGCTGAGGCAGGATCATCACTTGAACCCAGGACGGGGAGGTTACAGTGAGCTGAGATTGCGCCATTGTATTCCAGCCTGGGTGACAAGAGCAAGACTCCATCTCAAATAAATAAATAAATATAAAAATAAAAAATAAACTACTATTCAACCCACATTGAAACTTCTCTCTAGTCTTTGAGTTGCTGAATCTGTGGCTGACTTATGTCAGCCAGTTGGTTCTGAGGAGTTCAGCATCACCATAATGCATTGACATGAATACAGCAGCATTCAAAGCAAGTGCTCATCTGCTTCAGGCTCATTTGCTTCACCAATTAATAATAATAATTTAATTTTGGGTGCTTTCTAGTGTTATCTATTTTATAAATGGCTTACAGTGTTAGATATTTTCTTTTAATCCTCACCACAGTGACATACATAGGTATTATTATCCCAATTTTACTCAGAGAAAATTGAGACTTAGTGAGGTACAGCTGACAGGTGAAGGAACCAAATATAAATTCATTTTATCTGGCTCCAAAGCATGTAATTTCAACTCTTTGAGCCACTTAAAACCTTAATTATACTACACAGTTTCCAGCAGTGAATAGCTTCAGAAAGGATAAATGGTTGCAGGAAACAATTTGTTTCTTACAATTCTGTTGGCCAGTCTCTAATTCTGAAAATAAGTAATTCCAACTTTTTGAGGGCAAACAGTAGTTAATCAGGTGCCTTTAAATAAATGTATGGAGACAAAATTGAACTCTCTTTAAACGAATGAATGAACACAAGACTGTCCTAGAAGCCAAGGTAAATGTCTTCGCTGGAAGAATGTCTATTTTCTGGGGCATATTTGCTATGTGACTTCTTTATTTTGCACCATCCTACACAGCCACAGAGTTTATTTTAATTTCTTGAGGCCAATCACTGAGGAAATCTCTGATGCATTCAAAAGCCATAGCACTTAAAACATTCTTAGGTGACTTTAGCCTTTGAAATATGTGTAACAATGGTCAATACCTAGATGTAATAGTATCTACCATCTCCCTGGCTCCTTCGTGTTAGCTAAGATGCAGTAATTCGCTGTTCATTCCATACTCATTTAAAAATATAATATTATATCATTGGAATATTTTCTTATTTTCAAAAATAATACAGAGGATGGAGAAATGGGAGGAATTAGTATAAACTTTTTGAAGTTCTCTTAAAAGCTAATATTATAGGAAAATGTAATATTATTTTTCTGAAGACAGTTGCAGAACATGGGAGGGAGTGTACCTTTTTATACTATTGGATCTTGAACCATTTAATGGGTGTCCTAAATAGACACCACCACTTAATAACATAAAATTAAACTTTAGTAAGTATAAATATTCCTGCCTGCAAGACGGGATTATTTAAACTCAAAAATTTAAACTTATGCTGGACACTGTCCCGTTTTCTGTTGTGTAACCAAATTATTTTGTGTATGAAACAAAGAGTTGCCAAGGGCTGAGGATATGACAGCAGAAATGTGATCTGCATATGTTTGAAAAGCCCCCATAATGTGAGTAAATGTTTTGAATTAAACACTGCAGCTTGACAACACGCAAAGTGCTTTGCATGGGCACATGGTGGATGTCATGAAAGGTTTGAGTGTTGGAGTGAATAAATAAGCCACTTAGTCCGTGTACCCATGATATTTTTCCATCCTCATAAAATGTCCTGATACATCTTTGTTTTTCTAGTAAGATACCAAAAGGGGGCTTAAAGAATGCAACAGAGAGTATAAAAACTGTTTCATAGAGCTGAACCAATGTGAGGCACCATCATAGACACTTTACAAACATGATCTCAGTTAATCTTCAAGAGGTAAGTATCATCTACTTGCTACAGGTGATTAAACCTAGCTTCAGAATGTTTAGTTTAGCATGTCCCAGATCACACAGCCAGTAATTGAACAGCTGAGGTTTGAGTTGGGTTTTAGCTGACTCCTCAGTTAGACACAAAGATTATGAGGACCATAAAAATTACTATATATTAACTGCATTCAGTGTGACATATCATTTCCAGTCTTCCAAAAAGTCTTTAAGAGTTTGTTTTATTATCTCATTTCACAGATGATACAAAAGTGAGGCTGTGAGAGATCACATAACCTTCCCAAGGCTACACGGCTAATACATAAGACAGTGGATATATGAGTCCAGATATGTCTGTCTTCAAAACCTCTGCTCTTTACCACATAACACCTTCTGTCTCCAAGTACAGCTATATAGCAGAATTCCTATAAAAACTCAAACCCCCACCCCCTAACACAACGCATGCGCACTCTGCGCCCCCCCGCCCCGACACACACACACAGGAGAGTATAGTGGTCATTATAAAAAAGGGCAGTTTATAATCAGATTTCCTGGAATGAAAACCAATATCATCATCCTTCTGGCTCTTGGACAATAATACAAAAATTAGTTCCATCTTAATCATAATAATATTTATTTCCATTTGAAAGTAACCTAAGAAAAGATGATATAAAATGTTAATTCTGTTTTGCATCATTTATAGACACAGAGTCCTGTAGTTTGAGAGAAATCATGTAAAATAATGACATAACAAGCTTCATAGTTAATACAATTTTAAGATAATATTCTGGATAGAAAGAATATCAAGAAAATTAAAAATGCTAGGTTTTTTCAATAATTTCCATTGAGAGTTGTTACTAAAGAAAAAAAATCCTAGTTCAGAAATAACAAAAGCAGTTGCCAGCAAAATGCACTTTCTTAATTGAGATCAATGGCTCTTGATTAGATAAAAAGTAATAGAAGGAATAAAAGCCTGTGCATAACTCATTTTCTAAACATTAATATTCTGCAAGAATTATCTATTTTGTTTTCAAATGTAAAGAATTATGTCAGTGTAGAGAAGACTCACATTTCTTAATGCTTGTTTGTTTAATAGATCAAAGGAGTTATTGGAATGATAAATGCAAAACTCAAAGGAACAAACTAAAAACTCCCTGATCTTTGTAATGTAATGAATGAATGAAAACACAATAATAATTCACCAAACCAGAAATTTCAATGGTGTGGACCCAAGGGCTCATAACTAAGGGAAAATCACTTAGGAGTGACCAAAGAGAGGCTGTGATAGCTAATAAAGTTGATGAACTTCACTAATAGTAGAAGTTCCCCTTGTCCATACTGATTATCTTTAAATCTTATTTCAACTACAATACTAATAAATGGGGGTTATCATGTTTCAAAACCCAATCTGCATGGGAAACTGCAAATTAGAAATAAATGAAATTTCTAAAGGTTGAGATGCTGGATGAAGTAATAGTGATAGTTGATGGAGAATAGAATGCAGGAAATACATAAAAATATACCTCAAAACTATCTAGGACAAATAATCCTATATAGGTATCAATAGCCTGAGGAACCCAAATTATATTGTAAGAACTGGTATCCATATTCAATACTTAAAGCAATAGGAAATGATTAACTTTCCTTAAAGCTTCTCATTTTATGAATGCAAGGATGAGTACAACCTATTTTAGAAATATTTATATATTAAATGATTAAAATAAAATCTTTATTTATTTGCTTTTGTTTTTTTGAGATGGAGTTTCACTCTTGTTGTCCAGGCTGGAGTGCAATGGTGCGATCTCGGCTCACTGCAACCTCTGCCTCCTGGGTTTAAGTGGTTCTCCTGCCTCAGCATCCCAAGTAGCTGAGATTACAGGCATGAACCACCATGCCCAGCTAATTTTGTATTTTTAGTAGAGAGGGTTTCACTATGTTGGTCAGGCTGGTCTCAAACTCCTGACCTCAGGTGATCCACCCATCTTGGCCTCCCAGAGTGCTGGGATTACAGGCATGAGCCACTGCACCCGGCCAAATATTTACTTTTTAAGTAATATGTCTTCAGTTATCCAGAAAACCTTGTAGTTTAGAATACTGAGTCTCCAAGACTATGAAATACTGGCATTCATCGATGAACTCATACTTCATTAAAATACTCTCTTCTAATATCAGAAAAGTGTGTTTGTCATTAATACAGAAGCAATACACACAAAGAATTTGAATGACGTGGTGTGGGTACAATTTCACTTATTTAGCAAAAGATGGCACTTTTCAATAGTCACTGTGCAGCTATGGTATTTCCTTGTATTCAAAGAATGGCTTTGCAGAGAATGAGAAAGGGTTTGGATTTGGAGAAATAAATGGGAGACGATTGAAGAACACTGTCATTTAGGTCCTACAAATTGCAGCTGACTGCTGTGTGTTAATTTGGAGGTATTTAGCTGTCTCTGTCTTTCAAGCTGTCTGAAGTGACAACAGTTCTCCCAGGTGCTCTTGAACTCACTCTCCTTCTCTGGGAATGAATCCACCAAGGGCTGCTGTACACTGGGTTTGACTGGCTGGCTCTCAGCTCATGCGACAATCTTGTTGCTTTCCCACAAAAACATCGCACCATCCTTAGTTTTTCTCCACTAATTTGGGATTTGCTATAATTTATCAAATTGAGGAGCTGCTGTTTTTTTATGTGTTTTAAATGGGACATGTTTTGTTCTGTATAGTCAAATTATGCTTTTAATGTTCAGAAAAAAAGGGCAAAGTTCCTCAGAGAAGCAGTGTGGCTGTGACTGCAAGTCCAGTTATAAAATCGCTAATTAACTTTTTGACAGATTGGTTTAAATAAGAGCAACAATAAAAATGCACATGTTGCTGCAGGTAGCTATGTGGAGCCATGAATGAAAATGGCCTTTTCTGACAGAAGAATATCAGGAGATAGTAGGGTTGAAAAGGGCAAAATGAGAGAGAGAAAAGGGAAAGAAGTTGTTGCTGTCAGCTTATATTTATGCCATGGGGAGTGGAGAACAGAGGTGACATTTTGCCAATTTAAAATAAAAAACTGGATGATATATATCATTGTTCTGATAGTCCATAGGGATCAGGAATAGTTACTAGGTTTTATTATCAAATAATTCTAGTTGTACACTCCATTGCTACATCCTTGATAAAGTGGCCAGCCTCCAGGGAAGTTTCTGTCTCCTTACTGCCTAAAGAAGAAAAACTATTTCCTGTAGGTACCCTTAACCAGACAACTGTATAGTAGGCTTTGAACTAAACCTGTTATGTTTTTGTCGTTTTTGTTCCACCTATGGATATACCAAGGAGTTATAGAGTCTAATTTTAGACTGTGAATATACTAACCTTAAAGTTAGCTAAGTATTAATTTACAGCTCTTGAAAGAGAGGCAATTTAAGCTGAGTTAAGTGTAGCTAATCATGTAGTCTAGTTCTAAATGTAAGATCTGCTCTAAATATAAGCGGAGAAAACTGTCTCTTTGGGCTACAAAAGCACAACAATCATTTTAGAAAATGTTTGAGCTGATGTTATTTAAATAAGAAAAAGTTAGCTTAGTAATCGGGCAGAAGAGGTGGTACTTAGATTGTTTAAGAGACCAGATTGCTTCCAGTATTCTTGGACACTCTCAAAGTAGCTCTTTGTATAAAGTCATCCGTCAAAAGAATTATTATATATAATCTTATATATTCCCCAAGGGACCTATACAAGGAAACACTTTTTCTAATTTGAGTTATGGTATGAACTTGAAAATATTTTACTAATTTTTAAAAGTATAACTTAGAGATCTTATTTTTCAGATATGTTCTACAGGTCCCCAGGGATTCCACTGAACCCTATTAAGGCAGTGGATATGGAAAGTGACTTAGAAAAGTGATGACTATAAGGAATAAAATGTAATCATTTGCATCTGATCCAGGGTTTGTTAACTGCTATTCAAATGTGTTATTTATCGTGGAATGATTTGTTAGTCACAAATTGTTTCCTAGCAGGTAATAAAATAATGCATGTAATGAACATCATTAGGAATAAAGGACTTGAAACCATAACCATCTTATCTTTTATAAAGCTAGGCTTTGTTACTTAGGCAAATTCATAGAGCATATTTTAAAAACCTGAGTTAAAACCACAGAACCATTTTCTATGGTTCCCATTAAAAACAGAATATACATTCTTCTCATCTGCACATGGAAAATATTCCAAGATCAACACCATGCTCATCCATAAAACGAGTTTTAATAAATTCAAAAAAATCAAAATTATGCCAGCAATACTCTCAGACAACAGTGAAATAAAGATAGAAATTAATACCAAGAAGATCTGTCAAAACCACACAATTACAGGAAAATTAAGCAACTTGTTCCTGGATGACTTTTAAGTAAACAATTAAATCAAAGCATACATTTTTTAAAATTGAAATAAAAATAGAGACTCAGCACACCAAAATCTCTGGGATGCAGCAAAAGTGGTGTGAAGAGGAAAGTTTGTAGTATTAAACGCCTACCTCAAAACGTTGAGATCTCAAATTAATAATCTAATGCCACATCTCATTTTTCTCAATAGACTTATAGCTAAATTCCAAAAGACATTCAAAAAAGAATTGGTACTGGTCGTATGAAAACTATTCCAAAAGATTGAAATGAGAGAATCCTCCCTAAGTCATTCTATGAAGCCAGTATCACCCTGACACCAAAACCAGGAAGGGATGTAACAACAACAACAAAAAACCCGAAAAACTGCAGACCAATATTCCTAATGAACATAGATGCGAAAATCTTCAACAAAATACTAGCTAACTGAATCCAACAGCACACCAAGATAATGCATCACGATCAAGTGGGTTTCATTTCAGAGAGGCAAGGATGGTTTAACATATACAAGTCAGTAAATGTGATACACCACATAAACAGAATTAAAAACAAAAAAGTGGTCATCTCAACAGATACAAAATAAGCATTCAATAAAATCCAGCATCCCTTTATGATAAAAACCCTCAACAAACTAGGAATAGAAGGGACCTACCTCAGTATAATAAAAGCCATATAGACGAACCTATAGCCAACACTATACAGATTGGGAAAACATTGAAAGCATTCCCCTGAGAACTGGAATAAGCCAAGGATGCCCACTTTTGCCACTTCTATTCAACATAGTATGGGAAGTCCTAGCCAAAACAACTATGCAAAAGAAAGAAACTAAGGGCATCCGAACTGGAAAATAGAAAGCTAAACTATTACTGTTCTTTGATGATATAATTATACACCCAGAAAACCCTAAAGATTCCTCCAAAACACTTCTAGATTTGATGAACAAATTCAGTAAAGTCAGTTTACAAAATCATTGTACAGAAATCAGTAGCACTGCTATACACCAATGACAAAACTGGGAATCAAATCAACAACTCAATCCATTTTAAAACAGCTGCAGGAAACTAAAATACCTAGAAATATACTTAACAAAGGAGGTGAAAGATCTCTACAAGGAAAACTACAAAATATTGCTGAAATAAATTACAGGTTACACAAACGAATGGAAACCCTCCAAATGCTCATGGATTGAAAGAATCAATATTGTAAAAATGACCATAATGCCCAAAGCAATCTACAGATTCAATGCAATTCCCATCAAAATACCAACACCATTTTTCATAAAAATAGGAAAAAAACTATCCTAAAATTCATAAGGAATAAAAAAAGAGCCCAAGTAGCCAAAGCAATCCTGAGTAAAAAGAACAAATCTGAAGGTATCACATTACCAGAACTTAAGTTATACTACTCTAGTGTATAGTTACCAAAACAGCATGGTACTGGCAGAACAGTAGGCAGATACACCTTTGCAACAGAATAGAGAACTCAGAAATGAAGCCAAATACTTACAAATAACTGATCTTTGAGAAAGTATACAAAAACAGAAATTAGGAAAAGGAGGCTCTATTTAATAAATGGCGCTGGTAGGACTGTCTAGCCATATGGAGAAGAGTAAATGTAGATCTTTATCTCTCACCTTATAAAAAACCAACACAAAATCAAACAAATACTTAAATCTAAGTCCTGAATTCTAGAAAAATTCTGCAAGATAACCTTGAAAAAAATCTTCTGGATAATTGCCTAAGCAAAAAATTAATGACTAAGACCCCCAAAGGCAAATGCAACAAAAACAAAAATAAATAAGACCTGATAAAATTTAAAAACTTCTTCACAGCAAAAGAAATAATCAGAGTAAACAGACAACCAACAGAATGGGAGAAAACATTTGCAAATTATACATCTGACAAAGGACTATAATTCAGAATTTACAAGGTGCTCAAATAAATTAGCAAGAAAAAAACAAGTAATCTCCTCCAAAAGTGGGTAAATTACACAAATAAACATTTCTCAAAAGTAGATATACAAATGGTCAACAAACATATGAAAATATACTCAACATCACTGATGATCAGGATAATGTCAATTAAAATCACGATGAGATACTACCTTACTCCTGCAAGAATGAGCAGTATTAAAAAGTCCAAAAATGATAGATGTTTCATTGGGCATGGAGAAAGTGGAACGCTTATACACTGCTGGGGGAAATGTCAATTAGTATGAACTCTATGAAAAATGGTATGAAGATTCTTTAAATGACTAAAAGTAGACCCACAATTCAATCCAGCAATTCCACTACTGGGTATCTTCCCAAAGGAAATGAAGTCATTATATGAAAAAGATGTATACATAGATATGTTTATTGCAGCCCAATTCACAATTCCAAAGATATAGAACCAACCTAAATGCCCATCAACCAATGTGTGGATAAAGAAATTGTGGTATATATACACCATGGAATACTACTCAGCCATGAAAAGGAATAAAATAATGTCTTTTTCAGCAACTTAGATGGAGCTGGAAGCAAGTATTATATGTGAAGTGACTCGGGAATAAAAAGCCAAATACCCATATGTTCCCATTATAAGTGGGAGCTAAACTATGAGTATGCAAAGGCATACAGAGTGATATAATGAACTTTAGAGATTCAGAAGGGGAAGGTTGGAAGGGGGCTGTAGGATTAAAAAACTATATATTGGATACAACAATACATACTACTTGGGTGATGGGTGGACTAATATTTCAGAATTCACCGCTATATAATTCATCCATGTAACCAAAAACCACTTCACCAAAAGCTACTGAAATTTTTAAAATACATTAAAAATAGGTGACAAAAAGAACTTCAAACAGAACTACCATTTGACACAGCAATTCCATTACCTGGTATATACTTGTAAGAAAATAAATTATTCTACCAAAAAGACACATGCTCTCACATGTTCATTGCAGCATTAGTCACGATAGCAAAGACATGGACTCAACATAGGTGCCCATTAATAGTGGATTGAATAAAGAAATGGTGGCACATTTACACCACAAAATACTGTGTAACCATACCAAAAAAAAGTAATAATGTCCTTTGCAACAACATGGGTGCAGCAGGAGGCCATTATCCCAGGTGAATTGACAGAGGAACACGAAATCAAATACCACTGGTCCTCACTTATAAGTGGGGGCTAAACCTTAGGTACTCATGGACATAAAATGGCAACAATAGACACTGGAGACTACGAGAGGTGGGAGTGGGGGAGGGGGGCAAGGGTTGAAGATTTATCTCTTGGGTACCATGCTTAGTACCTGCATGATGGAATAATTTATACTTGCATGATGAAATCATTTATATACCAAACCTCAGCAGCATGCAATATAACAGGTAACAAATCAAACATGTACCCCCTAAATCTGAAGTAAAAGTTAAAAACAATGAAGTATTTGTAAGATAAAAAGAAATAAAGGAAATTCTGTAACTGATTTAAGCTGTTTTTAAGTTAAGTTTTTGTGTTAGTAAGTCCATTTGTTCTTCACAACCACCAACCTTTCACTTCAGTTACAAGTGTTGAGTCATGAATTCAAGTTACAAAGGGATGTAAAATATAATGGATATTTACCTTTTAAAAAATCTTTTATTTAAAAATTTATGATTTATAAACAAAACACTTATCTAAGATAATTATTAAAGTCTGCCATTAGAGAAGTCTTAGAACACTTGGGCTGCATGCTTATGTGCATTTTTGATCTAAGAATTTTTGAAATATTTTCATCTGGATTTTTTTCCCTCCCTCCCTTCCTCCCTCCCTCCCTCCCTCCCTCCCTTCCTTCCTTCCTTCCTTCCTCCCTCTCTCCCTCCGTTCTTTCTTTCTTCTTTTTTTTTTTTTTTTTTGACGGAGTCTCACTCTGTTACCCAGGCTGGAGTGCAGTGGCAGGATCTGGGCTCACTGAAACTTCTGCCTCCCACGTTCAAGCAATTCTCCTGCCTCAGCCTCCAAGTAGCTGGGATTGCAGGCATGCGCCACCACACCTGGCAATTTTTGTATTTTTAATAGAGATGGGGTTTCGCAGTGTTGGCAAGGCTCGTCTAGGACTCCTGACCTCAGGAGATCCACCCACCTTGGCCTCCCAAAGTGCTGGGATTACAGGTGTGAGCCACTGTGTCCGGCCCCCATCTGGATTTTAATACAGTCTTCATTTCACAAAAAAAGGTTAGCTTTTTTTTAGTTTTTTAGAACTTCTTTTAGTGTGAACACTATTCTGCAAAGTGATTAAAATTTAGTCAATTTGGGACCCCCCATTTCTTTAAGTTCTGTAGAGTTTATGTTGTGTCAAGAAATTGCGGATGAGATGTGCATCTTCTCCTCATTCTTGCACTCTTCCAAACAATGGCATCTATTGACCTATCCTCTTTTCTGTTTGACTATTCTCCTCTTTTCTGTCCTCACGAACACTTCAGTCTTTTTGGTTTTCTAGGCGTTGTGCCTTTCCTATTCATCCACCAATCTCCCCAGTCTAAGCTGTCTTTGAATCTTACCTTTTGAAACACGTCCTCTGCAGGCAGATGAATTGACAATGCCAAGGGACGTCTACCTAAATATTCTGTGTAGGCCAATGTCTTTCTTCTGAATCTCAGAGACTAAGAACTGACTTCTTTGTCCTTCATGTCCTGTGGTAAACCCTCTTCTTTGTTCTAGTTGCCCAAATTTAGAGGTGATAGAGGGGTACGTTAGAGAATAAAAAAAAAATACTGGCATTATAGTAGTCCATTCTCACACTGCTATAAAGACACATCTGACACTGGGTAATTTATAAAGCAAAAAGTTTAAATTGACTCACAATTCTACAGGCTGTACAAGAAGCATGGTTGCGGAGGCCTTGGAAAACTTACAATCATGGAAGAAGGTGAAGGGAAAGCAGGAGTAGTCTTTACATGGCCAGAACAGGAGAGAGAGAGACAGAAGGAGGAATTGCTACATACTTTCAAACAGTCAGATCTCATGAGAACTCACTCACTTTCATGAGAACAACAAGGGGGATATCTGCCCACATGATCCAATAACCTACCACCAGGTCCCTCCCCCAACATTGGGATTACAATTCAACGTGAGATTTAGGTGGGGACATAGAGCCAAATTATATTATTCCACCCCTGGCCTCTCCCAAGTCTCATGTCCTTCTTATATTTTAAAACACAATCATGTCTTCCCAACTGTCCCCAAAAGTCTTAACTCATTCTAGCATTAACTCAAAAGTTCAAGTCCAAAGTCTCAACTGAGACAAGGCAAGTCCCTTCTGCCTATAAGCCGGTAAAATAAAAACAAGTTAGTTATTTCCAAGGTACAACAGGGGTACAGGCATTGGGTAAATGCTCCCATTCCAAAAGGGAGAAATTGGCCAAAACACAGGGGATACAGGCCCCATGCAAGTCCAAAACCCAGCAGGGCAGTAATTAAATCTTAAAGCTCTAAAATAATCTCCTTTGACTCCATGTCTCATATCCAGGGCATGCTGATTCAAGGGGTAGTCTCCCAAGGCCTTGGGCAGCACCATCCCCATGACTCTGTAGAATAGATAGAGTTCCCACCATGGCTGCTTTCATGGGCTGTCATTGAGTGTCTGCACCTCTTCGAGGCACATGGTGTTAGATGTTGGTGGATCTACCATTCTGGGGTCTGGAGGATGGTGGCCCTCTTTGCACAGCTCCACTAGGCAGTGCCCCAGTGGAAACTCTGTGTTGGGGCTCAAACCCACATGTCTCCTCTGCACTGCCCTAGTAGAGGTTCTCCATGAGGGCTCTGCCTCTGCAGCAGACTTCTGTCTGGACACCAAGGCATTTCCTTACATCCACCGAAATCTAGGTGGAGGCTCCTAAGCTTCAATATTTGCCTTCTCCATACCTGCAGAACAAATGCAATGTGGATGCTGCCAAGGCTTGGGGCTTGCACGCTGTGAAGCGATGCTGCAAGCTGTACCTTGGCCCCTTTTAGCCACAGCAACAGCCATATCAGCTGGGACACAAGGTGCCATGTTGTGAGCTGCACAGAGCAGCAGGGCCCTGGGCCTGGCCCTCAAAACCATTTTTCTGTTCTAGGCTTCTAGGCTTGTGATGGGAGGGGCTGCCATAAAGATATCTGAAATGCCCTGGAGACATTTGCCCCATCGTTTTGTGTATTAACAATTGTATTAATAATTTTGAGCTCCTCATTACTTATGCAAATTTCTGCAGCAAGCTTGAATTCCTCCCCAGAAAATGGGTTTTTCTTTTTCTGCCACATGGGCAGCCTGCAAATTTTCTAAACTTTTATGCTCTGCTTCCCTTTGAAATATAAGTTATAGATTCAGGTCATTTCTTTGTTTATGCAAATGAACATAGGCTCTTAGAAGCCGCCAGACCACATCTTGAACACTTTGATGCTTAAAAATTTCTTCCACCAGGTACCCTAAATTATTTTTCTCAAGTTCAAAGTGTTACAGATCTCTAGAGCAGAGGCAAAATGCTGCCAGTCTCTTTGCTAAAACACAGCAAGAGTGACCTTTACTTCAGTTCTCAATAAGTTCCTCATCTCCATCTGTGACCACCTCAATGTGGACTTTACTGCCATATCACTCTCAGCATTTTGGTCACAACCATTCAATAAGTCTCTAGGACATTCCAAACTTTCTCTCATTTCCCTGTCTTCTTCTGAGCCCTCCAAATTGTTCCAAAGCTGCTTCCACATTTTCAGGTATCATTATAGCAATGTCCCACCTCTCTGGTACCAATTTTCTGTATTAGTCCATTTTCACATTGCTATAAAGAACTACCTGAGACTGGGTAGTTTATAAAGAAAAGAGGTTTAACTTACTCCCAGTTCCACAGGCTGTACAGGGGACATGGCTGGGGAGGCCTCAGGAAACTACCAATCATGGTGGAAGGTGAAGAGAAAGCAGGCATGGTCTTCACATGGCCGGCAGGATAGAGAGAGAGGAAAGAAGGAAGTGTTACACACTTTCAAACGACCAGTTCTCATGAGAACTCACTCACTATTACAAGAACAGCAAGAGGGAAAATCAGGCCCCATGTCTTAATCATCTCCCACCAGGTCCCTCACCCAACATTGGGGATTAAAATTCAACATGAAATTTGGGTGGGGACACAGAGCCAAACCATATCAGAGGGTTATAATATTTAAAAAGTAGTTAACATTTCAAAGTCATTTCTCTACTTCAATTGTTTTTGGGAAGGCACATTATGGAAATGGAAATTATTTTAAATAATAAGATATTTTTGAGAAGACTTTGGGAATAACTGAGGTAGCGAAAAAGAAGCACTAAGATAAACTTGGTAGGGATAAACAATGCTTGCCAATGGTATTATTTTGTGAAACATTAATTTTCTTATTATTTATGATTAAACTGCCAAGTGAATTCAGTTCTGATGTATTTCAGAGTGCCTCAAGGCACATTTTCCATCACCATTTGAACACAGGAAGCAGGAATGCATTACCATGAAAATATAGAAATGAGAAAACCTGACATCTATTATCTAAGTTTAGGAATTTATGCCAAAATTCATTAACATTTAAATTATAAATTAACTATCATGGAACATGACCTCAATAACCAAAGGACTATACAGATTCTTAAATACTCAGGTAGCCTGATTTTGATTTTAGGGACCCTGGTAACACATTAGTTAGGAGGTAGTCTGACAGTTTTTTCAAACATTTTCTAGGTTATTTACAGTCCTTGGAATCAGCTCATGTGATAATAGTAACCTCGACAAACTGCACGGTAAACACTATTTTTCTTGGGGAAACAAAGCAGCAAAAAGGAGTGTGAGTAAACTGAAAGAAGAAATATTTTAAGATTTAATCTAATACATACTGTGTTTTAATAATTATTCTTTGGGATTATTGAAATGTCATTTTGTAAAATGTGTTTCAGACTTTCTATATTTCATTACATTCTTCAGATTTTTTTTTATGTGAGCTTAAGTTTGAGGTCCATTAACCTTGAAAAATTTATGCATGTTATTCATTGATTCACCTTTATGTAGTTTTCTGTGTATGTGCAGGTACATGTGTGACTATTCACATTCATTCACGGTGATAGAGCCTGACTTCAAGGTGTATTTCAAACTTTCAGAATCCCCTTCCATTCTGCATCACTTATCTCTCTCTGTGTCTTTTTCTCTCTCTCTCACTCGCCCCCTCCTTTATTCTCTCCTTCCCTGACTTTCTTATCCCTTCTTTCCTGCCTGCCTATTGTTGTTTTCTTATTTCTACAAATATATTTGTTAGGTTTCATCATTCTAAAAAAGGGCTCTTCTCAGTCCTCCTACTTTTTTTTTTAGGATATTTCTTTGCTTTCCATCATTCTAACTGTTCCCATTTCCATGTCTTATCCTCTGTGATTGGGAGTCAACTTTCATCAATTTCTAAAGCCTCTTTTTTCTAGGTCACAAAATACTTCTGAATTTTACATATAACAATGATTTCTTAGTTTTCACCATCCTGGACTTCTTTTCTGAGGATGATCAACAAAGACCACTGAGCAGAGAAGAATGAACTAGTAATTTGGTGGTTTAAATGCATTACTAACCTGCTGTTCAATCTGTTTTTTCTTTTGTATTTTTACTGTTTTATTGTTGCTGTTCTGTTTTTTGTTTTGTTTCGTTTTACTTTGTTTTCCCTCAGAGGCCAAGACTGCCACATTGAGCAGTGTTGCTTGACCAGGGGTGCACATGAGTAGCAGCCTTAAGGATTTTTTTTTTTTTTCCTGAGATGAAGTCTCGCTCTTGTCCCCAGGCTGGAGTGAGATGGCATGATCTTGGCTCACTGCAACCTCTGCCTCCCGGGTTCAAGTGATTCTCCGGCCTCAGCCTCCTGAGTAGCTGGGATTTCAGGGGACACCACCACACCTGGCTAATTTTTGTATTTTTAGTAGAGATGGGGTTTCACCATGTTGCCCAGGCTGGTCTCGAACTCCTGACCTCAGGTGATCCACCTGCCTCAGCCTCCCAAAGTGCTGGGATTACAGGGGTGAGCCACCACGCTCGGCCAGCCCTAAGGATTTTGATTTGGGGTTCTGGGGTGGAAAGAGACATGCACATTTTCAACATGTTCTTCAAATAATTCTGCCTTCCACTAAATGTTAAGATTAGCTACTGGACTATTAGCAGCTATTTGCTTTTATTCTTAAGATGCACTATAAAAATATTTATTTGGCTTCTATGTTTTATTTGAAGAAGGTGCTTTCTTATCTATATATTTTTATATATTCAATTGTTCTTTGAAGTATATGGATATATTATTTATTCTTGTTTCTCTGGCTTTAAAATCTGGTGGAATTATAGCCTTAAAAAGACAAATAAAACATGTAGATATTTACTTCATGAAGCTTTGAGTTTAAAATAGTAAATAGGATGACCGTGAATATAACTCTTCTTGGAAATTTATTAGATTATGCTACCATTTATTTTTTCAATGATAACTTGTGATTTTTTTAAAGAATTACTATGCAAACTAAAACATATTGTAACTTATCCTTGATGGCTTAATTGACAGGTAAAAATTAAATATTTTGTGTCTTTTCATTGTATAAATGTACCTTTTGCATCTCTACATGACAAATTTTTAAAAATGATATAGAATTACTTTTCTCTGGAGAATGGCAAAACCCAATTCAAGGGAACTAAGAATCAAAATAAAATGATACATGAGCTGAAAGATGAAATAGCTGGTCTAGAAAACAACCTTACTGATCTAACAGAGCTGAAAAACACACCATAAGGATTTCACAATGCAATCATAAGTATTAATAGCAGAAAAGACCAAGCTGAGGAACAAATCTCAGACCTTGAAGACTGGCTCACTGAAATAAGACATTCAGACAAAAATAAAGAAAAAAAAAGAATGAAAAGAAAAAAAAAACAACTCTGAGAAATATTGGATTATGTAAAGAGGCCAAATCTGTGAATCACTGGCATCCCAGAAAGAGATAGGGAGAAAGCAAATAACTTGGAAAACATATTTCAGGATATCATCCATGAAAACTTTCCCAATCTTGCTAGAGAACTTAATAGTCAAATTCAGAAAATGCAGAAAATCACTGCAAGTTCCTACACAAGAAGATAATCCCCAAGACACAAAATCATCAGATTCTCCAGATCAAAATTAAAGAATGTTAAAGGCAGATAGAAGAAAAGGCAGTTCACCTACAAAGGGAGCCCTATCAGGCTAACAGTGGACTTCTCAGCTTAAACTCTATAAGCCAGAATATATTGGAGGCCTATATTCAATATTCTTAAGGAAAAAAAATTATCAACCAAGAATTTCACATCCAGCCAAACTAAGCTTCCTAAGCAAAGGAAAAATAAGATCCTTTTTCAATAAACAAATGGTGAGGGACTTTGTTACCACCAGACCTGCCTTACAAGAGATCTCGAAAGCAGCAGTATATATAGATAAAAAAGACTACTATCAGCCAATACAAAAACACACTTAAATACACAGAACAGTGATACTATAAAACAACCACATAACAAAGCCAGCATAATAACCAGCTAGCAACACAATAACAGGATCAAATTCACACATACCAATACTAACCTTGAGTGTAAGACAGCTAAATTCCCCTCTGGTATACTGGAAGACCCAATGGTATACTGTCTTCAAGAGACCCATCTCACATGTAATGACACCCAAGGGCTCAAAATACAGAGATGGAGGAAACTCTGCCACAGAAATGGAAATCAGAAAAAAAATGCAACTTAGGGTTGCCATCCTAATTTCAGGCAAAACAGATTTTAAACCAACAAAGATCAAAAAAGACAAAGAAGGGGATTACATAAGGGTCAAGGTTTCAGTTCAACAAGAAAACGTAAGTATCCCAAATATACATTCATCTAATATGGTAACAAACATATTTATAAATTTTATAAAGATCTACAAAGAGACTTTGACTCCCACACAATAATTATGGGAGACTTCAACACTTCACTGAGAGTATTAGACAGATTATTGAGGCAGAAAATTAACAAAGATATTTAGAACCTGAACTCAACATTGGACTAAATGGATCACATAGACCTCTACAGAACTCTCCACTCCAAAACAACAGAATGTATATTTTTCTCATTGCCACATGGCACATATTGTAAGATTGACCACACAATTGGACATATTGTAAGAGTCAAGACTGACATATTGTAAGACTGACCACACAATAGAACACTCTTAAGCAAATGCAAAAGAACGAAAATCATACCAAACTCTCTCTTGGACGACAGCACAATAAAAACAGAAGTCAAGACTAAAAAAAATGCTCAAAACCATGCAATTATATGAAAATTAGACAACATGCTCTGGAATGACTTTGAAATTAAGGCAGAAATAAAGAAGTTCTTTGAAACTAATGAGAATAAAAATAAAACATACCAGAATCTCTGGGACACAGCTAAGGCAGTGTTAAGAGGAAAATTCATAGCACTAAAGACCTAACATCAAGTATTAAAGCACTAAAACTAACATCAAGAAGTTAGAAAGATCTCAAATAAACAACCTAACATCACAATTGAAGGAATTGGAGAAGCAAGGAGAAATCAACTTCAAAGCTAGCAGAAGACAAGAAATAACCAAAATCAGAGACATAAAAAACCATTCAAAAGATCAAGAAAACAGGAGTTGGTATTGATTGGTTTTTTGAAAATAAAAAAAAGACTACTGGCTAGACTAATAAAAAATAAAGAGAGACTATCTTAATAAACACAATGAGAAATGACAAAGGGGATGTTATCACTGACTCCACAGAAATAAAAATTACCATTGGAAACTACTGCTATGAACACAAACTAGAAAACACAGAAGAGATATGTGAATTCCTATACACATACACCCTCCCACGACTGAACAAGGAAAAAATGGATTCATGAACAGACCAATAATGAGCTCTGAAATTGAATCAGTCATAAATAGTCTACCAACAAAAAAAGGCCAAGACCAGATGAATTCACAGCCAAATTCTACCAGGTGTACAAAGAAGACCTGGTACAATTCCTACTGAAACTGTTTTAAAAATTTAGGGAGGAGTGTCCTCTCCCAACTTATTCTGAGTCCACCTTCATCCTGTTACTAAAACCTGGCAGAGACACAACAACAACAACAAAAAACTTCAGGCTAATATCCTTGATGAAAACAGATGCAAAAATTCTCAACAAAATACTTGCAAATCAAATCCACCAGCACATCGAAAAGCTAACCCACCAAAATCAAGTAGGCTTCATCTCCAGGAAGCAAGGTTGGTTCAACACATGGAAATCAGTAAGTGTGATTCGTCACATAAACAGAACTAAAGACAGAACTGGCATGATTATCTCAATAAATGTGGAAAAGTTTTTTGATAAAATTCAACATCTCTTCATGTTAAAAACTCTCAGTAAATTAGGTATTGGGGAAACATACCTATTCACTATATTGCTATATTACAGGCAGTGCTTGCCAGAGCAATCAGGCAAGAGAAAAGAAAAATAAACAGCATCCAAGTAGGAAGAGAGGAAGTCAGACTATCCCTCTTTTCAGAAGATGTGATTCTATAACTAGAAAACCCCATATTCTTGGCCAAAAAGTCCTTCAGCTGATATACAACTTCAACTAAGTTTCAGGATATCAAATCAATGTAGAAACATTACTAGCATTTCTATACACCAACAACAGCAAAGCTGAGAGCCAAATTAGAAATGCAATCTCATTCACAATAGCCAGGAAAAGAATAAAATATACCAAGAAATACAGGTAACCAAGGAAGTAAAAGATCTCTACAATGAGAATTACAAAACACTGCTCAAAGAAGTCAGAGAAAACACAAATAAATGGAAAAACATCCCATGCTCATGGACAGTAAGAATCAATTATCATTAAAATGGCCAGACTGCCCAAAGCAATTTACAGATTCAATGCTACTCCTATCAAACTACCAATGACGTTCTTCACAGAACTAGAAAAAAACTATTTTAAAATTCATATGGAACCAAAAAGGAACCTGAATAGTCAAGGCAATCCTAAGCAAAATCATCAAAGCTGGAGGTATATTGCAGGGCTACAGTAACCAAAGCAGCAGCATAAGGACACCAATGTTCATTGCAACTCTATTCATAATTGCAAAGACATGGAATCAACCTAAATGCCCATCAATGACAGATTGAGTAACAAAAATGTGGGAAATATACCTCATGGAATACTATGCAGCCATAAAGAAGAACAAGATTGTGTCTTCTGTGGAAACATTGATGGAGCTAGAGGCCATCATCCTTAGCAGACTTAAGCAGGAACAGACAACCAAACACTGCATGTTCTCACTTCTAATTGGGAGCTAAATGAAGAGAACAGACAAACACAAAGAGAGGAACAACAGACACTGGGGCCTACGTGAGGATGGCAGGTGGGAGGAGGGAGAGGAGCAGAAAAAGTAACTATTGGGTACTGGGTTTAGTACCTGGGTGATGATATAATCTGTACAACAAATCCCTGTGACACAAGTTTACCTATAGGAAAAACCTGCACATATATGCCCAAACCTGAAATAAAGTTAAAAAAGAATTACTTTGCCTTACACTAACTAATATAACTAATATAACTAATCTAATCCTTTAATTTAAGCCACAATAGCTATTGGAACGTATCATACACCACATACTGGAGAAAATTTTTAAAAATATAAAATCCTTCCAAGTAATGCTTTTTATAGTAAAAATAAAGGTGTTTTTAAGTGAATTAATATTATAAGTTAAGTGTAATTTAGCCAATTTCAGAACATATACCTCAGGATATTTATTGTCATTCTATGAGAACCTGTAAAATTAATAAGGTGCTTGAAGTCATTATCATTTATTTTGTCTTATTTTTGCCTTATTTTCACTCACAAGAAGATTTTATGAAATAATTTTGTATATTGATCCACATAGCTTTTCTTTCTAGAATCAAAATCTATTATCATTTCAACCCATTTGTAAGACGAGTTTTTATAATTTTTAATATTTTAGGAGACATGTAAGTGTGGATATGCAATAATAATTTGTCCCAGCTGGGCGTGATGGCTCATGCCTATAATCCCAGCACTTTGGGAGGCTGAAGAGCGCAGATCACCTGAGGCCAAATAAACAACAACAAAAAAGAATTGGTCCTAAGCCCAGATTTTTATAAAACCAGAGCATTGAGATGAATCCACTATAAAACCATTGAGATGAATCCACTATAAGACAGAAAATCACTAATATTTATTGTAATTCAGCTAAGAGGAAGAGGAAATGATGAGGTTATATCCAATTATTTCGGAAGCTCAGGCCTCATAATATCTGCTGTCGAGGAAAAAACATTTTTTTTCTCTTTTTGTATGGGCAGGCAATCAGGAAGAAACATGAGAAATGTGTGTACAAAATCTGATTGACTATTGCACATTTCTATTCTCAGAAAGCCATGGTCACTACATGTGTGACCAATTCATCTGCGAGTACCTGGGACTGTCCCAGCTTTAAAACTGAAAGACCCACATTCTGGGATCCCTCTCAGTTTCAGGCAAACCAGGATGGTTTATCACCCTATATTTTTGTTTGTCCTGAACATAAAGCAGAACCCAACTTTACTCAGTAAATTCTTCATGGATTTATTCATTTATTCATGATTTTAATAAATTTTTACCAAGGGGACTGCTACAATCCAAGCAATGTGCTATTTGCTATGGACAAAATGGTAAATGAGAAATCATTTAAGCCCTTAAGGAAGTTACAATCTAGTGGGGGAGGTGGATGTTAAAAAAAAAAAGTGGAAACATTACCAAAGGGGAAGTTCAAAGTCATACAGGATAATTTAATTGTAAGAGACAGGATTCTGGGGATTCTAAAAAAGGCCTCTCCACGGATATGACTGAACGAAGGGGCAGAGAGAATGACAGAAAATGTGGCTGGAAATGGGGGCAGAGATCAGATAATATAGGTCGTGTCAGTCATGATAAAGACTCTGGATTTTATTACAAGAGCAATGGAGAGTCGGATGTTTTCTTTGGAAAATATTTCACCTTTAAAAATATTTGGTGTCTGTCATACTACTTTTAGAAGAGAGCCACCTGAATGGTAAAAACAGACATTTCTAGGTTCCTGGCTATACCTGACCAAAGCTGACCCAGCTATTTACTTTTCGTCGGAACAAGTCAGCTGTAGTACACTAAGATCAACTCAGAATTAATAAAACTACTCCTAACTGTGTCAGATGACCTGCTGGAAAGAAAAATCACCCAGAGGAAGTGCTACCTTCTATTTCTGACAGTATCTTCAAATTCTGTTTTACTAGTCAATTTATTTCAACAGGCATCTGAGAGCAGAATCTCTGTGCTAACTGCATGGAGTTCAGAATTAAGGTTACCGGATAAAACAATCTTATACTTACTATGCAAGTAGGCTTTTCATCTGGTAGAATTGTGGCCTGTACTGCTTAGCAGTCACACATTGTTCTCTGTATTGAGATAAATAACTGCCCTTCCTTACTGACCGTTGTGTAACTGCTAAGCCTTGTAATGGAAGCTGGTATGTATCAACAATAGGGTATTGTGGTTACATATATCTGGCAATCAAACTGGGACTCTGTCTTCCTCTTTTATCTTAAAGATCATGAGACTAAGTTGGCTAATAGTGTAAGCAATTAAAAGTTTTCTGAATTTTGAAATGTTGATGCTGTTTTGACAAAGCATCTGAATACTTTCCAAAGTTTGTAACTTTCAGTCAGAATTTTGTATCACAGACATAGGCTACATGTTGCCATCCAGGCAGATCTATCAAGCTTTTGCAGCTGCTCTCACAATCCATGTCAATGTCTATATTCATATTTATTTAGCAGTGATCCCCACTGATCGCTCAGAAGAGAGAAGTTTGTTTGTTTTTTGGCTTCACCATATTCTTGTTGCTTTGAATTCATAGCTGTAGCCTGAGGAACAATTGGTGATATTAATGCCATATTTATTGAATCATTGGTCCACCTCCTAATGAAACATAACAGAAGGACAAAATAAACTGTTTTTAGGGAGCACTCCAAGAAATATACAAACTCTTTTGCAATTTTGATGACTAGCCTAAAAATTTTAGTCACCAAACCTATCAAGCTTTCATTATTCCCAGATACATTTTTTATTAAAAAAATTATAATTTTTCAATAAAAATTTGTTCTATAGGCAGCTGTCAAATATCAATCTACCATTTTTTTCTCTGCTTCAAGGTTTTCTAATGGTGAAAAATGGAATAGGGGAGTCTATACATTTTAAGTATATAAGTAATTGCATGATAGGCATGGTTTTCTGTAGAGGAAAAAAGTTTCCTGTATTATCTGCTGAACATGGATTGCTGATTAGATCAATTTATTTTCTAGCTTGGAAATTATTAGTATCTACATATGTTTATTTTCATTAGGACTCCCCCCATACACAAAAAGCAGCCAGTAAATGAAAAGAGGCCTGCAAGATATCATTCAGACGAGTTTCTGCGATCCATAAATGTGTCCATACTTAAACTTAGCGGACACTTAACTCTTTGAACCACAATTTCTTCATCTGTAATATGACAAGCAGAGTTTCTGCTAAATGGAAGGTGGAAAGACACTCTGTACAATGCCTAGAACATAATAGATACTCAAGAATGTCACTTAACCCAGAATAAATTTGAATATTACTCAGAATAGGTCTAGGTATCTCTGATAGATGACTCCATTTATCCTCACCATAGATTATTAAAACTGTTTTGTGGGAGTCCTTGCTATCTTGTATTTGAGTTTCTTAGGTACATGCAAAGTCAAATTAAAATCTATTGGACAAAGCATATTATTTAGCCATGATTACAATAAAGTAGTACTCACATAGCCAAAGTTCTCTAGATGTCCGGTTGACCTGACCTGGTGTTATAAATTATAAACAATATCTCATATGGTTTGGCTCTGTGTTCACACCCAAATGTCATCTCGAATTGTAAACCCCATGTGTCAAGGGAGGGACCTGGTGGGAGGTGACTGAATCATGAGGGTAGTTTCCCCCATGCTGTTCTCATGACAGTGAGGGAGTCCTCATGAGATCTGATGGTTTAAAAGTGGCAGTTTCCCTTCTGCTCTCTCTCTCTCCTGCCAGCGTGTAAGAGGTGCCTAGCCTGCCCTTCCACCATGATTGTAAGTTTCCTGAGGCCTCCCCAGCCATGTGGAACTGTGAGTAAATTAAACCTCTTTCCTTTACAAATTGCCCAGTGTGTAGTATCTTTAGAGCAGTGGGAAAATGAACAAATAAAGAAAAATGATACCAGAGCAGAGTGGGGTACTGGTGTAAAGATAACACGAAAATGTGGAAGCAACTTTGGAACTGAGTAATGCGCAGAGATTGGAACAGTTTGGATGGCTCAGAAGACAGGAAGATGTGGGAATGTTGGGAACCTCCTACAGACTTGTTGAATGGTTCTGATCAAAATGCTGATAGTGTTATAGACAGTGAAGTCCAGGTTGTAGTGGTCTTAGGTGGAGATGAGGAAATTGTTGAGAACTGGAGCAAAGGTCACTCTTGCTATGCTTTAGCAAAGAAACTGGTGGCATTTTGCTCCTGCTGTAGAGATTTGTGGAACTTTGAATTTGAGAGAGATGATTTAGGGTATCTGACAGAAGAAATTTTTAAGCAGCAAAGCATTCAAGAGGGGACCTGGCTTTTCCTGAAAGTATACACTTATATGTGCCCACAAAGAGATGGTTTGATGTTGAAACTTTTATTTAACAGGGAAGCAGAGCATAAAAGTTTCAAAGATTTGCAGCCTGATCATGAGGTAGAAAGGAAAAAAAAAAAAGCTGTTTTCTGGAAAGAAATTCAAGCCAGCTGCAGGAATTTGCATAAGTAATGAGAAGCCTAATGTTAATTTCCAAGACAATGGGGAAAACATCTCCAGGCAATCTCAGAGTTCTTTATAACAGCCCCTCCCATCACAGGTCTGGAAGCCTAGAACAGAAAAATAGTTTTGTGTGCTGGGCCCAGGGTTCTGCTGCTCTGTGCACCCTTGCGACATGGTACCCTCTGTCCCACCCAGCCAATCCAGCTCCAGCCATGGTTAAAATGGCCATGGTACAGCTGTGGCCGTGGCTTCAGAGGGTGCAAACCCCAACCATTGCCAGCTTCCCTCTGGCACTGGGCCTGTGGGTGCATAGAAGACAAGAGTTGAGGATTGGGAACCTCCACCTAGATTTCAGAGGATGTATGGAAATACCTGGATGTCCAGGCAGAAGTTTGTTGCAGGGGCAGCGCCCTCACGGAGAACCTCTGCTAGGGCAGTGCAGAAAGAAAATATGGGATCAGAGCCCCCCACACATGGTTCCCACTGGGGCACTGCATAGTAGAGCTGTGAGAAGAGGGCCATTGTCCTCAAGACCCTAGAATGGCAGATCCACTGACAGCTTGCACCTTGCACCTGTAAAAGCTGCAGGCACTCAGTGCCAGCCCATGAAAGCAGCCACAAGATCTGTACCCTGCAGAGCCACAGGGGCAGAGCTGCTGAAGGCCTCGGAGGCCACCCTTTGCATTAGCATGCCTTGGATGTAAGACATGAAGTCAAAGGAGATTTTGGAGCTTCTTTAAGATTTGATGACTGCCCAGCCGGGCTTCTAGACTTGCATGGGGCCTGCGATCCCTTTGTTTTGGCCAATTTCTCCCATTTGGAATGGGAACATTAATCCAATGCCTATATCCCCATTGTATCTTGGAAGTAATTAACTTTCTTTTGATTTTACAGGTGCTTAGGTGAAAGGAACTTCCCTTGTCTCAGATGAGGCTTTGGACTTGAACTTATGAGTTTAGGCTGAAATGAGTTAAGACTTTGGGGGACTGTTGGGAAAGCA
This sequence comes from Homo sapiens, assembly GCF_000001405.40. NCBI lineage: Eukaryota > Metazoa > Chordata > Mammalia > Primates > Hominidae > Homo > Homo sapiens. The sequence continues at coordinate 143,375,740 of NC_000023.11, read as the reverse complement.
TGATTGGTTTTGAAATAAGAAAATGACATGAGATATACGAGGGGCCACAGGCAGAATGATATGGATGGGCTCTATGTACCCAACCAAATCTCATTTCAAATTGTAATCCCCATGTGTCTAGGAAGGGACCTGGTGGGAGGTGATTGAATCATGGAGACAGTTTTCCTCCATGCTGTTCTCATGATAGTGGGGGAATTCTTATGATATTTGATGATGTAAAAGTGGCAGTTTCCCCTGTGCCCTCTCTCTCCTGCTTCAATGTAAAACGTGCCTGCCTTCCCCTGTGCTTTCTGCCATAATTTTAAGTTTCCTGAGGCCTCCCTAGCCATGTAGAATTTTGAGTCAATTAAACTTCGTTTCTTTATAAATTACCCAGTCTGTAGTATATTTATAGCAGTGTGAAAATAAATTAAAACAATACCTAATATGACTAATCCATGTCATCATATCATTACATATTTTATTAAAAGGAATTGCTTACCGTTACTACTAAGTTATCACTCAGTTAATGTTATGAATAAATGGTTAGGTAATTATACACAGTGTAACCCAAAAAAGTTCATTCAGTGTCGACATCTTGCCTCTAATTGGCTACTTATGTTACACGGCTCCATCAGGTCTATGAGTAGAGGCACAATTTGTTGGATGTGTATAAACAATGGTATTTACTTTGAACCAGTTGGTTTTAAGTGGCAATATCATTTAGCATTTCTAGTATATGGGAGAGAAACTACCTTTATAATTTTTTTAAAACGTCTTTCCTTACAAGGTCACTATGCTAGAGAAGAAAAAGATAATGATTAGAAATTAGTTCTATATCAGGTAATTTTAACTCTTTGGAACAAAAGTCCACCAAATTTAGAATCTCTGAAATTAGCTTGGCAGCACAGTATAAAATCTTTCTAAACATTTTTGTAAATTATATAACTCCAGGAATAAAAAAGCAAAAGTACACTTTTGTCTATTTTTAAATGTGTACCTTATAAAGAAAAATTGAATATTTTCTTTTTTAAGCATTTGCGCTTGGAAAGCTCCATGGAGACATATGCTTGGTTTGGTTATAGAGTTAGTTTTTAATTATTCATTATTTTAAAAGGTTCCATTTATACCTTTGGGTAGAGTGGTTATCACATCCAGTTGTCAACTCTTAGGGTTGGAAAGAGGATACAAAAAATTAAGAGTGTTGCTCTATGTGATGTTCTTTATTAGTATATTTTATTTGATCTTTAGTATTTTTTAGTCGTTTATATTTTACATCAAAATATTCAACAGAAATATATAACTGGTAAGTATTCTATTATCAGTATGTTCAAGCTGAAAGATGGATTTCAGGTTTAAATATCTATGTCAGTACTCAAAATATGCTCGCAGCTCATATACATATATATTTTATCGATAAATTATTCCCAAGATCAAAGAGTACAAGAAACTGATCCCCATTGCTATGAAATAATATTCAATAATATATGTGTGGGTATCTATTGATGTGTAAAAAAACACAAAAAAATTCAGCGGCTTAAGGCAACAAATATTTATTAATATACCATTCTGCTGATTAACATTTGGGGATGAGCTCAGCTTGTTGGTTGTATTAAAGCTCCCTTATAAATTTGCAGTCATCTGTAAATCAGCTAGGTGGCTCTGCACTGGAGACTGATCAACTGTTGGCTGGGGCAATGGGAGTAATTGGGTAAGCTGTCTTTCTTCATGTAGGATGTTTTACTGGGCTTATTCACATGACAGCTGGGCAGAGTTCCAAGAGAGGGAGCAGTAGCTGTCAATACCTCTTGAAGTTTGGGGTCGATGTGGAACACTGTCATTTCCACCACATTCTATTTGCAGTAGCATACTGGTGCTATCCTGTATCAAACCATGAGAGCTGATAGTACACATCTCTTCACAACTATGCATCCACTGAGGACATGTAGGTACCTTGAAGTTGGCCATGGGAGAATATTTACATTTTAGAAATCAGCAAGTGCTACCAATCAAGACTTTTGGGGAGAGCAGATTATTTATCATGTATCAGAACACCGCTGTTTATTGGTTTAAGCGTTACAAGGCCATCCCAGATTGAAGAAGTGAAGAAATTCACTGTACTGCTTGATTAGAGAAGTTAGTGATATTTTAAAGGGCCCAGTTACAGAAAATGTCATGATAGTGGCCGTTTCTTTTCTCCTAAATAATCTAGTGTGCGTCGCATCCAAATTGTGTCGCGCTGTTGTCTAAGTCGGATACAGCATCAAAAAATAAAGTAAATGTAGCACAGATAACATAACTGATAATCATGATGGTTTACATTTGAGTAGAAATTTTCATTTATTCAAGTGTTTTCATTTTCATGATTTTATATGTAAACTTTAAGGGCGGCTATTACTCCAATTTTACTGATGAGGAAATTGAGATGCAGATTTCATATGACTCTCCTAAAGCATGCAAAGCAAGTAAAAAAAATCATTCCAAACATAAATTTAGGTCTTTTAACTCATTATTTCCAAGCCTTCACACTATCCACCTTGATTAAATCAAATGCAAAGTGCTATAGTGATCGTGTTTAAAAAGTATTAGTGATAAAGGCCTACTGTCTATTCTTAATATTATAAGTTAATATTTTGTTAGTGGAGTTGTTCTACCAACTGACTATAGATGCCATAACACCAGATTAACAACTCTAAAGGTGCTGACAATGCTTAAGCAAATCATAGCTCTGGATATCAGTTTAATCTGTATTTATTGAACTCCAAATGCATATCTCATTGGAATGTAAATTAACTTATTACAGGTAAATTTTTTGGGTTTTTAGTGATTTCTATACAATAAAATTGTTTATGAGGCACCACAGTTTCCGAATGAATGTTGGCTAAGGGTCACCTTTTAATTTACAAACTCTCTCTACCTGGGCTTGATTTTAGAGCTGGGTCTAGAACATAACTGCCTGAAGGACCAACTTATTTTCACAACTAGAACCAAGCAATCATCCCTTACATTATAAGTTTGAAATTTTCTAGTCTTAACATGAATTTGATTGAATTTTGCCTTCAGTCTTTTGAAAATTTAAGCATATTCGTCCCTGTCTTTTTAGGATTTTTAAAAGATACAATCTGCTATTTAAGAGATGTTATACTTGTGTGTATGTGTGTGATGGTTTATGTGTGTTTCATTAAACCATTTAGCCTGTTGGGTATCTCAATGTCTGCAACATTCCCTATTCTGAGATAAAGTAAGAAGGATAACTAATAATGCTAAATTTACTTATCTGTTTCTACACTTACTCATTAGATTTAAGTAAAATATGTTTTCGAGTAAGTGGCTAACAATTGATTAAGGTAATTTTATGAATTATTTTCAAAATTACAATTTAATTTGCTTTATTTTAATACTCAGACTATTTTGTCTTGATAGATACAACCTCAAATTCCATTAAAACCGAAATGTTGCAGGTGATTTAAGAATTGTTACAAACTTAAGAAGCTTGCTTTTCTCTGACTTCTCAAAATGTTTTTGCCAGATAGAGAAGTAGAACTGTTGTTTCCAATGCTAATCATAATGAAAAGTCACCACTAAACACCTAATAATAAAAGAAAAAATAAAGTTGTTTCTTAGTAGAGAAGCACAAAAGGAAGTATCCTAACTAGAATTCAGACTGCCAACATTCTACAATTTTATATTGAATATAAGTCTGCCATTCACCAGATGTGTGATTAGAAGTGGAAGTATGTGCAGATAAGCCTCTATAAACACTTAAGAGAAATAAGAATTAAAACATGTATAAAAGTTGGTATTAAGTTATTTTTAAATCTATTTACTTTGCAGTGTCATTTATAACAATGATTTTACATTTTTTTAAGACTCTCCAATTGTGCCTTTATTTTTGTAATTAATTCTCCACAACATATTAATTCTTAGCCAAATTAGAGTAACATTCAAATTAAGCAAATAGTTGATGTAGTTATGGCTATGTCCCCACATTTAACATAATTTAATTTAATAAGGTTTTCTACTTGGCTTTAATAGAGCTTCTGAATGAAGAATTTGTGTCAGGTCTTAGCCAGAATGAGTATATTTCCTTTTAGTCAGTTTTGTAAATATGTATTTATTAGGAATTTGAATATAGAGGCAGGAGGCAAAAAATTATCTCTTTTACATGATATCTCTCTGACAGGTAATGTGGTTTAATAGAAAACATACCGCATAAGAAATCCTAATACTTGGTTCTATATTCACCTCCTTATTTACCCAGTATGTGACTTTGGAAAAATCAATGTAGCTCACTTTCCCCACTATAAAGTGTGAAAAACTTTTCTCATACACTCAGGAAAATAACATAAAATTATGTATGGAAAGCAACATAAAATGGTTTTTAGTATGCACTTCTTAGCAGTGCAAGAGTGCAGATAGATAAGATAAAAATGAAGCATTTTCATGAAACCACCACTTAATATTGTTGAAACTACTGATGTGTTTCTTCCATATCCAATCCCACTGACTCATTTTTACTCTCAGCTGCTTTTAAGACCCTCTCTTTGCCTTCGAGTTTCTGAAGTTTTATTACAATAATAGAATGTTTGTGGAGTTCTTTTAATGTATCCTGCTTTGTATCCACTGCTTTTCTAGTAAGTTTATATAAACATATAGTAGTCCTTCTTACTCTGTGTATTCTCTCTTCAATTTTTTTCATCTAATTAGGTTTCCATGTTTCATTCTCAATAATTTATTCAGTTATATCACCAGATCAATAATTCAGTCATTGGCTGAGTGTAATCTGCTGTTCAAACTGTAATTTGTTTCTGATTTTGACAATTATACCTATTTTAATTAAACGTTAAAACTTGTTTTATTTTCTTATTAAGTTCTAAGAGTGTTTTGAATATTTTGTATACAAGTACTTTATGAAATATGTGTTTTGCGAATATTTTCTCTAAGTTACTGCCTTGCCTTTCTATTCTCTTAATTATGTGTTTCGTAGAGCATACGTTTTTAGTTTTAATAAAGTTCTTTATTTTTTTTTCTTTCATGGATGATGCTTTTTGTGTTGTGTCTCAAAAGTCATTGCCAAATTCAAGGTTACCTATATTTTTGCCTGGGTCTTTTTTTTAGAAATTTTATATTTAGGTCTGTGTTCCATTTTAAGTTAGTTTTTGTTAAAAGCGTGAGATTTGTGTCTAGAATTTTTTTATGTCGAAGTCCAGTTTTCCCAGCACCATTTGCTGAAAAGATTATCCTTCTCCATTGAACTGCCTTTGCATCTTTGTCAAAGATAACTTGATGATATTTAGGTGGGTCAATTATGGAGCTCTCGTTTTTGTTCTATTAATCTATGTGTCTATTCTTTTGCCAATACCGTGTTGTCTTGATTATCATAGCTTTATAGTAAGGCTTGAAGTCTTCAGACTTCATTTATTTTTTTTTTCAGTATTGAGTTGGCTATTTCTGGGTCTTTTGCCTTTTGATATAAACTTTAGAACCAATTTGTAAGTATCCACAAAATAACTGGCTGAAACTTTACATGAAATTGTATTGAATCTACAGATCACGTTGGAAAGAGTTGGTTATCATGTAAAGGGTGTTGTATTTATAATTTCAAATTACACTTTTTCATTGCTGGTATATAACAAATTAATTGACTTTTATATATTAACTTTGCATCCTGAAACCTTGCTGTAATTGGTTATGAGTTCCAGGGGGTGTTTTATTTTCAGATTATTTGGGAATTTTTATATCGATAGTCATGCTATCTGTGAACAAAGATAGTTTTTTTTCTCCTTTCCCAATCTGTATATATCTCATTTTCTTTTCTTGTGTTATTGCATCAGCTAGACTTGCAGTACAATGTTGAATAGGAACCATGAGAGGGAACATATTTGTCTTGTTCAGTATATTAGGGAGAAAGGGTATAGTTTCTCGTTATTAGGTGTAGTATTAGCTGCAGTTTTTGTGTAGATGTTCCTTCTCAGGTTGTGGATATTCCTCTCATTCCTAGTTTGCTGATTTTTAAAATCAAAAATGGATTATTCTGCATCTATTTATATGATCATATGCGTTTTCTTATTATGTTAATATAATGTGTTACATTAATTAATTTTTCAATGTTAAAATAGCCTTGCATATTGGGGAGAAAACTCCACTGGTCATTTTGTATAATTATTTCAATACACGGTTGGATTTGATTTGCCAATAATTTTCAGAATTTTTACATTTATGTTTGTGAAATATTAGTGTGTAATTTTCCTTTCTCATAATATCTTTACTAGGTTTTAGTATTAGTGTAATGCTGGACTCACAGAATGTGTTCGATTGTATCCCTTTTGCTTCTATTTTCTGGAAGAGATTGAAGAGTATTAGTGTCATTTCTGGCTTAAATGTTTGCTAGAATTAACCAGTGAAACCATCCAGATCTGATTATTTCTTTGAAAGGTTATTAGTTATTGATTCAATTTATTTAATAGATGTATTAAATATTATTATAAAAGTATTAAATGGTATGTATTTCTCCTTGAGGGAGTTTTCTTTGCTTGTGTCTTTTAAAGAATTGGTAAATTTCATCTAAGTTATCAAATTCGTAGGCTTAGAGTTATTCATAGTATTTCTTTGTTATCCTTTTAAATGTTCATGGGATCAGTGGTGATAACGCATTTTTCATTTCTGATATCAGCAATTTGTGTTCTCTCTCTTTTCTTCCTCTGTTAGCCTACCTAGAGGTCGATACATTCTACCGATCTTTTCAAAGGACCAGCTTTTTGTTGGCTGATTTTCTTTGTTGTTTTCTTGATTTTAATTTCACTGACTTCTGCTGTAATTTTTACTATTCTTTTGTTTGCTGTAAGTTTCTATTACACATTGTTTTATAGTTTCCTAAAATGGAAGTTTAGGCTATTGATTTTAGATATTTCTTCCTTTTCAAAAGACTAATTCAATGCCATAAATTAACCTTTAAATTTTCCTCTATGTACTTATTTTATGCATCCAACAAATTTTTTTTTATTATAGGGTGGGGGAACATCCTACAAATTTAAGAAGTTGTATTTTATTTACTTCACTTTTTAAAAAGATTAATGGATATATAATATTTGTACATACTGATGGGGTCCATGCCATATTTTGATACATGCATACAATGCAATGTGTAACGATTAAGCCAGGGTACCTAGAATATCCATCATCTCAAGCATTTATCATTTCTTTTCATTGAGAACATTTTGAATATGCTCTTTTAGCTATTTTGAAATATACTATATATTATTGTTAACTACAGTCATCCAACTGTGCTTTCGAACACTGGAACCCATTTCTCCTATTTAACTACATATTTGTATTCACTAACAAATCTCTCTTTATCTCCCTACCAAAACACACAGGTTTTCCAGCTTCTGGAAACTATCATTCAACCTCTGCCTCCCCGAGATCAACATTTTTTAGCTTCTACTTATGAATCAGTATATGTGATATTTGTCTTACTGTGCCTGGCTTATTTCACTTAGCAAAATGACCTTTAGGTTCCACACATGCTACTACAAATTACAGGATTTCATTCTTTCTTATGACTGAATAGTATTCCATTGTGAATATATACATTTTATTCATCCATTCTTCTGTCGAAAAATACTTGTTTACTTTGTAAATTTCCCTCAAAACTTCCTTTTTGTCCCATGTATTATATAGAGTGGTGTTTTTTAACTTTTAAATATTTTGTGAGTTTCCGGCTATCTTTCCATTGTTTGTTTCTTGTTTAAATCAATTGTGATCCATGAGCCCACTCTATGTGATTTCTATTCTTTTAAAATTGTTACGGTATGTGCTATGGCCCAGAATGTTGTCTACCTGAGTGACTACTGTCCCATGTGAGTATGAGAAGAATCTGTATTCTGGTGTTGTTAAATGAACTAATCTATAAATGTCAGCTAGATCAAGTTTATTGATGGTAATTTTTCATAAAATTATATCCTTACTGACTATCTGCCTGCTATACCTTTGAATTCCTGATTGAGATTTGTTAAGGACTGCAATTATAATAATGGATTGGTCCATCCCTCCTAACGTTCTACCAGTTTTTGTTCCATATTTTGATGTTCTATTTAGGTACATGCATATTAAGGATTATCATGTATTTTTGCAGGATTGGTTTCTTTGTCATTACTTAATACCTCTCTTTATCCCTTATCACATTCCTTGTGCTGACATGGGCTTTGTCTGAAGGCAATATAGTGATTCCAGCTTTCTTTTCGTTGGTGTTAGAGTGATATATATTTCTCCATCCTTGTACTTTTAATTGATTTGTGTCATTGTATCTAAAGTTGGGTTCTTGTAAACAACATATAGCTAGATCTTGATTTTTTTTATATCTTCTCTCTCTGTCTAATTTATATGTGCATACAATTTACATTCAAAGAGATGGTTGATATTTGGGGTTATTATCTATCATATTTCTTACTGTTTTCTGTTTATTGCATTTGTTCTCGTTCTTCTCCCTTTTCTACCTTCACTAATTTTAATGGAACATTTAATATTATTCTGTTTTCTCTCTTCTCTTAGTCTATAAAGTTTACATTACAAACTACTTTTAGAGCTATCAATATACATTTGAAGCTAATCAAATTTCACATTCAAATAGTACCATGTTTCCTCATGAGTAACACAGACACCTCATCACAGAGTATTTCTTTTTCCTCCCTGCTGTCTCTCATAATATTGCTGTCATTCCTTTTACTTATCTGTAAACTATAATCTCTCAGTACATTTTTGTTATCATTTTGACAATTATCTCTTATACCAACTAAGAATAATAAAAATATTTAATTTTAGTTTTATTTCTTTTCTAATGTTTCTCCTTTTTCAAGTAAATCTGAGTTGCTAATCTATATAATTTTCCTTTTTTTCTGAAGAATATTTTTATAAAAATTTCTTGCAAGGCAATACTACCAGCAGCAAATTGATTCAGTTTTTGCTTATCTGAAAAAGTCTTTATTTCTTCTTCACTTTTGAGTGATAATTTTACTGGGTATATAATTATAGACTGGTGCTTTACATTTTCTTTCAACACAATTAATTTTCACTGTTCTCTTCTTGCTTGCATGTTTTTGAAGTGAATGTAATTCTTGTCTTTGTTCTTTTATGGTTAATCTGCTCCCTCACTTTGATTTATTTCAAGTTTTTTTTTGTTAAATACGATATACTTAGATATGTGTTTGTGTGTGTATGTGTGTGTGAATGTATGTATATATATATATATATATAATTATATATATATAATTTTCTTGGTGTTCTCTGAACATTCTGAGTTTACGGTTTCATATCTGTCATCAATTTTGGAAAAAATGATTTCTTCTGCTATTATCTCTCTTCTACTTTTGATATCCTTATTATACCTATCTAATATCTTTTTAAAATTGTTTCACAGTTCTTGGATATTCCATTTATTTTTTAAAAATTATTTTTTTCTTATATTCAGTGTTGGAAGTTTTTGTTGCCATGTCTAATCTCACTGAAGTGTTCCTCAGCTGAGTACATTCTACTCATGAAAACATCAAAACATTGCTTATTTCTGTTACTTTTTAAATTTTCTGGCATTTGTTTTTATTTTTTGACTCATTCAATAGTTTATGGCACTGTATTTACATTACCCATTTTTTCCCTGCATGTTGTTTACTTAGAGCTTTTAGTTTACTAATCATAGTAATTTTAAATTCATGTTATGACCATTAAAAATTTCTGCCATATCTAGTTTTGGTTTTGATCCTTGTTTTATTGCTTCAGACTGTGGTTTGTGTTGCATTTTAATGTGACTTGTAATTTTTTTATTGTTGTTGAAAGCCCATCATGACACAAAAAATAATAGGAACTAAGGTAAATAGGCCTTTGGTGTAAAGTTTCATGTTTATTTGGTCAAAAGTTAGGTTGTGTTTAATGTTCAATGTAGCTGTATGCATCAGAGACTTCCATTTCACCTGCTGTACTTATTATTGTCTTTTCTGTTTGATTTGGGTTTCCTTAGACATTCTTTCTTAAATAATGTCTGTTTTTTTTGTAGATCTCTCAGGTGTAAACTACTGTTTTATACTGGTGCCCTGTTTAAGTGATGGCAAGGTACTCCAAAAGGAAATTGTTTGATAATATTGCGATTAAATTTTAGAGTTCTTTTAGTGGGCCTGAATTCCTAAGCTGACCTTCAGAAGAGTTTCTTACATTTTTATCTCTTCTATGTAATATGTGAAGGCTAGAGGGGGTCCAGTTGACTAATTGACCTTTCCTTATAATGAACTGTCTCTGGTAAAGTAGTTTCCCTTGGGAGTAAGTCTCTGTGACTGAGAATAGAACACTTCAGATTTCTAAGTGGTTAGCCTCTGCTGAAAGTAGGAGAGGATTTTTCTTTGATTTTCACTGTGAGAACCTGGTGGGGGACCTGCTCAGCAGTATAGTTGTGGTGGTGGTATTGTGGTGTGATTGCTTTTTGTGGCTTTTTTTTTTTTAGGATAAAAACAAATGTCCCGTTAGAAAACTATCTAAAAATTTTTCTCACTTTTTATTAGTCATTGATAGTTATTTGTGATGTCACACCGTTAGTCAGTGCCTATAATAATGAATACTTCAACAATCATAGCATTCTATTATTACATGCAAAAATTACATTAATTATGCCAAAGCAATTTATTACAAGAAAAAATAAATGTTATTCATTATGCTTACCCTATGTCATACTACCAGCTAGATCCCACCCTTCAAATTTTACTATTCAAATAATAATATTCCACTAACTAATACTTTACTGTTCTTTATAAGATAAATTAATTTTTAACTAAGAAATTGTCTACATAATTAAAACATTCTTCTGTGAAGAAATTGGAACTGTTATGGACACATTCACACATTGGATAAGTCAAGGTCAACATCCAATATAGCTTGACAAAAAACAATATCATGATGCAAATCCTCTGGCTGTGTCTATGCAATTTCAACCAAGTCACAATTAAAATGTTAAGAGAAAGGCTTTCAACTGCTTAGGACAGTATGCATATAATTAATGAGAAACTTCATTTTTTCCATCAAAATAGTCAAAACTCCTTGGATTGTTGGTTTTGGTTTAAAATATCAAAGTAACCAAGGCTCAATTAACTAAGAAGTTGGAGAATGGGACTGAGTTACAGTAGAGATTCATCTGCTATCACAACTTTATCAGTCAGCCTGGCCATCTCATGACTTATCAGTGCAAGCTTTGTTCATTCAGTGTATCATTATATGGTTGAGAACTTTTCCAATATCAACTTTTGTGTTTGTGCTCTTACATACTTGTGACAGAGACAAAACTGGGCTTCTTCCTCTAATTTATAGTTTGAAAATCCTCAGTGAATACAGGTTGAGTCTTATGTCCACCCTCTGGACTAATCAATGCATTAGGGGTGTGGTAAGGTGCCCATTAATTAGCCCAATCATTGGGGTTATGGACATGGGGTCACAGAGCTTCCATTTGGGCCTATATGATTGGACAAGGGAGGGTGAATTGTTTCTCTAAAGAAGTATGTGGGTGCATCAATGACATAGCCCCTGGGGAAATTGTTGTGACCTGGGCAGCCATCCAAATTTGCCTAGTATAGGCCTAGAATTTAGATAATTAAAATATGTATGAAAAATCAGATGCAAATAAAATGATACTTAGACCATTTATCTTTTTAAAATATGCATTCCCCGAATCCCAGCTTTTCCCTGAGGAGGGATGCATTTGAACCACACATATGACACAACAACTTTTGTAATCCTCCCTAAAGGTCTTGACTCTTAAATCACCTGGTTCTGGGAGTGAATGAGACTCTGCATTCCTGAGTTTCCCTGGACCATAGAGAATAAAGAAGTAGTTCTGAATGGGGCATGTGAGTATTTCTAGTGGCTGTAGCACCCAGGATGAGTGCAGAGAAAATGGATTAAAACACTCAGCTCATAGCTTCTCCCTAGAAAGGGGTATGTCGACACACTTTTCCAACAGCTGTTGGAGGGTCAGGTCAGCCTACATCTGGAATCCAATAGGGCAGATAAACAATAGACATCCACATGCCTGAAAGAGAGTATGGCACTCTCCATGCCTTTGCTCCTTGTTCACTCAAGTGATAAATCCAGTTCTCTAGGTTGTCCTGGAAATAGTTTGTGTACACAACACATGCTCCAATGTTTGCAGCTGTCACTTACAGTCTTGGCTACAAAATCACCTTGCTCTAAGAATTGACAGTGCTCTGCATTCTTGAGTCTCTCCGGACTACAGAGAACAAAGAGGTTGTATTAGCCCGTTCTCAAACTGCTGTAAAGAACTGCCCAGGACTTGGTAATTTATAAAGGAAAGAGGTTTAATTGACTCACAGTTCACATGGCTGGGGAGCCCTCAGGAAACTTATAATCCTGGCAAAAGGTGAAGGGGAAGAAAGGCACCTTCTTCACAAGGTGGCAAGAAAGAGAAGCACAGAGCAAAGGGAATACTTCTAAACTCATTCTATGAGGCCAGTGTTACCCTGATAACAAAACCAGACAAAGGTACATCAAAGAAAGAAAACTACAGACCAATGTCTCTCATAAATATTGATCCAAAAATGCTCAACAAAACACTAGCAAAATGAATTCAACAATACTTTAAAAAGATTACTTATCATGACCACGTCGGATTTATCCCTTGGATGCAATGATGGTTTAACATACACAAGTCAATCAATATGATATATCAATAGAATGAGGGACAAAAAAACATGATCATTTCAATTGATGCTGAAAAAGCATTTGATAAAATTCAACATCCCTTCATGATAAAAACCTTCAAAATGCTGAGGATAGAAGAAACATACCTTAACGGAATAAAAACCATCTATGACCAACCCAGAGCTGGTATTGTATTGAATTGGGAAAAACTAAAATCCTTTCCTGTATGATCTGGACCATAACAAGGATGCCAGTTTAAACACTGTTGTTAAACATAGTACTGGAGGTCCTAGCTAGAGCAATCAGACAAGAGAAAAAATAAAGGCCATCCAAACCCTAAAAGAAGAAGTCAAAATATCCATGTTTGCAGACGATATGATCATATGCTTGGAAAAACCTGAAGACTCAACAAAAAACTATAAGAACTGAAAAACAAATTTGGTAAAGTTGCAGGATACAAAATCAAAATACAAAACCAGTAGCATTTGTATATGCCAACAGAGAACAATGTGGAAAATAAACTAAAAAGTTATTACACTTACAATAACCACAAATAAATTTAAATATCTAGGAATTAACTTCACCAAAAAGTAAAAGTATCTGTAATGAAAACTATAAAACACTGATGAAAGAAATTGAAAAGGACACAAAAAATGGAAAGTTATTCCATGTTCATAGTTTGGAATAATCAATATTGTCAAAATATTCATACTAACCAAAGCAATCTAGAGATTCAATGCAATCCCTATCAAAATAGCAATGACATTTTTCACAGAAATAAAATTACATAGAACCACAAAATATCCAAAATATCCAAAGCCATTTGAATCAAAGAAAACAAACCTGGAGGAATCACAATACCCAACTTCAAATAATACTACAGAAATACAGTAATCAAAATCTCATGGTACTGTCATTAAAAGAAAACACTTAGACCAATGCAACAAAAGAGAGAACCCAGAAACAAATTCAAACACTTTCAGTCAACTGATTTTGACAAAGGTGCCAAGAGCGTGCACTAGGGAAAAGATAGTTTCTTCAAGAAATAATGCTGGGAAAAGTGGATATCCATATGCAAAATCATCAAACTGGACTCCTCTCTCTAACCATATACAAAAACAAATCAAAATGGATTAAAGACTTAAATCTAAGACATCAAGGTGTCAAACTACTACAAGAACACATTGGGGAAACTCTCTAGGACATTGGTCTGTGCAAAAAATATTTGAGCCATACTCTAAAAGCACAGGCAACCAAAGCAAAATTGGGCAAATTGGATCACCCCTTTTGATTTTACAGGCTCATAGGTGGAAGTGACTTGCCTTGTCTCAGATGAGACATTGGACTTGGACTTTTCAGTTAATGATGGAATGAGTTAAGACTCTGGCTGGGGGACTGTTGGGAAGGCATGATTGGTTTTGAAATGTGAAAGGGACATGAGATTTGGGAGGGGCCACAGGAAGAATGACATGGATGAGATCTGTGTCCCCACCCAAATCTCATCTAGAGTTGTAAACCACAACATGTGTCCAAGGCAGGACCTGATGAAAGGTGATTGGATCATGAGGGCGGTTTTCCTCCATGCTGTTCTCATGATAGGGAGTTCTCACAAGATCTGATGGTTTAAAAGTCACAGATCCTCCTGTGGTAGCTCTCTCTCCCACCACCATGTAAGACGTGCCTGGCTTCCCCTTTGCTTTCTGCCATAATTTTAAGTTTCCTGAGGTCTCTCCAGCCATGTGGAACTGTGAGTCAATTAAACTTCTTTCCTCAGAAATTACCCAGTCTCAGATAGTATCTTTATGGTAGTTTGAGAACAGATTAATATAGATAGTTACCAGAGGCAGGGAAGAGTTGTAGGAGGATGGGAGAATGTGGGGATGCTTAACAAGTTCGAAAAGTATACTTATAAATAACAAATAAAACTGACTATTTTATAGCACAACAGAGTGGCCATGGCCAATTATAATTTAATTGTAAATTTTCAATGACTAAAAGAGAATAATTAGACTGTTTGTAACACAAAGGATTAATGCTTGAGGGAATAAATATCCCATTATTCATAATGTGATTATTACACATTGTTTGCCTATATTAAAACATCTTATGTATCCCATAAATATATACACCTAATATGTACCACATGAATTAAAAATTTAAAAAGATGTCAAATAAACAATCTAACTTTATGCCTCAAGAATCTAGTAAAATAATAAAACAAACTAAATCCAAAGTTATTTAAATAAAGAAAATAATAAAGATCAGAAAAAAAAATCAGTGTATACAAAAACTAGGAAAAAATGTATAAAACTAAGAGATGACTTTTTTGAAAATATAAACAACATGTAGTAACCTTTAGCTAGACTAAAATATAAAAAGAAGGGAAGACAAATAAAATCAGAAATGAAAAGGAGATGTTACAATAAATGCCTCACAGAAAAAAGAATCGTAAGGGACAATTGTGATTAATTATATGCCAATCAACTGGATAACCTAGAGTAAATGGATAATTTTTTAGAGACACACAACATACCTGGGAGAAATAGAAAGTCTGAACAAACTACAAATGAAGAGATTGAGGTAATACTAAAAAACCTGTCACCAAAGCAAAGCCCAGGACCAGATGGTTTCATGGCTGAATTCTATCAAACATTCAAAAAATAATCAATATGAATTATTTTTAAAGTCTTCCAAAAGTCAGGTAGCGTGATGCCTCCAGCTTTGTTCTTTTGGCTTATGATTGACTTGGCGATGCGGGAGAGGAAATACTTCCAAGTCCATTTAAAGGCCAGAATCACCCTGATACCCAAGCCAGACAGTGACATCACAATAAAAGACAACTACAGGCCAATAGCTCTTTTGAGCATAGATACAACATTCTCAACAAAATACTACCAGATTGAATTCAATAACACATCCAAAAGATTATACATGATGACCAAGTTGGAGTTATCGCTGGGATGCAAGATTGCCTTAACATGTACAAATCAATCAATGTGATGCATTACATTAAGAAAATAAAAAATTAAAAACATGATCATCTCAACAGATGCAGGAAAAACATCTAAAAAAATTCAACATCTTTTCATGTTAAAATTCTTAATGAAATACGCAAATAAAGAAATTTCCTCAATGTAGTAAAGGCCAATTATGAAAATCCCACAGTTAATTTTATAATCATTGGAGAAAGATTGAAAGCTTTTCCTAAGAGATCTGGTACAAGGAAAGGATGCCTGTTCTTCTCACTTCTATTCAATACAATACTGTAAATACTTGCAAGAGCAATCAGACAAGAACTATAAATAAACCTGTCACTGCGAAGATCTAATCAGAGACTTTGCAACCCTATATAAATAAATAATTCAACATTCCACAAATATTTATTGAGAACTTACTATGTGTCAGTCTTCATTCTACACCTTGGGAATACAGCAGGGAACAAAATCAAGATCCCTGCCCTCTTCCTCATGGAACTCACATTCTATATAGAGAGGAAAAGAAAAGAAACATAATCAATACGAATTATATGTTATTTTACAAAGTAATAAGTTTGATGAAAAAGGAATTAGTAGAACAGATTAAAGGAATGGAAATGCTGAGAAGGGGTGGTAATTTTCAAAAAGGTGGTCAGGTAGTGTGGATCTTGTCGAGAAAGAAACATCTGAAAAAAAAAATTTCCAATGGCATGTGACATTCTTTCACTGAGTGAAGACTGGGTGGCCTCTAAATCCTTTCATCTCTAAGACTTTGAGACCACTATGTGTCTACAACGTTTACCAAGTCGGAGGGCTGGGGCATGTCCAGCCTGTTTCCCATTTTTCAGAAGTGCTCCCGTAGGTAGTAAATCCAACAAAATTCTTATCCCCAAGATTAAAATGTTGAAGTGCTTGAGGAAATAGGAGATCTTGTTAGATTCACAGGCGACTGAGCAATGAATTACTGATGATGATCCTAGGGGTTTGTGGGATATAATGACATATTAAGGTTTACCTCTTGGGACCCCTGACCATAAGAGTCTCCTAGACTGAGCTAATTATCATTATGTAATATTACACATACTGCATGTACGTTAGCTTCTTCATGACCATCCATTTTCACAATGATAATCCTGCTCTGAAATAGGTGATGTGAAGAAGGACCATCTTCATCAGAACACATGAAGAGCTTATTAAGAAGGCATATTCCCGTGTCCCACCTCTCACCCTAACCAAATGAGAATCACTGTAAAAGTAGCCCATGAATCTGTCTATTTAACAAGATCTGCAGTGCTTTTAAGTTACACTGAAGTTTGTATACCATTGTGGAGTGGACTGGTCTCACTCATTGACATCTTCCTCTGAGCCTGTTTTACCCTTGGGAAAGTGAGCTAGGTCAGCTAGATGTCCTTTAAGACTCCTTCTAGTTTCAAAATTTGATGATTCTTAATCATTTGTTCTCTCAGTGAGTTTTGTTGTTTGCTCATTTAATTTTGTTGCACTTTTAAAATGGGGTATTGGCGCCGAAAAGGTATTTTCTTCAGCAAACATATTTCCTTCCCTCCAGTTTGCAGTTCCCACCTTTTACTCAATATGTCTCCTCTTACCTATTTATTTTTGAGCTGACAAACAACATTTTCATGTAATAATCCTAAATTCAGTTATATCAGTTATATTTAAATATTTAGCATAGTATCTTGTCACTTGTGGCTTATACATGCTATGCTTGCCATTTCTGGCATAGGTAAATAAGTATGACCATCAGAATCAGACAGACCAGACTCAAATACTTCACCACTCACTAGTCATATGATCTTGGGTACAATTCTTACACCTTATTTTTCTCATTTGGAATTGGAAGATAATAAGATAAATATTGTATTTTCTTCTACTTCTATTGTTGCATGTGTATTTATGTGTGCATTGTGATAATGTTTTAAAGTATATAATACTTTGTTCATATTCAAGAATCCTGAAACAGTTTTATTCATTTTCTTCTATTTCTCCAAATATAAATAACTTTTATTGGGGAATGAGAGAGTTTTATTTTATTTGTAAGCATCAAAATGACCCCTATTGACATAGGCAAAATGATCCCTAGTGTATTTTTGGCACTGAAAACAAATTAGCTCTTCTGCCCTACAAAGCCAAGATAGTGGAAGATTATAAAACTAACAAGAGCAGCATGTGTGACAGGTGTATGATAGAGACTGGAGGAACATATTTACATAAAAACTCATCCTCAAGGAGTTCCCTAAAGAGTTGAGGAGATACACTTGCTTTACCAGGCAAGTATATTACACTGTGACAAGTGCTAAGATGGAAGTACTTGCCTTATGCCATAAGAAAACATGGAAGGACCCATCATGGGTTCTGGGGTCAGAGGAGACTGCCCCAAAAAGGTGACAGCTGAGCTATCTCTTGGAGGAAGAGGAGGCGTTTTGAAGGTAAAAGTGATAGCCAAGGATATTCCAGAGAGTAGTAATAGTGCATGAAAGGCTGAGAGTTATAAAAAAGCTCACTACATGAGGGAGGCTAAGAGGTTATTGTGCTACTTGTTAGCAATTCAGAGAAGGCTCCTCCCCTCCAGTAGCTCTGTTTCATAGAGAAGGGAAGACATTAATATACAAGAAAAACACCATACACTGGAACAGACTAAGTGCCAAACCAGTAGTTTTTTAAAAAGTGCCAAACCAGTGGTTAGGGATGACAGGAATGATGATGGACCACTGTGAACCAGGTTTAGGAAGGGGACTACTATTAAGTCTTATATGGAAACTAAGACCTAGACTAGACAACAATGTAGAAAGCATTCACATCCCAAGCTCAGAAGGTAGCACAACCACAGACCTTCTCAGGATAAAAACAGTGGACCATGTGTGCCCAGTGATTCTCACATTGAGGCTGTACTGTCCACATAGTGGGTATGTAGAAATTTGTGGGGAATTGTTTTGTCAATATTCCTGGGAGGAGCCATCAACATTTAGTCTCTGATAAAAATTCTGCACAACCACAACTTCAATTACTCAAATTACAGAAACTACCCAAAATACCCTAACATAGAGAAACACTGCCATAAAGCAAATGCTTATGGTAGGGGAGTAATGAAGAAGAAGTAGGAAAGGTTGACAAAAGACAAATAAGATGTTTTGACCTCTACACAGGGGAGTGTGGAATCTATCATAAAGGCAATGAGGAGTCAAAAGGTTACCACTAGGAGAGTGTCATATGTTGAATGTTTTCCGAATATAGATTCTCATCATCACAGGAGCTGCAGGCAAGGTTTTTACCATAGTCCAGGCAAGGGTTGATTACGGTATTCATATGGTTTGGCTGGGTTCTCACCAAAATCTCATCTTGAGTTGTAGTTTCCATAACCCCACATGTCATGGGAGGGAACAGGTTGAGATATTTGGATCATGGGGGAAGTTTTCCCCATGCTGTTCTCATAATAATGTGCGAGTCGTACGAGATCTGGTGTTTTTTTAAATTTATTTTATTTTATTATTATTATACTTTATGTTTTAGGGTACATGTGCACAATGCGCAGGTTAGTTACATATGTATACATGTGCCATGTCGGTGTGCTGCACCCATTAACTCGTCATTTAGCATTAGGTATATCTCCTAAAGCTATCCCTCCCCCCTCCCCCCACCACACAACAGTCCCCAGAGTGTGATGTTCCCCTTCCTGTGTCCATGTGTTCTCATTGTTCAATTCCCACCTATGAGTGAGAACATGCGGTGTTTGGTTTTTTGTCCTTGCTATAGTTTACTGAGAATGATGATTTCCAATTTCATCCATGTCCCTACAAAGGACATGAACTCATCATTTTTTATGGCTGCATAGTATTCCATGGTATATATGTGCCACATTTTCTTAATCCAGTCTATCATTGTTGGACATTTGGGTTGGTTCCAAGTCTTTGCTATTGTGAATAGTGCCGCAATAAACATACGTCTGCATGTGTCTTTATAGCAGCATGATTTATAGTACTTTGGGTATATACCCAGTAATGGGATGGTTGGGTCAAATGGTATTTCTGGTTCTAGATCCCTGAGGAATCCCACACTGACTTCCACAGTGGTTGAACTAGTTTACAGTCCCACCAACAATGTAAAAGTGTTCCTATTTCTCCACATCCTCTCCAGCACCTGTTGTTTCCTGACTTTTTAATGATCGCCATTCTAACTGGTGTGAGATGGTATCTCATCGTGGTTTTGATTTGCATTTCTCTGATGGCCAGTGATGATGAGCATTTTTTCATGTATTTTTTGGCTGCATAAATGTCTTCTTTTGAAAAGTGTCTGTTCATGTCCTTTGCCCACTTTCTGATGGGGTTGTTTGTTTTTTTCTTGTAAATTTGTTTCAGTTCATTGTAGATTCTGGATATTAGCCCTTTGTCAGATGAGTAGGTTGCCAAAATTTTCTCCCATTTTGTAGGTTTCCTGTTCACTCTGACGGTAGGTTCTTTTGCTGTGCAGAAGCTCTTTAGTTTAACTAGATCCCGTTTGTCAATTTTGGCTTTTGTTGCCATTGCTTTTGGTGTTTTAGACATGAAATCCTTGCCCATGCCTATGTCCTGAATGGTAATGCCTAGGTTTTCTTCTAGGGTTTTGATGGTTTTAGGTCTAACATTTAAGTCTTTAATCCATCTTGAATTAATTTTTGTATAAGGTGTAAGGAAGGGATCCAGTTTCAGCTTTTTACATATGGCTAGCCAGTTTTCCCAGCACCATTTATTAAATAGGGAATCCTTTCCCCATTGCTTGTTTTTCTCAGGTTTGTCAAAGATCAGATAGTTGTAGATATGCAGCGTTATTTCTGAGGGCTCTGTTCTGTTCCATTGATCTATATCTCTGTTTTGGTACCAGTACCATGCTGTTTTGGTTACTGTAGCCTTGTAGTATAGTTTGAAGTCAGGTAGCGTGATGCCTCCAGCTTTGTTCTTTTGGCTTAGGATTGACTTGGCGATGTGGGCTCTTTTTTGGTTCCATATGAACTTTAAAGTAGTTTTTTCCAATTCTGTGAAGAAAGTCATTGGTAGCTTGATGGGGGTGGCATTGAATCTGTAAATTACCTTGGGCAGTATGGCCATTTTCACGATATTGATTCTTCCTACCCATGAGCATGGAATGTTCTTCCATTTCTTTGTATCCACTTTTATTTCATTGAGCAGTGGTTTGTAGTTCTTTGAAGAGGTCCTTCACGTCCCTTGTAAGTCGGATTCCTAGGTATTTTATTCTTTTTGAAGCAACTGTGAACGGGAGTTCACTCATGATTTGGCTCTCTGTTTGTCTGTTATTGGTGTATAAGAATGCTTGTGATTTTTGTACATTGATTTTGTATCCTGAGACTTTGCTGAAGTTGCTTATCAGCTTAAGGAGATTTTGGGCTGAGACAATGGGGTTTTCTGGATATACAGTCATGTCATCTGCAAACAAGGACAATTTGACTTCCTCTTTTCCTAATTGAATACCCTTTATTTCCTTCTCCTGCCTAATTGCCCTGGCCAGAACTTCCAACACTATGTTGAATAGGAGTGGTGAGAGAGGGCATCCCTGTCTTGTGCCAGTTTTCAAATGGAATACTTCCAGTTTTTGCCCATTCAGTATGATATTGGCTGTGGGTTTGTCATAGATAGCTCTTATTATTTTGAGATACGTCCCATCGATACCTAATTTATTGAGAGTTTTTAGCATGAAGGGCTGTTGAATTTTGTCAAAGGCCTTTTCTGCATCTCTTGAGATAATCATGTGGTTTTTGTCTTTGGTTCTGTTTATATGATTGGTGTACCTGAAAGTGATGGGGAGAATGGAACCAAGTTGGAAAACACTCTGCAGGATATTATCCAGGAGAACTTCCCCAATCTAGCAAGGCAGGCCAACATTCAGATTCAGGAAATACAGAGAACGCCACAAAGATACTCCTCGAGAAGAGCGACCCCAAGACACATAATTGTCAGATTCACCAAAGTTGAAATGAAGGAAAACATGTTAAGGGCAGCCAGAGAGAAAGGTCGGGTTACCCTCAAAGGGAAGCCCATCAGACTAACAGTGGATCTCTCAGCAGAAACTCTACAATCCATAGGACAGTGGGGGCCATTATTCAACATTCTTAAAGGAAAGAATTTTCAACCCAGAATTTCACATCCAGCCAAACTAAGCTTCATAAGTGAAGGAGAAATAAAATACTTTACAGACAAGCAAATGCTGAGAGATTTTGTCACCAGCAGGCCTGCCCTAAAAGAGCTCCTGAAGGAAGCACTAAACATGGAAAGGAACAATTGGTACCAGCCACTGCAACATCATGCCAAATTGTAAAGACCATTGAGGCTAGGAAGAAACTACATCAACTAACGAGCAAAATCACCAGCTAACATCATAACGACAGGATCAAATTCACACATAACAATATGAACTTTAAATGTAAATGGACTAAATGCTCCAATTAAAAGACACTGACTGGCAAATTGGATAAAGAGTCAAGACCCATCAGTGTGCTGTATTCAGGAAACCCATCTCATGTGCAGAGACACACATAGGCTCAAAATAAAAGGATGGAGGAAGATATACGAAGCAAATGGAAAACAAAAAAAGGCAGGGGTTGCAATCCCAGTCTCTGATAAAACAGACTTTAAACCAACAAAGATCAAAAGAGACAAAGAAGGCCATTACATAATGGTAAAGGGATCAATTCAACAAGAAGAGTTAACTATCCTAAATATATATGCACCCAATACAGGATCACCCAGATTCATAAAGCAAGTCCTGAGTGACCTACAAAGAGACTTAGACTCCCACACAATAATAATGGGAGACTTTAACACCCCACTGTCAACATTAGACAGATCAACGAGACAGAAAGTCAACAAGGATACCCAGGAATTGAACTCAGCTCTGCACCAAGGGGACCTAATAGACATCTACAGAACTCTCCACCCCAAATCAACACAATATACATTTTTTTCAGCACCACACCACACCTATTCCAAAATTGACCACATAGTTGGAAGTAAAGCTCTCCTCAGCAAATGTAAAAGAACAGAAATTATAACAAACTGTCTCTCAGACCACAGTGTAATCAAACTAGAACTCAGGATTAAGAAACTCACTCAAAACCACTCAACTACATGGAAACTGAACAACCTGCTCCTGAATGACTACTGGGTACATAACGAAATGAAGGCAGAAATAAAGATATTCTTTGAAACCAACGCGAACAAAGACACAACATACCAGAATCTCTGGGACACTTTCAAAGCAGTGTGTAGAGGGAAATTTATAGCACTAAATGCCCACAAGAGAAAGCAGGAAAGATCCAAAATTGACACCCTAACATCACAATTAAAAGAACTAGAAAAGCAAGAGCAAACACATTTAAAAGCTAGCAGAAGGCAAGAAATAACTAAAATCAGAGCAAAACTGAAGGAAATAGAGACACAAAAAACCCTTCAAAAAATTAATGAATCCAGAAGCTGGTTTTTTGAAAGGATCAACAAAATTGATAGACCACTAGCAAGACTAATAAAGAAGAAAAGAGAGAAGAATCAAATAGACGCAATAAAAAATGATAAAGGGGATATCACCACCGATCCCACAGAAATACAAACTACCATCAGAGAATACTACAAACACCTCTACGCAAATAAACTAGAAAATCTAGAAGAAATGGATAAATTCCTCGACACATACACCCTCCCAAGACTAAACCAGGAAGAAGTTGAATCTCTGAATAGAACAATAACAGGCTCTGAAATTGTGGCAATAATCAATAGCTTACCAACCAAAAAGAGTCCAGGACTAGATGGATTCACAGCCGAATTCTACTAGAGGTACAAGGAGGAACTGGTACCATTCCTTCTGAAACTATTGCAATCAATAGAAAAAGAGGGAATCCTCCCTAACTCATTTTATGAGGCCAGCATCATCCTGATACCAAAGCCGGGCAGAGACACAACCAAAAAAGAGAATTTTAGACCAATATCCCTGATGAACATCGATGCAAAAATCCTCAATAAAATACTGGCAAACCGAATCCAGCAGCACATCAAAAAGCTTACCCACCGTGATCAAGTGGGTTTCATCCCTGGGATGCAAGGCTGGTTCAATATATGCAAATCAATAAATGAGATCTGGTGTTTTTATAGGCTTCTGGCATTTTCCCTGCTGGCACTTCTCACTCCTGCCACCATGTAGAGAAGAACGTGTTTGCTTCCCCTTCTGCCATGATTTTAAGTTTCCTGAGGCCTCCCCAGCCCTGTGGAACTGTGAGCAATTAAACCTTTTTCCTTTATAAATTACCTAGTCTCAGGCATTTCTTTATAGCAGTATGGGAATGGACTAATACAGTAAATTGGTACTGGGTAGTGGGGTGATGCTGAAAAGATACCCAACAATGTGGAGCGACTTTGGAACTGGGTAACAGGCAGAGTTTGGAACGGTTTGGAGGTCTCAGAAGTAGACAGGAAGATGTGGGAAAGTTTGGAACTCCCTAGAGTCTTGTTGAATGGCTTTGACCAAAATGCTGGCAGTGATATGGACAATAAAGTCCAGGTTGAGGTGGTCTCAGATGGAGATGAGGAACTTGTTGGTAACTGAAGCAAAGGTCACTCTTGTTATGCTTTTGCAAAGAGGCTGGAGGCATTTTGCACCTGTTCTTGAGATTTGAGGAACTTTGAACTTGAACTTTGAACTTGAGAGAGATGATCTGGCAGAAGAAATTTCTAACCAGCAAAACATTCAGGAGGAGGAAGAGCATAAAAGTTTTAAAAACTTGCAGTCTGATGATGCGATAGAAAAGAAAAACCCATTTTCTGGGGAGAAATTCAAGTCTATGGCAGCAATTTGCATAAGTAACAAGGAGCCGAATATTAATCAACAAGAAAATGGGGAAAATGTCTCCACAGCGTGTCAGAGACCTCTGAGACAGCCCTTCCCATCACAGGCCTTGAGGCATATGAGGAAAGCATGGCTTCATCGGCCGGACCCAGGGCCACCCTGCTCTGTGCAGCCTAGGGACTTGGTGCCCTGTGTCCCAGGCACTCCAGTCATCGTTAAAAGGGGTGAAGGTACAGCTCAGGAAGGGCTCCAGAGGATGCAAGCCCCAAGCCTTGGCAGCTTTTATGCGGTGTTGAGCCTGCGGGTGCGCAGAAGTCAAGAATTGAGGTTTGGGAACCTCTGCCTAGATTTCAGAGGATGTATGGAAATGCCCGGATGTCCTGCGATGCTTTAGAGGTAGAGCTCTCATGGAGAATCTCTGCTAGGAAAATGTGGAAGGGAAATATGGGGTTGGATTCCCACACAGAGTCCCTACTGGGGCACTGCTTAATGGAGCTATGAGAAGAGGGCCACCTTCCTTCGGACCCCAGAATTGTACATCCACCAACAGCTTGCACTGTGCACCTGGCAAAACCACAGACACTCAATGCCAGCTGGAGGGGGGCTGTACCTTGCAAAGCCACAGGGGTGGGGCTGCCCAAGGCCATGGGAGCCCTCATTTTGTATCTGCATTACCTGGATATGAGACATGGAGTCAAAAGAGATCATTTTGGAATTTTAAGGTTTAATGACTGCCCTATTGGACATTGGACTTACTGGATTTTGGAATTGGTTTTGGCCAATTTTTCCCATTTGGAATGGGTGTATTGACCCAATGCCTGTACCCCCATTGTTTCTAGGAAGTAACTAACTCGCTTTTGATTTTATAGGCTCATAGGCAGAAGAGGCTTTCCTTGTCTCAGATGAAACTTTGGACTTGGATTTTTGAGTTAATGCTGGAATAAGACTTTGGGGACTGTTGGAAGGGCATGACTATCTTTTGAATTGTGAGGACATGAGATTTGGGAGGCGCCAGAGGCAGAATGATATTTTTTGGCTGTGTCCCCACCCAAATCTCATCATGAATTGTAGTTCCCATAATCCCCATGTTTCATGAAAGAGACCAGGTGGAAATAATTGAATCATGGGGGTGGAAATAATTGAATCATGCTGCTGTTCTCATGACAGTCAGTGAGTTCTTCATGAGATCTGATGGTTTTATAAGGGGCTTTTCCCGCTTTTGCTGGGTACTTCTCCTTGCTGCTGCCATGTGAAGAAGGACGTGTTTGCTTCTGCTTCTTCCATGATTGGAAGTTTCTTGAGACCTCCCCAGCCATGCTGAACTGTGAGTCAGTTAAAACTTTTTTCTTTATAAATTACCAGTCTCGGGCATATCTTTATTAGCAGCATGAGAATGAACTAATACAGGTATGCACACATTTATTCGATAAAAGACACAGGCAAATTTTAAAAATGTTGAACTAATTGATATAATTACTAATCAGATTATTATTGTAGCTAACAACTTTGATTCGATTTTCAGTTGTATTTAACTTTGTCCATCTAAAATTTGGTATAAAAGTTGAAGTTTTGGGGTGACATTACACAATTGAACCTAATAATTATTGGTAGCTTATCACAGTTCAGATTTGCCATGAGTATTTGCCTTTGCTATTTAAAATTCAATTTCTTTGGGGAAAATTCTCAACCTTTAATCTCTCCCTGACCCTGTTTGCAAGGGTTTGCAAGTACATAGAAGCCTTTGAACTCCACATCCTAATATACTTTTTCTTTATGTGACTGGACGGTACCTGTTAGAGATTTGGAAAGGGTGGCTGCCTTATTATGAAAGTATATTAAATAAATGCAGGTGCATTTATCTATAATTGTATCAGGTGATTATTTCTGTTAGGCCTCTATGCCTGACACACATTGCCAACACTCGCTTTACATGAAAGTAAACCGAGTTTTCTTTATTCAGATGTGTTTGGGACATTTGGATCATAGACCTTGTAACATGATAGATGGATGCAAGAAGCCTAATTGCTTCAGAAAAATCTAATTGAAAAGAACACTGGATGTTGGTGCCTCAGCTGAGATGAATAAATATAAAATGCTGTAGCCTATGAACAAGTTATAATTCAGAAATGTGACACTCCCATTTCTTTTTACTTACAACCTTAGACAGAACTTTGTAAGTTTTTGTTTGTTTGTTCATCTTTCCAAAGACTGGCCAACCTAGTAGGCCTTCTATGAGAGAATTTTACTGTTTTCTAATTATTAAAGAAACCAACAAAAAGCCAATTAATAAAAATAAATTTGGAGATTACCAGAATACAAAATAATAAAGGGCTTCCAAGATTATAAAAAACCAATGAGATGAAAATAATGTTTTATGAGTAGTAAATACCTATGTCAAGGCAATATGCTCTCACAAACATGTATCAAGCTTCCTTTCTGTTTTATGAGATTAAGAATAATGTGCTCTCTCATTATGATGTAGAGAATAATTTATATGTTTACATGACTAGAATAAAATTATTTGACTAGAATTTTTTCTATAGGACTAGAAAAAAATTATTTTTCTGTATAAAATGAATTTGAACTTTCATCCTCATTAAATTCAGTTACAAAAGGTTTAAACATGGCTCTATGCCAAGTTGTGTTTTGTTTTGTTTGGTGATTTTGTAAACTTAAACCAGCAGCTGTGCATGTTTCTGCCGTTCTAAAGTCAGGATTTATACATGTAATTTTTCAACTGAGGAAAAAAAGTTAAAAAAATCTTTAATGAATCACATAAAAAACAACTGAAAGAAATAAAACACCAAAGATGATGGTTTATTTATTTCCTTTTGTCAGCCTACATATTTACAAGATTTATAATGGAATTGAGGTAGTCATCTCTTAGAATAAGGCTTACCTTCCTACAAACTGGGTGAGTTAATTTTTAATGGAGTAATTCGGGAAATCAAGTAGGCTTTTGAAATCTTATATGGTGCCAAGAAGCAGGTTTGACTAATTTTCTGTTTAAAAAACAAAACAAAAAAAAAAATTCAACATCCCTTCTCTGCACCCTCACCTTACTCAAATTCCTCCAAGACCAAAGAAGGACCAGACTACAGTTGAACTTTTCCAGGATGAAGATTAGAAAAGCGAAACTGCTGGTCCAGCAGAACTCCTTCAGCAATACTCATATTTTGCAATGTCAGCTTCAGGATTTTTTTTTTTTTAAATTTAGCCACTCATTGGAAAGGATAAAATATTTGGTAAAGCATTATTATATTTTTTGTAGGAAGTACTAAGTGATATTTCCACCACCACCCCCCCGCCCCGCCCAGCATTTTGCTATGCTTGAACGAGAAAAGAAAGCTTTCTTAGGTCTCTCATCCAATTTTCCTTCTGTGCCTTCACATCCTTCCCCCTTCTCTGCCTCTCTCACTCACACCCTGAATTTTTAAAAGCAACCTTTTCCTCATATGAAGTCTATAAGCCAACTTTGTCTCTCTACTCCCATACTTGGAGCTTGCACCCAAGTATAAGACATCACCTAGAATCCACACCAGATTTTATACTTTCTTTATTACTCTAAGAAAGTATAAAATAATGCTTTCTTTATTACTCTAGGAAAGTTTTAGGGAGAATTTAACTTAGCCCTATGGAGACATTTTACTCAATAAGATGTACTCGATAAAGCTATTCATATGAATCTTTATTAATTCAAGGCTCTCAGTATTCAAAACTTTAGACACAGCAGTAGCTTTGGGGATTTCTCACCTTTATCCTTTTAAAAATAAATTTTCGTTGGTCACAGAAGCAAAGCGTTTTCCTTCTCATTTGATATCTACCCTGGAAACCTGGCAGAGAGCCATAGATTGTGCTAACTAAACATTAGTGTTGATCATGTGTTAGATCCACAAAATCATTTTAGCTTCAAACTTCCAGATGAAAAATGAAGTGAGAAAGAATAGAAGCTGGTATCCTTTTACATTAACTTTTTAAATAAATTTGATTTCATTGATTCATTATAAAGAAAAGCAAGAAAAGTTTAGCCTTCAAGTTGTCTTCAAACAAAAAGCTGATTGTTTTCTGCCTTCTACATATTCCATCAATAAAAAGAGCCCAAGAAAGTTTCTCCTGCCTCCTTTTCTATACGTGAATACACAGAACTCTGCTCAACGGACGCAGGGAAGAAGAGATGGCCAGTGACTGAATAGTCTGACAATGATCTAGTAATACTACAACCAACGGTGAAAACAAGTTTACATGTGTTGGATGCCTTCTGCATATGAGGCATTGTGCTCAATGCTTATGCAAATCATCTCATCAGACCTTTATCATAGCCCCATTGAATGCAAGTGATACTATCATTAACCCATTTTTCAGATTTAACAAAAAAACTGAGACTTGAAAAGTGAGAGATTCTCTTTGTATCTCTCACTTTTTAAGTCTCATTTTTTTAAATCAAAGAGGAGAACAACACACACCGGAGCCTGTTGGTGGGGTGGGGTGGGGCGAGGAAGAGCATTAGGAAAAATAGCTAATGTATGCTGGGCTTAATACTGAGGTGATGAGTTGATAGATGCAGCAAACCACCAAGATACACATTTACCTGTGTAACAAACCTGCACATCCTGCACATGTACCCCAGAACTTAAAATAAAAATAAAATTCTTGTAAAAAGAGATTGCCCAATGTGTGTAGTTTTGATTTAAAAATCGTAGCCTTTTCCATAGAGGGCAAAAACATGGCATATAATAAAATGTAATAGAATCAAAGAACAATAGAATACACAAGAACCAAAAGCATTAGCATTCACAGTACTGGTAACGTCTGTGCTTTTTTAAAAAAATTATTTTTTATAAAAAATATTTTATGCAAAAACATGGCATAAAATAAAATGTAATAGAATCGAAGAACAATAGAATAGACGAGAACCAAAAGCATCAGCATTCACAGTACCAGTAAGGTCCAGCTTTTTAAAAATAATTTTTTACATATACTTTCTTCATTCTAATTATAATTACTCTTAAAGGAGTAAAATCATTAGACACGCATAGAGCTAAGAACTTGAAGTAGAATAAAATATATGCAGTCAATTATACACAGATACATAGATGCATCTCTCATTATCAGATTAACTCAGGTTCACAGGATGTCAATTTTCTATAGTTTTCTAGAGTCAGTGCTGATTTAGTGTTTAAGAATTGAGACACTGACTTATTGAGAAAGAAGGCACAGCTTTTTACTCTTCTAAGATTCATTCGGTTATCCTGAAGTCTCCATTTACCTACAAAATATTGATTTGAGGCACAAACTCTTAACACAAAGCAAATGTTCCATTTTATCCCTAAAAGGCTTACATTTAAGTTATTGCCAGATCACTTTCCAATTACAATAATTCACAAGTTAAAACTGATTTACTCCATGAAACTTCACCTCCAGCTGCTGCCCATATTTTATGCCACCAGGCTAATCCTTAGCTTTCCCTCAATGCACATTTCAAAACTACGATATTTTAGGTCTGTATGCAAAGATATAGCTTCCACAGCAGAGGTGATCAATTATCAAATCCACAAATTATGTTTCCATTTCAACATTTATTCCAAAATATATTTGGTCAAATACATTTGCCTTCTTGATAATGACTTCTAGTAGGCATTACACAAAAATTTGCATTTACTCAGGGATAGTGATGAGAGAATTTCCGAGCTTGGATTATAGTTTAGGATGACTACATTTCAATTCCAGTTGTGTTCTTTTGGACACGTCACATTAAGTCTCTAGGACTTAATACTTTGTCTGTAAAATCAGAGTATCAGACTGTATGATAGTAAAGGTTCCATTCAGGTTGAAGATTCTAGGAGCTCAGATTTCAGATTTTCAAGACATTTAAATTATTTATGTCCTGATTCTCATATGAGCCAAAAAAAAAATTTCATCAACACCCTCGGGTACTCACATATAAATGACACATGATTTCAATGAAGTGAGAAAGTAGTCGTAGTTCATGCTTTTATTTTCATTATGCCCTCTCATGGGCAGTAGCTAACCTTTAGACTTTACATGTAATTTTTGTTAATTGCATGTTTATTATATTTTCCCTGAATTTATTGGACTTTTGACACCAGCAAGTCCAACTAATTATGGCTGTGGATTGCATCTTGTGGCAACCCATTCATTCGTTAACCCATTTTCTGTTTAGAAAAAGTGCAGCTCACTGCCAGTGCTCATTTCGTTTTATGTAAACATGCTTTTTGAGGCTGAAGAAAACCTGACTGATTTTCGAGGTTAAGATAAAATACAATAACTGTTCTTGGAGTTATTTCTAAACAGAACTTGTCTCTAATCCTAATGTAACAGAAATATAAGTGATGATCAATACTGAATTTTTTTTTTAGGACGTAGTCTCACTCTGTTGCCCAGGCTTGAGTGCAGTGGTACGATCTCCGCTCACTGTAACTTCTGCCTCCAGGGTTGAAGGGATTCTCCTGCCTCGGCCACCTTAGTAGCTGGGACTAAGGGGCCCACCACCATGCCTGGCTAATTTTTGTATTTTTAGTAGAGACGGGGTTTCACTATGTTGGTCGGGCTGGTCTTGAACTCCTGACCTCAGGTGATCCACCTGCCTCGGCCTCCCAAAGTGCTGGGATTACAGGTGTGAGCCACCATGCCCGGCCTAATAATTTTTTTGTGTGTGGTAAATTTCAAAGCATGGAACAACACAAGGTGGAACATCACATTCCTCACAAAAATATCGCGATTCTCTCGGGATCGTCTTGCCATGCTTGGCATTGTGCGAGCAGCAAAATTTGCAGCGATCAGTTGGATTCTGTTTCCCTGATGTTGATGGTATGGTCTTGGGAAAATATCTTCCAGTCGGGAGAAGAGGTGTGACATTATTAGAGCATAGAAAACTTCGAAGGCATTGCTGCCCTGGCTTGTGATGCTTTTCCAGCATTCTTTCAATCAACATCAGTCTGAAGTTTACATGGCTAATCATGCGCCCAGAATTGTTCCTCTTGAACAGGGTGTAGGAGTTCAGCACCGTAATGTTAGAAGGTGGTGAAAGAATTTCTCATACAAATCTTGTGCCTATTGGGCTCAGTTTGATAGGAAATGAGCATCTGATCAGTCAAGTCCACTGCTCCCACATTCTCATTATAATCCTCAATGACAAATGGCTTCTTAGTTTCCTTTCCATTTCTGTTGTCTACTTCAATCACGGTATCATTGTGGAATGTTGACAACATTTTCACTTCCTTCTTGTCACATCATTTCAGAGCCATAAGTTCACCACTGAATTAACATCACATGTAGGAATGCTACTTTTTATACGATTTGACATTTTCAGCTATTGAGATTCACTATATTTTGTAAATGGAAATATCACTGCTAAAACTAGAATGCTTTAAATAGAATGATGTCTACCTGTGAGTTATCTAGGAGTAAATGTTGCAGGCACAAGTGCCACTGGCAAGTATTCTCAGGGCAGGTGTGAAATGGGTTAATCCATTTGTGCATTAATTTAGCACATATTTATTGAGTGTCTATGACATGATAGCCACTGATCAAGGCACTGAGGAAACAGGCTGAACACAAGTATATTCCTTGCTGTCATGGCACTTACAGTCCAATGCTGGAGATAAAAAATAAGAGAGCAATAAATATTACAAATCATGCCTAGTAGTAGAGGGAAACAGATTGTTGTAATATAGAGTTACCATGAGAGGTGGGGAGGAGATGAGAAGAAATCTGATTGAGAATACGTGGTCAGCAAAAGCTTCCCTAAGGACTGGCATGTCAGCTGCACCCTCAGAAAGAAGAAGATACTAGCTATCTGTAGGGCAGTGGAAAGGTTGTTAGGGTCAAGGGAAAAATATGTGAAGAGTTTCTGGACAGGGAAGAACTTGTAATGCTTACACTTAGTTAGAGAACAGAAACTCAAGGGGAGAGTGGTGTAAGATGGTATAAGATGATATTGGAGACACAGGCAGCAATTAACATTGGCTGAGAGCTTACTTGGACCAGCAATTCTTTTAAGCACTTAATATGGATTATCTCCATTGATACTCATAGCAAACTGATTAATTCAGTATTATCATCATTAGTCCCATTTACAGATGAGGAAAAGAATACATGAAGAGTGTGAGTAACTTGCATAAGGTTACTCAGTTGTAAAGAATGATGCTGAGACTTTTATCCATGTAGTCTGACTTCAGAGCACACACTCTAAACCAAAACATAGTATGGCCTCACAGACAATGGTCAGATGACAAAGGGCCTCTAGGCCACTACAAAGGATTTGAGTTGGATTGTAAATGTAATGGATAGCTATTCAGCAGTTCTTGGTAGCTTAATCTAAACTATGTTGTAAGGAAGCCTTTCCAGCTGATATATGGGGAAGAGGGGTGGGGATAGAGTCTAAAGAAGAGTGAACACGGGGAAAACAAATCTCAGAGTACTGCTGGAAAGACCTAGGAGTGGCAGACACTATCGCTTGCTTATTCAACAGCCATTCATCCTCTTCTTTGTGGCCAACGGAGCTCGACTTTGATGAATTTTGGTAAAGTACTGATGGGTTTTTAAAATCTAAACCAGTATCTCTCAAACTCTTTGGTCTCAAGACTGCTTTCCAATCTTAAAAATTATCAAAGACACCAATGAACTTTTGTTTGTGAGCTTATCTATACATGTTAATTATAATAGAAATTATATCTGAGACAACTTAAAAATATGTATAAATTCATTTTAGAATACAAATAATAAACCACATTACATGCTTATATAAATAACATATTTTCAGGGAAAATACCTTTACTTTCCCTGAAAATATTTAGTAAGAAGAGTGGCTTTGTTTTACATTTCTTCAAGTATCTTTAATGTATGGCTTAATAGAAGGCAACTAGATTCTCATATTTGCTTCTGCATTTAACATGTTACAATATGGCATTTGCCTGAGCTATATGAAGAAAAATCTGGCCCGATAAAAATATGCAGATGGAATAGGAAAGAGTTTTTAATATGATTTTGGGGACATTGTGGATTATTTTCTTTAATACTAAACCAAAATTTAGCAATGGGTAATTTTTTATGGGTCAGTTGCAATGTAGGGTTTGAAACCACATTGATAAATTTTTCATAATCAGTTGCACTAGAATTCATTTTATTTTACTTTGAACAGATCTGATTTTGTACTATGATGCATTGGTTATTTGGGAAATACTGGCCCGTGGAGTTTAGCAGCCCTTCCAAATATTGACATTTCGTTATAACAAAAAAAATCACATTCATTAATATCAACATTAATTTAATCAAAAAAGTCCTCATATATATTGGGAAACTGTTAAGCTCACGGTGGCAGATAAAATTTACCAACATTCTAATTTTCATTTCAAAAGTTAATTTATATCATCAACAACATATCATTTATTTTCCTGGTAATGACAAGTTCAGTTTGCTCATTTTCAGAAAAAACCTCTGACAAATTCTTCAGTCTGAGTAGCCATAGTGTGTCTGTCAGACTTTCTTTTAAGTGAAAATATATTTCCATGAAAAAACTGACTAGTTCGTAACCCAATTACACAAGTGCTTTTGCTCCAGGTAGCCCTTAGACTTCAAAATGCAGAAGGAAGATGGGCTTCATATGTATTTCCCACTTTGTAACATACAATATTAAGAGAGGCATTCAAAGGTCAGGTCTAAAATTAATAAAATTAACATGTTTAAGCTGCTGCATCAAGGCTATTCTTTTTTCAGTTTTAAAAATGTTTATTTTTTATTTTTTATTTTTTTGTTATACTTCAAGATTTAGGGTACATGTGCACAACGTGCAGGTTTGTTACATATGTATACATGTGCCATGTTGGTGTGCTGCACCCATTAACTCATCATTTAACATTAGGTATATCTCCTAATGCTATCCCTCCCCCCTCCCCCCACCCCACAACAGGCCCCGGTGTGTGATGTGCCCCTTCCCGTGTCCATGTGTTCTCACCGTTCAACTCCCACCCATGAGTGAGAACATGTGGTGTTAGGTTTTTTGTCCTTGCGATAGTTTGCTGAGAATGATTGCTTCCAGCTTCATCCATGTCCCTACAAAGGACATGAACTCATCATTTTTTATGGCTGCATAGTATTCCATGGTGTATATATGACACATTTTCTTAATCCAGTCTATCATTGTTGGACATTTGGCTTGGTTCCAAGTCTTTGCTATTGTGAATAGTGCCACAATAAACATATGTGTGCTTGTGTCTTTACAGAAGCATGATTTATAATCCTTTGGGTCTATACCCAGTAATGCGATTGCTGGGTCAAATGGTATTTCTAGTTCTAGATCCCTGAGGAATCACTACACTGTCTTCCACAATGGTTGAACTAGTTTACAGTGCCACCAACAGTATAAAAGTATTCCTATTTCTCCACATCCTCTCCAGCACCTGTTGTTTCCTGACTTTTTAATGATCGCCATTCTAACTGGTGTGAGATGGTATCTCTACAGAATGGGAGAAAATTTTTGCAATCTACTCATCTGACAAAGGACTAATATCCAGAATCTACAATGAACTCAAATAAATTTACAAGAAAAAAAAAAAAAACCCCATCAAAAAGTGGGCAAAGGATATGAACAGACACTTCTCAAAAGAAGACATTTATGCAGCCAAAAGACACATGAAAAGGATATTCTTAACCAAAACTGGCCCCTCCTCCTCTTCTTTCTCTTTCTTTCTACTGTGTATGTAATAGTGAAGAATGCAAAGGCTGCTAGTACAGTTTATTGCCACAACTGCTTTTGCACCATCAGTGCAAATTTCAACACAGTGAACATGTGTATAAAATCTTAATATTATAAACAGTTTTGACCTATCAGATCTCATGCAAAGGGCTCAGTGACCTCCAGGGGGCACTGGACTGCACTTTGAGACCCCCTGGTCTAAACCAACTCTGGTAATGTCAGGGCTTTCCTTACTTATGGGAAAACTCTGTTCAGATTTTTGGCTATTGAAAGGAACAGAGAAATACTGTGTTAGCTTCGGGGCTTAAAGAACAACTGTCATTATGTATTGTAACAGAGGGGCTATTAAAATGTTCTTGTATCCTAATGATGATGATCCAGTGAGAAGTAGGGTTGATGATGCAGTGGAGATGGGGGAAAGCTGAGCAGACACAAGGAACTGAAACTCAGAAAATAAGCTTGATGGAAAGTGAGTGGCCATGAATTAGATGCAAGTAGTTCTGTAAATTAAATGTTGGTAAGAAGAGGGATATATCAGATTTAATAGATGACCTTATATCTGATGGCATCTCTTTTCTCAATGATGTGAGGTTATCAGTTAAGTGTGGGGTATGGGGGAGTGATTTGAGAAGAAGGTATGTAATAGTTGTCTGAAGGAATGACAACGTGAACCTAGTAAGGAAACACACTAGGATTTCTAGGCAGTGCTGAATACCATTTTGACATTTTAAACATAAAATATGGAACAATCAGTAAATATGTATACACTTTTCAATAACATTTATCTAGTTAAATGCAAATACGGAGAGGCAGTATTCGCTTCACCTACAAATGGGATTTGACCAAACGTCTATAGAGGTTAATAATCTGGAGGTTTCAATAAGGTAAAAGAGTCATCATATTATGTTCTAGAGTAAGTGTTCCAGAAGTATAGGAGGTCAGAGAGGGAAATTCAGGAAATTATAGTTTTAAAAGTGACACAATTACAAAAGGTAACAAGATCTAAAATGTGACCATGGGAGGGGCTGGCTGTGGTTGCTTGGTGATAAATGTTGTTGGAGCTAAGAACGTAAATTAACTGAGAAATCAAGTTATTGCATGGGTAATCGTCTCGGATACTGAATTTCCTTGACATGATAATGAGTCTTGGAATGAAGTAGACAGCAATCCAGGAATTAAAAGTTTCAATTAACAAGTAGAAGTTGGTGGATGACAGCAATAAAGAGCAGAAGACAGTGCTTAACTGGATAATATGAGCCTCTGTGTTCGTTTAATGAGAATGCTGAAGTTATATCATTTCTTAACTTAGGACTCCTCATATTTTGGAAGGTTTCTTTTACTAATTATAAAAACAATACATTTACATTATGAGAAATGTTTAAAATACAAATATACACAATAAATGAAATAAAATAAAATTACTCATAATGACACTACTATATCTGTTTTCATTTCTATGTATATGCATATAAAATAATATAAAGGTAAAACAGTACTTAGAATTTTTGCAATCTCTTTTTTTTTCTTAGTATATCTTGAGCATTTCCCAATATCTTTCTACAACACTGTAAACACCATTTTTAATGTTAGATTAATATATCATTGTATGGATGTAGAATATATTGAACCATATCCCTATTTCTGTACACTTTTCTATTATAAATGAGGTTGAAATAAATATGTTTCTACATAAATCTTTGTACGTCTAAAATTTCCCTTAGAATAAATTACTAGAATTGAAATTACTGCTCTGGGAAAAAGATATAACCAATTTTAAACCTCATGATACATATGTATAGAACACCTAAATTTTCGTATCCCAGGGAAACAATTTATTATTTAAACCTTAAGGAAATAGTTATTTTTAGTTTATGGACAATTCAAAGATAGATCAGATTCTTTTGGCTTCTAATAGTTTTGATATTGTGTTCTTGAATTCTTCTGCTGAGGTTATAATTGAAGTTTTCAGCAGATGAAAAAACTAATTGACCAATGTTTAAGGATATTTAAGTTATCATGATACATCCATTTAGTAGTCCTGGCAGCAAGTGACTTTTCTCTCACTGTGCAAGTAGAAAAGCTACAGAGGCAACTGGGACAGTTCCAGAAATCAGTATACAGAGTTGTCTTATAAAAGCTGTGTTTCTCAACCTTGTTTTATTATTATCCTCCAAGGGGAAATTGAATAAAATTCAAATTCTGCAATGAGAACATATGGGCACAGGGAGGGGTACATCACACACCAGGGCCTGTCGGGGGGTGGGGGGCAAAGGGAGGGAGAGCATTAGGAGAAATACCTAATGTAGATGACGGGTTGATGGGTGCAGCAAATCACACTGGCACATGTATACCTATGTAACAAACCTGCATGTTCTGCACATGTATCTCAGAACTTAAAGTAAAATAAATTTAAAAAATTAAAAGTTAAAATAACAAAATACCACTAAGTGCCCAATAGAATCAGTAAAAAGAATTAATGTTGGTGGGGATATGGAGCAACCAGAACTCTCACGCATTGTTGGTAAGAGTGTGAAATGGTAGAACCACTTTGGAAAATAGTTTGGCAGTTTCTTAAAACATTAAACATATCTCTAGCTAAAAAAATATAAAAAAATTCAAGTTCTATATAAACTAATAAAATTAATTCAATAAATGAATTATATTAAGTTAAATTTAAATTTTTCTTAATAAGATAAACTAAATTCTAAGGAATAAAATTTTGTCAAGTAGAGCTTTGGAAGGCCCAAATCATTGTAATATCTAAGATTTTCCCCCTGCCCCCTAAAACCAATTTTTACCAATGGGGGCCACATTGTCCCCATTCAGAATATGAATATTTAAAAGAAAATGAGTGCCCGACAACTAACAAAAAGAGAAGTACCTTAACTGTGAGCCACTCTTTCTAAGCATCAGGCAATTACGAATTTTACTAACTTTCATATAGTCAGAACAATTTTGAGATGACCCCCAAGATTCTTTCTCCTGTTGTTAACATACTTTCGTACAGTTACTTAGACACTAACATAAGTGCTGATGTAAATTTAATTTACAGATATAATTTAAGTACTAAATCACTTGATTTAAGATAGAAGATTACAAGGTGGGCCTGATATAAGGTCAAGTGTTCTTTAGGGCTCTTCTTAGTGAGAGAGATTTGAAGTGTGAGAGCCTCTTGAACAGATCCTACAGCAAGGATTTGAGAGTGTCCTAAGTGCTAAGGGTGGTCTTCAATCTACTGCCAGCAAAAAAAAAAAAAAAAGTACCTCAATATTACAACTACAATGGAAATTAATTCTACAAAAAACCTAAGGAAGCTTGGAAACAGATATTCGCCCAACCAAGCTTGCAGAGGACACACATGGCTAACATTAGATTTCAGCCTTGTGAGGTCGTGTGCAGAGAACTCAGCTAAAATATTCTGAACTCATAACCCATGGAAATAGTGACATAATACATGGATGTTCTTTTATACCTCTAAGTTTGTGGTAATTTGTTACACAGAAATATAAAACTAATATATTCCACAATCATGAATCCTCATTATACTGCACATTATTCCTCCCATCCTTTTGGGGGAACAAAATTAAATATTGGGGTGTAACAAAGGTGCTCTTCTTTAACAAACTCTAGTTAGGCTCCTCTAAACCCTCTAGGATTAGACCTTGGCATCCATGCTTGTCTGACCTGCATCACTCAGTTGTAGCAACAATCTTGCTAAATCGGTTTAGTGAGAATCCTCCACCCTCAGTATCTGATCACTTTCAATATCTTATCAAATATACCCTCATCCCCCATAATTCCCTATGTGATATCTGATCACCTTGGCCTGTCTTTACCAAAAATTCTATTAGATCTCTTTAGCCAGCACCTGCCCCACCAACTCCTGATGTTTCTTCTTAGGAATTTTTTTATTCACTAATTGTCACCCTGCTTTTTGGCTATAAATCTCCACTTGTCCAGTGCTATATTTGGAATAGATGCCAGTTCTATATTGAAGTCTCTTTCCCCCTATTGCGTTAGTTCCCAAATACATCTGTGTTTTACCACTTTTCTGTGCAGCTTTGGTTTCTCTTTGGCAGTTGGGTAAAGGAAGTGATGACAGTCTCCTCTTTTCCAACATATGTTAAAAATCAGAACAGTTGTGATAAGAATAAGGCTTTTGTTCTTTATAAAATGCAGCATGGTGAAATACATTCAAGCTATTTGTATGACTCAGTAGTGTTTCTTTCATAATTATAATTTAATGATTCCTTTTCTTTCCAACATAGTGCATTTGGTGTAGCCAACTTAGAAACTATAAATAAGAAAAATTAGAAAATAAAAATTACCCACAATTCTACCATACAGAGATAATCACATTTTAATATCTTAATATATATATATACTTCCCCCTTCTAGCCATATGATCTATTCATACTTATATCTATATTTATAATAAAAATGGAGACATTCATATATTTTTTAAATAAATATGGAATACTTATAACAGTCAGTACTCTAGGAATGAACACAACCCTTAATGTCTTTTCGTTTAGGAGTTTACATTTTAGTAGTCAAATAGGAGAGGATATAAAAAGATAAATAAATAAAATATTTGCTAAGTCTGATGGTGATAAGTGCTTTTTAGAAAAATGGAACAGAGTAAATGGAATAGGCAGTGACAGAGGCTGCTATTTTACTTCACATAGTCAAGGAAGATTTCTTCAGTTAGGTAATATTTGAGCAAAAAACTGAAAAAAAGTATGGCATAAGCCAGGTGGACTTACAAGGGTAGATAATTTCAGACAGGGGAAATAGGAAGTGCAAAGGCTCTGAAATGGAAATAAGACTGACATGTTTGAGGAACAGCAAGGAGGTCAGTGAAGTTGGAACAGTGTAAGGAAAGATAGCTGGGAAATGAGGTCAGAAAGGTAGCTGGGGAATCAGATCAATGGGGCCCTACAGGCTTTATTAATGACTTTGGATTTAGTTTTAAATGTGTTTGGAAGTCATTGAAATGTTTCAAGCCAAAAGTTAATACAATCAGATTTTTGATTTAAAGAATTACTGCATGTGCTATTTGGAAAATATACTCCAGAAAGTCAAGTCAAAAACATAATCAAGCCAACTGAGAGTGGGAAGAATGGTGTGAGATGAGATCAGAGAGGTGGTAGAAAGCCAGATCAGGAAGAAACTACGGAAAGGAATTTGGGCTTTATTCTGAGTGAGATTTAGAACAAACTGTTAGAAGCTGAAAAAGAATCAAAGAGATTAATTAGAAAGTTTCTTCCACTAGTCCTTGGTTACTTGGACCAAGTTAAAAGCAGTGTTGAGAAATGGTCAGATTATGGAAGACAAAAATCAAGATTTTCTCATAGTTTTAATGTGGGATGTGAAAGAGAGAGAGGAGCAAAGACTGGTCATAAGATTTTTGGCCCTACCAATTGGAAAAATGCAGTTGTCATTTACTAACATGGAGAAGACTGAGAGAACAGATTTCCCTTGGAGGGGTTGAAAATAAGGTCCCATTGATCTGGTCTCCCAGCTACCTCTCTTGACTTCATCTTCTAGATATCTTCCTTTACTCAGTCTGTTTCAACTTCACAGTCCTCATAAATCTTCTCAACTGAGTAAGTGTAAAAATAGAAGTTATTAGGACTGATATCTGGGGATCTCCCACATAAAGAGGTCCAGAAAATAAAGAGGTTCAAGCAATGAAAATCAAAAAATAGCTTGGGTCATGTGAGTGTCCCTATGGCCAAGACAGGGAAGATGTATCATTATAGCTCCTCAAAGAAGGGAAAATAAACAGCTTCCCAAAGGAAGTATGAGGGCTGAACAGACACAAATAATGTAGGCTACAAAGTTGTCTGTACTATTTTGATTTAATTAAAAAATGCATTAAATGGCACTGTAGTTGTATCTTTGTTAACTTGCTTAATTATTTATTTATGATGAATTCCTTGAACTAGAAGTTCACAGCCAGTGAGCAAAAGTATTTTGATACACTTACTGCAGTGTTGCCTTCCAGAAAGGAAGTACTCATTTATATCTCCACTAACAATGTGTATGTGCTTATTTTTTATTTAATATCTAACAAAAATGTTATTAAAAATACTCTGCCAATTTTCTAGTTGGATAACAACCCACTGTTTTTTAAATGACATTTATTTTACTGGTTATAAAATAACTCATTATTTTTACAAATATCGATCAGTCAGCTACATGTCTTTTTTAAATGAATTGCCCGTTTGTGTCCTTTGCCTAGATTTTTTTTTTACCGTGTGATTTTGATCTTTTACTTTTAATAACACAAGTAACCCATGATCATTACACAAAATATAGAAAACATAGATAATCAAACATATTAGTTAGAATCCCACTATAAGGAGATAGCAGTGTTAAGAATTTTGTTAATATACAGACATAGTCTCCTTCTCATCCTCCCTCTCTGTTTATCTCTAATCTCTACAGATGCTGTTGATTTCAAAATAGCATCATTCCATAAATGTTCTGTAGTAGTTTATTTCCCTTGCTAAAAATAGTCTTTATTTGTACGTGAATATATATATGTAAATGTGTGTGTGATCAGAACTTTCACAATAATAAAATACAAATATCATAAACAAGAAAATAGAAACTGCACATACAAATATCAATGCAATTTTATTCTTTATCCTCTGCATTTTTACATGTTTGTGTGTGTATATGTGCATGAGTAGATTTGGAACCTTATTTTCTACTTAACAATTGTCCTGATTACCATTTCATGTCAATAACACATTGTGATTTTTCAAATCTATGTGATACTCAACAATTAAAGAAATTGAAAAAAATAAGTCTAACAGAATGTGCATTATCATTCTTTTTTACATCTGTCAGTCTTACAGAAGAAAATTATTTAATTGCATTTTCTGGATTACTACTGAATTTGAACATTTTTAAAACATGTATTGTCATCATTATTTATTCTTTTGTGAATTGCTTGCTCATTTCCTATTTTCTTTTGAATTTTTCTATTGTGTATCTATTTCCTTAAAAATCAAATCTGATTTGTAATGGTTATTTATTAGGAATATTATAATTTCAGTGTATATGTTGTAAACAGTTTTCTAGTTTGGGATTTATGTACTATATTAATTTTGTCTATGTGTTTTATAATGAGTGATGGGTATTAACTTCATGTATTCCATTTTATTGGTTATGTCTCTTATGATTTATCTTCTTTAATATCTTGTTTAGAAAGTCCTTCATGAGTTGAATATTTACCTGTATTTCTTTTTTGACAGTTTGACAAAGGAAGAATTATCATACAAATAACTACCTATTTAAATTATAAAATGTGATACATTTTAATTTGTATATATACTCATAAGACCATTACCACAATCAAGAAACTAAATATATCCATCACCCCACAAAATTTCTCTATGCTCCTTGTAATCCTTACCTTTTTTCCTTTCTTGCCCCTTTCACATTCCCTAGCTCCTGTTACCAGGCAGGCACTGATCTTTCTGTCAGCATAGATTGCAGAATTTTATATAAATGGGATCAGTTTGTAGCCTTGTGTCTTCTTTCCTTAGCATGATCATTTTGAAATTTATCCATTTTTTTGCATATATCAACCGTTCATTTGTGTTTATGGCTTAGTAGTATCCCCTTGTATGAGTGCACCACACTTTATTTACATATTCATCTATTGATGGACATTTGAGGGGCTTCCAGTTGGGATTTACAAATGGAGCTGCTGTGGATCCTGTGCAAGTTTTTGTGTGGAGTATGTTTTCTTTTTTCCTGGGTAAACACTGAGTATGGATAATACAGTTGGTTTATGTTTAGCTTTTAACAAGGTTGCCAAACTTTTCTAAAATAATTGTGCCATTTTCTGTTTTCTTCTAGCATTATATAAGAGAGTTCAGATGC
The DNA here is from genome assembly GCF_000001405.40 of Homo sapiens. Lineage (NCBI taxonomy): Eukaryota > Metazoa > Chordata > Mammalia > Primates > Hominidae > Homo > Homo sapiens. The sequence goes on along the minus strand of NC_000023.11, from coordinate 143,332,639 downwards.
TTTATATCTTCTCCAACCTTGTTGCAGACAGTTTTACCAAAAATTTCCATTCTTATAGATGTGCAGGGGTATCTTATTGTGGTTTTTATGTGCATTTTCTTGATGAATAATGATGTTTGAGGTTTTTCTATGCTTATTAGCCACTTGTGTGCCTTCTTTGGTGAAGTATCTATAAAAATCATATGTCCATTTTAAAATTTGCATTTTCTATTTTCTTATTATCGAGTTTTGAGAGTTCTCTATGGATTCTGGTTGCATATCCTTTATCAGATATGTAATTTTCAGGTGTTTTCTCCCAATATATATTTTTTTCAATTTGCCAACTTCCTCCATGTGACCACATGCTTCATAAAAAGGGCAGAGGAAACCATTCTCCGCTTCAGAAGATAATCTATATTTGGATTAAGTCAATTATGGCAGTCCCATTCTCCTTGCCAGGAATTTATCTAGGCAGAAATATTTTATCCAATTATAGCAGATGAGAATTGAAGAAATATCCCCTGAGAGGGAGGGCTTCTGGGAAAATTTCACCCACTGTTAAAAAGAGATATAGTTTATCTTCTTCCATTGTATGTTGTCACGTCCACATGAGACACTTGGAATCACAGCATCTATCCTGCAGTTTAAGGAGACTAAATTAAGGACAAGCTGGCAAGTTAAGGATGGGACAGCAGAATATTTAAAATATCAGGGCATGTATGATGTGAATTTGCTGAATTAAGCAATGTGGAATCTCATTACCTGGGGTCTTCTTGACTGTGAGAAGAAACCTTTTAAAAATGAGTTAGGTTTCCTTTGTTGCAGCTACGAACATCTTAATTCATAAAATTAAAGCAACGTTCATGTTGCTTTAAATGCTTTATGGCATAAAGACATAAGTAAAGGGGTAGTGGGCTCAAGGATTAAAAATAAGTATGCTGCCAGAACACCAGGAAGAGAATGAAAGAATGAGGACTACTGTTTAAGAATGGCAGTTAAACACAAATTTCCAGGGTATGGAGAAACCTCTGAAACTATAAGTGAGGGTAGGCCTTTTGAAAATACATTCTTCTTGAAACTGAGTTTTTCAAATTTGTTAGCTTCATATGATTTGCTTTCCCTGGATATTCAATAGGCAGTAATAAGCATTAAGACATAATCATTATTAAATTAATATGTACTAAGCCCCTTCATGTCTGCAAGAATTTTATTTTTTTATTTGTATTTGTTGTGGATGCATAGTAAGTCTATATATTTATGGGGTACATGAGATGTTTTGATATAGGCATACAATGTGAAATATGTACATTATGAATAATGGGGTATCCATCCCCTCAAACACTTACTCTGTGTATTACAAACTATCCAGTTGTACTCTTTCAGCTATTTAAAAATGTACAATTAAGTTATTCTTGACTATAGTCACCCTGTTGTGCTATCAAATACTAGGTCTTATTCATTCTTCTAACTATTTTTTGTACCTATTAATATCTGCATTTTCCCCCACATCCTCCCCGACCACTACCCATTCTAGCCTCTGGTAATCATCCTAGTACTCTCTATCTCCAGGAGTTTGATTGTTTGGATTTTTGGATTCCACAAATAAGTGAGAACATGTGATGTTTGTCCTTCTGTGCCTGGCTTATTTCACATAATATAATGCTCTCCAGTTTTTGCCAGACATACTATTGTAGGTAAATGTTGTTTGCCTTCAGCACTTTAAATATGTCATGCCACTCTTTCCTGGCCTGTAAGATATCTGCTGAAAAGCCTGCTGTCAGATGTATTGGAGCTCCATCGTATGTTACTTGTTTCTTTTCTCTTGCTGCTTTCAGAATCCGTTCTTTATCCTTCAGGTTTGAGAGTTTGATTATTAAATGTCTTGAGATAGCCTTCTTTGGGTTATTTCTGCTTGGTGTTCTACAACCTTCTTATACTTGGATATTGATATCTTTTTCTAGGTTTGGGAAGTTCTCTGTTATTATTCCTTTGAATAAACTTTCTCATATTTTTCTCTACTGTTGTAGGACTTTCTCCTTAGCTCAGCTAAAGACAGGATCCTTGTCACAAAGCCATGAAATATTAGGCTCGCAGACACTTTGAAAGGTGAGAAAAATGGAATTTACTGGGCAAAAAGAAAAAAGAGGGAAAACAGGGATCCTCAGCAGAGTGAGAGTCCTGCTAGTATGTGCTTCCCACCTTGCAGATTGAATTCTAGGTTCCACCCAGGAAGAGGAGGGGCCAGGCCTCTCCCCACGTGCAAATTGTGAGAACTTCTGTGGCTCCACCCTAGTGTGCACTCTCAGTGCACAGGCAGGTTGGAGTTTTTCTGGGAACCCCTTTACACTTGGCTGTCTTATTACCTCCACTTTAAGGGCAATGACTCTTAGATTTGCTCTTTTGAGGCTGTTTTCTGGATCATGTAGGCATGCTTCATTGTTTTCCTTTTTTTTTTTTTTTTTGTCTTTTTCTTTTGTCTCCTTTGACTGTGTATTTTAAAACAGCCTGTCTTCAAGCTCGCTACTTCTTTCTATTGCTTGATAAATCCTGTTACTAAAGGACTCTGATGTTTTCTTTAGCATGCAAATTCCTTTTTTTCCAGCTCCAGAATTTCTCCCTGATTCATTTTAATTATTTTAAACTCTTTGTTAAATGTAGCTGATAGAATTCTGAATTCCTTCTCTGTGTTATCTTGAATTTGAGTTTCCTCAACACAGCTATTTTGAATTCTCTGTCTAGAAGGTCACATATGTCTGTTTCTCCAGGACTGGTCCCTGATAGCTTGTTTAGTTCATTTAGTGCGGTCATGTTTTCTTGGATGATGTTAATACTAGTAGATGTTCTTCGGTGTCTGGGCGTTGAAGAGGTATGTATTTATTTTTGTCTCCATTGTCTGGGCTTGTTTGTACCTGTCCTTCTTGAGAAAGTTTTCCAGATATTTGCAAAGACTTAGGTGTTGTGTTCTAAGCTTTGTCTTATTTAGGGGCATCCCAAGATCAGTAATACTGTGGTCCTTGCAGAGTCATAGAGGTACCACCTTGAAGGTCTTGGACAAATCAATAATTCTCTGGATTACGAGGCAGAGACTTTTGTTTTTGTCCCTTACTGTCTCACAAACAAACAGAGTCACTTTCTCTGTTCTGAGCCACCTAAGCTGGGAGTGGAGTGGCACAAGCATCCTTGTGGCCACCGCCAGTATGAGCGCCCTGGGTCAGACCTGAAGCCTGCACAGCACTGGGCCTCACACAAGGCCTGCTCCAACAACTCTCTGGCTTTGACCTATGTTCATTTAAGGCCCTGGGGCTCTACAATCAACAGGTGGCAAAGACGCGAGGCCTGTGTCCTTCCCTTCAGGATAGCAAGTTGCCTCAGGCCCCAGGTGGGTCTAGAGGTGCCATCTGGGAGTCAGAGACTACCTGGTGTTCTATTGTACTGTGGCTGACTTTGCGCTCAAACCACAAGATGAAGTTCTTCATACTCTTCCCTCCCCTTTCTGAAGGCAGAGGAACCTCATCCCATAGCCAGTGCCACTTCAGGCCACAGGGATTAGTGACAGATTATCTATTAGGAATACCATCAATGTTCCCTTAACACTCGAGGGCTCTTAAATCAGCTTGTAGTAAATGCTGCCAAGCCAGGGACTCAATCTTCAGAACAGTGGGGTCTCCTCTGGTCCAGGGCAGGTCCAGAAATGCTGTCTAAGAGCCAAGTACTAGAATCAGGGGCTCCAAGGGCCCATTTGGTGCTCTACTCTCCTGTGGCCATGCTGGTACCTAAGATGTAAGATAAACTCCCCTTTACGTTTCCCTCTGTTTTTCGTAAGCAGAAGGAGTTTTATTCCATAGCCACCATAGCTGGGAATATGCTAAGTCTAACCTGAAGCCAGCAAGTCTCAGAGGTTCACAGAAGGACCTTGTATTAGTCCATTTTCATACTGCTATGAAGAAATACCCGAGGCTGGGTAGTTTGTAAATAAATTAAAAAAAAAAAAAGGTTTAATGGACTCACAGTTGCACATGGCTGGGGAGGCCTCACCATCATGGTAGAAGGTGAAGGAGGAGTAAAGGCATGTCTTACATGGCAGAAGGCAAGACAGCATGTGCAGGGGAACTGCCCTTTATAAAACCATCAGATTTCATGAGACTTATTCACTATCATGAGAATAGCATGGGAAAACCTGCTCCCATAATTCAATTACCTCCCACTAGGTCCCTTCCATGACATGTGGGGATTATGGGAGCTACAATTCAAGCTGAGATTTGGGTGGGGACACAGCCAAACCATATCAGACCTCCATGTGGTACCTGAGTATAGCTGCTGGTTATTCATGGCCTAAGGGCTCTTCAGTTAGCAGGTGATGAATGCCACCAAGACTAGGTCCTTTCCTTCAAGGCAGTGCATTCCCTTCTAGCCCAGGTTGTGCCTAAAAATGTCATCTGGGAGCTAGGGCCTGGAATAAGGGACTCATAACTCTCACCAGTGCCCTATCCTGCTGTGGCTGAGCTGGTATCCAAGATGCAAGGCCAAGTCATCCTCACTCTTCCCTCTCCTTTCATAAAGTGGAAGGAATGAGTCTCTTTTAGAGCTATGAGCTATGCAGCTTAGGTTTAGTGGAGGGGTGATGCCAGCACTCCCTTGTGTAACCCAGTTGGTGTCTCAGTATGTCACCTCCCCTCCAGTCCAGTGTTTCTGGGCCCAGTTCAGAACTAAGACTTGCCTAAGAGTTGCATTCTTTATGACCTAGAGTGCATTTTAGATTTACTTGGAGACACAGAATGCTATAGCCCTCAAGTAAAGACTGTTGGGATTGGTGACTGACCTCTGGCTAGGGCTGGTTTAAATGCTACCTCCTGGGTGGGCATCAGCTGAATTTGGTCTGGTTTTCCTTTCTGTTCTAACAGGACAGTACTGAGTTCAGTGCCTCACAGTTGCTGTGCTCTCCCTCCCCCAGCACCGAGAGATGCTCTCTCCAGCATGCTGCTGCTGTCCAGGGGTGAAGGAGGGGTAGCATCAGCAATTCAAAACTGTGTTTTCTATCTCTTCAGTGCTTCTTTCAGTAATACAAAGATAAAACCAGATATTATGAGGGCTCACCTGATTTTTGGTTCTTATGAAGTTATTTTTTCCATGTAGATAGTTGTTAAATTGGTGTCCTTGTGGGGAGTTGATGAATGGAGTTTTCTATTCTGCTATTTTGCTCTGTCTCTCTCCATCCATATCTGCAAGGTTTTAAATATTTATTGAATTTTCATAGCAACTCCACGACATAGGAACTGCAATTATCCCAATTTTACAGGTGAGGAGAGACTGAGGCATAGAAAAGTTTAGTTACTTGCCCAAGTCACAGAACTAGCGAGTGAAAGAGCTAAAATTTGTTACCAGGCTTTGCATTTTATAGGAAAGGTAACCAAAAGTAAAGGAAGCCATACAACATTATGATTTTCCTTTTCTTAAAAAAATTTCTTAATTTAATCTGATTTCAGCCTTTTTCACACCTTTATACCCTTGAAACTTTGACCTGTTAATGAACAGCCATGAAAGTGTGTCCAGCTTTACTTATGATACCACTTATACAGATTCTAAGATGTGTGTGAGCTTTGGTGGTTCGTTTTTCTCAACACCAGTGAATGCACCCTTTCTGAGATGTTTATAGATTTAGGGTTTATCCTGCAATGACTGTCCTTCATCTTACATTTGGCCCCAGTACCTACCCGTCAGAATTTGGGGGGTGTTAGTATTCTTTTGTAGGATTTTCCTCCACTTATTTCCTAGGAGGGACTTTGCTTTGAATGTTGTCCTTCCTCCAATCTACTTGCACCTGTACATTATCTTACAGAAATTATGCATATTTCTCTTAGTTTGGAATTGCTTTGCTCATGGGAGTGGGAGTTTTGGAGGCAGGCAATTTAAATCAGTTGATGGTGGATGTTATATTAACCAGGATGACTCTTGATTCAGGTATAGAGATTGATTTATTTATCATACATATTATAGAGGTAGATTATATGACATCAATTTGAGGGGAACTGAAAAGTCAGGCTTTTGTTTCTCAAGAGACTCAGAGAAATTATATTAATCAAGCAAGGAGGATTTATACTAATGACAATCTACTGATGGCGAATTTTGTCTTGATCATCCACCCCTAGTTTCTGGAGCAACCATCTTACTTCAGAGGATTGAAATAGGCTCTATAGATGCCTTGTTTGCCTTGCAACTGTGAAGAAAAGTGGCATTTTTGCCTGAAGAAAAAAAAAAACAAATCTTACTATGGACAGCAAAGAAGAATTTATATGGACAGGAAAAACAAATAAGTAGATATTTGTCAACCAAGTATAGGGTTAGTTTGGATATATGTGTCTTTTACTTTGGCACTTACTGTCTTGTTTTGTAGAAAATGAATTCTTTGGTAGTTTTCTATTAAATACAGAGATGTTGCAGGACAAATAGCTTCTTACTTAGGGCTCATTGCCCTAGAACACAGAACAGTTTAAAGGCTTCTTCCTCTCAAGAAAAGCCTTTTGAGGTAATACATTTCTACATGTTAAGGGACAATTTGGAAATGAATAAATCCTAACTGGGGCTTTGCTAATCCAGAATTTATAAGCAATCCAGAAGCTAACAACTCTTAAGCCTCTTTGCCTGTATTTTCAGGTAAATTTAGGAAATAAAATATTTATCATTCAGCATCTCCTTGATATGTGTATGGTGATATTTTGAGGACTAACATTTCTTTTCTTTTCTTTTCTTTTTTTTTTTTTTTTTGAGACAGGGTCTTGCTCTGTCACCTAGGCTGGAGTGCAGTGGTGCAATCTCGGCTCACTGTGCAACCTCCACCTCCCAGGTTCAAGCAATTCTCCTGCCTCAGCCTCCCAAGTAGCTATTACAGGCGCCCACCATGATGTCAGGCTAATTTTTGTATTTTTAGTAGATACCAGGTTTCACCATGTTGGCCAGGCTGGTCTTGAACTCCTGACCTCAAGTGATCTACCCACCTCGGCCTCCCAAAGTGCTGGGGTTACAGGCATGAGCCACCGCGCCCAGCCTAACTTTTTTTTTTTTTTTGAGACAGAGTCTCGCTCTATTGCCAGGCTGGAGTGCAGTGGCACGATCTCGGCTCACTGCAACCTCCGCCTCCCGGGTTCAAGCGATTCTCCTGCCTCAGCCTCCTGAGTAAATGGGATTACAGGTGCCCCCCACCATGCCTGGCTAATTTTTGTATTTTTAGTAGAGACAGGGTTTCACCATGTTGGTCAGGCTGGTCTCGAACTCCTGACTTCGTGATCAGCCCATCTCGGCCTTCCAAAGTGCTGCAATTACAGGCATGAGCCACTGTGCCTGGCCTAACATTTCTTTATTTGAAATTGTTGCTATATGTTGGTAAGTACTAATTGTGAACAGATAACTCCCTATTTGGAATTAACTGGCTAAAGATTTACTAATATTTACCTTATTTATGGTGTTTTACCATTTAAGCAAGGATATTCTGGGGAAAAATATGGCCTTACTTTCTGTTTGAGGGAGACTATGACCAAATAATTGGAACACACAGCTCCATATTTAAGCATTGAGCTAACATGGTGACGATGTCAGTTTTATCTGTGGTTGTTTTATCAATTTATACAAAGAGTCTGAGAAAACTAAGTCCTCACTTAGAGTTTTCACGTTACGTCATGTGTATAGGTACAATTAGGGAACAAATTGCCCCGTCTTCCTTACTTGTAATTATTCATAGTGACATTGACAGGGCATACACTACTTTAAATGAGATTATTTATCCAAGCTATCAGGGACTTTTGTTGGTAAATAACACCTCATCTTTGGGCTTTTTGTCCAAGCATGCAAGAACAGTTAACACAGAAACAACTTTTTAAGAAAGCCATACAGGACAGAAATTTGAAGAAAAAACAACTATTTATTCCATGTTCACTCTCCAAGTGCAGGGGAATAATTGAATGGGTGTAACATCTTAATTAAGGTTCTTTGTCAAAATATGAAGGGCATTTAGAGACAATGACGGGTATACATCTTTGTGTGGGTCTCTAAATTTATAGCATTAGCATGAGGGGTGGAACCCTGCATTTGGAGAACTCTTTGAAAACATTAATAACATTTTGGAGAATGAGAAATGACACCTTAATTCGTGGTTTTGCCTCTGGGTGAAGCAATTACATTTGAACAAATGTTTCTCTATTTGAGTGTGTTTGTCTAAGCTTCTAGGTGTAGTATGTGGCCAACATCTTATTAGGTTGTCTTTTATCCATGTTTTTAGAAACAATTAAGTGATCAACATTTTTTGATTTAAGGATATTTGACTTCTTGTATGAAGACACTTTGGATATCAACAACTTTTTTCGGGGCACTTTGGATATAAACAAATTCTTTGAAGGGCTTCTTCCTAAATGTTTATAGCCACTGTTTATTAGTATATTCTTAATTTGGATTATTTGTCACAGCAAGCAGAGGAAATTTTGAAAAAAACAATTCTGTGTTTAAGATTTGTGTTCAGGCATATGACAACACACTGGTGTACAAACACTTCATTCTTTGTTTGTTAGTCGTTAATAGTGAAGAGAAACCTGTGTTCAAGTCTACCTCTATCACTTAATAGATGAGTGGGATGGCCAAAATTACTCAAAGTTTCTGAACCTCAGTTTCCCATCCAAAGAAAATGGGAAACTAATAGTCCCAAACCTGTAAGGTTACTGAGAGGATTGAATGAGATATGCATGTAGATTACTTAAAACAATACCTGACATACAGTAAATGTTCAATGAGGTTTGCCATTCTCAAATAAATGATAAATGCTACTTTACATACAGCTCTTTACAATTTATACCCTTTTTCCCATTCAGACATCTTAGGGTTTTTACTCAAAAGACTGCTTTTTCTTCTATCCCATTATTGAATGCTTTCAAAATGAGTTTTTTGAGGACACTACGTATCTGTAACTTTTTCGTTCTTCCTCTTTCAAACTGATATGATGATAATAAGCAGCTTATTTCATAGTTTTGTAAGAAGTCATCTTCTGTGTTTGCTGTGAAAAGTTAACCTAATATTAGGGTGGATGGTTTACCTTCAGTATCTCAGTTGATCTATCTAGAAGTGCACCATATAAAATATTAATACTTTAATTTTATTCACGATGAAGGTGAGTTTCAGAAAAGATAAGTAACTTGCCCAAGATCATATAGCTAGTAAATGACACTGTCAAAACTTTATAACAGGTCTGTTTGACTACAGAACTGTTTTCTTAACGACCAAACCACCATAATTATTTTTCCATTATAAATTTAAAAGTCATATTGAGTTGTAGAATTCTATTATTAATGGTACTATTATTTAATATAACACACAATAGCAACTAGACAATTTAATTACTCTGTAAGGAAGATTTTCTTCCCACTGTTTATGTAACAGCTGATGAAAAGATATACTGTTCCCTACTTCTTTTTTTTTTTTTACTTTCAGTCTAATATTCTGAGAAAATATTTGTGAGAGCCTAGAATATTATAATAGCTGCAGGTCTGAAGAAAAAGAGATATGTGTGACCTATTATATGAGAGACAAGAATATTCCATAATGGAATACGTGTGTTGGGTGTAGGAAAGAGAATATAGAATGTGACTATGTGTATCTGAATGACCAACCAGATAGTGGTATTATGGATTAAGTTGAACTGAATTCAATTGGAAGGGTAAGATTTCAGAAAAAAGATAACAAGTTTTGATTTCAAAAAGTTTAATTTTCCAATAATATGGCTTCCAAAGGTTAATTAATTTAAGAAAACTGGCTAATGGTTAAATATTTCCAGCAAAGATGAGATGCAATCACTGATATCAGTAAGATCTTTGTTTCCCTACATCATTATTTTGTATTTGTGACAAGACATCCATGATTATGCAGATTAAATTATTCCTCTCTCTAGCTTTAAAACCTTCCTCATAGTGTCATATCTTACTAGAGAAAAATAAGTTGGAGTCTTCAATTTGTCACCCCCTAAACATGAGGCCTCAGTCATAATTATTTTTTTCTGAAATATACTCTCCTCATCTAACAAGAAAGCATAAATATAGTATGAAGATAAAATGAGATTATATGTATGAAAATGTCTTAATACACAATATATATCCTTAGAAATTACAGAGAGTTTTACTATATCATGACTTCCATTGCATCCCAACAAAAATCCTCATTTAGATTGGCATCAATCCTACATTTCTCCATTTTCTCATAGTTTTATGTTCATTCTACCTGGACTGCTCATTCTCTTTCTCTCCACTAATGTAAGTTCCATCCATCTCTTTATGCCCAGCTAACTGTATAATCTCCTGACAATTTTTTAATGTTGGGCAAACACACATACTTTTGTTATTTAAATGTGTCAAGCAAGGGTGCTTTGTTCTGTTCTTCTGCACTTAAGTGCTACAAAGCACCTTGAAGATAGGTCACCTTCTCTTTTCTACGAAGGGCTTAGTAAATAACAATAAAACAGGATTACATTTCACCTAAATTTCTTTTTATATTTCAAAACATTACATTTTGTTTCATCTTCAATGAATGGAGAATGTGATTCTAGAAATGAAACCCTTTTCTCTCCTTGAGATCTGATGTTAAATCCTCAGTGCCTTCTTTCACAGAGCTGTACTTGTCTAGGTGGATTAAATTCTCCTTTGCTTTTCCCCATCAACTTTATTTACATGGTGGGTGATTTATGGTGCTATAATAATTTTTAGCAGGAAATTTTCTACATGCCATATATGTCTATGCATTTGTTATCTTTAATGAATATTGGAAGTGTTTTTGTCATTACCGTCAAGAATAATTGCTGTCTCACTAGGTATTACTCAATACACCCCCAAATAGAATATGACTGGAGTATATCAGATAACCTTAGATTTTCTTTCAATAATGGAAATAGATTTGTAGTTTTTCTATAGTGTCTACTTAATTCAATATAACAGTATGATGAATTAATTCACTTTACTGGTAATTGCTACACATTTATGGGAAATAAGATGACTGAAAACAATATCCTCTTCCTGTAGGTATACTGATATGTTAAAATTTTAAAACTGTCACCCAGAGCGAGGAAACATCATGTTGAGATATAAATGAAAGTGATTAAAACTGCTTGCAGTAAAGGTTGGTGTCGCTAATTTTTAGGTTCCCTCCTCCTTTGATAGATAAGAATAGAATGCTTGCAGCACACTTAAAATATTCTTGAAATTACTCTTTGAGATGTTCATATTTCAGCTATTTCCCTGCACTTTCAAGTGGTTCAGAGTCACTCTTACTATTCTAAGAATTTAACTATACTCACCTGAACTATGACATTTTCAAAGATCCATCTTTCTTCCTCCACCAAACACATTAAAGTCAAGTCATATTTCAATAATTTCTCATGATTTGTGGGATTCAATGTCTTGCTTCCTTCTTAATATGCACATTGTTAAAGCATCGTTCTCCAGATAATTGGCTTTTAGGCCAAGAACTAACATTAACCTATACAAGGTTTTGGAGTCATCACTCAAGGTAAAGGTGGTATACATGGCATCATAAAGATACACAGGGGCAGCTGTTTCATTGAATTCAACCAGGGACTTATAAAAACTACCTGTTATTTGAGAGAATTCATCATTTTAAGAGTGAAAAAAATGGGCTAGTTTCACTCCTTTGTCTTCCTAGAGTCCTAAATTTTGGAAACAGAAAACAGGGAAAACCTGTTTCCTCTCTTGCCAAGTATATAGTTGTTACATCTTAAAAATTCCTTTTTTTCATTTTGACATTTCAGTTCAGAGGCTTAACCTTACCAATTAATGTGCTCAGAGCAGCAGCTTTTAAAACTATTCACTGAAGCTTCCAGATTGATTTATTCTTCAATAAATTTTAGAGTTAATGAGGTAAATGTTAGGAAAAATGTCTCTTGTGAATTTTAGTGTTTGGTCTGATTTTTAGCTTTTCCTGCTATTTTAGAGATGTCGCGTAGGCTGCTATGTAGAGAATGTGTTGGTTACTCTTGGAAAGCTATTTGAAAATGCTGTTGTGAGAACGAAACATTTAAATGATATGAAATAAAGCATAAAATGTGTTGTATTATACAAAGATTTATACAAATCTTGAAATTATTAATAAATATTGCCAAAATCTACTACAATAAAAAAGCTTCAGGAAACACTTGATTTTGATTAATAGAATTACTAGGTTCATTATTTAAATATGTTTTCTGATATATTTGAAGACAATAGATTATGTAATTGGGCATAAAACATGAATATAATACAAATATTCTTTTTTTTTTTTTTTTGAGACGGAGTCTTGCTCTGTCGCCAGGCTGGAGTGCAGTGGTGTGATCTCGGCTCACTGCAAGCTCTGCCTCCCAGGTTCAAGCGATTCTCCTGCCTCAGTCTCCCGAGTAGCTGGGCCTACAGGCGCCCACCACCATGCCCAGCTAATTTTTTTTTTTTGTATTTTTAGTAGAGACGGAGTTTCACCATGTTGGCCAGGATGGTCTCCATCTCTTGACCTCGTGATTCACCCACCTTGGCCTCCCGAAGTGCTGGGATTACAGGCGTGAGCCACCACGCCCAGCCCCACAAATATTCTTAAAAGCAGATATCTGTGCCTTCTTATTGGAGATGGAAGACATTTTACCTCCTCTCTCCTTTCCTAAACCCATTGAAATGACATTAAATACAAATAAAAGAGGGGAGGATTACCATGGCAGATGGGAGGCAGGACTAGACTGCAGCTCTGGACAGAGCAGCGTGTGGAGGCTCACATCGTGAATTTTAGCTCCAGATTGACTGCAAGAAAAAACCAACAGTCCTGAAAGGACCCATAGACGCTTTGAAGGAAGCAGACAGCTCCTGCAGGACCTGGGAGACATCTCAAATACGGTGAGTGCCCCAAATGCAGAAGTGGGAAAGGGAGAGCCTCCTTCCCCAAACACACACCCCCGCTGGAGAAAATGAAGGTCTATTTGTGAGAGAAGTTTCTGAACTTGCTGGGAGCTGAGCCAACTTAGTTAGCCAAGTGAAATACAGGGGTAGAAGTAGCAGCAGAAAGGCTCTTGGAGCTCACTGGGCCCCCAAGTAGGCCATTCCTGCCTGGCACCACAGGGATCCATCCATCCGGAGGGTGGCCAGAGGAGTCTGGGGTAAAACTCCATAGGGAGAAGGAAATCTCTAGCTGAACCGCTTAACAATTTGAATGGGGAGAGAAGCCTCCTGGCCAGAACTCAGGGCAGAGTGTGAATCCAGTGTGTAGACTCCACAGGTTGGGGAACCAAGCCCTTTTCTTTCGCAAGTGGGAGTCAGGTAGCCTGGGCAAGTTTTCAAGCTTGGCTTACCCACTGCCGGGAAACAGGCTTGGGAGTGTTGGCGGGGAGGGAGGGGCATGGTGGGAGTGAGACTGGCTCTTCAGTCTGCATGGGAGCTGGGTGAGGGCTGTGACTGTAGGCTTTCCCCCACTTCCCTGACAACCTGCATGACTCAGCAGAGGCAGCCATAATCCTCCTAGGTATACAACTCCAATGACCTGGGAATCTCACCACCCCACCCCTCACGCCCACAGCAGCCACAGCAAGACCCACCCAAGCAGACTTTGAGCTCAGACACATCTAGTTCTGTCCCCACCAGATGGTCCTTTCCTACCCACCCTAGTAGCAGAAGGCAAAGGGCATATAATCTTAGGAGTTTTAGGGCCCCACACATTGCCGGTCCCTCTCCATACTACCACAGCTGATGCTCTCTGGAAAGCACCACCTCCTGGCAGGAGGCCAACCAGCACAAAAGTAGAGCATTAAATCACCAAAGCTAAGAACCCTCACGGAGTCCATTGCACGCCTCCCTGCTTCCCCACCCCCACCACCTCCACCAGAACAGGTGCTGATATCCATGGCTGAGAGACCCATAGACAGTTCACATCACAGGACTCTGTGCAGACAACCCCCAGTGCCAGCCCGGAGTCAGGAGACTTGCTGGATGGCTAGACCCAGAAGAGAGACAACAATCATTGCAGTTTGGCTCACAGGAAGCCACATCCATAGGAAAAGGGGGAGAGTACTACATGAAGGGAACACCCCATGGGACAAAAGAATCTGAACAACAGCCTTTAGCCCTAGACCTTCCCTCTGACGGAGCCTACCCAAATGAGAGGGACCCAGAAAACCAACCCTGGTAATATGACAAAACAAGGCTCTTTGACACCCCCCCAAAAAATCACACTAGTTCACCACCAATGGATTCAAACCAAGAAGAAATCCCTGATTTGCCTGAAAAAGAATTCAGGAGGTTATTTATTAAGTTAATCAGGGAGGCACCAGAGAAAGGAGAAGCCCAATGCGAGGAAATCCAAAAAATGATACAAGAAGTGAAGGGAGAAATATTCAAGGAAATAGATAGCTTAAAGAAAAAGCAATAAAAATTTCGGGAAACATTGGACACACTTATAGAAATGCAAAATTCTCTGGAAAGTCTCAGCAATAGAATTGACCAAATAGAAGAAAGAAATTCAGAGAGCTTGAAGACAAGGTCTTTGAATTGACCCAATTCAACAGACAAACAAAAAAGAAGAAGAAAATATGAACAAAGCCTCCAGGAAGTCTGGCACTGTGTTAAACAACTAAACCTAAGAATAATTGGTGTTCCTGAGGAAGAAGAGAATTCTACAGTATTGGAAAACTTATTTTGGGGAATAATCAAGAAAAATTTCCCTGGCCTTGCTAGATACTTAGACATCCAAATATGAGAAGCATAAAGAACACCTGGGAAATTCATTGCAAAAAGATCATCACCTAGGTACATTGTAATCAGGTTTTCCAAAGTTAAGACAGGAAAGAGAGCTGTGAGACAGAAGCACCAGGTAACCTATAACGAGAAAGCTATCAGATTAACAGCAGATTTCTCAGCAGAAACCATATAAGCTAGAAGGGATTGGGGCCCTATCTTCAGCCTCCTCAAACAAAACAATTATCAGCCAAGAATTTTGTATCCAGCAAAACTAAGTATCATGTATGAAGGAAAGATACAGTCTTTTTCAGACAAACAAATGCTAAGAGAATTTGCCACTACCAAGCCACCACTACAAGAACTGCTAAAAGGAGCTCTAAATCTTGAAACAAATCCTGGAAACACATCAAAACAGAACCTCTTTAAAGCTTAAATCACACAGGACCTATAAAACAAAAATACAAGTTAAAAGGCAAAAACAAAAACCAAAAAGCCAAAGTACACAGTCAATAAAGAGAGCAATGAATGCAATGGTCCCTCACATTTCAATACTAAAATTGAATATAAATGACTTAAATGTTCCACTTAAAAGATACAGAACTGTAGAATGTATAAAAACTCACCAACCAACTATCTGCCACCTTCAGGAGACTCACCTAACACATAAGAACTCACATAAACTTAAAGTAAAGGGGTGGAAAAAGTCATTTCATGCAAATGGACACCAAAAGTGAGTAGGTGTAGCTATTCTTATATCAGACAAAACAAACTTTAAAGCAACAGCAGTTAAAAGAGACACAGAGGGATATTATATAATGGTAGAAGGCCTTGTCCAATAGGAGAATATCATAATTCTAAACATATATGCACCTAACACCGGAGCTCCCTAATTTATGAAACAATTACTAATAGACTCAAGAAATGAGACAGACAGCAACACAATAATAGTGAGGGACTTCAGTACTTTACTGAGAGCAATAGAGATGTCATCAAGACAGAAAGTCAACAAAGAAACAATGGATTTAAACTATACCTTGGAACAAATGGACTCAACAGATATTTACAGAACATTTCATCCAACAACTGCAGAATACACATTCTATTAAGCAGTACAAGGAACTTTCTCCAAGATAGATCATATGATAGGCCATAAAATGAGCCTCAATAAATTTAAGAAAATTGAAATTATATCAAGCACTCTCTCAGACCACAGTGAAATAAAACTGGAAATTAACTCCAAAAGGAACCTTCCAAACCATGCAAATACATGGAAATTAAGTAACCTGCTCCTAAAAGAGCATTGGGTCAAAAACGAATATATATATATACACACCCACACAATGGAATACTACTCAGCCATAAAAAGGAATAAATTAACAGTATTTGCAGTGACCTGGGTGAGACTGGGGACTATTATTCCAAGTGAAGTAACTCAGGAATGGAAAACCAAATATTGTATGTTCTCACTGATATGTGGGAGCTAAGCTATAAGGATGCATAGGCTTAACAATGATACAATGGACTTTTGGGACTTGGGTGGAAGAGTGAGAGGGGGGCGAGGAATAAAAGGAATAAATTTGGTGCAGTGTACACTGCTTGGGTGATGGGTGCACCAAAATCTCGCAAATCACCACTAAAGAACTTACTTAGGTAACCAAATACCACTTGCACCCCAATAATTTATGGGAAAAAAATAAAAATAAAAAAGAATTGAAGAAAGACAATGAGAATATGGTAGACATTTAGATGGAAATGAGGAATTAGTGAACAAAGATGGTGTTAAATTTTGGGAGAATGAGAAGGCCAGGGGATCATATTGACAGCTAATTCTGAGTAGAGTGAACTTCGTGCTTGCTTCGGCAGCACATATACTGAGTAGAGTGAACTTTGGCTTAGAGCATTCACGAAAGAAGGTACCAGTGGATGAGGGGACTCCTCTTCCCAGTGCAGTTCTCCAGAATCAGTAGTAACGGACAATGGAAGTGAGAAGAGGAATATAAGTCAAGGGTTTCGACTGAAGAGCTGCTTGCAAAAAGATGTGTAGTTTGGTCTGCCTTTCATGTTATCACCCCTCTTCTCACTGCCTTGCTCCTTCTCTAAGTAATGACATTTGCCCTCAAGTAAACCTGGATAAATACTCTTCAAAGACATTAATCAGTTATCTCTAGCAGGGGCTGGAGTTCTCAGTGGGAAGTTGGTGAAAGTAGAAACAACCACCTTGTTTAATCTACTCTTCCCTGCCTGCCGGAGAATTAGTCTGCCCACATGAATAGAAATGGGCATTAGTTCACTCTTTCATAATAGTGACTGCAGACAACGAAGGGGATTTTTATCATCTGAATTAACCAACAAGTCTTTCAAAACTCTATAAGCAGAAAACCAACAATCATCAAGAAATTTAGAAAACTAACAGATGAGAGGGACCAAGATAAAGAAAACATCTGATTCTATAAGAAGCACATATTTTTCAGGGAAGAGAAGAGAACTCAAAAACGTCTGGTTTGTTTTTTCAGAAAGATTTGATAAGACATGCATTCATAAAATAGGAGTAGGCATGTAGGTTAAAAGAAAAATCAGAGGCAAGGAACAGCTCAGAACAATTAAAAATACATTATCAAAAATTTTTTAAATTCCATATAAAAGTTGGAGAAAGATTTGACAAAATCTTTCAGAACATAGAGAAAACAGGAAATGAAGTAGAATATATTATAGGAAACGTAAAAGACATTAAAAACCAATCTATAAGAACCAACAGTCATCTAATTGGGAGCTCCGGAAAGAACAGAGAAGCTGGGGAAGGATAGAAAGTAGCAAAGAAATTAAAAAAATATATTCCAGTGTTGAAGAAAGATAAAACTTCACAGATTGAAAGGGCCCATTGAGTTCTGAGCATGATGGATGAAGCGACATAAAATCCTAGGCAAATTCTCATAAGATGTCATTATACCAAGAATTTAGAGATGATCAAGAGGTATCTAAAAAAAAAGTGAGACAAAACCAAACAGTAAAAAATCTACAAAGAAATAATAAAACATTTAGCATAAGTCTTCCAGACAGTGACATAGGATTGTAGAAGACAATGGAACAATATCTTAACGTTTTGAGGACAATGATTTTGGATTTGGAAGTCAATTCTCAGCCTAGCACCAGGCCTGCCTACATGCAGAGCCTGGCACTGGTCCTGCCTTCCCTGATCTTGCCAGCTATCCCACCCAGAATCTCTGACCGGGTTGACTATTGAAAGACTTTATCTGCTGAAGCCAATTTTTTAAATATTGGAAGTGGTGCATGTTTTTTCAAATGTGCAGACACCAATGCAAGGCTACAAGTATCACAAACAATCAGTGAAACATGACACCACCAAAGAAATGAAAATATTTTCAGTAACTGACCCTAGAGAAATGGAGATCTCTAAACAGCCTAATGAAAAACTCAAAATAATCATCTTAATGCCGTCAATACCAGCCAAAGTGACAAATAAGACTAAGAAAAATAAAAGATAAAATGCAAGGTCTTGGTCATAAATTATTTTTTAAGATGAAAAATTATTTGTGATTATGCCACAATAAAATGAAAAAAGAAGATATTGGACATAAGAAGTGTAAAACTAATGATTATAATGAGAATAAACCCCAGGATGATAACTATGTAGTAGTCCTAGTATAGTCGTTGGGAATTGTGTTTGGTTGCCGGTGACAGTACTGATTGCAATGACTAAAACATGCAAAAGTTTTTTTTTTTTTCATATTATGAGCAATGTTAAGATACTTGATTACTGGTATTACATCAACTGTGCAAATTTCCTGTTCCCAAATGGCTTCTGCAGTTCTAGCTATCATACTGACATTCTAGGCTGAAACACTGCAATAGGGGAATAGGCAGACAGAAATACTTCCCTATTAAGTTAGTTCTCAGAAACACCACTCAACAACTTTATCTAAATGCCATTGGCCAACTCTAGTTACAAGAGATTCTTTCCTGTTAGGAAAAAGGGGAGAATGAATTCGGTGGTAGGTAACTAGCAAACCCCTGGCATATCTTAAAAGCATTTTAGTGCATTCAGTAAATAGGGTGACTATTATACTCATTGAGCTTTGATGGTGAAGAATTCGTATATTCATCTTATACATGAGAAATAGAAAGATTATTAGCAATTTAAGGAAGAATACCATGCTGTAGGTAAAAGAAAAGCTTTAGTTAAATTACCTTCTGATTTCTACGATGTATTTGACTCTTCTGAGTTTTGTTTGCTTGTTTGTTCACAGAGTCAGAAAGGGATATCTGCTTTTTCCAGATAGGTTAGGCAATGAAAGACAAAATGAAAAGATAGCTGTGGTCACTTTAGACAAATGGGTTACTCAAGAGAAGGAATTAGAGAAAAGGAAGATCAAACATGTCCCAGGTCATTTTGTCCCCTTTCAAACTGTACAGTGCTTCTGTTTTCTGGAGCTTTGAACTATATCATGTGGACGCGTGCTGGGCATTAAAGGATCTTACTGCCTCCCTAATATTACTTCCCATTCTGATATAGTTCATCCATTGAAAATTGGGGGCTTATTTTCTATTTCAGGTACCAATGTACCTTTCCCAATTTAATCCCATTATTTTTCATTATACCATTCAAATTGCCTCTATAATTTCCAAATCTTATTAGAATTTTAATTCCTGTAGACAGTTTGCACAGCAGCTTCTTAGTCATTATTTAGTCAGATGCATCTGTTATCTCTTCTTTGATCTTTTTACTAAATTCTTGCAGTCACTCAATCCCAATGATTTTATAGATCTTTTTCTTTTCTATTTCCTTTCAAATGGACCCATGTCTACATTTTCTTGAGAGCAGCACATCAAGATTCGTTCTCCCATTATAGTGGTCAGAATTTATTTTTTAATATAGTGCAGATTAGTGCTTATGTTCCTGTATCACCTGTGACACGTGGGATACTAAAGCTGATTGTTTATGGTTTGAAGTGGGTAAAGGGATATTTGACTAGATAATCTTAAAATTACTTTTTAATCCTGTGATTTTATAATTTTCTTCAAAGATGACAAATTAGTTTTCATTTATAAATTGTGCAGCAAAGCAGTGATCTATCAAAAGAATTGAAAATGTCAAATGCAAAACTTTTCCAGCATAATCTTCCAATCTTTATAAATGTGAAAACATGTTTTTTGAATGGTGTACATAGTGTTTCTGGATTATGTTGTATTTTTATTCCATCAGTGGCTACTATTTTGTATAGAAATTTCCATGTAATCTACTATTCACCTTCTTGTCATTTAAGAGTTAGGTATTCATCTATTGCATTACTATATCACAGCTTGTCTAACTATTTGAATATGCAAATCTTAAAAGCCATTTTCCCTGAGTTATAAAATGACAACAATATATAGCAGGTGACCGATTCATTAAATTGAGAAATAAACTTGATTTTAGTACTAAGCTTACCACTAATAATTCATAGAATGCCTGTAGAATACAGAAATGTCATTTTATAGTCTTAAATTCTTTTTTATTTTGAAAAAACACATATGAATTGCATGATTCACTATCTTGCAATGCTGTGTTTCTATAGTTTATCCATTGTTGCTTTTTAAAATTTAGCATTTTAACATTTCTGTAAAGTGCATTCAATGTTTTTACTGTATATCCCTTTGTATAAAAACTAAGTTTATGAATAATTTTTCTTTCTGTCCAGCCTCAAGGGAGAATTTAAAACACATAGAAATTCTGCTCTTAGACACACCACTGCAGTTTCCAGTGGCAAATATTTCTGAAGCATGCTTCTAGTTCTTACAGTGATGATTCCTAAATAAAAGTATTTGCAACTTGTCCTTTGTGATAGCACAATGTTACGGGCAAAAAGTACATCTCTTTCCAAAATTAAAGTTGCTCTTGGCATGTGTCATTTTGTAAAATATGCCCTTTCCATTGATAGGTACCAATAAATTTCTGAAAGCATAGAGCAAAGGAATAATGTAACTGTGTGTGGGAGAAGCAAATCATTTGGAAAAGTTATATACTATAGATCAAAAGTTTGGACTCCTTTACCCAGGAAGTTTGTTATGCTTACTAACAAGATAGGGAAATGTGCTCTGGGCCCAACATGAGCTTAATATGTGTGTATCTATGTGTAAGCTCAAGTCTAGTGTATAACGACAGAGACTCGGCCTGGAAGGAATTGCTAAGTAGTAGGAAGAAATGGAAAGGTAATGTGGCAGACATGACAATAAAATTTAATTTTGGTATTTTGTTTGAGCAGGCAACAGCAGAGGAGGTTCTGGAATCAAATTCATTTTTTAAAATAATGATATTGCTATTACCAAATATAAAATGTCAACATTAGGCAGAAATTGTGCCATATGCCTGATAATCATTTTGATCTTCTCAATGACCTATTGAGGTAAGTGTTGTCATCAGGCTCATGGTCATGACAAAATTGAGGCACAGAGAGATTAAGTTACTTGTTTAGGTTCACTCAACTAGTATGTGGTAGAATATTCTGACTCATTTTTAATTCTAGTTAGTCTTGGTCTCTGATTTCCCAAATTTGTGCTTTTCAGTGGGGCAGGTAAAAAGCAAGCATGAGCTTATTTTGTACTTGAGAAAATAACAAATTCATTGATTGAAAGGAAAAAAACATTCCCTTTAAATGTCCTAGGAGGCTAAGACTAGTTTGTAGCCAACTAGCAGTCCCTGGCTATAGAGGAGCATATCAGGACCTATATTACAGATTTTTTTTTTTTCCCTAATAGAGTGAAGTACTGGTGTAATCTCAGGAATCAGATTTGCTAGATCTTGAGTGTACACTATGTACTGGGTGAACTTTCTGAAGTTCCATTTTCACTTATGTGACTAGAATTAACATGAACTTGATCACAGTTAAGATAAATGTAAAATGATGATGATAATGAAGATGCTATCAACAAGTAAGGCTTTACAATACTTTTCTATTTGTAAAGCCCTCTCTCATATATAATTTTGTTTGATTTTCTCTATAACTCTTGGAAGTAGGTATTTGTATCAAACCACAATCTGCATTTTACAGATGAGATCAATGGGGCTCATAGATGGTCAAATATAAATTTTGATTTGATATTTTAAAAACAACAGCAACACCAACAATCTAATTTACAAGAAGACTGGGTGTGACTCAGGGCTTATTCAGTGAAGACAACTATCAAGAATGTTTTAAAATTCAAATGAACAGCTTTGAGTGCTCCAGCTAGGCCAAGAAAATGATAACCTTTCAACACAGGCCAAAGTTAACAGTTGCGCTTAATATTTTCTTCCATACTTAAACTGTGATAACAGAACATGCGTTAAGCTGACAAGCCAGATGTAGTCCCCTTAAAACTGAACTAGCTCGAGGAAGACTGAAGGTTCAAAATTGTGGAAAGTGAAAATGGAATAAAACGAGAATGTCAAAGAAAAGAGTAGTGCAGTTGGTAGAAAACTTCTCTAACTGCCTGGGTATGTGTTCGTACCAGGCTTAAGAAAGATGCAGGGTAATGCATATTGAGAAAAAAAGAACAAGATGTACATACCCTAAATGTCAAGGCCCCTTAATTTTCTGATCGTTTTTGTTTTGTCTCCAATTTTTCTACCCAGTTTCCCTTGAAAATCAAATTTAAATCCTAAGTGTCCATCAACAGATGAATAGATTTCAAAAAGTGGTGTGTGTACACAACAGAATAATATTCAGCCTTACAATAAGGAAGGAAATCTTGTCATTTGAGACAACATAGATAAACCTGGAGGACATTACGCTAAGTGAAATAAGCCAGGCACAGAAAGACAAATACTGCATGATCTCATTGATATGTAGAATCTAAACATTTGATATCATAGAAGCAAATAGTAGGATGATGGTTACTAGCCACTGGGGAAGTGGGGTGCACGCATTGGGGAAGAGACCGGGGAAATGTTAGTCCAAGTGTACAAAATTTCAGTTAGATAAGAGAAATTCAAGAGATCTGTTGTAAAACATGGTTACTATAGTTAATAATAATGTATTTTATTATTGACAGCTTCTAAGAGTGTAGATTTTAAGTGTTCTTACCATAATATAAACATAAGAATATGAGGTAATACATAAGTTTATTAGCCCAATTTAGCCATTCTACATTGTATACATAGAACATCACAATGTACACCATAAATGTATATACAACTATGATTTGTCATTTAAAATATATTGAAAAACTATTTTAAACATAAATATTGAAAATCTGGGGAAAAAAAGACATAGATAAACACTATAGTGAAGAACCGTGTAATACTGAATGGTACACTATAAGAACAGTAGTACACAACAGCAGGGTCCAGGGAGGAGCCACTTCATGCAGTTGAAACAAAGTCAGAGATATAAGCCTTACTTCTGCCATGTCATCATTCATGAACAAAGAGAAAGGAATCTACCAAGATCCTTTACTACAGCACAGCATTCCCTAGATTTCTTCCTTTGTCTGTTTCTTCACTGTTTCAGCGACTTTTTATTCACCCACGCTCTAAATGTCAGCGCCCCTTAATGTTCTGATCTTGCTTGTCTTATATCTAATCCTCTACCCATTCACCCTGGAAAATCAAATTTAAAGCCAAGGATTACATTATAAATATTTTCCAAATCTCTATTCCTAATCTCCAAGCCTATATTTTTCACTGTCTGTGTATTTTTTATCTCAAAATGTTGAAAACAGGACTTAAAGTTCCAGGCTAAAATATTCAGAATCATCTTTTATTCATTTCTGCCTTGCCACCTAGCCATTTAATTCTGTTGCTTCTACTTCTGAAGTATCTTTTCTATCCATCTTCTCCTCAACATTTCCACCACTAATGTTCTATTTGTAGGCCATTGCTATTATTTTTTATAACTATTACAATGCCCTCGCTTACCTCTCTGCATTCTGGATTCAGGCTGTCCAGTGATCTTGTATACTGATACCCACTTCATAGGCTTAAAGCTATGTCCCTTGAACTGTGTTTTAAATACTGACAATTTTGAGGAATGTTAATAAAAGAAATTTTTTAATGGGAATTGTGATGAAATGTTATTAGGAAATGCTGGGTTAAACAAACTAAAATATATCTCTTTATGACAGGACTTTTCGCAGCCTATAGCATGTTAATTTACTTTATGAAAATTCCATATAAAATTTACATGTGGTAATAATTTTATTTGCCTTTTTTGTTATATTTCTGGAATGGGCACACAGTGTCCATCAAATAGAAGTTGCTTCGTAAATATAGTTTGAATGAAAAAAAATGATAAATTGTAAACAGCATTTTCACTTTTGCCTAAATGTAACAGTTTATCAAGTTACATTTCAAGGGAGTAATGTTTATGAATATTTTTCTGTGAAACGTTGGTCCAAAGTTGGGTTTCTCAACCTCAGCACATACTGTTTTGGGCTAGAAAATTCTTTATGGGAAGGAACCTACCCTGTACATTGTAGAATATTTAGCAGTCGTGTTGACCTCTACCTACTAGATGCCAGTAGCACCAACACTCCCATTTGTGACAGCCAGAAATATCTTCAGACATTGCCAAATGTCCCTGAGGTGTGGGTGAGGGGACAAGGAAGGCAATACCATCCCTACTTAAGAACCAGTGGTTTAAAGTATAGTCTGGGCTTATTACTCTTTAGCTACAAATTTTTCACAACCTTTTTATTGTCCATGAAATTATAACTAAGTTTCATAGAATAATATTCAAGTTTCCATTTTATCCCCAATCCTACAGGTACTTGCTCACACAAAAACATCTACACACATACATATACTTCCAGTCTACTGTAGGAATTTATCACACATATCTTCATTTCCTCCTTCTCTATCCCATACCTCCAGTTTGTCAAGTGTGTGTTTGAATAATTTTTTCTTTAATAATATGTATTACTCAAAGTTTCCCTTGTTATCCCTCCATAGTTCTGATTTCACCTGAGTATAAACATTTGGAGGAACACTGCACCATGTACCCTGGGTCCTATATCCCATTAAGGGAGCTCTGCCAATTTTCATATATGACCCATAAATGTAATTCCTTAATCAATATATGAAAATTTATTGAATGTCTACTATGTGCTAAGCACTGTGCAGTCTGCTGGGATTGCAACAATTACTGAAATACATTCCCTACTTTCAAGGAATTTGCATACTAGTGATTTATGAATTGAGATAAGGGCTATAACAGAGGCAAACACCAAAAGGCAAAGAGGTGAAGGAGAAGAACAATTAAATTTGTGTGAGAAGCTCTTGGCGGATAGTATAGTGTGTGGGGCATCGGTCAGAGTGGTGGGAAAAACTGCAGGGAAAGGACAGAAACCTTCTGAAAGGTGGGAAGAGTCTGCAGAGCCCCAGGGGAGAATAGCTGAAGGCAGCTGTTCTATAACCCTGAGGCAGAGGGCAAGGAGTAGGTACAAGGGAATGTGGGGGAATTTATCTTAAACAGGCTTGTTTACTTATGCTGACCAGGAACTGACCTTTGATCATCTGCACACCTGAAAGGGGAACAATAAATGTTAATTACCTACAGGTTGTGTTGGCTCCAGGTTTTTGGCATTCTGCCTGCACTGAATAAAAGCAAGCAGCTGCAGCTTCTCGGGGCTGCTCTCAGACCACTAGAGCCAGGCAGTCATCTACCTGCTGTTACACTGCATACGTGTGTCTGAGTACTAATTTCATCCATCAGCCAGGGTCTGCGGCATAGACCCGGCAATAGAGGTAGCAAGTATGAGCCATGAAAATGAGTAAGTGCCGATCCAGCACCTCAAAGAGTGACCACTCATATTAGGCCTTGTGAAGAGCGAATCCACTGGTATGAAGGCACAATTGTGTTTTAGAGAGTTGCTGTTGTTGAATGCTGTCTACGTTTGGTCCCTGCAGTATTTCCCTCCTATAGTAAGAAAGAAAATTTCACCAAGGATTTTCACCCAGGCATGTCTTTTCACTCATCCGTAATTCTTGCCTTTATGCTTAATAACATTGGACAGAACATTCAGATACATTGCAAGAACATGGTTCAAGGGGATCCTGTGGGAACAGTGGAAGGGGAGTAGGAGTGCAGGTAGCAATAATCAGGACAGAATGTAGTCATTGTTTTCCCCCGCAAAAAAATGTGTCCTGGCCACCACACAAAGCAACCTTCACCTCCTGTTCTCCTGGATGAGATTTTCAGCTCAGGCAAAACAAATCAACTCAAGGTATTTGAACAAAAAGTGTTAAATATATCAGGGTAGTTTTAAAGGTTAAACACACACAGCAACAACAACAACAATAAAGAAGATTTTTTTTTACCCCTACATTGAAGCAACGTCCATTAGCAGATATTTACACATTGGAAGAAATTTTCAAATGCTTTTTAAATATCATGTCAGTGATAACTGCATATGCATATTTTACCTGAATAAATTGTTCACTGAAGTAATGGAAGCTATATGGGCAAAGCAAATGAAACATAGAATTTATCAAGCAGTCCTTACTGTATTTTCATTATATTTTCTCCAAAATGTTTAAAATTAAATTAGATTTGTACTTGCCAGAATTTTGCTTAGCTTAATTATGCCCAGAAAGGAATTTGACAAATCTATTTAAGACAAGTCTTGGTCTAAGGGAAATGAAGCTCTGGATTCAGAGATAAATGGGATTTTGGTATCTGCTGCTTTTATTGTTTTTTTTTGTTTTGTTTTGTTTTTTTTAATCAGAGATTCTCCCCAGTATCTGCTACAGAGAGCTATATATTGGCTGTGGATGCCACAGGGATTTCATCTTGTGAGAAGATTGTGAGATATGGATAGTAGCTCCTGGGAATTCTGTGAAGATAAGGAAAGGTGGTCGAGTTTGATTAGTGATGTCTGTCCTGGGTGCAGCCTTGGGAGCAGTGGTATGCAAACCACATAACCATAACAGACAGCTTTGTTTTCTCAATCTAGGGACTAGACTCTAAGTCCCTTTAGATCCTTTGTCCATTTTCCAACATGATGATTAAAATTATCAACCTATTTGTCTTGATTTATTATTTCAAATTATAGAAAAAAATAACTGGAAAAGATCTGTTTTAAAACACAAAGATAGTCTATAGTCCCATAACTCTATCTTCTAAATGTATACATTCCTTTTTAGTATTAGTCTGCATTTCAATATTTTTACAGTTGTATATGTATCATTTTCTATGCTGCATTTTAATATTAATTTATATCATAAATGTTTCCATTTTTGCCAAATAGTCTTTCAAACTATTGTTTAAGTGACTAATTTTTCACTTTCTTTTTGATTGTTTTGTCAGTAGCTAGGCCTTCCTAAAGAAATTTTAGGACAGTTTTACTTAGAATCTTAACTAAGCATATATCAACTTTTCCTTCAGTGTTTATAACTTCAGTTTGTTTCTGAAAATAAATGATGTTTTAATAAAGTATTTAGAGAGAAAAATATTTTACATAGTCTTAATTCTGAATACACACACACACTATATATATATATTTTTTTTTTTTCTTTTCTTTTTTTTTTTTTTTTGAGATGGAGTTTCGCTCTTGTTGTCCAGGCTAGAGTGCAATGGCATGATGTCTGCTCACCACAACCTCCACCTCCCGGGTTCAAGCGATTCTCCTGCCTCAGCCTCCCAAGTAGCTGGGATTACAAGCATGCACCACCACACCTGGCTAATTTAGCATTTTTAGTAGAGATGGGGTTTCTCCATGTTGGTCAGGCTGGTCTCGAACTCCAGACCTCAGGTGATCGGCCCGCCTCACCCTCCCAAAGTGCTGGGATTACAGGCATGAGCCACCATGCCCGGCAATAAAAATTATATATATATTTCTAAGAATTATTTGGGCAAATAGCTAATGGCGTTTTCATTTTCAGAATTTATTAACCTCTCTGAACAGAGCAAACATAATATCAGCATTTACAGGTGTTCTGTTTGTCCTGAACTCTAATACCTCCTTCAGATAAACCTAAACAAATGCCATCCATGCAGAACTCTCAGCCTTAAGATATATTTGGACAATTCATTCTTCCAAACCAAGTCTGGCAGTCCTGGACTTCCATAATCCAGCATGAATTTTCTATTCCCACTGGCTCCTGCTGCTTCCCTATATGAATTATTCACTCTTGCTAAACAAGTCTACTCACTGTACTCTGAACACTCAATGTTTGCCCGTCTTCACTGCCTCTGTTTATGCTACTTTCCCTGCCTTGGAATCTTCCCTGTTCTCCTAGGCTTGTGAAAAATCCAACCTGTGCTTGAAACAGCAGCGTCTCCAGGAAATTTTCCCTGACTAACCTAACCCTTAGAGATTGCTCTCTTCTCTTATTTGCCTCACTAGGAACTTCACTCTGTTACTGTTAAGTTTTAATTATTTTTTTTTACTAGGTCATATCCTCAAGGGCAAAAACTACAAATCCTTACATTGATCTGTGTTAAATTAGTGACTTGCTATCAGTGAACTTCAAGCTCGCAATTAGTATCAATGATTATACCTCCTGCCATAGCCCAGTAAGGCATTTTTTTTCAACCATTGTGCATGTGTCTGAAGCTTGGTAGACCGTCATTCTTTTACTTTAGATGGATTGTAATACTTCCTATGCAGAAGTACTCTTGTCGCATCTGTATTAGCTGTTTTGTTAGCACTCTGGGAACTGTTAGTCTTTCACTACCCAGAAGCTTAACAGAGCAAAATCTATGTTTTCTTCCTTGCCTTGTAATGAGTGATCTGTTTCCAGTGAAATGACAGCATTCTCAGGCAGCTTAACATCTGTTATGATGGCAATGGGCTAATGTCACCCACAGCAACTATAACCATCAAATGGGTAGCAGCAATGATTCTGCCAACTGCAGATAAAATTTACTGAAATTAATAGAACTGAAAGGTACTGCCAGCAATTTAGGGCTCAAAAATTAGTTTTAGACCTATCTCCCTAGTGAAATTTCCCCTAACTCATAGGATTTTCTCTTTCTTCCCATGAGAAAGTTGTAAATTTCTCATCTGTAAAATCTTCTATGAAGATTTCCTTTTTTTGCTTTTTTACACTGACCCACACTCAGCTACAGCTTTTTGCTCACTATAGGAATGGCTATTGGACGTGAATGTGAGGTTTGTGTGACTGCAGCTGAGACTGACTGACTTGAGTCAGGAAGATGTAGGGGAGTGCTTGTCTCTCTCTTTCTCAGAAAAGCATGGATTTGACTGCTGGAAACCATACCCATGAACACTTTGCCACGTAGCTCTCCTTCTCACTGTTTTACAAGTTTCACTGGAAGAACTAATTTGTTCCCAAGTCTTTCTACTTCTCTGCACCAACATTCTTGGTGGGACGTGGCAGGACATGAGATAGAGTACTTGAAACAATGACTTTTAAAAATGGAGGAAAGAGCTCATTTATTGAGTGCCCCTTCTTTATCATATTTAAAAGCTGAATAATGTCTCATTGAAAAATATGTTATTATTCCATGTCCTTATTGACTATTTTCTCATCAAATCTGTATGGAAATTAACAATGGTTTCATGGAAAAACAGAAGACAAGTTGTAGCTCCTGGCTATAGGTTTTTTAAAAATTTAAATTTATTTTAGATGCAGGGGTACATGTGCATGTTTGTTACATGGTTATATTGCTTAATTGTGGGGATTGGGTCTGTATTGACTCATAAAATGAAGGGGTTGAAATAGATCTCACAGATTCTTTACTTATCTGTCATTATATATACCATAATGGAGAATTTAAGTATAAACAAGTTTTCATTGTGAGTTATAGAATAATCAAGGAAGAAAGAAATCTGGGACATTTCTGTACACTGTGCATTGGTGTATCTGAAACATATTACTTGAGCATTTTTACTTGGTAACCTTGCCATGGTGATATCTTGTTTAAGTTCTCAAAGCTATGATGTGTTAGTATTTGTAATTTAATGTATAACAAGAATGGTTTTAATTGGTTGAGTTGCATTCTGGGAAAAAGGTGAAAAAAACGACGGTATTCAGATAGAGCTGTACAGCATCTGGTGTCTTTATTAGAAACCATAGGCCTTAAGTTAGATACATCCACATATGAAGTCTACAACTTATATGCTATTACACAGTTATTGAATCCTTTCATAATATCATGTTTGATTAATTGGAATGCGAATAGAAAATTCATAAAAACTAAACATTAAAAGCATTTTGTGTAGCAACACCAAATATTTAAACTCAATGACAGAAGTGAATATGTAAGAATTTAATTTTCATGCAGGTCCTGGGGCTGATCTATATTTATTTCCAAATTCAGCATGTAGGAACTGGTTTGGGTTATTTAATTGGGAAAATAAAAACGAAAACTTGGAAAGGAGATGAACAAAGTAGAGTTTGGGAAATGTTATGCTATAAATTATGTTTACAAATAAGCACTTCAGCAGGATTTTGTTACTGTTTATAATTACTTTTATGTCATATGGCCAGAAGTAAACTTTGGCTAACGTTTGACTTTCATTAGACATTAAATGGCATCAACTGACAGTGTGTTGGATGCCTCATGTATAAGTTTTATGTGCAGAAAGTCGTCAAAGTTGTTTTGCTGTTTCTGTGTGGTCAAAGAGAGAGTTAATAGATTTTTTTAATCAAAAATATTCACACACGTAAAATACTCATTTTTCATAGAAATCCACTGACCTTTTTCTCAAGTAATATTCAGAATTTTTCCATAATCTTTGCAATGATAGAGTCATCATGCCCTTAACCAGGGTTTTAAACCGTTTTTGAAGAGTTACAATGTCCGTATGCCTTATTGTTTTTTGTTGTTAATTTTGAAGCAGAGCATGACAAAAACATGATGACAACCTTTGTCATGTATTTATGAAGTAGTCCTAGTTTTGTCAGATTAGAGAAAGGAGTGAGAAAAGGATTAAGCAGCTCCCCTCAGGCCATGCAGTTGTAGGTAGCAGAATCAGAACCCTACATCTGACTTGTCTGACTTCAATCATAGTGCTTTTTCTGCTACTATATGTGACCATGTGTTCATGGAACTCATATTTTAAAACATTTTAATAGCTCAGTAAAATATTATACTTCTCTGATTTATTATTTGATAAATTGTCCAGTTTGAAATTTGTATTGACCCAGCTTACTTTCAGAAATTCTGAACAAAAGCCATATTCAGATCTAGACCTGTCTAGACTGGCTGCCTGTACTAGTCAGATGAATAAACTGCCATTTTGACCTTCTTGAGGTTTTACTCTGTGACCTGACCTAAGTGATTCATTGTTCTTCTTTTATCAGTTTGTCATGATTCAAGAATAAATAACCTCAAATAATGACCTGGACAAATGTGTTCCAGCTTCATCTCTTTATTGTATATCCATTCCAAAGATGCTGTTGGACTTCATAAAATCCTTGGAAACATTTTAAATTCTCAAAATATAAACCAAATATAATATGTCCTTGTGATGGAAAATTACCACGTTTCCTAAAGCCGTAGCAGAGTTCACATCCATATTAGTTCTTGAGTCATATTTCTGAATCAAGGCCTCCAAGTAGTTTGTCTCTAAAATAATAGACAATACTTCCCTCAGGATTCTGCATGCAAAATATACAGAATTCATTGACTCATTCATCAAGCAGTAAAATTTTGTTCAGGGCCTACTATGTAGGACTTTCTTGATCAACTATCGTTTTTGTTACCTTGTTTCCATTGAATTAATTCAAGTCAAGATTGTTTCATTGTCCTATGTGTGTTATCTCTGTTCCATGACAAATCATCCTGGATGTGGTGCTCAGCCCTTTCCATAATTTCTTCAAAATGAGCAAAGAAAACACAAAGAGACGCGGCATTTCTCTGTGAATATCAGACTTCACCGGAGGTTGTATGAGGTGCAGATATTTACCTTTCAAGTGTGGAGATAACTTAGAATATTGGTTACCCATGTTCTTAAGAAAAGTCCGTGCACCATTGCTACAACTTGAGCTCTGCCTTCTCCTCTGGCCTTCCCAGTTGTACTTGTTGATCATGCATTCTTCTCTTGATGTAATACAGAACAAGAATGCTTTCTTCAGCCTCAGCTGTAGCTGTTCCTGTCCCACCATTACATATCCCTTTACTGGCCTTACATAGAAGGACCTTAATTTAAAAGGTCCTGCTCCCTTAAAAGTAGCTGTAACCATTCTCCTTCTCCATTGTGCTTGCTCACTTCCCTCAAGGGCTGTGCACTTTCAAATGCTAGAAATTTTATTCCATTTTTTGAAGTCTCAGTACTTAGCCATCATGCTTGGGAGGTACCAGCACATAACCAATTTTTCTTCTTTCAATAGACTATAAGTGCTTTGATGATTTATAGACTTACTCTTTTTCACATTTATTTATAGTAATAGAAAACCTTCATGTAGCTGTCGTGATGTATATATAGCAGTTACTATGTATCTGGCAATGTTCTCAGTGTTCTACATGGATTAGTGCACTTAATTCTCAGGACAAACTAATGAAGTAGGTGCTTTTATCAGCTGCATTTTACAGACAAGGAAACTAGCACAGAGTTGGGTAACTTGTGCTAGACTGCATAGTTAGTATGCACCAATTGGATTTGAACTTATGCCATTGAGTTCTGGAGTCCATGTTCTTAAGTACTAGATTATACTTGCTCTCTATGCTACAATCATGAAAATTATCACTGAAGTCTATAATTTTATGAGCTTGGTATGCCCAGTATCTCTCATTCTTATAATAAGGAAATTAAGCACACTGCATCCAAGTATACATGTTTGGGTAAATGAAAGTTTTATTTGTGTGTTGGTTGTTTGTTTTTTTTCTTGGCAAAGAAGGAATTGTTTAGATGAAAAGGACTATGAAAACCGTGTATTGTAATCTCTTTTAATTCAGCTAATGTGAATGAATTGCCTTCTGTTTGACAAGAAAGTCCACTTGTGTTATCTCATTGAATGTGTGCAACAAACACATGCCTTATCTGCAATATTATTGTTAGTTTGGGGGCTGTTGTTATCCTAGAGTGCGTTAATAGTACTGTCACTTGGAGGCAAGAGCATTTTATATCTCTCCTCTGGGGCATGATATTATCACTAAGCAGAAAGGTCAGTACTTTTATCATGAATTAAGACAGAAGAAAAAAAGTAGAAAATCTGAGATTATGGCTCCATTTGGAATTGATGTTTCTTTTTTTCTAAAGTAAATGTACGTCAGTTCTTAACACCATCATTTTTACAGAGGAGTTGCATAGTAAGGTGGTTAAGAGTGTGGCTCCTGGACCTAGACTGCCTGGTGTGAATCTTAACGCAGCTTCACTGGCTGTGTGACCTTGGACATGTTATGTAGTCTCTCTATGCCACAATTTTCTCAGCTGCAAAATGAGGATAGTAATAAGGCCAATCTCACATGACTGCTTTGAGAATTAAGGAATTTAATATATGCAGAGGTTTTAGAATAAAGTCTGAAAGGAGTAAGTGGTTAAGTGTTAGTGGAATGAATAAAATATACCTTCTCTCAAAAATCTTTCTAGATAGTTCTAAATCTTCAATGGTTCCAGAATATATTTATTAAGTAATGATATGAGCTCAGATTCTCTTTTCATAATTAAAAAAATGTTTTGATGTGTAGATTCAAGGACTAATAAATGTAGCCCTTGTTTTATCTTGAAAATGAAAGCAGATATTTTGGGATTAACAGTCAAGAACAGTTGGAACAAATACAGAATTTTTAAAATTTAAGTATGAATGTATTTTAAAAACACCAATTCCCCCTCCCCCCAATTTTATCTTTTCTTTGGAAGGTGGAAGGTTGAGGTTCTAATTTAAGTAAACATTCAAAAAGGGAAAAATTAGGGAAAAAAGTTTATTTCCCCAGCTGGGAAATGTCTGCAGATATAGTGAATACTTAGTCAGCAGATCTCTATTTTTATTCAAGCAACTTGCCAAGAAATACAGTGGCTGCAGTTTTCTCTCCTCTCTAATGTAAACTGCAGCTCAGCTAGGAATACTGAAAATGGATGCCCATCCTTTAATGTGCCTGAGTGGGCCATGGGTAGCACGTAGGTCAGCAAATTCTACTCCTGCTCTCTACTGTGGGAATTGGCCCAGTTAACAAAGGCAAACTAGGTTAGGTCTGGGTTGATAACCTACTGTTACTATTTGAGTGTGCTTCATGAACCACAAATCTGAGCTCTCTTACAGAAACCAGTATGCAATATTCTGGTTTCCTATTTGTCTTGGAAAGCAGTCATGGCCATGATTTTTTTTTTTCCTGTGGGATCCACGAGTTTAAAGCCTTACAATGTGATGACGAGCACTTTATAGTTTACATGATGATTTTTATGTACACAGTCTGTTACCTACCTTCATACTTTTCTCACATTGTCTGACCGCCAGGAACAGCTTTGGCTTTCCCTCTATATTTTTTATTTCCAAATCCTAGCAGCCCTTTAGGCCCTGAAGCTGATGTTAGCCCATCCATCAAGCCACTATTGATAGCTCCGTTGGGAAGTAACCATTTCTTTCCCTGAACTTCTGAAGTGTTTCATCTGCACCTGTTTTATCACATGGTCCCTTTCTACCATGCATTCTACCAGTTTATACTATGTGTTTGTTTTTTCTCCTCTATTAGCTTCTGGAGGGCATGTCCACATCATCTTGATATTATACACTGTATCTTGAATGATGCCCATCATGTAGTAGGTACATAATGGATATTGACCAATGAACGTATAAACAACAAATCATTTAATCCTGACAACAACCTAGGAATAGATGTTATTCCAGTTATAAATGAATGAGAACAATAATAACTACAGCTAATATTAATTGTTAAGAATGTGCTAAGCACTGGTCTATATGTTTTGTGCATGTCATCCCATCTAATCCTCATAACAATTTTATGAGCTGGATACTATTAATATCATTCCCATTTTACAAATGAAGTGATAGAGGCATATAGCAGTCATGTAACTTGGAGAAAGAGCAATTTATAGAGCCAACATTTGAACTTTAGGCAGCTGGTTCTAGATCCTTTCTTTTTATTATAAGCATACTATTATATGCATGGTTTCATAGCACGCCAGTATAAAAATTTTGATTTAAACTCAGGACTTCTAATTGCAAGTCCAGTACATTTTCTACTGTGAAGACCTAATACCATGATCATTGTAGATAGTTCAACTATAACGCTACTAAACCCTCCTCTCCAGTTTCTACTACCTACAACTGGATCTCCTGGTTTTATAGCTCAGTCCTTTCCTGGTCCACTATTAACCTTTCTAAACCAAGTCATGTCATAATCTAGAATATAGAAGTATAGGATGCCATCGAATTATAAAGGTAATTTTTGGGGACTAAAATAAAATGCCTAGTGTGCATGTCCAGGAAACTGAGAGCTTCATAGCCTACCCCAGACTCTAATTTTTATTTGAAAAGTCCCACAGGTCCAGAACAGTCAGGACAGTTTAGTACCACCAACCCAGTGGAGTTGTTGAATGGTTCTCAACCTTGGCTACATATCAGGATGGTCTGCAAAATGTGTTAAAATACAGATTCCTGGGCTTCACTCATATTAAATCAGAACTTGACTTATAATCCCATTTATATAATTGGCCAGATGGTCACCCTACTAAAATGATATTGCTGTGCCTACAACTTGAATTAAAAAGTACCTCTATTATAACATGAAATACTATTTAATAAATAACATGCATTACAGTTAATAAACTGTGCTACATAGATATAAATTAGAGATTTTTTAAATAATTCACTATATTATAGACATTGTATGTTATTTAAATTAACACTAAAATTTATTGTTAAAATTTAGTACATTTCATATACATTGCTTTTAAATACCATGAATTTTAAGTAAAAATCTTGATCTATTATTTATATTCTTTTCCCCAGAAGTTAGAAAAAATTTTTAAAATGTTTATATTATGATCAATAAGCAGACATCAAAAATCATTGATAAGAGAAAGTTATTTGGATCATAGAATAACATGCTAGAGAAAACAGATAAATTATGAGGAAAATGAATAGGAAATGGATTTAGAGCTACAATTTCCAGCAGAATATGTATCTGATTGATCAGTGTTGTATTTCTGTTTAATGTGATCTTGAGATTTTTTCTCTGCAGAGGGAGTGTAAACTCTAGCCCTGCCCTGATTAGGTTCCAGGGCATTGTATGTGGCTATTTACACTGTGCCTTTCACAAGACACTTCTTTATCCTTGCGGATAGCCTAATGCCTAGGAATCTGACCCATGCCAGATGTCCCTTTCATAGGAAACTTGTTTATACTGGCAACTGCCCTTGAGGCTCTTGTGTGACTTCTGTTCAGTTTATTCCTGCCAAGGTAGCCACTCTTTAGGAGAGCTTTGACTGGGAGGAAAGTTAGGTCTATGTGTATCAGTTAGGTGAGGCACAGGGAAGACAATACAACAAAAACACATGAAGAAACAAAAGCAGTTCATTATTCGTAGATCCCAGAGAGAAGAGGGGCACCCACGGGCAGGTTGTCAAACCAGTGAGAGGGGAGTGACAAATAGAGAAGACCTACACAGTAAGGCATTGATTGGGGCCCAGGATACTACCAAATCAGATTTCCATTCCAACTGGTGGAGTTAGAGAAAGCAGGCATGAGTTCCCTGGGGTTGCACTGTAACATAATGGTCACTGCAGCCTATCTGCACAGTCCCTGTTGAGGGTAGAATAAGTGGGGTGAGTCAAACGTGCTGTATCTTTATGTCCTACAGGGAGATCGTTACCAGGAGGTGGCTGTACAAAGCAGATATGTGGGTGGACCACACTGAGCAACTGGGAGATGAAAAACTGGAAACTGTGTCAAAGGTGACTAATCCCTGCTTCTGGTATAAGAAAATTAAACCTATATTCAGAATGGATGCCAAGGCAACATAAAATTATTTCACTACAAGCAGGATATAAGATATGTTCCAAATACATGTAAAGCATACCTGATGAATTTCAAGAAAAAGCAGATAAGATAAACCAAAAGAATACATTAAACAAAAATTTAATATTTGTAATTCAAGAACATGACTACATAGTTTTTTTTTCAATGATAATACACTCTTGTAGAAAATTATCTAGTTCAGGTAGAAAATTTAAGTTTGAATAGGGTAGGAAGTTTCCAGAAGCATATTTACATGAATTCTCCCAAATGGTAGAGGGGAGAAAATTACTAAATACTGGTTAACTTATTCTGCTTTGAAAGATTTAATATTGTCTATATTTCAAACTCCTTGTGGGTTGAAACAATCAATTAAAAACAACTGGGTGCAAGTATTTTTTAGGAAATGTGAACAAAGTAAAATCTGGCCAGCTGCAGTGGCTCATGCCTATAATCCCAGCACTTTGGGAGGCAGAGGCGGGTAGATCACTTGAGCCTAGGAGGTTCGAGACCAGCCTAGCCAATACGGAAAAACCCCACTTCTACTAAAAATACAAAAAGAAAGAAAGGAAAAACTAGCTGGGCATGGTGGTGGGCGCCTGTCATCCCAGCTACTCTGGAGGCTGAGGCACGAGAATCCTTTGAACCTGGAAGTTGGAGGTTGCAGTGAGTCGAGATCGTGCCACTGCACTCCAGCCTGTGCGACCAAGTGAGACCCTTTCTCAAAAACAAAACAAAACAAAAAAGTAAAATCTACATCAATAGTAGGCTTCAGCATTCAAAATTGAATTCAGCTGTAGAAGAGAGACAATTTGTAGGAAAAAAATCAGGGTACTTTGGAAGGCATATAATGTAAAAGTTTTAACTTTTTTATTGACAGCTGTATTGAAATATAATTCACATGCAATACAATGTATCCATTTAAATTATACAATACATTGTGTTTAGTATATTTACAGTTATGTGTCCTTCACCACAATCAATTTTAGAACATTTTTATCACCCCAGAAAAGAAACTCTGTACCCATTAGCAGTCACTCCCTTTTTTGCTTAACACTCCCTGCAATCACCCCTGTGGGCTGCCTTTTCATTTTGTTGGCTGCTTCTTTTGCTGTGCAGAAAAGTTTTAATTTGATGTAGTCTCATTTATTTTTGTTTCTGTTGCCTGTGTTTTTGTGTCCTACCCAAAAAATAACATTGTCAACACTAATGTCATGAGTTTTTCCATTCTAGGAGTGTTACAGTTTTGGGTCTAATATTTAAATCTTTAATCCATTTTGATTTGATTTTCGTATTGGTAGTAGACAGGAATCCATTTTATTTTTTGCATGTAGATATCCAATTTTTTCAACACTATTTATTGAAGAGACCATCCTTTCCCCATTGGGTCTTCTTGGCTACCTCTGTTAAGGATTAGTTGACTGTATATGCATGAGTTTATTTAAGAGCTTTCTTTTCAATTCCATTAGTCTGTGTCTATTTTTATGCCAGTACCATGCTGCTTTGATTGCTATAGCTTTGTAATATAACTTAAAGTCAGAAAGTATGATGCCCCCAGCTTTGCTCTTCTTGTTCAATATTACGTTAGCTATTTGGGGTTTTTTTATGGTTTCATATGAATTTGAGAATTGTTTTTTCTAATTCTGTGGAAAAATACCGTTGGGGTTTTGACAAAGATTGCATTGAATCCACAGATTACCTTGGGTAGTATGGACATTTTGACAAAATTAGATTATCTGATCCATGAATATGGAATGTCTTTTCATTTATTTGTGTCTTATTCATCTTTTCAACAATATTTTAGTGTTTTCAGTGTATAAGTCTTTTACTTCCTAGGTTACATTTATTCCAAAGTGTTTTAATCTTTTTGTTGCTATTGTAAAATGGATTGTTTTTTAAATATCTTTTTCAAATAGTTCATTGTTAGAGTATATAAATGAATTGATTTTTATCAATTTTGTATCCTGCAACTTCATTAAATTCATTTATTAGAGCAAAGAAGTTTTCTGTTAAGATGGCCATTATTAAGAAGTCAAAAGATAGCCAGTGTTGATGAGGATGTGGAGAAAAAGAAACTCATGTACTGTTGTATAAACACTATCTGAGGGGTTAGGAATTCAATAATTTGAGATGGAGTCTCACTCTGTCGCCGAGGCTGGAGTGCAGTGGTACAATCTTGGCTCACTACAACCTCCACCTCCCGGGTTCAAGCTATTCTCCTGCCTCAGCCTCCCAAGTAGCTGGGACTACAGGTGTACACCAACACGCCTGGCTAATTTTTGTATTTTTAGTAGAGAAGGGGTTTTACCATATTGACCAGGCTGCTCTCGAACTCCTGACCTCATGATCCACCTGCCTCGGAATCCCAAAGTGCTGGGATTACAGGCATGAGCCACTGTGCCTGGCCAATTTT
Organism: Homo sapiens; assembly: GCF_000001405.40. NCBI lineage: Eukaryota > Metazoa > Chordata > Mammalia > Primates > Hominidae > Homo > Homo sapiens. Next base: position 143,293,659 of record NC_000023.11, on the reverse strand, counting down.
TAAATTATGTACAGAAAACAATGAGTTGTAACAGATTATATTGCAAAAAAAAAGTCTAGATTCTAAAGCATTCTATATTCCCTATGCACTTTCTCCTTAAAGTGAATAAAATAGTAAATATCTCTTGACACTACTGATTTTAAAACTATAATTCCAAAACAAGACAGCCAGTTCTTAGTTTCAGTGACTGTGGAGGCGTTTTGAAGAACTTTTACCCCACATAAATTTGAAGCCATTGTCAAATACTTAATGGGAAACTTGAGTTGATGCCATCATACCACTAAACCTTCAATTAGAGACTTATGCTGTGCTTTTTTAGACACTATTGATTCTATTAATAGTGACAAACATTTTTGGATTTCAGCCAAAAGTATACTTTTGAAAACGTCTAGTTTTAAAATTATTTATTTAATACTAATTTGTTATAGTGTTTCAAATAAAATCAATATTATAAGGACACCTATGCAGAAACCAAAAATCTATATAATTCTCTTGAATGCAGCAAAATATTTAAAACAAAACATTTGAAAACATAGTTTATGATGTTTATGACAATACATTATAGATGCTAAAAATTGCAGTCTTTTGACATCAACATCAACTTTTCCATTGTAGAAAATTATTTTATTGTATTGTGTTTTATTTATTTATTTATTTTTAAGACAAAGTCTGGCTCTATCAGCCAGGCTGGAGTGCAGTAGCATGATCTGGGCTCACTGCAGCCTCTGTCTCACAAGCTCAAGCTGCTCTCCCACCTCAGCCTCCCAAGTAGCTGGGATTATAGGTGCACACCACACCACACCCAGCTAATTTTTGTATTTTTTGAAGAGACAGGGTTTTGCCATGTTGCCCACACTGGCCTCGAACTCGTGAGCTTAAGCAATCCACCTGCCTCAGCCCTTACAGGCGTGGTCACCATGCCTGGCCCCCAATGAAGATAATTCCATAAAATGAAAAAAGTCAATTTGATTGTAAATCTCACAATGGGTTCATCTATGTTTCAAAACTGAATATCAAAATCTATTTTTCTATGTTGCATATAAGAATAATACCTTTAAATAAATAATTTATGGTACTGCAAAAATGTTGTTGCCTTTTCAGTGTTCTAGATGACATACGTAGTTTGAAGAGCTTTGAGGTCTGAATTTCTGCAATTTTGTAAAAATGTGCAATTAAAATAGATAAATACAATAAGAATGAGATGTTGATTGAATATTGATGTATGAGTAAATGAAAACTTTTAATTGTTTCATAAACCCAGTATTAGTTCCACAGATATATCACAACATATTTGCAGCAATGACTCATCAGATGTATTTCCAAACGCTTGTCACTTTCTGTGTATATTTAACTTTGCCAACATTAGTAGACAGAAGAGAAGGTAGTCTCTCAAAATTTGGATTTACTGAAAATCACTTAAGGTCTACAATGTCACAAGAAAGATACTCATCATTAGTGACCATTTCTATTCAAAGTAAGACATTAGAGGAAGAAATAACTAATCATAAACTATATTAAATATTTTGCTGTAATAAGGAGTACCTTTTCAAATATGCTAGTGGTGATATTGCTTTTCTCCTTCAATGAATTTTCAGTCTTGAAAGGATGGCTTGTTAGGGGAATACACTTAAGACATGACTTTTCTGCTTAGCTTTCTGCAGACAGAATGAAATTCCTATCTAGAGGTAGCATGGTACAGGGGGAAAAGCCTAGGTTTTGGAATACAAGGCAAAATTTTAAGACCGTTACAATAGCTAATTCTTGGCCACTGGAGAAGTCATTTCACCTCTCTGACTCACTCTACTTATCTGCAAAAGGTGGGAAATAAGACTGTTTATCTCCTAGAGCAGCATATACTGAAAAACTAACAAATTATATGCAAAGCGCTTATCACCTTGTGTTGCACAGAGTAAGCACTCAATAAAAGTAACTGCTTCCTCCCTCAAGAATGGTAGGGGGAGGGAGATCTGATAAATATAGTATCTGATATCTTCTCTTCTATTGTGACGAGATCTTTCAGCTCCCATTCAATAGCGTAGTTGTAACATTATTAGATTCTGTCCTTAAGTTTCTCTGTTATTTCACAGCACTTTCAGTCCTTACATTGCTATTATTCTATTTATTTTATTTTGAGACTGGGTCTCACTCTGTCATCCAGGCTGGAGTGCAGTGGTGCGATCACGGCTCACTGCAGTCTCAATCTCCCTGGCTCAAGTGATCCTCTTGCCTCAACCTCCTGAGGAGCTGGGGCTACCATGACTGGCTAATTTTTATATTTTGTGTAGACAGAGGCTGTCAACATGTTGCCTGGACTGGACTCCTGGGCTCAAGTGATCCACCTGCTTCAGCCTCCCAAAATTCTGGGATTACAAGCATGAGCCACCTTGCCCAGACTATTATTATTCTAATAGCTCCTTGAATTTGAACTCTACATTTTTAGCTGAAATAGATCAGAAATAAATACTATATAAACATGACATATACGTAGAAATTGCTGTCTTTTAGCCTGTGAAATTTTTACTTTTCTATACCTCAGGATTTCAGAGCAACTATTCACACAAATGAAAAAAGAAAAAAATATAAAAGAAAATAAAAATTGGTGTCTAAATATTTTATCTGATTTTCAATGAGATTTTGTTGATCCACTTTTCTGTTTCAAATGGTCTGTATAATTTACTTGTTAGAAAATATATCCATATAAATGTATACACACATATGTAAAATTATTTGGAGGGTTAATTATAAAGGTAGCGATAGACATATACTTGCAAAGTAATAATTCGCTTCCAAGCTAAAAATTTTCAAACAAAAAAAAAATCGGAATCACATTTAAAGCTCCAATTTGTAGGCCGGGCATGGTGGCTCACGCCTGTAATCCCAGCACTTTTGGGAGGCCGAGGCGGGCGGATCACGAGGTCAGGAGATCGAGACCATCCTGGCTATGGTGAAACCCCATCTCTACTGAAAAAAAAAGATACAAAAAATTAGCCGGGCGTGGTGGTGGGCGCCTATAGTCCCAACTGCTCGGGAGGCTGAGGCAGGAGAATGGCGTGAACCCGGGAGGCGGAGCTTGCAGTGAGCAGAGATCGCGCCACTGCACTCCAGCCTGGGCAACAGAATGAGACTTCATCTCAAACCAAAAAAAAAAAAAAAAAAAAAAAAAAAAAAAGCTCCAATTTGTAAATTAGAAGGAGACTTATTATCCTGAATCTTGCAAAGGCTTTATGACTATGTTACTACTACATAACATTGGCTAAGATTATTAGAGTGTACCAGTCAGAAATATGAGTTATTTCATTTGCAGTATAATTTTTGGCACATAGTAAAAATTCAATAAATATCTGATGAAAGATTTAATTAGACATAGTTTTCTATATCTACAGGGAGATCTGAGATCCAAAAATCATCAGTAGTTAGACTACATTCATATGTTTAATTGCATGGCCAACCTGACCCGGCAGTATTGGCACGAACAGAGATGCATCCTACTTTTAATCAAAAGAGAAAGATTGAGTAGTTAACTATAAAGGGAGAAAATCTCAGTAATTATAGCAGTATATATTCCATGTTTTAAAAAGTCACATCCAGAGACTGAGAGAAAGGAATAAGGATAAAATAAATAAATTAAAAAAAAAAGTCGCAGCCATTAGAAACAAGTAAACCTATTGGTTATGCAGAACAAAGTTCTTCTTGATAGTCATTGGAGATGTTCTCAAAGATTTCATTTCTCCTCCTGCTAGGCACATGGTTGGTTTGTACTTCTCCAGCCTGTTCAAAACTAGGGACAATCAAGTGATCTACTTTAGTCAGTTAAATATAAGCTTCCAGAAAGAATCCTTATGAGCTATTGCATATTTCACTGCATTTCCTTTTTTTCTTCATAAAAGCAAGGATATGGAGCTTTCTGCAGCCTCTGTTGCTATGTAAGAATAACATGGAACAGAACCTTGTACATCACACTCCTGGCCAGCCCAAAATGGACATGGATTGTCTGTCAGATGTTTGCTTTTTAAGCCATTGAGGTTTAAAGGCTCTTTGTTACTGCCGTATAACCTAGCCCCTACTGACCAATATGTGTTGTAATAATATAATAATCTATCCCCTAACTGGGTTGATAGCCTCTTGAGAGAGTAGTACAGAATAAATTATTATTTAAAAATAAAACGTGAATAATATAGTTGGAATATTTGTCACTGTCCTCAAATCTCATGTTGAATTGTAATCCCCAATGATGGAGGTGGTGCCTGGCGGGAGGTGTTTGGATAGTGGGGATGGATTATTCATGGCTTGTTGTCTTTTTGATAGTGAGATCTGGTCATTTAAAAGTGTGTGGCACCTGCCCCACCCCACTCTCTCTCTCACTCCTGCTTTTACTATGTAATGTGCTTGCTCCCACTTTGCCTTCTGCCATGACTGTAAGCTTCCTGTGGCATCCCAAGAAGCTAAGCAGATGCCAGTACTGTGCTATGCATAAAGCTTGTAGAACCGTGAACCAGTTAAACCTCTTTTCTTATAAATCATCCAGTCTCAGGTATTTCTTTATAGCAGTGCAAGAATGGACTAATCCAATTCATTTATCTGATGAGAAAACGGAGAGTTTTCCAATAAATATCAGTATGGCAAATGACACTGATCGACTCCTTTGAAGCTGATATGATGTCAAAATTATCACTCAGACCTCACGTTCAAATATGTGTTGAAAACTCAGTCTAAGTATAATCAGCTCCTAATCAACATAATTGACAAAAGGCTGTGCATTTATCAAGCACTACCCTCCTCAGGGTACTGTGGTAGGTATTTGGGAGCATTATCTTCTCCAACAAGATCATCAAATAGTTGGTGTAATGAGCCAAAGTTATAAAAAAGGTGTAACAGTATTAGGTAATGTAAGCTAAGTTTTTGATAAGCTTTATAGATAATAAGGACCACAAATATTCCTTGATAGAGGTCTGTGAGAACTGGCATGTTTTGGAAGCCAGGGTGGAACTTGACATTAGCCTTGACTGAGGGTGAAAGGAAGAAGGCATGGGGTGGAAATTTAAAGGTGGAGAATGACAGATGAAAAGCACAGAAGTAGAAACACACACATGTGGGAAATATTGAGGACCAATTTGGCCTGAAGAACATGTTTCATTTCAATTAATAGTACATTAGTAAAATCAATGCGTGTTCAATTTAAAATGTTCATTTATGATGCCCTTCTCTTCCAATTCACTATCAAGTTAGAATAATTTACTAAGTCCTGAAAATGTGGTTTATCAGGGGCCACATGTATACCTTTTCAGGGGCTGCATGTATACAAACAGCAATAATGTTCAACACTTGCTGTCCACCATATACTTTTGGAGAGCTTGTTAAAATCATATTCTTATGGATGGACCATTGCAGACCTACTGGATCAATCACTTAAGGTGAGGCCAAGGCAAAGCCAAAGGTCGCCAAGTGGGGTACTTTGTAGGCTAATCAAATTTTATCCCCTAAAACTGGTATTTTATATGTCTTCAAAGATTGTTAGTAGAACATGGAGAAAAGCAAAGGATGTCTGATTTTTTAGGATTAGCCCAAGAACATTTGCCCTAATCCCCAAACTGCATTTCCCATTCATCTAAATGGAAGTTCTACAGCTAGTTGACTATCATCCAAAGAAAGCTTAAGTGACCAGCTATTGATACTTGAAGATAGCCCACTGGGTACCTAACGCACCTATTTCGAAAAGCATACCAAAGCATAGTTGTTGTTGTTGTTGTTGTTTTTAAACTACAGAAAGCAGTCTGTCTCAGGAAAGTTGTGGTAAACCTAACTGTCTCCATCTCTTTACAGTCCATGTGATGTTCTAATACCTAAGTGTGTCCCTTATATATTGACACCTCAGGTAGCTGACTGGTGGGCCCCTTTTCATCTGATTCAGGACTAATAATGTGTATTATTTTAAACAAATTACCCGTAATAATTTCTTATGCAGCACCAGGCCTAAGAAGAAATGGTAGAGTGCTCACTGTTCTAACAAGGAATTCATTGTTCCAAGACTTTAATTTTCAAGAATGTTCTTACGTTAGCACAAGATTTACTTTTCCATAACTTGATCTAACACTATCCTATTTGATATGGCAATTTTACACATAGCTGAAGATCAATCCAATGCCCCCCTCTCTGCTCCCCTTTATATTTCAAACTCATCTCCAAGGTCAACAGTTTATTCCTCATACAATCTGGGCTAGCCTCATAGGCATATCATTTAAGCAGTCCCATGGGGACTCATGCTCAGAAAGACTTCATGCTTGATTTAATGCTCTGACATCACCATCTTGAAATTTGTGACAATGTTTGAACACGAGGCCCCAAATTTTCACTTTTCACTGGTCTCATAAATGATGTAGCCAGTCCTGAATACAACAGAATTTCAAAGGCCCTCCACAGTCAGGATATTTTTCTCTGGGTAAACTCCAGTTTGTCTCTATTTGCTTTAGTCCCTAACACCTACAACTGAGCACAATACATACAAAGTAAACTACCTCACTAGGGCAAAATTGAACGTGACTATTATATGCCTTGTTCTGGAAAATAAGTTCCTATTAATCTTGTGGCAGCTGCACCATGCTATTGACTTAAACAGAGATTGCAGATGTGATGATTTCCTTGTTTTCTGCCTGAATCCTTCTACACTCAACAGCTGAGGTCATTTGGTCCCACTCTCAAGTTTATTCTCATTCCAGGCTCTGTTTCTATTTAGAGAAAATTCAGAGAGTCACAGGTAAGTGTCTGGTTCCAATATCACTGTGTCCTTGCTTTGATAACCCACTCTGTCAACCAACTCAAGCCAGTTTATTTATGTACACCCCTTAGGCTATTTTCTGGTGGATAACAATGTCCAGCAGTATTTAGAAGTAAGTTAGGGTTGGCTATCACCCCAAAACCTTCAGCTTATAATGGAAGCTTACATTAGACTACATTCTGCCAATACACCCATATTTTTTAAACAAACACTTACTACCAAGCATGTACAAATCACTTAATACCACCTGTTTTAAGAGCTCAATGAAATCCCAAGTAGCTGTGCTTTTATATTCTCTGACTATACGTTGCCTAAATGGTTCACTGGAGACAGATGCAACTTTATTGTAGAGGAAAAGTCCGCTTAGGAAAACAGAAAGCACTGTAGTTATTTAAACTAAGATGTTTTAATGCAGAGATTTGGTTACACAGATGATAGAACAGCTGAAATGCCAAAGTAGATAGTGAGACAACCCAGTGATTAGTAAGAAAGAGGTCACTAACCTCTTGGGCTGAAGGGCCAAAAGAGTAAGTAAATGGTGTTACTGGGTCCCAGAAAGTGAAATAATTTGTTTGATGAAACCCCACTAGGACCTGGGGCCAGGACCAGACAGAATCACTGCTGGAGAAGCCACAGACATCCTTAGATTCTTAAACTCAGCTCATGAATATGGACGCATAATCTATAAACTATTATATTCGATCGTCATATCCTGAATGCAACTAATTTTAATAACGAAAGCCCATTTTTAATCTCTATTATGTTAACTCATGATGCCTCGGGTGTTGACCAGAGACAAAGTTACCAGAAGTGCTTTACTAGCCTTGTGTGGAATATGCCTTTCTGATTAGAATGGAATCTGAGCAGTCTCTTATATGGGGATTTTTATTTAGGGTTCCTGACGGCACCCAAAGTATAACTTAAATTAACAAACAAATATATGCTGTATCACAGATATGTAGAAGTATTTTAAAGTAAATTAAAAGACGGGCTTATGTCCATCTAGTACCCTGTTACCACTGTGTTAGAGGCTCTTATTTATTTTCAGCAGTCACCTCTACCCCATTCTTCTACCTGCAACCAGACTCACTGCAGTCCACTTTGTTCTATATATCCAGCTTTTCCACACAATGGAGGCTGGTGGATGCTTTAAAGATGTTTTCTTGGACGATTGCAAACATGTCTGTTCCCACAGTTTGGACCTTACTTGTGCTATATGCCTGCCTGGATCACAGCCTGTTTCCTCTCAGTGCTTTCCCAGACCTCATGTTCTTTGTGTATGGAGCACTTTATCATGAAGAAATAACAAAGAAGGATTTGTAGTCACAGAAAATAAACAAACAAGCCCATTACAGCCAGAAAAAAAAAACTGTGCAGAATCACTTAGAAACAAAAGAAAAATCTTACAGAAATAACATAGAAGGATTTGTATTCACAGAAAATAAATGAATAAGCCCGCTATAACCAGAAAAAAATACAATGCAAAATCACTTAGAAATAAAAGAAAAATCTTACAGAAATACCATTGTTTAGGGAAACATTAATTTGTCTTTCTCAGCTTTTGAACAATCGAATAGCCAAACAAAGGCATTGAGAATCTGAATTATGTAGCTAATATGATTGAGGGAATGGGTCTATATCAAACTGTGTCCTCTACAAAGAGATAGTATAAGTAACTAAGTAAAGTTGCATTTGATTGGTAACTTCAAAAACGTAGAATGTGAGTAAGAACATTTTCTCACTGAAATACTATTGAACAAAAATTATTAACACACATTTAAGTGATATCAAAAATACTTGGAAATGTAAAGGGACACTCACCTAAATCATCCTTGTGTCAAGAGGGTAACCATACATCTTCCTATTAAGGCCTATGGGATGCAGAAAACCTGTATTTAAAGGAAAATTTCTTACCTTTATCGTTAAAAATGTTAAAGTAGGCAGCTAGTCAGGCAGGAACAAGGCAGGAGAAGCTCCACCCCCCCACACCAACCTGGACTGTCAGGCTATCAGGTGATGGTCAGGTGGTTGTTAACTGTCTCTCTAAAATAATAATTGATTGCAGCTGGCACCAGGGACAGGCAGGCTCCCTATAGATAGGAAAAACCTGAAACTGTTGATCAGTAGCTTCTTGATAAGCTCTCAGGAGTTGAGCGATTGGGCTCAACGCATGTGCATTAGGAGGCAAAATGGCATAGTTTAACTGGTATACGACCTCCTACGGACATTTGGCTAAGGGAAGAATGCCTCAAGTGAGCATGCCTACAACTCCAGTAAACACTGCATACTGTGTGTACTCCCCTCCCAAGCGCTGGCAGGCCACTGTGCATGCAGACACCCCACCCCAAGGGAAGCATCAGGGAAGAAGGGAAGCAAGAACCTAAAAGCACGCCAACAGGTAAAACCTCAAGTCTAAAGGTCAAACTGCACACTTGATTTCTCAAGTCACCTGCTTTGCCCTCTTCCTAGTGTACTTTCCATCCTTCCATTCCTGTTCTAAAGCTTTTTAATAAACTTTCACTTCTGCTCTAAAACTTGCCTAGGTCTCTCCTCCTGCTTTATGCCCCTCACTCGAATTCTTTCTTCTGAAGAGGCAGGAATTGAGGTTGCTGCAGATCTGTATGGATTTCCTGCCGGTACCAAAAATGATTCTCATCTCATTTATTTTTGCCATGAAATTTACTTAGTTTTCAATTTATATTGTTATTCCTGTTCTCATTATATTTCTGTTTTGCTTGGTAAATGTTTGCCTATTCTTTAACTCAAAATGTTATTTTTCTTTTGGGTTGGATTTGTATTTTTTACATGATGTAGTGTTGAATTCTACATTTTATGTAAATATGAGTCTCTGAATTTTAATAACATCACTTAATAACATTTTTACTCTTCCAGAATTTTGGTATAGATAGACTCTAAGCCTCACGGGCAGTGTCTAGTTGTAAGAAAGGGCTGGAGCACTTATCTTAAAGTCATGTTGACGTAGTGAGACACAGGTTTGTTTTTTTCAGGTGTTTACTAATCAATAAAAAGGCAAAGTCTTCCAAAGATATTCATTGACACCTTATATGAGATTAGAGAACATCAAATATTCATACAAATATTATGTTTGTTATTGATATTAGGGCTGTGTAGATTGCAGTGGCTTTGGAGAATGCAGAGATTAAAAGTGAAATGCCCAAGAAACTAACCATAAATTGCCCCGCTGGTCCAGCATTGATTGCCGTCACTTGACTTACATGGTTTAGACATTCTGTTTGTATACTTCTCTTTTGTTTTTCCTTTTTTAAATTTTATTTTTAATTTATATATACAGTTATAAAATTCATAAGTAATAACTGTATATATATGTGGGGTATAATGTGATGTTTTGCTATATCTTTATAATGTGGAATGATTAAATCTGCCTAATTAACAAATTAATCACTACACATAATAAATTTTTGTATTGAAAACATTTAAAATCTATTAGCAATTTTGAAATATATAGGCATTATAGTCAGAATTGTAGTCAAAATTCTTTGCAATAAATTACTAAATATTACCCCTCCTGTCTAACTTAAGCTTTGTACCCTTTGGTAAGCATCTTCCCTTTCCCCATACACCTCCTCCCCCATCATCTAGGAACCATCATTCTACTCTTGGCTTTTCTTACAAGGACTATGTTTCTTTGAATTTTTCTTTAGAGATTTAGATGGTATTTTTATTTTTCTCAGTTCTATTATTTTTCAAAAACATACATCAATATGTATATTCTTTAAGTTCTACATTGAAAAAACACAGTAACATCTACTTCAAGTATATGATAATAGCTAACATTTATTGAGAACTGATCTATACCATGCATTGTACTTCTCCCTGACTTCATCTTACTCTACTTCCTTTTATTCTTTTTTATTGATTTGTTTACATTGTATTGTCGATAACTCACGCATTTTCTCTTTACTAGTGCTTTCAGCTGTATTCGCACAAACACATTTTAAATGAACAGTAGAGTCAGAGTGCTGGGTTAGTCACCGTCCTCAGCATCATTACTCCGATGAAGGCCTTTGATTGTTTCCTTTCATCATTATATTCTTATGATCTTCAACCCACCCTACGTTCTCACTCTAAGATATTACAAATCTTAAGATCAATCATAGTTCTGGCTATGGATCCCTCACTAGTATAGATCTTGAATCTCTGGGCCAAGAGGTAAATGGTGGGGCAGAGTGGAGACTGGTAGGTTTACTTTCTCTCTCTCTCTTTTTTTTTTTTTTTTTTTTTTTTGAGATGGAGTTTCCTCTTGTTGCTCAGGCTGGAGTGCGATGGCACGATCTTGGCTCACTGCAACCTCTGCCTCCCGGGTTCAAGTGATTCTCCTGCCTCAGCCTCCCGAGTAGCTGGGATTACAGGCATACGCCACCACACCCGGCTAATTTAGTATTTTTAGTAGAGATGGGGTTTCCCCATGTTGGTCAGGCTAATCTCAGACTCCCGACCTCAGGTGATCCACCCACCTCGGCCTCCCAAAGTGTTAGGATTACAGGCATGAGCCACTGCACCTGGCCAGTTTACTCTCTTTTAACCAACAAAGATGAGTGCTTTTCAATCCACTTCTCTTTGCTAAATGATAACAAATCTATAATCTCTAGTTCATGATGACTTGACTTCCATGTGGGGATCCATGGTAGCAAAAGTTATACCAGAGCAAAGCCAGTGGCTGTGGACAGATGTATGATGGTATAGGATGGCACCCACCCCCTGAAATACAAGAACAAGAATCTAAAGAACTCCTCAGTTATAGAATGTTGCAAGAAATTATTTAAAGGACTGCAAGCCAAATACCTTTTTTAATGAGAGAACATTGAACCATCTTAGGTTTTTCTCTTATAATGCCTTCCCTTTGTTTGGCCTTAAATCCTTTCTTAAATAAAATGTTCTTCATTGTTTCCTGCCTAAAAACTACTTTTGTTGAGATAACAGAAAAGGAATAAAATTTGAGAACACTCTCAGTAGAGAACAAGTACCTTCTTTATTCTGTTTCCCTGAATGTAAATTTAAATGGCATTTTAGAGTCTTTTGTCAACACTATTACAGGTTTGGTCTTATTTTCTGGGTGTACCTTTAGTTACGCAGGACTCACTTGCATTTTTTGTTCTCTCACAATTCTAACCCATTAGAGGACAGTCTTCAGGGGGCTCAATTTGCAGCTTTATGCTCTTCTTTGTTCACTCTTTTATTCATTCTCATGATAATTATTTACTATAGCAGTGTCAGAATTTTGTTTTTAATGGCTGCACATTTATTTTGAGCATTTTCCTTTTCAATATCTTAGTACCAGCAATCCTAAGAACTCTGTAAATATTTTAGAAACTATTTTTCCATATTTTAAAATTTGACTTGAGGTAGGAGAGGTAGGCAAGGACCAGTCATGAAGACTTTATGGAATGTCCATAGAGACTGCTGTTTGTCTTCCAGTATCTGTTTATAACTTCTTCCTCAATAACAAGAATCTTGCCTTCTATTGAGGCACACCACTCCACAGCTGAAAGAGTGCGTATCCACACTGACAAATAAGCTTGTAGTGATCAAATTTTTGTTCCTAAACGTATGTCAATGAAACAGAAGCACTAGTGCTGTGTTACTTTTTTTTAAGCTTGTTTAAACTTGAGGTGATACCTTTTTTCTTTCCATCATCTTGTAGTATTAAAGTTGAATATGATGACTGTAGCTTTGGTAGCCATATTGGACCATGAGAACATAGGCCATACCTTATTGTATTCGTCAGGGTTCTGCAGAGAAACAAAAACAATGGGCTCATGCAATTATAAAAGCTGAAAAGTTTTATTGTCTGCCATCTGCAAGCCAGAGAACAAGGAAAGCTCATGGTATAATTCTAGTCCAAGTCCAAAGACCTGAGACCCAAGGAAGTCAATGGTGTAAATCCCAGTCCAAAGGCAGGAGAAGACCGATGTTCCATTTCAAGCAGGCTGGGAGGAAGGAGATGAATTCTCTTTTCTTCTGCTTTTTGTTCTATTCAGGCCCCTGATAGATTTGATGATACTTACCCCCATTGTAGAGGGAAATCTGCTTTGCAGAGCCCATCAATTCAAATGCCAACCTTGTTAGAAAACATTCTCACAGGCACACCCAGAAACATTGTTTAATTTGGGAAGCCCATGTCCCTGTCACTTCGACACATAAAATTAACCATCACATCTATTGATGGTAAAATGTTGACTTGGAAAGTTCCTGGGTCCTGGTGAATTTTGTGGTCACCGTATTGTCCCTGCATTTATTTTATGTGACAGATATTCACATAACTGATTTATCTTATGTTAGTAAGAAATATATATCTTCCTTTTTAAAAACTTGTATAATTTTAGATTTATCTTATTTAGGGATGAACCCAATTTTAGGTTTGCATGGTTCTAAGGGCTTGGCCTTTAATCTTAGCAGATTAAGCAAAGTATTATTTAAGAAAGATTAATTTGGAAGTATGACATTGATGAATTTAAAGATTAAGGAAATGGGGACAAAGATATCAATTATAAGGTAATCACAACAATCCAAGAAAGAAGTTATTATGTCACGACTATGGTGGTGGCACTAGGGCACTTGTAGTGATATGAGGTTGTCAGTTTCTCATTTGTGGATTGGGTAAGAGATCTGGAGACAAAAGGACTCATAGTGTCAGGACGGATTTCTTGACTACCACCTATTCTCCCTGAGTCCTAGAATGCACTCAACACATATATTAGAAAACATCCCCCAAATTTCTAGGTAGGTGGCGTGGTACATTGAAAAGAAGAAAGGGTTTTAGTTTAGTAATCTTAGGTCTACCAATGCTAACTATGTGACAAGCAGTTATCCTTTACAGTTTTCATTTTTTGAAAAAGGCCTTGAAATTATTATAATAACTATCTCAGGGGATCTTTAGTGAGGATTCAATGAAATAATCTCTGCAAAATATTATATAGCACAAGGGCCCATCATAAGCATTCAATAAATATTCGTTACTTGATTATTAAAAACACTTGGCACATACTACTAGACATATCAATGAATTGATGTTAAATCTGAAAAATAATCAGGAAACATTATAGCTTATGCTAGTTTCCATTATCACAAAGAAAAGCGTTTTTGGAGTAAAGACCGCTGTTCTTATGCGTACCAAAATTTCATCCTCATTTAGGAACTGGGCAGATAATTTTTGACAATATCGATGACAATGTTTTGAAGAGGTGAGCACTATCAAGGAGGAGCTGAGATGAAGGGGTTTTGGTTGACCTAACAGTGCTTTTGAAGTACTGCTACACTCAGGAGCTCTATATTAATTAGTAAGAAGATAAAAAGGAGTGGCTTTCCTTAGAACTGAGTTTCTGGTTTCCTGTCCTGCTAGTGCAATTGTCCCTAGGTATTCCTAGAAACTTTTCAGTTCAACATCTATTGATTTTGCCTAAAAACAGAGCTGAAAGGCAATCTAACAAATTGATGAATAAAGACAAAATAAGTTTCTTGCAGATTATTTACTGCAAAAACTGGACCGACAAAGAGGCAGGCATTTAAAGGAAGAACATTTTATAGAAAAAATAATGTGGTGGCTGTAGTGAAATTCTAGTATCCCACTAATCAGTAGTCATCTTGTCAGAGTTTAATTTCTGTAATAGTGAAATAATGTTCTGATTCTTTACAGGCTTCTTAGGTGATTTGAGAATGGAAAAATATATAAATGTCATTGTAATGACAGCCATACCATAGAAGGGAACTAACAGTGTGATCCCTATACCATTTGAAGAGAGTTTCAGACAACAGTTAGATTTTATTATCTGACTCAGCTTGCACCTGGACCCCACGGAGACTAGTGTTGATAAACAATGAGCACACATAGACCCACTGCTCCACCAGTCATTTATCTTTGATACTATCTTTCAGGTGTACCTGTTTCCTTCCTATTCAGAGTTTTAGCACTCCTGCTGCTCCATTTTACTACTGTATTTAGCCTTTCTCTAGGATAATTTGCATTGTGCCAATCACCCTTTACTTTACTGGTTGAGTTTTATAATTACTTACATGATATTTTCTGTTTCAGTTATCTTTTTTAACTTTGACATTCGCCTGATCATATCAAATGCAGTATTTCTTTAGTGTGCTAATATGTTCATTATATTGGTTCATTTACAGTTCACGATAGCCTGAAAGAAGTTTATTTCTCCATAAATAGTATACCTTTATATATTGCCTACCAGCAGGACGTGCTTGTTACATTGTCATTAAAATCTGGCCAGAACAGCAGGAAAGCATCTTCAATTCTTTTTCTGTGCCTTCTTTGCATTGTCTCTGGATCAAGGAAGCTACTAGCAGCCTTGCCTTCTCTTTTCTCTGTGACAATATACAAAAACAACAAAAAAACCAAAAACACAGCAACAAAAAAATGTGTGTTTTGACACCATTATTAGCATTACTACTCTAGGAATGGCTATAATTCAGCCAACCAGATGTAAATTCTATGTACTTCATATTGCTTTGTAGTTGGGGTCTGTATTAGTTCATTTTTACACTGCTATAAAGAACTACCTGACACTGGGTAATTTATAAAGGAAAAAGGTTTAATTGACTCACAGTTACATATGACTGGAGAGGCCTCAGGAAATTTACCATCATGGTGGAAGGCAAATGAGAAGCAAGCACCTTCTTCGTAAGGCGTCAGGAGAGAGGAAGAGCAAGCGGGGAGCTGCCAAACACTTTTAAAACATCGTATCTTGTGAGAACTCGCTCACTATCATAAAAACAGCATGGGAGAAGCCTCCACCATGATCCAACCACCTCCCATCAGGTCCCTCCCTCCACACACAGGGATTACAATTTGAAATGAAATTTGGGTGGGGATACAGAGCCAAACCATATCAGGTCCTTTAGTTTGTGACAGAAAACTAAATTGAGAGAATAAATTAATTTAATGTATCATGGAATTGAAAAGTACAGATATTTTCTTTAGCCATGGCTTAATCTATTTGCTCAGGTGAAAGAATCAGCATTGTACCTTTCTCCCTTTCACAGGTAACTTTTCTATTCCAATATTTTCAATATCAGGGAAGCTAGACCGTCTTCCCTTTCCCCATTGGCAAAGATGGTGCCGAACATGGTTGTTAGAAACTTTTTTCGTATATCACCTTATATCTCCATATAAATAGGAATCTCAAAAAAAAAAAAAAAAAAAAAACGATGGCCCTGCTTGGATTATGGATTAAGAGAGATACAGGCATAGCTCAGAGATATTGCAGGTTAGGTTCCAGAGCACTGCAATAAAGAAAATATCATAATAATATGAGTCACATAGAATATAGTTATAATAGACTATAGTCTATTAAGTGTGAAGTGCTATTATGTCAAAAAATGTACATACCTTAAATAATAACGCTTTATTTCTAAAAAATGCTAACAATTATCTGAGCCTTCAGCAATTTGCCGGTGGAGGGTCTTGCCTTAATGTTTATGTCTGCTGACAAATCAGGGTGGTGGTTACTGAAGGTTGCGTGGCTATAGCAATTTCTGAAAATAAGACAACAATGAAGTTTGCCATATCCATTCACTCTTCTTTCCTAAAAGACTTTTCTGTAGCATGCAATGCTGTTTGATAACATTTTAAGGAAAGTAGAACTTCTTTTAATATTGGAGTCAATACTCTCAAACCCTGCCACTATATTATCAACTAAGTTTATATGATATTGGGAATCCTCTATTATCATTGTAATGGTTATAGCACCTTCACTGAGAATTAATTCAATCTCAAGAAACTAATTTCTTTGCTCATCAATAAGAAGCAGTTCCTCATCTGAGTTTTATCAAGAGCTTGCAGCATTTATCCTTTGTGTTACAAACCAAAATATCTCATGGACCCTATAAATATATACCTACTATATACCCACAAAAATTAAAAATTAAAAAAGATATTAAAAGAGATTGCAACAATTAAGTCACGTCTTCAGGTTCCACTTGTAGTTCTCTTGCTACTTCTATCACATCTGCTCTTACTTCCTCCACTGAAGTCTTGACCCCCTTAAAGTCATCTGTAAGAGTTGGAATCAACTTCTTCCAAACTCTTGTTCACATTGATATTTGACCTCTTCCCATTAATCATGAATCATCTAGAATGTCGAATCATTTTTGGAAGGTTTTCAACTTACTCTGCCCAGATTCATCAGAATAATCACCATCTATGGCAGCTATAGCCTTACAAAATGTATTTCTTAAATATTAAGACTTAAAATTAGAAATTAACTCATTGATCCGTGGACTTAAGAATGGTTATGTTAGTAGGCATGAAAACAGCATTAATCTTCTTATACATCACCTTCAGAGCTCTTGGCGACTACATGCATTGTCAATAGTAATATTTTGCAACAAACCTGCACCTTGTGCACATGTACCCTAGAATTTAAAGTAGAATAAATATATATATATATATATATATATATGAAAATAGAAAAAAATAGTAATATTTTGAAAGGAACCTTTTTTTTCTGAGCTGTCGGATTCAACAGTGGGGCTAAAATATTCAGTAAACCATGCTATGAACAGATGTGTTGTTATCCAAGCTTTGTTCAATTTATAGAGCAAAGGCAGAGTAGATTTAGCATAACTCTTAAGGTCCATAGGATTTTCAGAAAGGTAAATAAGCATTGACTTCAGCTTAAAGTTACCAGCTGCATTAGCTCCTAATAAGACAGCCTGTCCTTTGAAGCTTTGAAGCCAGACATCGATTTATTTCTCTGGCTATGAAAATCCTAGATGGCATCTTCTTCCAATATAAGGCTGTTTTGTCTACATCGAAAATCTGCTGTTTAGTCTAGCTAGCTCTATGAATCGTCTTAGCAAGATTTTCTGGATAACTTGCTGCAGCTTCACCACCAGAACTTGCTGCTTCACCTTGCACTTTTATGTTGTGAAGATGGCTTCTTTCCTTAAACCTCATGAACCAGCCTCTGCTAGCTTCAAACATTTCTTCTGCAGCTTTGTCAACTACCAGGCCTCATACAAATGAGGAGAGTTGGGACCTTTTTTTTTTTTTGAATTAGGTTTTGGCTTAAAGAAATGTTGTGACTCATTTGATTATCTGTGAAGACCACTCAAACTTTTTCCATATCAACAATAAGCCTGTTCCTTTTTCTTATCATCAGTGTATTCATTGGAGTAGCACTTTTACTTTCCTTCAAGAACTTTCCTTTGGCTTTGGGAACTTGGCTAACTGATTGACACAAGAGACATAGCTTTTCACCTATCTTGGATTTCAACATGTTTTTTCTAAGTTCATTTTTTTTCTAGCTTTTGATTTAAAGTGAGATGGATTGCTCTTCCTTTCAGTTGAACACTTGGAATGCCATTGTAGGGTTATCAATTGGCCTAATTTTGATATAGTTGTAACTTAGGGAATAGGGAGGCCTTAGGAGAGGGAGAGATGCAGCAGAATGGCTGGTGGGTGGAGAAGTCAGAACACATACAACTATCAGTTAAGTTTGCCATCTTATATTGGGACAGTTCATGGCATCTCAGAACAATTATAATAGTAACATCAAAGCTCACTGATCATAGATCACTAATACATATATATATATATACATAATAAC
The DNA here is from genome assembly GCF_000001405.40 of Homo sapiens. Classification (NCBI taxonomy): domain Eukaryota; kingdom Metazoa; phylum Chordata; class Mammalia; order Primates; family Hominidae; genus Homo; species Homo sapiens. Next base: position 143,275,281 of record NC_000023.11, on the reverse strand, counting down.
TGGTGTTAAGGTAATCAATAATGTGCATATTGGTTAATCCACTGGATCCCCTTTAGATCTTATTATACCTGATATTTGTACAGCTTTTATCACAGTTGACCATACCCTTTTTTGAAGCCCCTAAGTTTGAAGTTCTTCAGACATTTGTCCTAAACTATCTTTTAGTTCTTACTTTACACCTCCCCAGGTTATCTCTCATAGCCAATGCATTTTATTTATCATCTAAATGCCAATGACTCTCCTGAATTTAGACGTCTATCCTCTTAGATACCCATGACTGTGTTTGTCTAGACCTCTGTTTCCAACTGCTGGTTGGTTATCTCCAATTGGATGCTTCAAAAGCACTTCCCCTTTACTATGTCCAACAGTAAAGTCTGAATTTTTCTTCTCTAAATGGTGTATGTCCCTAGGCATGCACATTTTAGTATAAGACACCTCTATCTATCCAGTTGCTAAGGCCAAAAACATAGATATTATTCTAGACTCCTTCATCTCCCTCACCAATGACATTTTATCTATTAACAAGTCTTGTCAGTTCTAGAGGAAAAATATATCTTGAATTTGCCCACTTTCCTCAGCCTTATTTCTATGTTTGTAGTCCGAGGTACTGTCTTTTCTCACCTGATTTGCCACTATACTTTTCTAACTGGTTCTGTTTCTGTTGTTAGACTATACAGACCACTCTCTACACGGAAGCTGGAATATTTTTTTCTTAGATATGATTACATCATCCATCTTCATATGCCTTCAATCTCACTTGCTCTACCACCATGCAGTAGTTCACTTTCTTACAGAACCCTTTGCAGTGTCATCACTGTCTGCCTTCCCCACCTCTCTAGCCTAATTTTTCACCACTCTTCCCCTTTGTCGCTGGATAAAGACATACTGAGCTATGTCCTCTCATGACCTGTATGTTGCTTCCAATTAAACTTCCTTGTGTCCTAAAATACCTATTAGGTTCCAATATTATATATTTCCAGACTACCTTTTGCAATCGTGTCACCTTTTGCAATCACCTTTTGCAATCATTCAGGGTTTACCAGGAAAACAGGCATCATTGCAAGTAATTCAAGAAGAAAGGTATTTAACAAAAGAAATTAGGTGCTTACAAATCAATTGAAAGAGCTTGAGAAAAAAAGCCAAGGAGGCTGATACTAGACTTCAGTTTCACTTCTAGATTTCAGAGTTTAAGAAGTTCCTGTTTCCAACTTTGCTCCAAGGTCATGAAGTAACAAGGAACCAGTAAATACAGCCACAACTGCCATGTAGCATTAAAGTAGGTTACTTCTGAAGAAATACCTAAAGCCTGCTGCAAAATCTCAACTTTGTCTAGGCCTAGGTATCTATCTGCCTGGTGTTCCCAGAGATAAAACAGTATTGCTTCTGCTTCTCTTCTGCCATACAAATGCCAAATTGGGGTTTGCACTGGCAACACCTAAGTTGTATTTTGAAACCTTCTGACAAAGAAGTGTGGGTAATGGAGTTCCCAGGCTTCCAGTTCCTGCACTTCAGGGGAGAGTACAGAGAACGGGGTAAAAATGATGACAAGTTTTAATATTCAGTACAACTGTTCTTTTGTCTGAAACTCCATCTAAACTGAGCTCTGTGAGGGTAAGTACTGTGTGTTTCCCTATTTTTTTCTTCCCTAGGACTATCCAAATGCCTAGCCCAATGAGAATTCATATAATGGGGGAATGATGAGGTCTTTACATCTCACAGCAATATTAGAGACATTATTGCTTGTAAATTGAAAGTTAGCTACAGTCCAAATTCTGTCATAAGAATATAAAGTTCTTCGGCCGGGCGCAGTGGCTCACACCTGTAATCCCAGCACTTTGGGAGGCCAAGGCGGGTGGATCACGAGGTCAGGAGATCGAGACCATCCTGGCGAACACGGTGAAACCCTGTCTCTACTAAAAATACCAAAAAAAAAAAAAAAAAATTATCCGAGCGTGGTGGCGGGCACCTGTAGTCCCAGCTACTCAGGAGGCTGAGGCAGGAGAATGGCGTGAACCTGGGAGGCGGAGCTTGCAGTGAGCAGAGATCGTGCCACTGCACTCTAGCCTGGGCGACAGAGTGAAACTCCGTCTCAAAAACATAAAAATAAATAAAAAAAAATAAAGTTCCTCAGTACTTGTTGTTATATTGATATTTTAGTGCAGTGTGATTCACAGGTACTATGCTAAAGTTCTTTACCTAAATGACTTCATTTAATACTTAAAATAGCTGTGTGAAGTAGAGTACATGATTAGCTCAACTTTATAGACAAGAAAATTAAGGCTCAGAGGTTAGGTAGTTTATCCAGTGCCTCTCAGTTTCTAAAGGCATAAGCTGAGTTTGAAACCCAGGGCTCTCTTACTCCAAAAGCCATAATCTACTCTCCACTACACCATCTCCAACTTGGAGAAGTAGAAGAATTTGCCCTGATGTCATTTCTTATTTCTGTAGAATGCATTCATGACCTTTAGACCCTAAAGCCAGTGTTCCTTATACATTCTCACACTGCTTTAGTTTAAATGGTTTCTCTCTTGCATAACAAAGAGGGTTTCCTAGATTTGTTTTTTCAAAAAGGACTAAGCATAACTGGAAAATGCCCTCTCAATAGTACAAAGCGCTTCCAACCTCATTTACAGGGTTGCTGAATACAATGCTTTTTTAACTATACTCAACGTGTTTACAGTAGATCTCTTAAACGTATTGCTTCTATGTAACTACAATTTTGTATACCTTTAACAACATACTGCCAACCCCCATCCACTACAACCACCCGAGTCCCTGGTAACCACCATTCTACTCTCTGCTTCTATTAAACCAACTTTTTCACATTCCACATAGAAGTGAGATCATGCAGTGTTTGTTTTTCTGTAAATGATAACTATATAATTTTGTCAATTTTAAATAAAATAAAATATTTAAAAGGGTTGCTAAATAAAATGTGAGCTGTTCAGTTAAATTTATGTTAATTAGCTTAATTGACTCCATAATGTATACATAGATCAAAACATCACTGTATAACCCATCAATATACATAATTGTCAATTAAAAATGAATAAATGAATTTTAAATAATCATAATTTATATGAACAGTAAATAATGTTTTTGTATATCTCAAATATTGCATGAAGGATACTTATACCAAAAGTTATTCATTGTTTGATGTAACTGGCTTACTTTTATTTTTATTTGCAATATCTAGTTACTATACCTCATAAGAAGCCACACAAATGAACAGAACTCTCCATTTACTGGAAATCACAGCTTGCAAACAGCACTTTCATCACCTTTAACTAATTTAATACATACAACAAGTATAAGAAAAAAATAATTCATTCTATAAATATAACTGAGGATACTGGTTTCAGAATAAAGTTGTCAATGATCACATAGCTCATATGTGATGGAGCTGTGGTTTAAACCAAAGTGTAACACTCCTTGTCATTTTCTCTTTCCTTAATCAGCCATCAAACCTCAGCTTAAGCACCATCTTCTTTGAGAAACCTACCCGGTCTACTCCCTGACCAAATTTGTGGTTCTTTCTTTTATGCTGCCATGGGAGATTGCACATGTCATCATTATGGCATGCAGCACATTAATCTGTGATTATTCATATGTTTTTTTTCTCTATGCCAGAACTGAGCTTTGAGTAGTATGGTAGGCAGAATAATGCCTTCACAAGGAGGTCCACATCCTAATCCTAATGAATGCTACCTTACATGGCAAAAGGAATTCTGCCTCTGTGACTAAAGTTAAGGACCTTAAGAGAGAGAAATTATCTGGAATTATCTAGATGATCCTGACTAATCACATGGGCCCTTAAAATTGGAGGACCCTTTTTGACTGTGGTAAGATGGAGACATGATAATGCAAGAATTGTCAGAGAGATGAAACTTTGTTGGCCTTGAAGATGGAGAAAGTGAGCCATGGACCAAGAAATGCAGGCTAACTTTGGAAGCTGAAAAAAATGCAAGAAAACCAATTTTCCCCTAGGACCTCCAGAAAGGACCACAGCCCTATTGACACTGTGATTTTAGTCCAGTGAGGACCACTTTTGGACTTCAAATTTCCATAAATTTCTAGTAATATATTTGTGTTGTTTTAAGCTATTGTTAGTGGTAATTTGTTACACAAGCAATAGGAAACTAAACGAGGTAGATGCCATGTCTTATTCACTGCTGCATTTCCTATAGCTAGCAAAGTGAAGAGGAAGCACATAAAGGATGCTCAGAAATTTTTTTCTTGAGTGAATAAATAAAAATTATGCAGCATTTCTTCATAAGTGTGTTGTAAGGAAAGGGCCACTCAACTAGGATATGAGTAAGAAAAATTATCTCCATCTTCTTACCTGAGCGAATGAGAGCAAATTCTACTCTCTCTATTCCTTGATCCAATAGGTCATTATCATAAATACAGAAAAAATGGGTGATAATTAATGATGACTCCAAAATAAGCTTGTAGATCAGTCAGGGTGGTGGGAAAAATTGTAGAAAGATGCAAACCTTCTTGGAAGGCCGGGAAGTTTTACAAAAGCTTCAGAAAAGGATATGGCTGAAGGCAGCCAGATTATCTTATCCAGTGCCTGAAAGTTTAGGTCAGATAAAAATGGGATGTAAAGAAACTGATCTAGATAAGTTAGTTTTCTTAGGCCTCAGAATCTGGCCTTTAATCATCCAAGCGCAGGACTGCTCTCTGTTTGGGTTGGGGGGAGGGCGCTACCATGTTAATTACTCACAAGTGTGTTGACTCAAGGCCTTTGTCAGTAAATCTGTACTGAATAAATGCCCGCAGCACTGGCTTGTCAAGGCTGCAGCTGCTACAACTCTTTCTGTGAGTGGCCCGGTCCTCTAGCCCGCTCTTTCACTGGATACCTGTGTCTGAGTGCATTTGTTCATCTGTCGTCCAGCCAGGGTCTGTGGGTCAGACTCAGCATAAGCTTTTACATCTTCCTAGCTATGGATGTGACATCATAAAAGGTGATCCCACCCATAGTTGCTACAATAATATAGATAACAAAAACTTCCTGAATTAGTATAATAGCTGTCATACTTTAGTTTGCATTAGACTGGCCTGAGATATTTATCTAACACTGCATATTACTGATCTAACCTTTAGAGATTCTGATTCAGCAGGTTGGGGACGGAGCCTAGGTGATTCTGTGGACCATAGTGCAACAGGACCCATATATATAGAGAGACAGTGGTCAGGATAATCAGTGCCACCCTCTCAATATTGCCTCCCTATTCCTGGGAGCTTCTCCAGGAAGTGATTCCTACTCTCTTCTTTGTTCTTGAAAGCAATTCTGACACTAAATCTTATTTCTAAATAAATGAGAGAGCAAAAGTGAGGGGAGTAACTCTTCCACTATTTTGTAAAATGTGTTTTTCATCATGAAAGTATTTGGAGTTCAAGACAATCTAGGAGCAAATACTTCATCAGATTTCAAAATTCCCTATTAAATGAATGGGCACCAGAACCATCAAATGCAAGAAGAATTTGTGAGAGGAGTTCACTGTAGCATCTTCAACCCACATATTATCATATTAGACAGAAGTTAGTTTTGAGATAACTTGCCCTCTGACACCCCAGAAACCCAGGGAATTTTTTAAAAAAAAATCTTCCTTTTCTTTAGTTAGGCTAAAGAAAGGAGAACTTTGCGCGCACACACACACACACACACACACACACACACACACACACACACGCATATGTATACGTCTCTGTGGCCCAGGCTAGAGTCTACTAGCACAATCACAGTTCACTGCAGCCTCGACTTCAGGGGCTTAAGTGATTCTCCCATCTCAGCCTCCTGAGTAGGTAGGACTATAGGCATGTGCCACCACACCTGTCTAATTTTTTATAGTTTTATGTAGAGAAGGGGTTTCGCCATGTTGCCTAGGTTGGTCTCATACTCCTGGGCTCAAGCAATCTGCCCACCTGGGCCTCCCGAATTGCTGGGATTACAGGGGTGAGCTACCACGCCCAACTGAGAACTTCAATATTGAACCAACCACTGGAAATAAAAGTCAACAGTATGAATACAAGTTTCTAATTGACCATTTCTAAATGGTGCCTTATTTTTCCTTAAAAATGTATTATATGCTAAAACTAAAAGGAACATTGAAAATCCAGAAAGGTCCAAAGAAGAAAATGACAATCTCTGACAGTTTCACTGCCTAAAGAAAAGCCATGGCTAATATTTGATTTGTTACTCTCAGTGCTTTGGCTATGCACATGTCTTAGCAATTTGAGATCATACTGTATATACAATTTTATATCATGCTTTTTAAACATAATATTATAGGAAATTCCTGCTACCATGTGGTGAATGTATTGTAGTGAGATTGTTTTTGTTAAATTATTTTCCTTGAAGAGAATTGAGAAATTCAGAAATCCTATGAATAGTCTAAAAAATAACCCTATGGGCAAAGTCCCCGCATATTCTTCTCAAAGAGGAGCAATTAGGTCTTCCTGGAGTGTCAGAGGTGCTGAGTCACCTGCAGCTACCAACTGCTAATCATATTAGACAGAAGTTAATTTCAAGATAACTTGCCTTCTGGCACCCTACATGTCAGGCAGCGCAGTGGCTTCTTTATTTACAGTGGCATACAAGTGAGCAATGCTATGTTTAGAGAATAATGTGCGTTCCAGGCCTGCCATCCCCAAATTATTGTGAAGCTTTGTTGGAAAAGACAGAATTCTAGAATGTTATGACGATAAATCACATTGTTGGAAATTGTCTTTCTCTAAAAGTTTATGGTTGTGGTGCAGTGCCATTTTTCTTCCAGACTTGAATTTGACTGAATTTCACTTCTCATCACAAAGAAATACTTTATTTTCATTTTCAATTCAGTCATAAATTGCTGAAAACATTCTCTCAAGAATTAAATTTGAGTGTAATAATGGCACAACTGAGTATTAGCAATGAAAAATACTCACCATATATTGAATATACATGGGAATACTTTGAAAAAAAATGATTGTACTGCAAAATTGTCAACCTTGCAGCCATCTTGATGGCAAATTAAAATCTTATGTGAATAGCTTGGTTTTTTTTTTTTTTTGGATCTATTGCTGAAGGAGAAAAATACTCTTTTATTACCTCTTATTATGATGAAAACGACTTACCAGGTTAGAGATGTGAGACCAAATTAAGAAGGCCAAGCTCTCCATCCTTTCACATTCTCTCATCTAAACCCACTAAAAGTGACCATTTGTTCTGGTTCCGTTCACATTGTTGGGTACTTGCAGAAGCCTTAGTATAAGGTACTCCTTTCACTTCTCTAAACTGATAACTTGTTTTACATACACAATCAAAGGCTATATTTTTGTTTGGTCAATAGAGTCAGAAAACAATGTTGTTCACATAAGATTTCAATCAAAGGCAAGTGATGCTAACAGTCATAAATATATTTGAGATTTCTTGCTAATTTTTATTATGGTGGCATTAAAATACAGAGGGACACTGTAAAATTCTTATGAAGTATTGGCATAAGAGAGGTAACTTGCATTATTTATAAATGGTTAATAGATTGATTGGAAGGATGGATTGGATTTTACACTAAGAATACATTGCAAAATAGTGCAAGGTGTACTGGGAATATGAGGAATAGTTCCTAGTTTCCACTCTATTATTAATAAGCTCTGAGCTTGAGGACTTTGCTTGCCTGTGTTGAAGAGAAAAATGCTGGAGAGAAAATTGATAATAAAATATATGACTATGTACATGGTTGTCAAATAAGCTTTTTGAAATAAGTAGGGTTAATACTTTGAGAAAGTATAGGCTTGTGGCATATAATCAGAACCGAAAATGCAATGGTGATGGAAAAATAAGCCAATTTATCTCCAACTGGTGACTGTAAGTTATAAAGAAAATCAAACATCTGGTCATTTGCATTGTTTTTATCCAGAAGCAAAATATGGTTGCATGCCCTTGGAAGAGAACCAATTAACATCAAGGTTATCACTCAGGAAGGACCGAAGCCGACTGCTAAACAAGGACACTTGACCATAACTCATAGTGTCATGACAGGCTGGTTAAATGTGACATAAGTTTAACTTGGTAAGGGAAGCAGCACTGTGGGACTGTGCTGACAGCAGAACTTTCTGGCAACTTGGGTGGAATCAAAAGAAAAAGAACAAAAAAGACAATAAGTTTTTTTTATGCCTATGTGTGAGAACTTCTGGGACACTTCAGCCCTGTTGCTTCTTCCATTGACTGGTCATGTCAGTGTAGCTGATAAATCATGTGCTTGTATGATCGTGTTGCCTCACTTGTTCAACAGATTCACTTTACTTTGGGAAGGATACAGTGAACTGGGAAAGTGAACTGCCCAAATGATTTGACCAGGGATTGTGTATGATATAGGCAGCGCTGTCAAGCAAAGACTTTAAATTAAGGCAGACCTTGGTTTGAGTTCTGGTTCCGCTATTGATGAGCTGTGTGATTCTGAACAAATTTCATAATCTCTCTGAGCCTTAGTTTCCTCATCTGTAAAACGAGGATAATGATGATTTCTTGTGTCAGGGTGTTCTTGAGTTACTACAAAGAAATACAAGAAATACCGGAGGCTGGGTAAATTATAAAGAGTTTTAATTGGTTCATGGTTCTGCAGGCTTTGCAGGAAGCATTTATGTGCTCAGTTTCTGGGGAGGCCTCAGGAAGCTTAAAAACCTGGTGGAAGGTGAAGTGAGAGCTGGCATACCGTGTGGTGAGAATGAGAGCAAGGTGAAGGTGAAGGCACCACAGATCTTTGAACGAGCATATCTCCTAAGAACTCCCTCAGCATTGTGAGGACAGCACCAAGCCATGAGGCATCCACCTCCATGAGTGAAACACCCCCACCAGGCCCCACTGCCAACATTGGGGATCACATTTCAACATGAGATTTAGAGGGGAAAATATCCAACCTATATCAGTTCTATATCCTATAATTATTATACTTGAGGTGATTAGTAATTTGTCTAGGTTCACAAAGGTAAGCCTTGGTTGAGCTAAGGCTGGCTGACTTCATGTCTATATTTCCAGAAGTGACCTAACCCACTCAAGATTGCAGAGCTGGTCGGTAGTGAAATTGGCTGTGACAGATGCTGCTACTCATCTACAGAATGTACGTTCTCCCTTGCCTTCTTTACTAAAGAATCATTTTTCCCCCAGGGTAGAAATTTGGCCAGCTAAAAGTTCAACCTCCTATGCTTCCTTGGAACTTTGGTTATATATGTGACACCGTTCTGTCTGGTGTGATGTAATCAGAAATATATCGAGTGAGGTTTCCAATAAAGCTGGAGTTATCTTGACAAAAAGGGTCAGACTTAGTTGACACATACTTTTTCATGCTTGAACATGAAAATAATACCTGGAGGTAGAATAGCCATCTTTGCAACCACCTCAATACCTGAAAGAAAAAAGCCACATGCCAAAAACTGGCAGAAGGCATAGATGAAAGCTGGAAAGAGCCTTGTGGAGGAACTGTACCAGCCCTGGACTGTGAATTTCCAGACCTTTGTCATATTAAAAATTGCCCTTTGTTTAAGTCACTATAGTCTAGTTTCTGCTATACACAACTGCATCTAATGCCAACTGATATGTTAGGATTTAAACCTCTAAGAACTTGTTCAGCACATATTGTTTTGGCGAATTCCCTAGAGACAAAGCTCTAGCCATAATATCTTTTATCTTGTTTATGTGTAATAGTTACAGTGCTGCCCTTGGTCTTAACCGTTAGGTCCTCAGGGACAAAGTACTTGGAGCCCAGGATGATATGCAGTCAACACTGTGATTTAAGATTGGGAAATTGGGGCCTAGAGAGCGGTTAATAGTGGTGAAACAGAGGCTAGTACTCAGGAATTTTGATATTCAGTTTTGTCCTCCTGTTAGCGCTATACAGGACCCTACCAATGCCCACCATAAATGTACTGAGCATCCCGGCAGATGAAGTGCTTGGGCGACAAAGGAAACATCTTTCTATTTTATCATTTTGCTCTGAACATTCCTGTTACTTGCTACGTAGGCAAGGCATGAGCCTCAGTTTTCTCATCTGCAAAACAGGCATAATAACCGTGACTATCTCACAGGGTTATTGCTGGGTTCTAAGGATCTAATATATGTAAAGTTCTTAGAACAGTGTCTAGAATATGGTAAGCTGCAAAGCAACAGCCCATGGAGCTGCAATCTTTATTATTAAGTCTGGAATGCAAATCTTTTCAATTTGTTGCTCTGAGACTCTTCACAGTGACTAAAACAAAGATTTCATAGTCAGATAGATATGACTTCCAGATGCAGGTTTGTCGCCTATGAATTGTGTGATATCAGGATAAGCACAGAAACTCTTCAAATCTTGATTTCTTCCTCTGTAAAAGAGGATAATTTTTGTAGCTACCTTACTGAATTGTCAGAATTAACTGAGATAATTTATGTAAGCCCTCAACATAGTTTTTGCATTCATTAGAACATAGCTATTAAGATTTACAATCTTTCTCTTAATATAACTTAGGTTTTGGGGTGTTTTTTGTTTGTTTGTTTTTATTCCTCTCTTAGCCTGCATCACCATCATTACCCCAGTGTACCCCATACTTGTGTTACAGCTACTTTTTTTAATTGCTTGGTAATTTTTTCTTTGCGTGATGGTTAAATGTATGTGTCAACTTGACCAGGTTACTGCACCCAGTTTGCTTAAGGACTAGGCTAGAAGTTGCTGTGAAGGTAATTTGGAGGTGTGATTAATATTTATAATCAGTTGACATTAAGTAAAGAAAATTTTCTTTGATAATGTGGGTGGACCGCATAAAATCAGTTAAAGTCTTAAGAGAAAAAACAGGTTTCCTGGAGAAGAAGAAATTCTGCCTCAAGGTAGAAATACTGCCTAGGTTTCCAGCCTGCTAGCCTGCCTTTTATTTTAGACTCGAGACTGCAACATCAAATCTTGCATGAGTTTCCAGCCTTCCGCCATGCCTTACAAATTTTAGACTTGCCAGCCCCTACAATCGTAAGCCAATTCCTTAATACAAATCGTGTATGATTTGTGTGTAAATATACATACATAATTGATTATTGGGTCTATTTCTATGGAAAATTCTAACTGATACATCTCCCCTCTTGCACAAAATTAGATCTTGAAAAAAATAGCTAATCTCTGATTATTTTAGAAATTCTATTAAGAATTTCATCCTAACTTCTGACTTTTATATTTCCACCTAATGTGAGATGATCAAGTCTATGGGACAAGGCTAATGTGATTTTGTTTATGTTTTTGTTTTCTCTTCTGAAATCTAGCCCTTGATTTTCTTTTCACAGTCAATTTTCTATTCCCTGCAGCCTTTCACTTCTCATTTACCATGCATCTCCCCCGACACCTCCTGGGAATTTCCACTCCAGTAGCTCTCTCTTTTCTTTTCCATCCCTCCTCGTGGCTGTCTTGTCATGCGTGTTCACTAATAATGAAAATCACTTTACAAATCAGGCTGGGAGGAACCTCAAGTCCATTGGACGTAGCCCAGTGAAAGCTCAATATAAGATCTTTACAACAAGCTCTTACAATATTGCATGACAAACCTTCTGTCAGAGATTTGTTAACAGTTTTCAGGCATGTGGGGAGGTTCAAAGGATTATATGGAGAGCTCCTGGAAATCCCCAGAGCCTAAAATAAAGCATACTTATCCCTTCATTACAGCAGGAGCTGTGATCTACCTCTTTTTGGACAAAGTGCTTGATTTCCTACCCATGGATATTGGTATCCTAAGAAATTTTTATGGACTGTAGCAGCCACCGCGCAGTGAAGCCAATTAATTAAGCTAGTTTTCCAGCTGATAGACTGATGCATTACCACTACTTCAGCAAAGCGCAAATTAGAAGCATATTGTGTCTGATGGCCTGGTCATCTCGTACTGTTGATTTTAATTTGCTAGAGAGGTTGAGGGAGAGGAAGCAACAAAACAAGAATTAAACCTGGGAGTAAATGTGGTAAGGGACTTGTGAATGCTGAAGAAGCATTTATTGAACACTGACTATGTGCAAAATTACATGCGTTATTCGCATCACGTCATTTAAGGGTGAGGTCGATTTTGGTATTATTCCAATTTTTAAAATAAGGAAATAGGCTCAGGGAGATTGAATTACTTTCCCAAGAACATACATCTATTTAGTGGCAGAGCTGGCAGGAAGAAACCTAGGCAATAGTAATAGTTATGTTCTGACCCTCCACTCTCTTAGCAGATTCAATTTCTGTGCCGACCTACTGACTTTTCCTATGTTCTCTTAGCATGCACTTCCTTCATTTCTTCTGTAATCACCATACATCAGGAAGCCATATTCTGTATTCTTGACAATGGATTATGCTCTGTAGGTATCCCATTCTTTTGTGTCAATCCCAAGTGCTAAGAACTAGAATCACATCACAGGGGTAGCAAGATGTGTGCATTTATAGCCTACCCATGGTGGCAAGGGCAGGATCCATCATAATGAAGGCACGAGAAAGGTTGCTATCTGGCTCCTTGGTTGCAGTTGCAGTTGATGAAGGTTAAGACCTTTGAAGCACAGCTGCTTTGATCCCAGCTGCTCTGTAGCTGATCCTGCCAGGCTGATTTGAAGTAAAGGAACCTATCGTTCTCTGTTTGTAGGATATGGGAGTGCTAGAAGGGAATGGGGAGATCAGAGGACCACTTAAGTGGTTGTTGCTAGAATCCAGGTGTCAGATTTGATGAGAGTTTAAGCTGAGACAAGGAAGTAGAGACAACAAGAAAGAAAGAAGGAAAGATTCTGAAGAGTTAAAATCTACAGAATATGGAAAAGTGGGAGGTGAGAAAGGGGGAAAATTATAGGATGAATCACTAATTTCTGAGTGTTGAGACTAATGGATAGAGGCTTCATTAACAGATGAAAGACACAAAAAGAGGAGCAGATGCTCAGCTCTATCTTACAGAGTTCTCCTAACAACCCATGGGAAGGTGGGATTCCAGGAGGAGGGAAAAAAAAGATGCATAGATAGAAGTGAACAAGGCCTATCTATAAAATAGCAAATGAATTAGTATGACTGAAGTGCAGAATGCATGCTGAGGAGAAGAGTGAGATGAGGTTAGAGAGACAGGCGGTGACTAGATCAAGAAGAGAGCTTTAAACCATTTAAGGACTTTTTCCCTTCATTCTTAGATAAAATGGGGTATCATGAATAGGGTTTTTTTTTGTGTATTTTTAGTAGAGACGGGGTTTCACCATGTTAGCCAGGAGGGTCTCGATCTCCTGACCTTGCGATCCGTCTGCCTTGGCCTCCCAAAGTGCTGGGATTACAGATGTGAGCCACCGCGCCCGGCCATGAATAGGTTTTAAGCATGGAAGTTAATTGATGATAAAAATTTTCATTTTAGACAAATTATGGTGCAGAGACTGGTATGGGAATGGTGGAATAATGAATTCGGGGGAGCTGTTGAAGTAGTCAAGCTAATGTTAATTGGAACTAGAACAGTGCCAATGTGAATGAGAAAAATGGATTGAATAGAGAGGTATTTTAAAGATAGATGGACAAGACTTTATCATGACTTAACTATGTTTTTTGCTTAGACAACTAAATTGATGTTGGTGTCATTTAATACATGAGAACCACAGTAGTAAGAACTGGTTTACTATACATTTGTGTGATTACTATTTTCTTGTTTCTTTGATTAGCAGTATCTTCTGATCCACACTTATTCCTCACTGCCCACTATTGGTCACCAATTGGTCTTTTCTCTAGGTCTGTAGAGCATTATCATAAGTAGAAATGTATCAAACTTGTGTAGGTACTACCGCCCACTTGGGTCAGTGGAAAGTTGCATGTTTTGAGACCACGGCATTTGATTCCTTCTTCACTTTCCATCCAGTAATGACTATAGAGGGGAAAGAAAAATCTAGGTTTAGATAAAACATCTAACATTAGGCCTAGGATGTTCTGACTGATGTAGAGATAATTTTTGGTTTGCTCTGATAATGTTCTATCTTTCTCAAAAACACAAACAAACTTTATTTTTTCTTTCCTATCTTTTAACATCTCCCTCCAGAACAAATGCACAGATACACAGACAGACAGACACACACTCACACACACACACATTATACTCCACCTTTTCTATTATTCTCATTCTTCTTCTTCTTTTTTTTTTCTGTCACCAGGCTGGAGTACAGTGGTGTGATCTCAGCTCACTGCAACCTCCACCTCCCAGGTTCAAGCGATTCTCCTGCCTTAGCCTCACAAGTAGCTGGGACTACAGGCATGTGCCACCACGCCCAGCCAATTTTCTGTATTTTTAGTAGAGACGGGGTTTCACCGTGTTAGCCAGGATGATCTCGATCTCCTGACCTCATGATCCGCCCGCCTCGGCCTCCCAAAGTGCTGGGATTACAGGCGTGAGCCACTGCGCCCCGCCTCTTCTCATTATTCTTTACTTTCCAGAATATGTCCTTCATTATCTGACTTCCAGGACTTGGCTAAAGCTCTCCTTCTGTCTGAAATACCACCCCCTCCTCATTTCTTCTTACCAAATCTTATCCATTAGCTTGGATAGCACTAACCTCAGCTCATACTTGCTCTGAGAATCTTCGCAGATCTCCCCATCAAAATTAATCTTCATCCTATAACAATTTGTTTAAACATCTTTTATAGCATTTACCACAATATTCCCATTCATCTGCTTATAGGCTTATCTACCTTGATAGTTTGGTAGCTAATAGAAGACAGCAGCCAATTTGAATACATCTGCACACTTAAGAACTAGTGGCATTAAATCAAGTGTGAAATTTAATTTATTACCTCCCAAATGACCTAGCACAATAAAAGAACACATTAAGTATACAATAATTTTTGATTAAGTGAAATTTCATTTTTATTTTTATCACCTTGGAGAATTGTTTTATTTCCACAATCTTATTAATATATTTATTATTTTTCTCAGGTAACTGCAGATGCATTGAACTCTTTTCCTCAGAGGATACTCAGCACTATAGTTAATACTGACGGGTTTAGATATCTGTTGTAAAGAAGAATAAAATGAACTCACCTGCTTGGAATCAAGTCCAAATGTAACTATTTGTTTAAAGATAGTAAAAGAAAAAAGTTCTTCACAAGGAGTGAAAATATATATACGCTTGACTTAACATACTTAAGCTCTCTTATCTTCTATTTTTGTTATACTTAACAATGACCAAACAAAAACCAACACAGAAAAGTGTGTGTGTGTGTGTGTGTGGGGGGGGGGGGGTGTTGACTTAAGGGTTAGACTAGGATTCTAATTCCCCCTTGCCATTAACATGTTGTTTTGATTTTATTCATGAAAAATGGGATTCTGTAACTTGTCTCATTCCTTTATCTGCTTTGTGACATTAACAATACTAATAGCATTGTGTATCTGAGATAACGTTGTTTATGTAACATTTTATAATCCTCTCCAACATTTGGTCTCTTCTGTTTCTCTCCATCTGCTTTTTGAGTTTCCAGTAAAAAATGAATGTTTGAGGCCAGGCATGGTGGCTCACGCCTGTAATCCTAGCGCTTTGGGAGGCCGAGGCAGGCAGATCGCGAGATCGGGAGATCGAGACCGTCTAGGTTAACACAGTGAAACCCCGTCTCTACTAAAAATACAAAAAATTAGCCGGGCGTGGTGGCGGGCGCCTGTAGTCCCAGCTACTCGGGAGGCTGAGGCAGGAGAATGCCGTGAACCCGGGAGGCAGAGCTTGCAGTGAGCCCAGATTGCACCACTGCACTCCAGCCTGGGCAACAGAGCGAGACTCCATCTCAAAAAAACAAACAAACAAAAACAAAAACAAACAAACAAAAAAGAATGTTTGAGAATGAGATGGAGTGCTCTTTTCCTAATCGCTTTCTAACGTAAACAGCACAAACATAGGGATGTCAACTGGACATAATGTGTTACTATGATTGCCCCTCATTTTTCATCCAATTAAAATATTGGTTTCTTCTTTTTACTCCCTTATTTTTGAAGCATCCCACAGAAAAATGTTTACAAACACCAAAGAACCCTGGGTAGGAAGAATGGATTACTCTGAGAAGCCCATTCAAATAGTGAACAACTTTCTTTACTCATTACCAATGGGCTGATGAATATAGGTAATTCACAGTTGTGTAGAGAAAAAAGGCTATCTGACCTTTATTTCACAGGCTTCCCTGTTACATGTGTGAAATGATCTAGTGCTACTTTAGTATGCAAACAGATGCCTATGCGGTTTTTATAAACTGATCATCTGACAGATTTTGATAAATTAACACCACCTATTAGTAATAGAAATACTGAATGTTGAATATGTTTGTGCCACTAAATAAGTCACTAAAGTATATCGTTTATGCCAATGCTAATGTGAATTTTGAACTAGCTCTCACCAAGAACAATTATTTGTTTTTTTTTTCAGTTTTTACAACTTGCCTCCATGTGATGCTTCATTTCAAAGTGAACCATATAAGTTTAAAGAGTAAGAAAGACTGGCTAATTGTATTAATTTTATGAAAATGAAAATGACTTAGAAAACAATTTCTAATCCCATAGCTCTTGGATAATTAAATTTATGTCAAACAATTAAGTATCATTTAGAATTCAAGCCACAAGCAGATGTCTTCAGACTCACAATAGTGATGCCTATACCCCATGCTTTAAGATAATGGTGATAATTTAGGAATTACACAATTTATACAGGCCTTGCATTGTAAATATTTAAGCGGATATATTTAATGGAAAAAGTTAATGTAACATGAAAATTCTGCATGAAAGAGTAGGTCATTATTTTTCTGAAAACCATGAAATAGTTTGGATATTCTTCCCTGCCCAAATCTTATGTTAAAATGTAATCCCCAGTGTTGAAGTTGAGATCTGGGGGAAGGTGTTTGGGTCATGGGGGAAGATTCCTTGTGGCTTGGTACTGTCCTCATGATAGTGAGTGAGTTCACTTCATTCAAGATCTGGTTGTTTAAAATGTGTAGCACTGCCTCCTTGACTTGCTTCTACTTTTACCATGGGATGTGCCTCCCCTTTTGCTTTCACCATTCATGTAAGCTTCCTGAGGCCTCCCTAGAAGCTGAGCAGATGCCAGTGCCATGCTTCCTGTACAGCCTGCAGTACTATGAGCCAATTAAATGTCTTTTCTTTATAAATTACCCATCCTCGTATTTTTTTTTTTTGGACAGAATTTGGCTCTTTCATCTAAGCTGGAGTAAAGTGACATGATCTCAGCTCACTGCAACCTCTGCCCCTCCAAGTTCAAGTGATTCTCCTGCCTCAGCCTCCTGAGTAGCTGGGATTATAGGCGCCCACCACCACACCCAGCTCATTTTTCTATTTTTAGTAGAGACAAGGTTTTGCTATGTTGGCCAGGCTGGTCTCAAACTCTTGACCTCAGGGGATCCACCAGCCTCGGCCTCCCAAACTGCCGGGATTACAGGCATGAGCCACCACGCCTGGCCTCAGATATTTCTCCATAGCAATGCAAGAACAGCCTCACACAAACCAGTAAGGTAGTTGTGATTGGAACCTTTAAATAAAATGCTTTTTAAAAGTCTCTGGCATCTTAGGTATCATGGAAGTGCCTGCACAGAAAAAATAGCTTAATCTTGTTCAAATAGTTGTAAAATATTATCCTCATGATAAGCCACATGGTACAGAACAGAAATACATATTTTTATTTCAATAAGCCTTCAATTTTGAGTTTGATTCCATATATGAGAACAATTTGGAGTATTCCTGACCTAATTTGTGGTAAAACTAATGAACTCTCTTTATCAAAATACTTATAATCTTCAGGGTGGTTGACTAGGATAGTGTCTATAGAATATAAGTTTGGTGAGTAAGTATATTAGTAAGAACATTAATTTCCCTGAGGTACTTTGGGTATACTGCCATCAGTGACACACACATTACAATATAGGATGGAAATAAATATATGGATGATATAGACAGTTAAGTGATAGATACAGGTAGTTTATAGATAGATAGATAAGTAGATCAATAGATTATAGATAGCCCTGGATTAATTGCTTCCCTAGTCCCTTACAATCATCTTAGGATAGGCTTGAATCACATGTTACACATACTGAAAAACACCCATTGTTCTCTTAAGATTTTTGTGGCTTTCACTTCATATACTTTGCTTGGTTGTGGGGAAATCGTGTCACCCAAGCCACTGTGCTGTTTTTGGTCTGCATTGGGAAGTCTCAGATGTGGAATTTAGCCCTGTTATTTCCACACATACTTTTTAGGTGTTTAGCAGATTTTCCTAGATGTCTGGGGAAGTCATAGCTGTTTACACAGTAATGAAGCAAACAACTTTAAATGGTATATTTAATCATTCCTGTTCTTAAAACTCCTTTGGCCATTCTGCTTTGAGGTAAAATATAGGTGATTTTTTCACTGACTTTTCTTCAAAAGTGAGAAGCAGGGACATTTTACTTCTTCTCCATCAGATAAATGACAGTTACTCCTCCCCACTACTGGGCCAGAGCAGGACAGGGCCTCAGTATTTCCCTATGTTAATACCAGAGTGAGCAGTTAACAACAGCATGCAGCAGCTAGCTTTCTAGAAAGGATGTGAGAATATTATTTACAGTTATTTCATAACGGACAATTGATTTGATGTACGATGATTTTAGTTTGCATGTGCTCTTTCCAGGATATAATCTTTTAATAAGTCGTTGAATATATGTGTGGTTAAACGTGTTTGCTTTAAAAAACGCAACACATTAAAACCGAAGTAAGGCAACATAAATAACCCATGCAGAAAAGATAAAGAGCAAGGATCTTTGCTTTTTTCCCCTTTCCTTGAATGATTAGACTGGTGAGAGAGTATCTTGCTCTATTTTTTTGTTTCCAACAAATAGCTTTTGCATTTATTTTTAATTCTTTAATTTTCTATCTTCAACTCCACTAATTTTGTCTTTTTATCTTCTTAATTATTTCCTCATTCTTGACTTAGGTGTATTTTCTTTTTTAACTTAAAGTAAATGCTGACTTATTTTCACTGAAATTTTGTTAGTTTATAAGAAAAATATTAAATCTCATCTATTTTAATATGGACTATTTTCACATACTACTTCTAAATATTACATATGCGTAGTTTTTACTAATTCTTCTACATGATATATTATCAAACTAGCAATTTTAAACTATAAGAAGTTCTATTTTGTGGTGGTTTATTTGCTTGTATTTTTATTACTTAATATTTTTATTTTATAGTGTTCAGATATTGTGGCCTATACACTTTCTCAATTTAGAGATCTATTCAGGTGAGGAATTTTAGCTTAATGTTGCTTAGTTTTTGTAAATGATTCAGAGGCCTTGGGAAAAAAGGTATAATTTCTCTTTATTTGGCTCATATGACATACAGCTTTTAAATTGACCTTGTTAACTTTAATAGTCATGTCTTCTGTAATTTTAATTTTTGCCTAATTAGTCAGAAAATTACTTAGATATGTTGAAGTATTATACTTCAGTTAGCTTTTTGTGAATTTCTCTGTATATTTCTGACCTCATTTTACTTTATATATTTCAGTGCAATCATATTCAACTAAATATTTATAACATTTACCTTTTCCTTAAAAACTTCTCTTGCCTTCATGCTTTTGACCTTGAATTCTAATTTTTCTTATCATCGTAATGTGACTCTGTTTTAGGAGCCTGTGCAGAAAGAAGTGGTGACACAGAAACTGACAAACTCAGTTAGATTGAAATGAGCAAGGATAAAATTTATTTACATCAAAATGCTACTATTTACACTCAGACCATTCAGGTCAAGTTCATAGCATTAAATATTTCCAGGAACAGGGGGAAACAGAGGGCTTTTTAACAGTCTGTACCTAAGGGAAAAGCTCATGTGTTTGGAGGGCAACGCACTCACTCTTCTGTTAGAGTGTAGAGAAGACAGGTACATTCTTTTGGGTTCTCCAGATAAACAGAATGAATAAAGATCAGTAGATAGATAGGTAGGTAATAAGGAACTGGCTGATGTGACTATGGAAGCTGACTGCCTAGTACCAAGACCTGCAGGGTGAATCAGCAATCTGCAGAACCAGAAAATTCTATAGTATACATTCAGTCCTAGCCTAAACACCTTGGAAACAAGGTAATCAATAGTCTAAGTCCCATTCTGAAGACAGGAAAATGTTGAAGTCTTACTGAGTTTTTTTGTTCTATGCAGGCCTTCATCTGATTGGATGAGGCCTATCCACATTGGGGAGGGGAATCTGCTTTACTTAGTTTGCTGATTTAAATGTTAATCTGGCCTGTAATTTTCTTTTCTTATTGTGTCTTTGTCAGGTTTTGGTATCAGAAAGATGCTGGCTTCATAGAATGAGTTAGGGAGGAGTCCCTTTACAATTCTTTGGAATAGTTTCAGTGGAATTAATACCAGCTCTTCGTATGCCTGCTAAAATTTCAGATTCAGGGCTTTTCTTGGTTGATAGATTTTTTTTTTTTATTACTGATTCAATTAAAAAATTCAATATTGCTCTGTTCAGGGTTTCAGTTTCTTTCTGATTCAATCTTGGGAGGTTGTGTATGTCCAGGAATTCATCTATTTCCTCTAGATTTTCTAGTTTGTATGCATAAATGTGTTCAAAACAGTCTCTTGAGACCTTTTATATTTCTATGAGATTGGTTGTAAATTGACATTTGTCATTTTTTGATGGAATTTATTTGGATCTTCTCTTTTTGTTAATCTAGCTAGTGGTCTAATCTATATTATTTATTGTATTAGTCAGGGTTCTCTAGATGGATAGAACTAATAGAATATATATATATGTGTGTATATATATACATATATATGTATGTATATATATACACATATATATGTATGTGTATATATTTGAATCCACTATACTTAAACTCCTATATATATAATCATATATATATATAATCAACTCAAATGATCACAGGGTCTCACAATCGGCCATCTGCAGGCTGAAGATCAAGTACAGCCGGTCCGAGTTCCAAAACTGAAGAACTTGGAGTCCGATGTTTGAGGGCAGGAAGCATCTACCATGGGAGTAGGCTGGGAGGCTAGGCCAGTCTCTCTTTTCACATTTTTCTGCCTGCTTATTATATTCTAGCCATGCTGGCAGCTGATGAGATGGTGCCTACCCACATTAAGAGTGGGTCTGCCTTTCCCAGCCTACTGACTCAAATATTAATCTCCTTTGGCAACACCCTCACAGACAAACCCAAGATCAATATTATGTATCCTGCAATCCAATGAACTTGACATTCAGTATTAACCATCACATTTATCTTTTTTAGAAAAACAACTTTTGGTTGCATTGATTCTTTGTATAGAGTTTTGGGCCTCAATTTAGTTCAGTTCCACTCTGATGTTAGTTAATTCTTTTCTTCTGCTAGTTAATCGCAGCACTATTCACAAGAGCAAAGACATGGAATTAACCTAAGTGCCCATCAACAGTGGATTGGATTAAAAAAAATATGGTAACATATATATTGGAATACGATGCATCCATAAAAGAGAACAAAATCATGTCATTTGCAGTTACATGGATGCAGCTGGAGGCCATGATCTTAAGTGAATTAACATAGAAACAGAAAATAAAATACAATATGTTCTTACTTATAAATGGGAGCTAAATATTGCGTACTCATGTACATAAAAATGGCAACAATAGACACTGATGAATACTGGAGTGGGAAAGAATGGATGGGGGCAAGGTTTGAAAAACTATTGGGTACTATGTTCACTTCCTAGGTGATGGAATCAATTGCACCCAAAACCCCAGCATCATGCAATATACTCCTGTAACAGACCTGCCCACGTACCCCCTAAATCTAAAATAAAAGTTGAAACTAAAACCCAAAATACCCTCACAGAATAACTCAGAATAATGTTTGATCCATTATCTTGTCAGCCCATGGCCAAGTTAAGTTGACATAAAATTAATCATCACAACAAATATAAGCAAGATAGCAGAGGCCGGGTGCAGTGGCTCATGCCTGTAATTCTAGCACTTTGGGAGGCTGAGGTGGGTGGATCACCTGAGGTCAGGAGTTCAAGACCAGCCTGGCCAACATGGTGAAACCCCATCTCTACTAAAAATACAAAAAGTAGCCAGGCATAGTGGCTGGTGCCTGTAATCCCAGCTACTCAGGAGGCTGAGGCGGGAGAATCGCTTGAACCCAGGAGGCAGAGGTTGCAGTGAGCCAAGATCATGCCATAGTATTCCAGCTTGGGTGACAGAGCGGGACTCCGTCTCAAAAAAAAAAAAAAAAAAAAAAAAAAAGATAGCAGTAAGGTCTAGAGGCAACCCTTCTGGTTTCCAGGGAATGATAGTATATGTAGGGTGAAATATGAAAGGATACAGAAATGTAGTAGCCAATTTAACCAAGTATGTAGCAATTTTTACATATCCAAATGTATAAGCTTAAGCTATAAAATTTGAGTCATATAGATGACAGCAATCACTACTTATTTATCACAGCCTGGGAATTCGTGGTATAGTCTGTGGCTCACCATTTGAGATTGTTGCGAGAACAGGCATTTCCTAGCAGAATAGATCAGAAGAAAGACTTTCTTTAGGTGATTCAGAGACAAAAGGCTGCATGAGTGGGGCTGGAAAATACCAGAAAAAAAAAATGATGCTGTTTTCCTCAAGAGCCATGATAGAAAAATCACGTTATCAGTCAATAGGAGCTGAGTTCAGAAATAGGTCAGCTTTGCCAAGGCAAGGACCTTCTCACCCTGCTACTTAAGAGAGAGTTGGTGGAGAATATCATTGTCCAAATTGTGGGTCCTACAGAAAGGACCTAGATTAAGACAACGTAGTGGAAAGGTGAGTATTTCCAAAGGTGGCAGGTTCTACCCTTCCAATTTTGTGAAGGGCAAATAACACAATTTGGGCTAGAAAATTATAGATAAAGGAATCCAAAGATTTTACTGCTGAGGGTTGGTATATAAGGGTTTGCTGAATAAAAAGCGCATTCAAGTAGTTCTGTATATGTTTGTTAAAATAGTGGGGATAGTAGATTCAAAGGTAAATACTGTTATCAGTTAACTAGAATGGGAGCTTTTAGTTTTCAATGCTAGGAAATGTAAGAACATGAAGCACTATGCAATGGGATAGTAGAAAATGGGAAGGAGGGAATGTACATCTCTTGTTGCCCAATTAAGTCTCTTCTTGCCATTTTTGAAAGTGATTCCAGTGCTGAGAACTAAAAGATATATGCACAGTGCCTTTGAGCACTTCATGGTTTTGCTCCTTCCCTCCCTCCCTTCCTTCCTTCCTTCCTTGTTCCATTCATTCCTTCTTTATTTTGTAAATCATAGCCAGCTCAGAGAATGAGAGTTGTTTGAAGAATCCGTAAGACAGCATCCAAAGTGTAGTGCTTCTTGCAAAGAAGAAACTCAATATTGTTAGTTTTCTTTCCCTGTACTCCCTCACCTCCCTTCACTTATCATCTAGCAGTATCTCCTCTTATGTTTCCTGCATCTTCATTCCCTGGCTGATATGAAGAGATTTGCACCAATGTATAATATATCTGAACTAAGATCCAATTTCCTGTGGCAGGCTCTCTGCATGTCTAGATTTTTCGTCGACTGCTCATATTCTGTATCTGTGTGTTTTAAAGATTATTTTCTTGATGGAATTCATAACTACTTTTAATCTTCTCTAGTAATCAACAGTTAGTTTGTTCATTTGTTTAACACATATTTATTAAGTACTCTGTGCCATATATCATTCTAGATGATGAGAATACAAAGATGAACAAATTGGATCCCCACCAATGGAGAGCTGGGTCTTGTGAAAGTTTAAATAAATTTCCTTCCAATATTGCCTTTGCAAGCCAGTATTTATTTTTCACAGTTGGCATCCTGAAAACCTTGGTGTTTTACCTGACTTGAAAGACTTTTACTCAACAGTCACCAAAACCATGTATAACCATGGGAATCAAGAAAATCGCATAAAAGCATCATAACAATATTTTCATTTTGATTTTTTTCCAAAACAAGATTGTGGGCATTTCTTCAAACGGAAGGCAGAAAATAATTCAAAATCGAAATTTAAGAAGCCCTGAAGTTTAATTAATTACAAACCAAAACGTCTCTTTTTCAATATTAGTCCTTATAAATCTTTGGGTATTTTGCTTCCAAAATATTGGCAGAGCTGAGCTCATTTTAAACATTAAGAACTTAGCATTTCATGTATTAAAAATTCACCTTGGATTTTTGAACTTAAGGAAGTATGATTATATCAATCTAAAGAGGACTCATGAATTACTCAGCTTAATTTGAAACACGTGCATAATACAACAACACTCTTAATAATAGCTGCTATATTTGCATTATACGTCAAATACCATCCTGGGTGTATATTATCCCGTTTAACTATCACAGTATGCCCACAAGATAGCCCAGTTTTTCAGATTAAAGAAGTTTTGAAGAAAATTTGTTCAATTAGTATAATTTCTCAATGGAAAAGTCATTTAATTCTACACTGTCCCTTATGTAATGATGACCATGTTATTGATACTGATCTGCTATATTTAAAGGTAATAGAAAATTTTATGCACCACATGGAAAAATGCCATTTGAGTATAAATAGAACAGTTTTTTCTTTTTTTTACTTTCATGGTACATAAAATAGCTACTAAGGAGTCTACGGAGTCACCATACATTAAGTATCTAAACAGAGAAAAATTTGATGAGTGAATATATGGAAATTTTTTTCCAGTGAATTGCATGACAAGATGAAGCAGCAGGTCTAAATATGAACAACAATCAAAGACATCTTCAATAACTCTAATATAATAGGACATATCTGTGACTTCTGTTAGTGACAACGTCATAGCTACTTTTAATGCTCTTGGCTTGCGTTTAGAAGGGAAAGAAAGTCTGAATTTTTGTTAAAGGCTAGTGAAAATAAATATGGAATTGTTCCCACCCAAGTTCATAGACATCGAGTAACAAACACCTGTTCTAACAGAAGCCATTGCGCTGAGGTTATGTTAGGGAGGAGCTGGGGAAGAAGACAATCTTGGGGTTCACTGAGGGTGATCTGTAGGCCTGAGTGAACTGCCTCAGAAAAAAGCACAGACACATGGCAGCTCGATGACATCAAGCTTATCCATTAACAAATGTAAGTTTTTCCAACTATGGATAGAATCTTTGCATAATGTTTGTTTGTGTTTAGGGTCACTATACTTGAGATATTAGTAGCATTCTGATATTCTATTGTCTTTCTTATTTTCAGTCTGGGATTATAACACATCATCAACTTTTATATGTAGATATTGATATATACTATCAATGTGAATTGAAAATATTGAACAGTATCAATTCATTTTGATACATTTTGAAAATATTGAACAATATCAATTCATTTTCATATATTCTGAAAATATAATTTTTTATTTTGCCTCCAAATCCACATTTATTTATGAAAATAGAAGACATCACAAATAATTTAGCATTTCACATACCTTTTCCTGTAAGTTCTTAGTTATATATTTAACATGCTGAGCCGAAGTGTTACTGGTGACACTTACATTTGCAACAGCTTATTTTTGTTCAAGACACATAATTTCCATGATGCTGGATTGGCACTCTTTTGTATACTTGCCATCTGTATGTTTTGATGCTTGTGGTTTTTCTTTTCACTTAACCGTATTTCACAGTGACATTACTTATTTCATTGGCATTTTTTTAAAATTAAAATTTCAGTTTCCTTTTATAGTTCATTAAGTTTTTCATCATGTATCTTTTCTGTATGCCAGTCATATTTTTAACCATGGTTTGTTTCTGATGATGTCTTAAGCCATATTCTTTCAACACAGATAGGCTTTATTTTCATAGTTAATGCTTAAGCCCAGACCCTCTAGCTCTGCCATTTTCAACATGAGGTGCCCAGACCCTCCAGCTCTGCCATTTTCAACAGGAGGCTTACATCCTGTGATCTATGATGACTTCTCCACATCTGGGTTCATTCTCTAGGACTGCTGTAACACATTACCACAACAGCTTAAAACAATTGAAATTTATACTCTCACACTTCTGGGGGCCAGAAAGTCAAAAATTCAGGTGTGTGCAGGGCTATGCTCCTTCTGAAGTCTCCAGGGAAGAACACTTTCTTATCTCTTCCTGCCTTTTGGTGGTTGCCAGCAATATTTCGTGTTCCTTGGCATGCAGCTGCTTTCACTCCAATCTCTGACTCAAGCATCCCATGGCCACCTTCCTGAATCTGCATTCAGATTCCCCTCCTAAAAAATGGGTATACCATTTATCTGTTGATGAACATTTGAGCTCTTTCTACCTCTTTACTATTGTGAATAATGTTGCTGTGAACGTATATGTACATGTATTTGCTTGAGTTCCTGTTTTCAATTTATTTGAGTATATAGCTAGGAGTGGACTATAGGGTTACATGGTATTTCTATATTTCACTTTTTGATGAACCACCAAACTGTTTACCATAGTGGCTGAATAATTTTACACTCTTACCAGCAATAAACTACAATTTCAATTTTTCCACATCTTTTGAACACTTGTTATGTTCTGTTTTCATTATTATTATTGTAGCCATACTAGGGGATATGCAGTAGGACCTCTTTGTGGTTTTGATTTGCATGTTCCTAATGACTAATGATACTAAGAATCTTTTCATGTCCTTTTTGACCATTTGTATATCTTCTATGGATTAATGTCTATTTAGATCCTTTGTCTATTGTAAAAATTGGGTTGTCTCTTTCTAGTTCACCTGTAAGAGTTCTTCATATAGTATAGATACTAGACCCTTACCAGATATGGGATATGCAATTATATTGCATTCTGTGTGTTGTCTTTTTCTTTCTTGATAATGATCTTTGATACCCCAAAATTGTTCATTTTGATGAAATCCAATTTATCTGTTTTTTGTGTATGTTTCTTGTGCTTTTTATGTCGTATCTAACAATCTATTGCCAAATCCAAAGTCATGAAGATTTAACCTGGCATTTTCTTCTACGAATATATCTTTTTGGAGAGACATAATTCAACCCACAATTGAGCCCAACATGATGTCTTCATTTGAGCTAGTGAGAAAGAACAGTGTGTTAGTCTGTTTTCAAGCTGCTGATAAAGACATATCCAAGACTGGGAAGAAAAAGAGGTTTAATTGGACTTACAGTTCTACATGGCTGGGGAGCACTCAGAATCATGGTGAGAGGTGAAAGGTGATTCTTACATGGAAGTGGCAAGAGAAAATAAGAAAAAAGCAAAAGTGGAAACCCCTGATAAACCCATCAGCTCTCGTGAGACTTATTCACTATCACGAGAATAACACGGAAAAGACTGGGCCCCATGATTCAATTACCTCCCACTAGGTCCCTCCCACAACATGTGGGAATTCTGGGAGATACAATTCAAGTTGAGATTTGAATGGGGACACAGCCTAACCATATCAAATGGGGAAATGTAAAATGAGAGAGTACGTTCTATGTCTTGATGTGTATTATCTGGAATAAAACATCACTTCTTGCTCATAATCCATTGGCTGGTACTTAATTCTACTTTATAGTCAAATTCAGGAAAAGATAGGGTGGGAAAAGTATAGTTTAGCTTTATGCCCATAAGATCAACAAAGCTCTATTATTGTGAGAATAAGTATACATGAAAAACTAGCTACCTTTGCCACAGTTGAGTCAATGTTTTGTGGTTATACTTTTTAAATTTAATATTTTGCAGACAGCATCCTTTTATAAGATGAAGGTTTCTGTGGACACTTTTAGGGCCAGTGTAATCTCCCCTCCCTTGTTTTATTTGCCTCGATGACTAAAGAATAACTGTTTGTTCCTTAAAATTAAATAACACAACCAGACTATCTAAATGTTGACAATTTTGTATCTGATCTTTTAAGGTATAGTGTGACATTTTAATCTGCAGATTCTGAATTATTTTTGTAATGCTTTTTATTTCACTTTCATTTCCATTTCCAGTTGGGGATTCTACTTTTGGAATAACAAATTATATTTGGTTTTCATCTGTGACTGCTCAGTTACTTGCTGTTTATACATTATTTATTAGTTCAATAACAATAGTGTTTAAGTCCTCAATTGTTTCCTTCACTTTGCACTATTCCTTTTCATTTGAAGATTCACTTTGATGCTTTATCATCTTATTTTTGATTTCTTGTTTTAATAAATTTCATTGTATTCAGTATAGTGTTGAACATTTTCTGGATAAATTATTCTTTTTATTTCCTTTTTAACAAAATATGTGTTTGCTTGTTCTTTTTTTTTCCATTTTTCCTCCACCCTCAACCAAAGAAGTTTTACATAGATGTCTTAACATATTAAAAAATTAATTCTATTTAAAGTGGAGAGCTCTACAAAAAAATCAGTGAATCCAGGAGCTGGCTTTTTGAAAAGATCAACAAAATTGATAGACCACTAGCAAGACTAATAAAGAAGAAAAGAGAGAAGAATCAAATAAACGCAATAAAAAATGATAAAGGGGATATCACCACCGATCCTGCAGAAATACAAACTACCATCAGAGAATACTATAAACACCTCTACACAAATAAACTAGAAAATCTAGAAGAAATGGATAAATTCCTCGACACATACACCCTCCCAAGACTAAACCAGGAAGAAGTTGAATCTCTGAATAGACCAATAACAGGCTCTGAAATTGAGGCAATAATTAATAGCTTACCAACCAAAAAAAGTCCAGGACCAGATGGATTCACAGCTGAATTCCCCCAGAAGTACAAGGAGGAGCTGGTACCATGCCTTCTGAAACTATTCCAATCAATAGAAAAAGAGGGAATCCTCCCTAACTCATTTTATGAGGCCAGCATCATCCTGATACCAAAGCCTGGCAGAGGGACAACAAAAAAAGAGAATTTTAGACCAATATCCCTGATGAACATCGATGCAAAAATCCTCAATAAAATACTGGCAAACCGAATCCAGCAGCACATCAAAAAGCTTATCCACCGTGATCAAGTGGGTTTCATCCCTGGGATGCAAGGCTGGTTCAACATACACAAATCAATAAAAGTAATCCAGCATATAAACAGAACCAAAGACAAAAACCACATGATTATCTCAATAGATGCAGAAAAGGTCTTTGACATAATTCAACAGCCCTTCATCTAAAAACTCTCAACAAATTAGGTATTGATAGGATGTATCTCAAAATAAAAAGAGCTATTTATGACAGACTCACAGCCAATATCATACTGAATGGGCAAAAACTGGAAGCATTCCATTTGAAAACTGGCACAAGACAGGGATGCCCTCTCTCACCACTCCTATTCAACATAGTGTTGGAAGTTCTGGCCAGGGCAATCAGGCAGGAGAAAGAAATAAAGGGTATTCAATTAGGAAAAGAGGAAGTCAAGTTGTCCCTGTTTGCAGACGACATGATTGTATATCTAGAAAACCCCATCATCCCAGCCCAAAATCTCCTTAAGCTGATAAGCAACTTCAGCAAAGTCTCAGAACATAAAATCAATGTGCAAAAATCACAAGCATTCTTATACACCAATAACAGACAAACAGAGAGCCAAATCATGAGTGAACTCCCATTCACAATTGCTTCAAGGAGAATAAAATACCTAGGAATCCAACTTACAAAGGATGTGAAGGACCTCTTCAAGGAGAACTACAAACCACTGCTCAACGAAATAAAAGAGGACACAAACAAATAGAAAAACCTTCCATGCTCATGGATAGGAAGCATCAATATCATGAAAATGGCCATACTGCCCAAGGTAATTTATAGATTCAATGCCACCCCCATCAAGCTACCAATGACTTTCTTCATAGAATTGGAAAAAACTACTTTAAAGTTCATGTGGGACCAAAAAAGAGCCCGAATTGCCAAGTCAATCTTAAGCCAAAAGAATAAAGCTGGAGGCATCACACTACCTGACTTCCAACACTACTACAAGGCTACAGTAACCAAAACAGCATGGTACTGGTACCAAAACAGAGATATAGACCAATGGAACAGAACAGATCCCTCAGAAATAATACCACACATCTACAACCATCCGATCTTTGACAAACCTGACAAAAACAAGAAATGGGGAAAGGATTCCCTATTTAATAAATGGTGTTGGGAAAACTGGCTAGACATATGTAGAAAGCTGAAACTGGATCCCTTCCTTACACCTTATACAAAAATTAATTCAAGATAGATTAAAGACTGAAATGTTAGACCTAAAACCATAAAAACCCTAGAAGAAAACCTAGGCAATACCATTCAGGACATAGGCATGGACAAGGACTTCATGTCTAAAACACCCAAAGCAATGGCAACAAAAGCCAAAATTGACAAATGGGATCTAATTAAACTAAAGAGCTTCTGCACAGCAAAAGAAACTAACATCCGAGTGAACAGGCAACCTACAGAATGGGAAAAAATTTTTGTAATCTACTCATCTGACAAAGGGCTAATATCCAGAATCTACAATGAACTCAAACAAACTTACAAGAAAGAAACAACCCCATCAACAAGTGGGCAAAGGATATGAACAGACACTTCTCAAAAGAAGACATTTATGCAGCCAAAAGACACAATAAAAAATGCTCCTCATCACTGGCCATCAGAGAAATGCAAATCAAAACCACAATGAGATGCCATCTCATACCAGTTAGAATGGCGATCATTAAAAAGTCAGGAAACAACAGGTGCTGGAGAGGATGTGGAGAAATAGGAACACTTTTACACTGTTGGTGGGACTGTAAACTAGTTCAACCATTGTGGAAGACAGTGTGGCGATTCCTCAAGGATCTAGAACTAGAAATACCATTTGACCCAGGCACCCCATTACTGGGTATATACCCAAAGGATTAGAAAGCATGCTGCTATAAAGACACATGCACACATCTGTTTATTGCGGCACTATTCACAATAGCAAAGACTTGGAACCAACCCAAATGCCCATCAATGATAGACTGGATTAAGAAAATGTGGCACATATACACCATGGAATACTATGCAGCCATAAAAAAGGATGAGTTCATGTCCTTTGTAGGGACATGGATGAAGCTGGAAACCATCATTCTCAGCAAACTCTCACAAGGACAGAAAACCAAACACCACATGTTCTCACTCATAGGTTGGGTTCTGTTGTGGGGTGGGGGGAGGGGGGAGGGATAGCATTAGGAGATATACCTAATGTAAATGATGAGTCAATGGGTGCAGCACACCAACATGGCACATGTATACATATGTAACAAAACTGCATGTTGTGCACATGTACCCTAGAACTTAAAGTATAATTTTAAAAAAGTGGAGAGCTCTAAGTAGTCTATATTTTTTTCTTCATTGGACCCTCTTAGGCCAAGTAGGGAAATCCAGCAATACAAGGCAGATGTAGCTATACTAAGCAGCCTATTTCTGTTGATATAATTTACATGGATTCATCTTGACTCCCATTTCATTGTGTTGTAATTTTTTTCTTTTTCCTTTATGGGGAGACACCATTTGGGAGCTAAGTCTCCTCTCATCTAGAGGAATGAGTAAGTGTGGGGAAAAAAAGCTATCATCTATGTCCATGGGCAGAACTGTTTACCAGACTTAGGATTTGCCTTGTCTTTTAAGGCCTTCTTAAGTGTCCTGTAACTTTTCCTAGTTTATTTTCTTCTTTTGCAGCATTTCTATCTTAAGGCACATTTCTACTACTTCAAAAAGAGTGCAAAATGATAGGTTGAAGGGGGTTTTGGGTTATGGTCTCATCGCACTGAGAGCAGACATTAAGTGTTAAAGGCTCATTGCTCATTCAGATGTCATTTCTCCCAACTCCCACTCCCTTGGGTTTTATTTTCTTTTTGGTCTTCTGTTTGACTGCATTTCTTTTTATTGTTGGCAATAATTAAGTCTGAGCTTTTACAATCCTTCTAATTTTTCTCTTCAACTATCCTCCCAGTGGGAAATTGAGAGCCACTGCAAATTCCAGCAATATTTCTGGACTGCGGTTAGAGGAGGAAGGTAATAGGATTGGGCTTTTTAAATAATGGAACTTTCTGCACATTGAACTGGATTTGGTGACATCCTCTTCCTTTTAGACACATTGTAAATTGGGGGTAGGTTGTAATATTTCTCAGGGTTATGTTTACTCACCTCTCTTCCTGGAATGTTTCTATAGATGGTAGATCATATGGTTAGGCTTTGTATACCCACTCACATTTCATCCTGAACTGTAATCCCCTTAATCCCCACGTGTCAAGGAAGAGACAAGGTGGAGGTAATTGAATCATGGGTGTGATTTCCCCCATGCTGTTCTCATGATTGTGGGTGAGTTCTCATGAGATCTGATGGTTTTATAAGGGGTTTCTTCCCCACTTTGCTTGACACTTCTCCTTCCTGCCACCTTGTGAAGAAGGTGACTTGCTTTCCCTTCACCATCTGCCGTGATTGTAAGTTTCCTGAGGCCTCCCCAACCATGCTGAACTCTGAGTCAATTAAACCATTTTCCTTTATAAATTGGTCAGTCTCCAGCAGTTCTTTGTAGCAGTGTGAAAATGGACTAATAAAGTAAATTGGTACCACAGACAGTGGGGTGCTGCTATAAAGATACCCAAAAATGTGGAAGTGACTTTGGGACTGGGTAACAGGCAGAGGCTGGAATACAATGGAGGGCTCAGAAGAAGCCAGAAAGATGTGAGAAAGTTTGGAACTTCCTAGAAACTTGTTGAATGGTTTTGACAAAAAAAGCTGATAATGATGTGGACAGTGAAGTCCAGGCTGAGATGGTCTCAAAAGGAGATGAGGCACTTCTTGGGAACTGGAGCAAAGGTCACTCTTTCTGTGCTTTAGCAAAGAGACTGGCAGCATTTTGCCCCTGCTCTAGAGATCTGGGGAACTTTGAATGTGAGATAGTTGACTTAGGGTATCTGGTGGAAGGAATTTCTAAAAGGAAGCATTCAAGAGAAAGCAGAGCATAAAAGTTTGAAACATTTGCAGCCTATCAATGCGTTAGAAAAGACAAAATCATTTTCTGGGGATAAATTCAAGCCAGCTTCAGAAATTTGCATCAGTAACAAGGAGCCAAATGTTAATCACCCAGACAATGGGGAAAATGTCTCCAGGCATGCCGGAGGTCTTCTTGGCTGCCCCTCCCATCACAGGCCCAAAGGCCTTGAGGAAAAAATGGTTTCCTGGGCCAGGCCCAGGGCCTTGCTGTTTTGTGCAGTCTTGGGACTTGGTGCCCTGCATTCCAGCTGTGGCTAAAAGGGGCCAGTGTACAGCTCAGGCTGTTTCCCCAGTCTTTCACTTGTAATTTACATTCTCTTTTTAGTTTACTGTTTTTTATCATGAAAGTGTGTTGGATTTGGTGAAATGTGTTTTTTGAATCTATTGAGATGATTATATGTTTGTTTTTAATTCATTGATGATATTAGAATGTTTAAAAAAGCATGATTCCTAGGGGAAACTCTACTTTATCATGGTACATTATCCATTTCATATATTGATTGATTCTCTATCTCATTCTGGATGGCTTCAACTGTTATGCCTTAAAGCAAACTATCCTTTCTTACTGCCATGTCTAAGCTGCCACTAATCCTTCGAGTGAATTTGCCAACTGAAATACTATAGTTTTCATCTCCTACAGTTATACATGACTCTTTTGTCTTCATATCTGTACTTTACTTTTTGAACATACAGAATACAGTCATAATAACTGTTTTAATGTTCTTGGCTATTAATTTTGATATTTTGTCAGTTGTGAGATGGTTTCTATTTCTCAGAGTAGTTTA
Source organism: Homo sapiens (assembly GCF_000001405.40). Classification (NCBI taxonomy): domain Eukaryota; kingdom Metazoa; phylum Chordata; class Mammalia; order Primates; family Hominidae; genus Homo; species Homo sapiens. The sequence goes on along the minus strand of NC_000023.11, from coordinate 143,241,576 downwards.
TATGTGAATTTCTCATACTTTAGTGAGGTTAAACATGTTTTCAGATTCCTAAGGGTTAGTTCTATATTTTTAAAATAAATTTTCTGATCATGTCTTCTTTTTTCCATTTTTTCCTCCATCACATTTTCGGTCTTGTCACACTATTTTAAAGTCTTTACATATTAGTGATATTGGTCCTTTACCTGTGATCTATGCTGCAAATAATTTTTCAAGTTTGTCCCTTTTATCTGAGTGTGTTTATGTTGTGTTTGTCATGCTTTCTATTAAAATAATCATTGTAAGTAGTATAATGTATCAATACATCTTCTACAGGTAAGCAACCAGTGACGCCAAGAAGTGATTGCTTTATAGGAAACCCACAAAGCACTCATAATGGCAAAAGGTCACATGCTCAGGTGAGGACTAGAGGTGACTGAATCTGCTGTCAAAATGAGGAACATAAGGCCTGTGGTTAACTCCATGACTCCCTTCCAAGCTAAAAACCTGAATTAGAGGCAAATGGTCAGGACAGGACTTATTCACATCTTCCCAGAGAGTGAGAGCTTGTTTAAATTGTTTATAAAAATTTATTCTTCTAGTGTTCTTCTTCCTGCTTTATTTCTCCGGAAGGCCATAGGATAAAGAAGGAAGGCAGCATGTTAACAAGGTCAGCAGTAAAATATGATGAAAAATGTGTCTGCTGTCTGAGGATGCATACTGAGAAATGCCTTTCACATGAGGCACACATACCTTTGGTTAAGGTAAGCCCCTCCCTGGGTACACTAGTAAGTCTAAGGTTGTAGTTTCCTGATGAAAATAACCCAGAACAACTCCCAGCATGTGCATATTTCCCCCTCCTCACCTGTAGTAGTAAAATCCAAGTCTGCATATTATACCTACAGAAATAAACAAGATTTCCCAGATATGAATTAAGTTGGGGATACACTGTAGAGCAAGTTTATTCATGGAAGCCTTGGCAGCCTAAAGCCAGTGATTTTGGATTGAAAACTAAAAGCTGAGGAGAGCTATGAGAACATTGGAAAAAGGAGGCAGGATGGGAAAGTTGTCTGCTAGGAACCAAGAAATGACTGGTCTTTAAGGCAAATAAGGGGAATTTGTAGAAGAGGAGTGGGAAGATTCATACCCCCATGGAGGCTTAAAAATGGTCACAATGCCTTGGAAGGATTTTGGCAAGCCATTCAAAATACTAGATAATGACGAAGACTGAGAGAGAACAGAATGAACAACTGGATGGGGGTGGCTATGGGGAGAGACTTGGAGAATACTCTCTCTTCCTGCTATGTGTACCATCAGAATTGAACCAGGGGAAATGTGAACGGGTCTCCAGTTACTTTGGGATGAATCTTTCGGGGGTTCTAAAGAAACTTCCTTTTCCTCCAACCAGAGAATCTTGGCCTCCTCCACACTTCACCGGCACCCCCCACAATCATCATGGAGGAGTCAGCAATGGTGCTTTGGGATGGTAAGCCACTCCAGGGCTGCACTGTCTGGAGGAGAAACTTGATAACCAAACAAAGCCTAACAATGTGGTTCTTCATTGCCTAGACAAGAGTTATAAATAAGGAAGGTAGGAACCCTGGAGAGGACCACTGCTTGGCTTCAATGTGGATGAGACACTTGGCAAATAGTCTGGCACAGACATTGAACAGCCAACCACACATGGAGGACAACCAACCATAAGCACAGACCAACCACACTCAACCTTGGAACAACCATTCACAAGCACTGTAGAAGAAATGAAAGAGAGGATGACTCCTTGCCAGTGTGAGTGCAGAGGCAGTGACAAGATCAGATGACCCTGCCCATGCTCTTCTACCCTATAGATTCTCCACCCAAGACCCCTACACTGTGCTTGCCTAGCACAAGTACCCCCACTAGACCACATGCTTCTCAGGGTTTCCATCCAGTCCTCAATCTCCTCTACCAAATGAATGCCCTTCTATGCTCACTGTGTTGCCTTTCCAGGTACATGAGATAGCCAAAAGGGTAGAAATGCCCCTGCAAGCATGTGCAGGCCAAAGATCCTCCAAAATATCTATCTCCCAATCAAGAAAGCACAAGACATAAACAAAGTCAGCAATATTCATCTGTTACCACCATCTGAAGATAGTGAATCAAAATAAGAGAAAGACACTGCTGGAGCATAACCAGGAAATCCCAATTAATTTCACTGCTCCTCTAGTGATGTTTACAGACCTAGAATTATCCTCTGAGTCTCAAAAGAAAGTAGCCTATGGAAACATGACCAACCACTTACAGACCAATGTTACAAAGATGGTAAACTTGTTATTGTGTAGTTTGGGTTCCTTGTATATTTTGGATATTATCCCCTTATCTGATGTGTGATTTGCATTTTTTCTCCCAATCTGGGGGTTGTCTCTTTACTTGATTGTTTCCTTTGCTGTGCAGAAGCTTTTTAGCTTGATACAATCCTATTTGCTTATTTTTGTTTATGGTGGTAATTTAAACAAAATCAGAAATATATAAAAACATGTGTGCGTCTCTTCCTGTTCCCTGATGGTGGGGATGGGGAGAGGAAGGGATAAGGGAAGTGTGTGAATAGAGGGATGTGAGTTCTTGCAGGATTGCAGTCAGAGCAGCAGCAGGTCCACAGTTAGCCAGACATTTCTCTTTAACATATTATCCCAAAGGCAAAGAAGAAAGGGATTTGCTGTTTCAGCATTACTCTGTGTGTGTGTGTGTGTGTGTGTGTGTGTGTGTGCGCCTGTATGTGTGCACATTGTGAGAGGAGGGCAGTGTTGAGATGTGTTTTGTGTTCTGTGACAATGAACCATCCCCCCAAAAAGGCAGACTAAGAAATTACCTCCAGGCGTCATATCTCATAGTGGTGTTTATTGCATGTCACTCTATGGGATAAGCACATAAACGCCCTCAGAAAGACCAAAAGTGTCAACCTAGTGAATGTCATTGACAGCAACCCTAAACACTGAAATAATGGTGACTGCTGGCCATACATCACTAATTAGGACACTTCCTTGCTAAGAAGTTTAAGGAAAAGCAGTAGCCTACCAAGGGTGGAACAGTGGGATTGGTCTACCCCGATTAAGGCGATAGAGGGGAACATTGTCTACAGCAAATTTTAATAGAAGAATGAAACAGTATGAGCTGGTCTTTTTTTAATTATCATCTCTATACACCAGCATTTCTAAATAATTTTGGTCATTACTTTTTACCTCCCCTCCACCCAGAACTTTCTGTTTGGGGTGGTCGTGGAGGGTTTTTACATCAAGTCTAGAAGGCTCAGTTAATCACATTCTCTGAGTTCATTGTTCAGGACTCTCTGCTGTTTATTTATTCACTCATTTATTTCTCTTTATTTCCACTCCCCAGTGCTCTCCTTCTCTTCAATGTCAATCACTCTAATAAATTTTATCCATATTGTTTCTTTTGCCTGAGTGTTAATAAAATGCATACTGTAGTATGCGGACATGCATTTTAAATTTATGCATGTGTTGTTACATATCATTGTTTCTTGCTGTTTCACTTGGTATTATTTTTAAGATCTATCCATGTTGCTATGTGACTGTCTGGTCTGTTATTTTTTCTCTGGTAACCGAACATTTTGGATATGTTATTTTTTGCTATGTAAACGTCAAACGATATTTGGATTTTCTGTAACACAAAACATTTTTACTAGGTTAGTTAAATATATCTTAATTGCCTACCAAGTGACATTTTAGTTTGTAATTTAAATTCAACTTAATATTTTATAATACCAATGAGGTAATTAAACATTTCTTATAATGATAATGAATTAAAGTAAGGTAATTATACATATATGGCTTCTTAAAAATATTTGACTTAATTAGGTCAGAATGAGATTTGTCTGTTGAATAATTATTACATTTCAACTAACGTTTTCTGAAAAAAAAATACAGCAATTAAGCTTGAGGTAGTTATTGGACTTGATTAGTCAGAAAGAATATCTGGTGATTCTTTTGATTCCATCATAGGGTAATAGCTAAATTGGTTGTTTTCTATCTATATCTATGTGACATCAGGAAAATTTTTGTTCCTAGCTGAAGGATGAAAACTAACACATTTATTTTTATGGATTTGATAGAGAAAAATAGTGGCTTTCCTTGACTGACTCTGATTCTTCTTGTAAATGACTTGAATATAGAACCTGCCTTAGTGCTGGATTACTCGAATTGGTGAGAGGTCTAGTTTCCAAATGAAGAGAAGCAATAAAGTGCAGTTTACTTCTGTCATACTAGTCATGTTCATATTGCTTCTCTGTTTTAGGCACACACTATCAATATGAAGAGTCACTAGGTATTTTGTGTGGAGGCGGAGTAGCAGAAGGCTCAGCTATTGTGCCAAGAAGGAATTAAAATTATTTTTGTAACTTCAAATGTTACTCATTCATAGATGGTAATGTGTTTTCAAGTTTCTTCTTCAGGCGGGGCATGGTGGCTCACGCCTGTAATCCCAGCACTTTGGGAGGCCGAGGTGGGCGGATCACGAGGTCAGGAGATCGAGATCATCCTGGCTAACACGGTGAAACCCCGTCTCTACTAAAAATACAAAAAAACTAGCCGGGTGTGGTGGCGGGCGCCTGTAGTCCCAGCTACTCGGGAGGTTGAGGCAGGAGAATGGCGTGAACCCAGGAGGCGGAGCTTGCAGTGAGCCGAGATCGCGCCACTGCACCCCAGCCTGGGTGACAGAGTGAGACTCTGTCTCAAAAAAAAAAAAAAAAAAAAAATTAAAGTTTCCTCTTCAGGTTTCTGGGCAAGCTAAATCACCTCAGGAAACAAATAATGAACAACAGCAGAAACACTCTCCTGATACCCATATGCACATGTACACACACACATGCACAGGCACACGTACACAGAAACACAAGCTTCTCTAAAACATGTGGAAGGAAGGCATATATCAAATGCGTGAGAGGAGATCCTCACCTCTGAGTGGCTGCAGTGCTTTCTGTTTTATTTTTTAATTTTTTTTTTTGAGACAGAGTCTCGCTGTCGCCCAGGTTGGAGTGCAGTGGCGCAATCTTGGCTCACTGCAGGCTCCGCCCCCCGGGGTTCACGCCATTCTCCTGCCTCAGCCTCCCGAGTAGCTGGGACTACAGGCACCCGCCACTTCGCCTGGCTAATTTTCTGTATTTTTAGTAGAGACGGGGTTTCACTGAGTCAGCCAGGATGGTCTCGATCTCCTGACCTCGTGATCCGCCCGCCTCCACCTCCCAAAGTGCTGGGATTACAGGCGTGAGCCACCTCGCCCAGCCTTATTTTTTATTTATTATTTCTTAAAGACAATTTCTTCAATAATTGGTGCTAGGAGAAATGGATATCCATATTCAGAATAATGAAATTACAAAATTAGATCCCTATCTCTCAACATATACAATAATTTAAAAAATACTTTTATTTTTAAATTTTGTGGATACATAGTACGTGTATATATTTATGGAGTACATGAGATGTTTTGATATAGGCATGCAACGCATACTAATCACAACATGGAAAGGGGGTATCCATCTCCTCAAGCATTTATTCTTTGTGTTACAAGCAACTCAATTACACTGTTTTAGTTATTCTAAAATGTACAATTAAGTGATTATATTAAACTATTATTTACTATAGTCACCCTGTTGTGCTATCAAATAGTAGGCCTTATTCATTCTTTCAATTTTTTTGTACCCATTAACCATCTCCTCCTCCCTACCAGCCCCCCACTACTCTGCCCAACCTCTGGCAACCAGTCTTCTACTCTCTATTTCCATGAGTTCAATTGTTTTTATTTCTAGATCTCATAAACAAGTAAGAAGATGCTGTGTTGGTCTTTCTGTGCCTGTTTTATTGCACTTAACATAATGCTCTCCAGTTCCATCCATGTGGTTGCAAACAACAGCATCTCATTCTTTTTATGGCTGAATAGTATTCCATTTTGTATATGTACTACATTTTCTCTATCCATTAATCTGTTGATGGACACTTAGGTTGATTCCAAAGCTTAGCTATGGTGAACTGTGCTGCAACAAACCTTGGGGAAAGGATACTCTTCAATACATTGGTTTCCTTTCTTTTGTGTATATACCTAGCAGTCAGATTGCTGGATGGTATGGTAGCTTTATTTTTAGTTTTGTGAGGAACCTCCAAACTGTTCTCCATGGTGATTGTATTAATTTACTTTTCCACCAACAGCTTATGAGGGTTCCCTTTTCTCCATCTTCTCACCAGCATTTGTTAAATATTTGTGAAATATTCTTTTGTTTTGTTTTGTTTTTGTTTTTTGCAGGCAACAGATCAATGGGTCTTTTTTTTTTTCATCTATTAAGCCTCTTTATAACTTTGATTGGAAAGTTTAGTCCATTTACATTCAATGTTGTTATGGGTAATTAAGGACTTACTCCTGACATTTTGTTATTTGTTTTCTGATTGTTTTGTGGTTTCCTCTTCCTTCTTTTTTCCTTCCAGTCTGTTTTTCAGCAAAGGTGATTTTTCTCTGGTGATATGATTTAGTTTCTTGCATTTTATTTTTCTTCATCCATTGTATATTTTTTGGTTCGAGATTACCATGAGGCTTGCAAATATTATCTTTTTTTTTTTTTTTTTTTTTTTTTTTTGAGACGGAGTCTCACTCTGTTGCCCAGGCTGGAGTGCAGTGGCGCAATCTCAGCTCACTGCAGGCTCCGCCTCCAGGGTTCACGCCATTCTCCTGCCTCAGCCTCCCGAGTAGCTGGGACTACAGGTGCCCGCCACCACGCCTGGCTAATTTTTTGTATTTTTAGTAGAGATGGGGTTTCACTGTGTTAGCCAGGATGGTCTCGATCTCCTGACCTCGTGATCTGCCCGCCTTGGCCTCCCAAAGTGCTGGGACTACAGGCGTGAGCCACTGCGCCCGGCCAGCAAATATTATCTTATAACCCTTTCTTTTAAGCTGTTTGCATAAACAAACAAACAAAAACTAATAAAAACTCTACACCTCAACTTTGCCTTTCCCCCGCTTTTTAAGTTTTTATTGTTATTTATATCTTACTGTACTGTATATGTCTTAAAAAGTTGTTTTTGTTATTAATTTTAATTTGTTCATTGTTTAGTCTTTCTACTTAGGATAAGAGTAGCTTACACACCGTAGTTACAGTGTTATAATAGTCTGTTGTCCTGTGTGTACTTACTATTAACAGTGAGTTTTGTACCTTCAGGTTATTACTTAGTGTTCATTAATTTTCCTTGTGATTAAAGTATTCCCTTTAGCATTTCTCGCAGGGCAGATCTGTTGAAATCCCACAGCTTTTTTTTTTTTTTTCCGGTAAACTCTTTATTTCTTTTTCATGTTTAAAAGATATTTTAGCCAGACATACTGTTCTAGGGTAAAAGTTTTTTTTTTTTTGTTTTTTTTTTTTTTTTCCTTTAGCCAGGCATACTATTCTAGGGTAAAAGTTTTTTTGTTTTTTTTGGTTTTTTTTTCCTTCAGCACTTTGAATTTGTCATGCCACTTTCTCCTGATCTGTAAGGTTTCCGCTGAAAAGTCTGCTGCCATATGTATTGGAGCTCAATTGTGTGTTATTTGTCTCTTTTCTCTTGCTGCTTTTAGGATCCTTTCTTTATCTTTGACCTTTGGGAGTTTGATTATTAAAAGTCTTTAGTTAGTCTTCCTTGTCTTTAATCTCCTTGGTGTTCTATAACCTTCTTGTCCTTGGATATCATTATCTATCTCTAGGTTTGAGAGGTTATCTGTTATTATCCCTTTAAATAAACTTTCTACCTCTATGTTTTTTTCTACCTCCTCTTTAAGGCCAAGACCTCTTATATTTGCCCTACTGAAGCTATTTTCTAAATCCTGTAGGTGTGCTTCACTGTTTTTTTCTTTTTTATTTAGTCTCCTTGGACTGTGTTTTTCCAAATAGCTTGTCTTTAAGTTCACTAATTCTTTCTTCTGTTTGATCAATTATGCTATTAAAAGACTCTAATGAATTATTCCATATGCCAATTGCGTTTTTCAGCTTCAGAATTTCTGCTTGATCCTTTTAAATTATTTCAATTTCTCTGTTAATTTTATCTAATAGATTTCTGAATTTCTTGTCTGTGTTATCTTGGATTTCTTTGAGTTTTCTCAACACAGCCCTTTTGAATTCTCTGTCTGAAAAGTCACATATTTCTGTTTCTCCAGCATTGGTCCCTGATACCTTATTTAGTTCATTTGGTGAGGTCATGTTTTTTTGGATGGTGTTGATGATAGCAGATGTTCTTTAGTGTCTGGGCATTGAAGAGGTAGGTATTTATTGTAGTCTTCACTCTCTGGGCTTGTTTGTACCTCTTCTTCTGTGCAAAGCTTTCCAGATATTTGACACAAATTAGGTGTTGTGATTTAAGCTTTATCTGCTTTAGAGGGTACTGTGGTTCTTGCAGACTTGTAGTGGTACTGCCTTGATTGTTTTGGACAAGATCTGGGATAATTCTCTATTACCAGGCAGAGACTTTTGTTCTCTTCCCTTCCTTTCAAACAAATGGAGTCCTTCTCTCTGTTCTGAGACACCTAAATCTTGGGACGTAATGACTCATGTAGCCCTACGCCCACCACCACTAGGACTGCCCTGGGTGAGACCTGAATTCAGTACAACACTGGGTCTTGCCCAAGGCCTGCTGTAACCACTTCAAGTCCACTACCTGTGTTTGCTCAAGGCCCTGGGGCTCTATGATCAGCAGGTGGCAAAGCCAACCAGGCCTGGGTCCTTTCCTTCAGGGTGGCGAGTTCTCCCAGGCTCTGGCTTGGTCCAGAAGGGCTATCCAGGAGTCATAAACTAGAGTCAAAAACCTTAGAAATCTACCACATGTTCTATTATCCTGTGGTTAAGCTGGCACTGAAACTACATGATGCAGTTCTTTCCACTGTTGCCTCCCTTTTCCAAAATTAGAGGAGTCTCACCCTGTAGCCACTGCCACTACAGTCCAAAGGGAGTATTGCTAGAGTACCTACTGCCAATGTTTTCCTTAAAGCTTAAAGGCTGTTAAATCAGCTTGTGGTAAATGCTACCTGGCCTGGGACTCACCCTTCAGAAAAGTGGGATCTCTTCTGGCCTAGGGCAGGTCCAGAAATGCTGTCCAAGAGTCAAGTCTCAGAATCAGGGACCCCAAAAGCCCACTTGGTGGGCTCTACCTCCCTGTGGCCCTATTTGTAGCTAAGGTGTAAGATAAAGTCTCTCTTACTTTTCCCCGTTTTTCTTAAGCAGAAGGAGTTTTGCCCCATAGCCACCACAGCTGATCATGTGCTGAATCCCATCTGAAGTCAGAAAGTCTCAGAGGCTCACCCAAGACCCTCAACGTAGTACCTGGGTAACACAGATGGTTATTCGCAGCCCAAGGACTCTTCATTTACAGGTGATGAATGCTGCCAGGAATGAGACCTTTCCTTCATGGAAGCAGATTCCCTTTTTCCACAGGGTGTGTCTAGAAATGTCTTAGGGGAGCTAGGGCCTAGAATTGGGGCCTCATGACTCTGACCAGTGTCCTATCCTGCTGTGGCTGAGCTGGTATCTAAGAGGCAAGACACAGTCCTCCCGACTCTTCTCTCTTCTCTCCTCAAGTGGAAGGAAGTGGTCTTTTTTGGAGCCATGAGCTGTGTAGCCTGGAGTTAGAGGTGGGGTGATGGTAGCACTCCCTTATTTGCCTCAGCTGGTTTCTTGGTAGGTTGTGTGTCCATCGGTCCACTGTCTTTTGGCCCATTTTAGCTCTAGAACTCGCGTAACAGTTGCAGTCCTGATAGCCTAGACTGCCTTTCACGTTTACTTAGAGACCCAGAGACGTTTAGCCTTCAATGTCAAGATTCGTGTGAACTCAAGTTCAGACTGCTTGGTTCAGTGATTCCCCTCTGGCTAGGACTGGTTTAAATGCTCCCTCCTCGGCAGGCATCAGCTGATTTTGGTCTGATTTTCCTTTCTGCTCTAACAGAAAAGCAGTGAGTGCAGTGATTTACAGTTGCTCTGTTCCCCCAGTGCCCAGAGATGCTCTCTGCACCATGCTACCAATGCTGGGGGTTGGGAGAGGGGTGGTGTCAGCAATTCAAGATTGTTTTTCTTTCTCCTCAGTGCCTCTTTCAGTGACGCAAAGATAAAACCAGGTACTATGAGAGCTTGTCTAATTTTGCTTTCTTACGAAAGTGCTTTTTTTTTCTTTCTTTCGGTGTAGATAGTTGTAAAAATTGTATCCTTTTGGTGGGTAAATTGGTGATGGCTTCTATTCCATCATCTTACTCTGGCTGCAGTGCATTAAAGATAAAGAAACAGTCTTGGTGTGACCAGTTTGGTTATATATTTTCATAAATCTGAAACACATCTTTCTACTTGCTATTTTGAATCCTCCATTTGTTTCTTGTTTTCGTATCACAAGTTTTTGTACAGTAAGGCACTTTTGCACTTCATCAAAGAAAAACATCACCTAAACAGGCTTGTTACTGACCTACATCTCTATGCATTTGACTTTCCAAGCACCCACTTTAGGTAACATATGATTATCTTTCTACCTCATACACACACACACACACATACACACACACACACACACACACACGTGGATTTAACTATTGACAGCTAGTACAATAATTAAATACCTATGTGCAAAAACTTTAATGTTTGACTTTTGAGGAACAATGAAATTGAGTTAATTTTGAAAATGCATCCATGCAAATCAGCGAGTATAAATCTTAGCAAAGCAAGTGGCACGTCAGAGACCCTAGGTGACTGTTATGTTTAAAGATGGCCCTGGCTACTCCAAGACTTTCACTTAGGATTACTTGAGAGATTGTAGCTGCATGGAAAGTTTGTACATCCTTGCTTCCTCAAAGTTGACATAGTAGACTATTATTACACAGTTTTCTCTTGGTGTAAATTAAGAAGTCATCAGATAATTGAGTGTATAATAGATGGAAGAAACCTCAGAGATGATCTAATTCACCACCCTCATTTAACAAACAGGTGATACCTCATTGTAGATTTAGTTTGCATTTCTCTAATGAATAGAGATGTTGAGCATTTTTTCATATATCTGCTGGCCATTTTTCTATCTTCTTTCGAGAACTGTCTATTCAATTCCTTTGCCCATTTTTCAATAGGGTTATTTGTTTTCTTGTTATTGAGTAGTCTGAGTTCCTCATATATTTTGGATATTAGCCCTTTATCTGATGTATGATTAGCAAATATTTTCTCCCCATCTGCGGGTTGTCTTTTTACTTGATTAATTGTTTCATTTGCTGTGCAGAAGCTTTTTAGCTTGATCCATTCCCATTTGTTTATTTTTGCTTTCATTGCCTGTGCTTATGAAGCTATATGCAAGAAATCACTGCCAGAGCCAATATCTTGGAGTTTTCCCCTATGTTTTCTTCCAGTAGTTTTAAAGTTTCATGTCTTATGTTTAGGTCTTTAATCGATTTGGAGGTGATTTTTATTAAAAGGGTAAGAAATATAACAAGTGTTGGTGAGGATGTGGACAAAAGGGAACCCACATACACTACTGGTGGGAATGTAAATTAGTATAGCCATTTTGGAAAACAGTATGGAGATTCCTCAGAAAACTAAAAGTAGAACTACCATATGATCCAGCAATCTCACTTCTGGGTATATACCCAAAAGAATTGAAATCAATATGTTGAAGAGATGTGTCTGCTCTCCCATGTCTATTCCAGCCCTATTCACAATAGCCAAGATACGGAAACAACCTAATTGCTCATCAACGGATGAATCAATTGTTTAAAAATGTGGTGTACATTCACAAGCAATACTATTCAGCTTTAAAAAACACAGGAAATTGTGTCATTTGCAGCAAAATAGATAAATGTAGAGAACATTATGTTAAATGAAATAAGCCAGGCACAGAATGCAAATGCTGAATGATCTCACTTACATGTGGAATCTAAAACAGTTGATTCCCTGAAAGTAGAGAGTGGAATTATATTTACCAGAGGCTGGGTCAGGGTATTGGACAGAGAAAAGAAAGAAGTTGGTCAATGGGTACAAAGTTTTATTTGCATAGGAAGAATAAGTACTGTTTATTTATTGTACATCATTGTGACTATAGTTAATAATAATGTATTATATATTTCAAAATAGCTAAAAGATAGAATTGTAAAAGTTGTTACCATAAGAAAATGATAAATACTTGAGGTGATGAATATGCTCACTAGCCTGATTGGATCATTCCACAATCTATACATGTATTGGAACATCACATTGTCCCTCATAAATATAAACTATTATTTCTCAATTAGAAATATAATTTTAAAAACAGGAAAACTGAGGCCCCAGGAAGAGATATAATTTACTCAGGGTCACTCAGTGAATTAGTGAAAGAATCATAGTGAGAGGTGACAGCGTGTGGGCAGTCCTCACAGCCCTCCCTCGCTCTCGGTGCCTCCTCTTCCTGGGCTCCCACTTTGGCGGCACTTGAGGAGCCCTTCAGCCCACCGCTGCACTGTGGGAGCCCCTTTCTGGGCTGGCCAAGGCCGGAGCCCACTCCCTCAGCTTGCAGGGAGCTGTGGAGGGAGAGGCGCGAACGGGATCTGGGGCTGCGCGTGGCCCTTGCGGGCCAGCTGGAGTTCCGGGTGGGCGTGGGCTTGGCGGGCCCCTCTCTCAGAGCAGCCGGCTGGCCCTGCTGGCCCCGGGCAATGAGGGACTTAGCACCTGGGCCAGCGGCTGCGGAGGTTGTACTGGGTCCCCTAGCAGTGCCAGCCCACCGGCGCTGCGCTCGATTTCTCGCTGGGCCTTAGCTGTCTTCCTGCGCGGCAGGGCTCGGGACTGCAGCCCGCCATGCCCGCGCCTTCCACCCCCTCCGTGGGTTCCTGTGCAGCCCCAGCCTCCCCGAGGAGCGCCGCGCCCTGCTCCACAGCGCCCAGTCCCATCGACCACCTAAGGGCTGAGGAGTGCGAGCACATGGCGCGGGACTGGCAGGCAGCTCCACCTGCAGCCCCTGTGCGGGATCCCCTGGGTGAAGCCAGCTGGGCTCCTGAGTCTGGTGGGGACCTGGAGAACCTTTATGTCTAGCTCAGGGATTGTAAATACACCAATCAGCACTCTGTATCTAGCTCAAGGTTTGGAAACACACCAATTAGCCCCCTGTGTCTAGCTCAGGGTTTGTGAATGCACCAATCAACACTGTGTATCTAGCCGCTCTGGTGGGGCCTTGGAGAACCTTTGTGTCCATACTCTGTGTCTAACTAATCTGATGGGGACGTGGAGAACCTTTGTATCTAGCTCAGGGATTGTAAACGCACCAATCAGCGCCCTGTCAAAACAGGCCACTCGGCTCTACCAATCAGCAGGATGTGGGTGGGGCCAGATAGGAGAATAAAAGCAGGCTGCCCGAGCCAGCAGTAGCAACCCTCTTGGGTACCCTTCTACACTGTGGAAGCTTTGTTGTTTCGCTCTTTGCAATAAATCTAGTTACTGCTCACTCTTTGGGCCCACACTGCCTGTAAGAGCTGTAACACTCACGGGGAAGGTCTGCAGCTTCACTCCTGAGCCAGCGAGACCACCAACCCACCAGAAGGAAGAAACTCCAAACACATCCGAACATCAGAAGGAACAAACTCCAGATGCGCCAATTTAAGAGCTGTAACACTCACCGCGAGGGTCCACGGCTTCATTCTTGAAGTCAGTGAGACCAAGAACCCACCAATTCCGGACACAATAGTTTGCAGACTAAATAGTTGTCCATAGAATAAGTCTCCAAATAGAACTAGTCTAGTTCTTCATCTAGCCTGCATCCCCCAGATGTTCATAAGCTGTACTGTTCATTTGTGGGAAACTGCAGGTAAACTTTTGTTTAAAAAACAAATAAAGCAGTTTGTTGACTGCATGTAGCCTTTCATGAAAAGGAGTCAATTTCAATCAACTCACAGTGTGTGGTAGATTCCAATTCAACAAAGAGTTTTTAGAAAGAGATACATTATAAAAGCTAGGAGGTAACTTAAGCACTATCCACAAATTAATGATTTATGTGTTAATGACATTCCCAAGTCTCTATGAAATGACACAAATCACACCCTACGTGTTTGTTTTTCAGAGATGCCGTGTGTTGTGTGTGTGTGTGTGAGAGAGAGTGAAAGAGAGAGTGGGTGGGGGGAGAGAAAGAGAGAATTAAAACTGTAAGACTAGTTTTAGTAGGTATTGAATTCTACAGAAAGTTAAATTCTAAAACATATGTATTGTTCGTGTTATAAACTGTTTGAATCAATTGAGTCCATAGATAAAATAACAACAACAAAAATCCCACATCACCTCCAATAGAAACAAAGTCAATCTATTTTTGTTGCAATGCAGATTAAATAATCAGATAATTAATAATAGAGTTGACTTTTTTCAAATATCTTATTTTCTGATTATAAAATTAACATGTACTCATTAAGGAGACTCAGCAGTTTATTAAAAAAAAAAAGATAATTTACAGTCTCATCACCTAGATCCATCCTCCATTAATGTTCTGGTCTTGCAAACTTTTAAAAAATATACATAAACACACTCACAAATGTGCTTTTACTTTTAGAAAAATCAGCTCATATGATATAAATATGAAAAAAACATTTGATAACTTGGTTTTGTTACATTTCAATATATCATAAACATTTCCATAGATGTATTACATCATCATTTGTAATAGCTATACAGTATTCTATAATAGGGATATACTATGGTTAGTTTAAGCAATCCTCCATTGAAGGATGTTAAGTTGATTGTCTTTTTACTCTATCACAAATTATGATAAACAACATTTTTCCAACATCTGTGTGCAATTGTGTGGTTAGGGAACGATTTTTTTCCTTAGGATAAAATCCTAGAAGTGGAATTTGTGGAATTTGTGGGTCAAAGGGCCTGAATTAAAGACTGAGAAATCATATTAGATTTCTTTTCAGATATATCAATTCAGATATATTACATTAATTTATGGTCCAACAAAAAGTGAATGTGTGAGTGTATTAATTTCCCCCGTATCGTTGTCAAGTCTAAGCATTACTGTTTCTTAAAACCTTTTCAATGTCATAGAAATGATTGTCATAGATATTTTTATAAAGGTTTATTCATGCTTATGAATGTCAGAGATAATTTTTCCTAAATCCACTGGCCATCATAGTTCTTATTTTGGCCTCTGTCCATTTTTCTATCTCACATTTTTTTTTTTATGTAACATTAATTGTATGATGTATTGGTCAGGGGTCTCTAGAGAGACAGAATATATGTCCCTCTAGAGAATATATATATTGATATCTATATCTATAGATATAGATATAGATATATTCTCTGTCTCTCTCTCTATATATATATATCTTATTTTCCAATTATAAAATTAACATATACTCATTGAGGAGACTCAGCAATTTATAAAAATTGTATATATATATATATATATATATATATATATATATATATTCTTTCTCTCTCTGTCTCTCTCTATATACTCTCTCTATATATCCTGTTAGTTTTAGTAGGCATGTAGATATTGAACTCTACAGAAAGTTAAATTCTAAAACATATGTGTTCTGGGCATTATAAACTCTTCGAATCAATTTAGTCTACAGGTAGAACAACAAGAAATATATATATGTGTGTGTGTGTGTGTATATATGTATATATGTATATATACACCTATATATACACATGTGTATATATACACCTATATACATATATGTGTATATATGGATGTATATATATACATAATTATCTGCACTTGTAACATATATGTGTGTATATATTCATACATGTGTGTATATATACATATGTGTGTATATATACACATGTGTACATGTACACATGTGTATATATACATATATGTGTACATGTACACACGTGTATATATACATATATGTGTACATGTACACACGTGTATATATACATATATGTGTACATGTACACACGTGTATATATACATATATGTGTACATGTACACACGTGTATATATACATATATGTGTACATGTACACACGTGTATATATACATATATGTGTACATGTACACATGTGTATATACATATATGTGTATATGTACACATGTGTATATAATTGGTCAGTCACAGACACATGGTGCTAAACCAGATCCGTTTCCCTTTGAAGCTCTCCTTTTAACTATGACATCAACCTTCTCCACACATACTTTTGGAATTGTTTTGTAGCTAGATCTTTTCCTTTTTATGTTCTGGCTCAGGTGATAAGCTTAGAAAAGCCTTTTTTTTTTTTCCTTTTTAGGCAGGAAAGTGTATCATCTGTTTAGATGAAAGTGCAGGTAATAAGGTAAGAGGTTGGGGTAAAGTGAAGAATATTTGAAATACCTTCTGCGATGCCCTCTCATTTAGGGCCTGCCTCACAGCTGCCAGTCCCTGCCTCTCCTGGTCTGAAGAGTCCCATTTCCATTTGCTGACTATGAATGCTCCAGCTCCATTGACTCTTTCCAGGCTTCCTTTACTAGCATGTAAATATACTCAAGTAGCTCTCATCTTAAAAAAAAAAAAAATCTGTTTTCAACATACGGCTCTATCTTGCTCCTCACTTTTACAGTGAAACTCTTTGAAGTTTAAACACCTGTTCAACTTTATCACTTTCTATTCACATCTCAACCCACTCCTGAGTAGCTCATCATTTGTCTGAGAGTGCTGAGAGTGTTCTTGGTATTTTCTCCAATGACCAAAAAATTCAAATCCCATTTCTCATCCCATAGATTACAAAGTTGATTACTCTCTCATTTTTGAAAATCTTTCTTTCCTTGGTTTGGGTGACCACACACACTCTTGATTTTCCCCTTACGGTGCAGACTATGTCCCAAACTCTTCTTTGGTCTCCTCTGTCTCCGCTTGATGGTCTTAACCACTCCCATTGGTGCTGACATTAGCAATGTTCTCATGAATTAACAAAATTGTATTCATAATCCAGATCAGCCTCTGAACTTCAGAGTAACATACACAACAGGATATCAGGTATCTCTATTCAGATGTTTTTCATGGACTTGAATCTCAACATATTTGAAATACAAATCATTTTCACCTCCAAACCTGCTCCTCTTTCGGTTTCTCTCCTGTCATATCCACCTAATTGCCTAGGACAAAATCTGGAATAGTTTTTGACTCCTTCTTCCCCCTCCTCCTTTCTCTTTGAAATATATTTAGAATTATATTCAATTCTTTCCATCTTGACTGCCTCTATCCTAGTCTTGGCTTCCACAGTCTTTTGTTGGATTAAGGCAAAGTCTGCTAACTCTTCCCCTTGCACTTTAACTCCTTCAAACCATTTTAACACTATAAACAGAGTTCTAAAAAGATAGTGTGATCATGCTATTGCCCACTGTCCCCAGGAAAAATTCTAAGCCCCTTAGGAAAAGACCAGTGGCACCTCCAGAAATTCTATGTAGAGAACACATGCTTTTGTAGTTATAGGAGGGAATTATAGTGGTAATGTGCTCAGAATCAGGGATTTGTGGTCCCACCTTGAAATTGTTTTTGCATAGCATTTTTTAAGACTTTGATAAAATCATTTCAATATTGAAGACTGGGAAAAGCAGTAATAACCTATTGAGGGAAAAGCTTCACCTCTTCCAAGCCATCCTTTAAATCTGTCCCTGTACACATTACCCTACATGGTATGGCACTCTTCTACATCTCATTTCACTTTTGGCTTACAGAGTATGCCTTATGTGTGAAGAATTATGCTAGACACTGAGGACACAACAATGAATTCATAGAGTTTCAGAGAAGATAGTCATTTAAAAATGATTTTAGCATTAATAACATAATTATCTGTGCTTGTAACAAGTGACTATTGGGATATGGTAGGATCTAGCCCAGAGCTCCTCATTCTCGGCACTGCTGGCATTTTGTTGTGTATGTTATTCTATTATATATGTTACTCTGAGGTTCAGAGGCTGATCTGGGTTGGGAATAGAGTTTTGTAATGCATGAGAACATTGCTAACTTGAGCAACAACAGGAGTAGTTAAGACAGTCCAGGAATTGTCAGGTTGAATAATTCTTTGTTGTGAGGGGCAGTACTGTGTATTGTAGCATGTTTAGCAGCACCTCTGGTCTCTACTCATTAGATGCCAGTAGCATCTCCCACTCACTTGAGATAAATAAAAATGGCTCCAGATACTGCCAAATGTCTGCTGAGAGCCAAAATCGTCCCTAGTTAACAATCACTCTTCTAGACCAAGAGTACCATTAATTAATACAGTAATTGATTTATCAGTCAATTATCTTTAATTTCCTCAAGAATTCCACATTCTTTTTGTGAACTCAAAACCTGTGCATGCACTGTTCCCTCTGCCTAGAACATTGCACTCTTTTGTTGATTAACCCCCACCCTCTCCATCCTCTCCCGTGCCAACACATTACTCTGTGATCGATGTCACTCTGAGTTCCCATACAAATAGGTCCATTTTCCATTGGAACGTCATCAGACTTTATGATAGTTTCTTGTACATTTGTTTATACTCCCTACTAGTGTCTAAGCTCCATAAGGATAGCACCTCTCTTATTTATGATTGTATCAAAAAATTCAGATTTTTTTTAGCGCATAAAATATATGAAAATATAATTGTTGAACTGTTGATTTAATAAGTGAATCTTTAAGCTAGGCCGAGAGGGAGTAAAGTGGTCAACCAGGATCTAACCACAATAATTAATTATGCTTGTTTCTCACAACCATTTTGATAAGACACAAAATTTCAAACTACAAAATCACTTTTGAATTACTAGACAAGGTGGTCAACAGAAATCCCTTACTCTCCCTCATAGCTTACTCTTGTTCTACATATTTTCTTTTCTTAATGTTTGTGTTCTATCCATCCTTGTTTCCCACCTGAGTTTGGAGACAGAGGACAATATAAGTATCAGAAATTGGTTGATGTCGTCTAGTTTACAGATTATTTGGTATTTTTGAAAGCTACATTTTTTTTTTTTTTGCAGCTGTGCCAAAATACTTCCACGTTAAAAAGCTAGGGCTAGCACATGGAACCTTGAGAATGGGACTACCTGACAGGATTCTGGCCTGGCAGAAGCCCTGAAAAGGAACCCACACCTAAAGGGGTGGAGGTGATGCTGCCATCCCAATGAACCTGGAAGGCACAAGACATGTAGCCAAAGAGAATTGTCTTAATCCTAAAGACCTAAAGGAAATTAACTTGCTACATTTAGACTTGCTTGGGATCAGTTACCCCTTTCTTCCTTCTAATTTCTCCCTTTTAAAATAGGAATGTCTATTCTGTGCTTGTCCCACCATTGTGTTTTGGAAGCACAAAACTTGTCGGGTTGCACAGATTTATAGGTAGAGAATTTTGCCTCAGTGTGAACTATACCTTGAGTCTCACTCATATCTGATTTAAGTGACATTCAGATGAGACTTTGGAATTTAGACTTTAGACTTGATGCTGGAATCAGTTAATACTCTTGGGGATATTGAAATAGAATGAATGTGTTTTGCATTCACAAAGGACATTGATTTTGGGGGTCTGGAGTAGAATGCTGTGGACTGAATTGGGTCCTACCCCAAAGTCATATATGTTGAGGCCCTAACACCCAATGTGATGGTATTTGGAGGTGGAACTTTTGGGAGAGAATGAAGTTTGGACGAAGTCATAAGGGAGGGGTCCTAATCCAAGAGAGCTGCACAAAAGGAGGACTATCATGTGAACACGTGGTGAGAAGGCATCTATCTGCAGTCCAGGAAGGCAGTTCATCCCTCACCTGAACCTGACTATGCTGGCACCTTGATCTCAGACTTCCAGCCTCCAGAGCTTCAGAAACAAAATTCGTATCGTTTAACCCATCCCAGTCTATGTCATTTTGTCATGGCAGTCTGAGCAGACTAAATCAAGTATGCACCAAGGACAATGGCTTTTTCTCAAAAGCATGTAACAATTCTTGGTTAAGTCTTCTAACCTAAACCTTATAATACAGTGATGAGAAAAGAGAAATAGCCAGTGGACTTTTATAAACTTAGTATTACCTTCTCAGTAAATTATCTTTTCCTGCTCAGCACTGATTCTTTAAGTGTATTAGGCTATTCTCACATTGCTATAAATAAATACCTGAAACTGGGTGATTTATAAAGAAAAAATATTTAATTGGCTCCATGATTCCACAGGCTGCACAAGAAGCATGATGGTGGCCATCTGCTTGGCTTCTGGGGAGGCCTCCAGAAATGTACAATCATGGTGGAAGGCAAAAGTGAAGCAGGCACGTCTTACTTGGCTGGAGCAGGAGGAAGAGATGGGGAGGTGCTACAAACTTTTTAAGCAACCAGATCTTCTGAGAACTCACTCACCAACATGAGAACAGCACCGAGGGGACCCCTCTCCTACATGATATAGATACCTTAAGCCAGGCCCCACCTCCAACATTGGGGATCACAATTCAACGAGATTTGGGTGGGAATGCAGATCCAAGCCATATCAGCCAGTGATACCACAGGTCTCCCAGGTATCTAAATTTAAATCCATGTTCATATTTCTGTCCTCTCTTAGGAGACCCAGCAAATAATTTTTCCCTTTAGTTGTCCTGAATTCTATCTTTTTATACTGATATACACAGAGGTCAAAGATATATTACTGTATTTCACCAAATTTAAGAGGCATCGCTATTTTTTGTATCACTAAGGGAGAAACAAAACACTAAGAATTAAGCTGTGATAGAACATTAATTATAACATGTATCTGAAATACAGATATATTAAAATGTAAAAAAATTCCATTATAACTTTAGTGAAATGTTGCAAGTGGAAAAATCAAAAACACTACACTGCATAGAGCACAAACACTGTATCTACATCAATCAGCTCCAAGCAGGAAATTGATGATCCACCAAAATTAGGATAATGTAAAGAAGGTTTATTTTTAAAGCAGTTATTTTCAAAAATGTTGGTGGTTCATTGAGTGTCTCAGTCTGTTTGGACTGCTATAACAAAAATACCATAGACTGGCAAATTTAAAAACAGCAGAAAATATTACTCACAGTTCTGGAGGCTAAAAATTCCAACATCAAGGTGCCAGCAGATTTAGTGTGTGGTGAGGGCTCACTCTCTGCTCCACAGATGATGCCTTGTTGCTGCCTTCTCACATGGTAAGTGGGGCAAGGCAGGTCCTTTAATCTCTTTTGTAAGGACACTAATCCCATGCATGAGAGCAGAGTCCTTATGAGTTAATCACTTCCCAGAAAGGCCCCACCTCATGATAACACCACAATGGAGATTAGGTTTCAACATGAATTTTGGAGGGACACATTCAGACCATAGCATAGGTTAAACCACAAAGAATAGCACAGGAACCTACATCTGGCAACATCTGAGCTGTAGACACTGGTAGGTCTACAGCGATGAGAAAAGAGAAAAGGTAGTAAGATTGGGAAGGAGAATAAATCATTTAGGACAGTTTGTCTAGAGAGAAGCAGTTTCCATAATGAAAGAACAAAATAAGTACAAAGCACCCTTAAAAGGAGGGAACAGGGAGCTAACTGTCCCTATGTATCTCGCCTCCCTCCATCTAATCTCATGTTAGGACTTCTCATTGGCCACACCTAAGTCCAAGCCAGAGAGCAAGAGACCATGAGCGATATAATCCATATAGTGCAATCTGCCTAGAAAAAGAGCAGGGTGGAGAAGGATGGAAAATGGATATATAGGGGCAAAAGGAGATATTTTGTACAATATTATTTGTGTATACAAAGAGAAGAAAACATACATGTTTGTGCATAAACATATTTACATTTTTTTCTGGTGAGAAAGAAAACTGTTAACAGTGATTATACAGGGGACGTGGGATTAAATGGATCTAGGATTGAGAATTTTTACTTTTTTATATTTTATGCTTCTCAGATAAACGTTTGAGGTTTTTATAGTAAACACCTATTGTTTTGTGGTTAAAAAAAATAGCTAATAAAAATAGCCCCACAGTGAGCTTTCTCCCCTTTCTACTGCCATAATTCTGGTCTAGAAGGTTATGCCTTCATACCAGTTATTAACAATATCTCTCATATGGCACCACAGTCTTACAGTTTTTTTTTTCTAATCTTCAATATAACTGCCAGAACTGTGTCTAGTCATTCACTCATTAATTAATTCAAGAGTTATTACTGAGCAGCTTCTGTGTGCTAGGTATTTTTCTAAAAGCAGAGGATATTCTGGTGTGTAAAAGTAAGCTCAGCCCCTGCCACATATAGTCTAGTGGGAAGGATGAATGTCATTTAAAACAATTATGAACAAATATACAGTTTCAACCCCAATGATGACAAGGCAAATATTTGAAGGAGTAAAAATCAAGCTAAAATATGAAGAATGAGTAGGGGTTAATAAAGGGAGAAGGGGATGAAATATTTTCCCAGGTAGGGGGAAGACCATACACGGTTTTGTGTGGTGTAAGTGCACCTGGCATATGTTTTTTTTAAATGAGAGAAAGCCTGAGTGGCTTAAGTATTGACTTCAAAGAGAGCTTGCTGAGAGATTTGTAGATGATGTGGTGAGGTGCCAGTTCAAGCGGGCTTTTATAGTCAGTTCCAAAGATTTTTCTATTTATCTTAAAATCAATGAAAATTCTTTGAAATATTTTTTTCTGAAACCTGACTTTTGTTATATTGCTAATTCATCATGAACGCCCTAGTTCTTTCTAGATAACATTTATATTCAGGTCTTCCTTTTCAGTTATCTATAATCTCTCTTTAATGACATATGAAAATGGATGGCTCGCTGGTTTTCTCTACGCCTTTATTTTCATTCAGCACATATTGGGCACCTACTGTGTACCAGGAACTCATTGTTCTAGGCACTTAGGATGCACCAGTGAACAAAATAAGAATCTGTATCCTCCTAGGGCTTAAATTCAAACAACACTTGCATCCGTTTTATAAGCATACTGCTACATAATTATACCATAATAACTTACACAATTCGAGAATAGAAAACCCTAAAATAACTTTAAATGTTTTCTAATTGTATTCCATAGAACTTTTGTTGTAGATAACTAAGTTCTGTTTTAGCTGGATAAGAAAAGGAGAAAAGATTTATTGTAAGGATTTTGGGACATCTTATGGAACCAGCTATTCTCTCTTTCTCTCACCTTTGCTACTTTTTGTGTTGGCTTGATTCCTTTCCTTGATGTATACCAGCTCTCTCTTTTTTGCCAAACTCTTGTGTTTTATATCTCCTTTCTTCCAGAGTTCAAACATACTGAGACTGAAATTTTGTAATACAAGTTAAAATTCAGGGAGAATGGGTTTTCATTTTTGTTTTTCAGATGCCCAATTTTGGCCAAAAATTGTGGCAAGAAAGGATGGGGAGATATTGGGGAAACATCGCTGCTGTCTCTTATTATTATTATTATTATTATTAGCTGCTGTCTCTTTAACCTTGTACATTAGAAAAAGGAGTGGGGAGGAGGTGGGGAAGGGGACATTTTCAGAAAACAACAGGTTTGGTGTAGGGTTCAGCCAATAAAAATGTGTCTACTGTACTCATAACCATTTCTTTTGACGTGAGAAAATTGATGTGATAAGAAATTCCCTAAGATGATAGAATAGAATCAAATATTCTTTTATCAGCCCTCCAACATGTACTCATTTTGTTCTCTTCACCAGGAATTTCATTTTGTTATTTACTGTCAGTAATAACGGAAGGGCTGTTATTACTGACAGTAAATAACAGAACCTTTAAAGGTCAGTTCCTTCAGCATTGTGGAATCTTATTCCTTCTCTGAAGTTTTTCGAGTCTTAAAATTTGTATTACACAATTTAGCGCACCTACAGAATCAAGTTACATCGATTTTTTTTTCTAGATCTTCTGTTTACAGCTCTCTTTGGTTATGCTTACTATCACAACTTTAACATTCTCCGTTTCCATACAATCTTATAACATGCTGCAATATGCAAGAGTAAACGTAACTTTTATAGTGTTTATTGGTTGCATTGTATAATAGATCAGTTCTTTCTCAACGATACCTACTGGTATATCTTCATCTCACTGGCAACCTATCTACAAATAATATCGCAAGACATATAGTTCCAGTGAACTTGTGTGTACAGTGCACACGTTTTAGACTCAAATACTTCTGGCTCCAGTTTGCATTGGCTGTGTGACCTTGGGAGAGTTATCAAATCTTTCTAGCATTGCTGAGACAGAGAAAATACATTTATTTCTTTTTTCAATGATTATTTAAGGACCAACTATGCAGCAGATACTTCTAAATCCTAGGGATGGTGCAGTTAACGAAAACAGGACAAAGGTCTCTAAATTTATGTTTTTTGCACATAACCTGATTCGTAATACAATCTCAACAAAAAAAGCTGTCTTACTCCCTTCCAGAAAGATTGTCTGTAGCTATATTATCTCATTTGTTAATATTTCTTAAGAACAAAACTTTTACAAGCCTTGGTGTCTTGATCTTTTTCTGATCTTTATTGCCTTTTTTTTTTGTATTTCAGGTATACATCAACTCAATTCACATTCACAAAATGTCATCCAGTTGTCATACATCTTGCCACATATTGTTGTATTTATTTTCTTATGATTAACTTTTATTTCACAAATGATGTTTTTGTTTAAAAATCGAAAAATGCAGTGGTTGGGCACAGTGGCTCATGCCTGTAATTCCAGCACTTTGGGAGACCGAGGCAGGCGGATCACTTGAGGTCAGGAGTTTGAGACCAGCCTGGCCAACATGACCAAACCCTGTCTCTACTAAAAATACAAAAATTAGCTGGACGTGGTGGTTCACGCCTGTAATCCCAGCTACTCTGGAGGCTGAGGCAGGAGAATCACTTGAACCCAGGAAGCGGAGGTTGCAGTGAACTGAGATTGCACCACTGGACTCCAGCCTGGGCAACAGAGGGAGAATCTGTCTCAAAAAAAAAATAAATAAATAAAAATGCAAAGGAGATCAAAGAAGAAAATAAAATGTATCTATTATCTCAGTACAAAGTTGTATTACTCTTAAAGAGATACTAGTCTTGGCATTTGGAATATCTTCCCATCTTAAGAACTGCATCTCTCTTGAGCTCCATATTATCACTACCCTTTCTCTACTATGCCATTGTCTGCAAATATTATTAATATTTCTTACACATTTAGGTTTTGGTAATGAAAACATGTATGTCTGCACAAACATAATCTTTCACTGCATTGACCTGCCTCTGACATCTTAATAATCAACAGTTCTTGTCTTTATATTGAAACAGATATTGATAATTTCATTAACATGAATGTCCACACATGGAATGAAACACAGATTCATTTCTTTATAATGGGGAAGCAGAAAATGACTTTATAAAATGCAAGCCTTAATTACTACCTACTTAG
Organism: Homo sapiens; assembly: GCF_000001405.40. Lineage (NCBI taxonomy): Eukaryota > Metazoa > Chordata > Mammalia > Primates > Hominidae > Homo > Homo sapiens. The sequence continues at coordinate 143,216,299 of NC_000023.11, read as the reverse complement.
TAATTAATGATTAGGAAATTGAGCCAAAATACTAGGTAATTTCAAATGAAAAATAGCATACTTTGTTGTATACATGTATAGCATGTAATGTCATCTATTCCAAAACCAGTTTTATTATGTTAGCCCTCTATATTGAGTTGAGTGTAACTTACTTGGTTTTGCCAGTCTGGGCACCAGCATCTTTTAAATCTTTGTCCTCAAAATTGTCAAACAACACAAATGTGAAATAAGTAATATTACTGTAATAGACTCCTATGTACTTATTACTCAACCTCAACAGTCACCAACATTTTGCTTTGTTGTGTCACCTAGTATACGTGCTTCTTTTGTTGGAGTATCTTAAATTAAATTCTCTTCATCATGTTATATAACATAAATATTTCTGTGTGCATCTTTATCTTATAAAGACATTTTTGTCATATCCATTATGTCATGATCACATCTAACAAAATCAATACTTATTTAATATCATCTAAAATTTAGTCCATGTTTAGATTCCCATGGATGTCTCAAACTGTCTCTTTACAGGTGGTTTGCATTTGACTGATTTATCTCGTCTCATTTTCTCTAAAATAATTCCCAAATCCCCATTTATCATGCAATTAATTTGTTATAGAAAATACGCCCTTTGTCCTGTAAAACGACTCACATTCGGATTTGGCTGGTATGATTTTGTTGTGTTTAACCTGTATTTCCAGCAAACTTGAGTTAGATCTGAAGGCACGATTATATACAACTTAAATAGTATTTTGTGTAAAAATACTTCCTAGGTGGTTCTGCATAGTTTCTGTTCAACAAATCTCAAGATATTTAGTATCTGGTTGTCCCATTTTTATTGATGTCAAGATTGAGCAATGCCTTCAGGTGTATCAACTTGATTCATCCATCATTAAGCTCTCATCAATATTTTGCCTCATAGTTTTAGCAACCATGATGATTATGACTTAATCCATGATAATATTTGGGGCTGCAAAATCATTTTTTCCTAATACCATCTTTCATTTTGCCTTTATTAGCTCAAATCTTTCTATTAATTAAAAGTCCCTCCTCAACCATTCGGATACTCTGCCATAGAATTTGTATAAAAAGGCAAGGTGTGTGCTTGCTTCTTTATCTCGATCTGTCAATTTTCATAGTAATGAGTTGGTGTCCAGTAATCTCCAATGGTGTCCTATGATTATCTTAGTGTTATGATGAACTCAAAGATGTTTATATATTTGATGAATATCAGTCTAATGAACTTATTATTGTTTTTGATAATCAGATTGTCTCATCCTGGATAAGAGAAAATCCATAAGAGTTGGCGTCTATGGGCACCAGAATCTCAACTGTAATAATAAGGTAGGATCTGAAAAATTTAAGTAGCAATATTTAATGGCAGTGAAATGGGCATTTTACTCAGGACTTTATGGAGATGACAAAAATATCAGTTGAAAATGGTTAGTGGCATGTTTTGAAATGACAACCATAGTAGACATGGTTTTCATTCTTATCTACTGACTCTTCCTCAGTAAGAGATTGCTAAGAACCCTTGAGGCGTATGGTCAGGGGAAAAGCTACGGTTTCATATGGGACCCATTCTCTGTTCTCCATTGCTCCTGTCCCACTTATACTCAGTAATAAGAATTTCAGGTATCTTATTTATAAGTCTGAGTTTTGCTTTTGTACTGGCTCATAATACATTGCTATTTTAAGTTTTTTTTCAATGATATAAAAGATTTAACTCCATCTGTAGAATTATGTCACTGAACTTCTGTATTTCAAAATAGAATATTATATAATTATATTTGGCCTTTTTGGTGTCTCCATTGCTCTCTGTGGGACCAGAGTTATCTGGAGTCCAGCAATTAGAGACAATTTTTATAATCCTTTGATGGGAGATGTTACTTACAATATGAGCTTGATATGAAGACAGATTTTCCATTGGCTTTCTTGGCAGCACCATTCAACAACTTTCTGCCATCACTTATTTAGCGTTACTCTCGTCAATTTATAATCCATAAATATGTAGATTTCAGGTACACACAGTATCATATACCAATATATTTAGGCCATCTCTCTCTCTCTCTATATATAATATATAATATATAATATATATTATATATTATATATAATATATAATATATATTATATATTATATATATATATTATATATAATATATAATATATAATATATAATATATAATATATAATATAATATATAATATATATAATATATAATATATAATATATAATATATATAATATATAATATATAATATGTAATATGTAATATATATAATATATAATATGTAATATATATTATATAATATATATTTTATATAATATGTAATATATATTATATAATATATATTTTATATAATATGTATAACAAATTAACATTAAAATTAACTCACTTAACCTTAAAATTTGTTTCTAATTTTTTTATTCCAACCTGAAAATTATCAAGACCAGGAGTCACAAAGTCAAAAAATTAGGGCTTATAGGCCAATCTGGCCTACTACCTGATTTTATAAATAAGGTTATATTAGAACACAGTCATGTTCATCTAATTATATATTATCTTTTCCTTTGCTACAAAGGCAAAGTTGAGTAGTTTTCATAGAATGTATGTTGTCTACAAAGCTGAAAATATTTTCTATCTAGACATTTGCAGAGAAAGTTTTAAACTCCTGGTAACACCTAATAATATTTGCTGTGTCTGTATTTATAAGAACACTTTTCTCAGGAAGCTACTACATAAATATGACTCACTAATAATAAAAAGACAGATACTATTAAAATTTTAAATGTACAATAGTACAAATGAACAATCTAAGGTCACACCTCAAGGAACTAGAGAAACAAGAACAAACCAAACCAAAACTCAGCAGCAGAAAAAAAAATAACCAAGATCAAAACAGAACTAAATGAAATTGAAACACAAAAAATAAAAAAGAAAAATAAAACAAAAAGCTGGTTCTTTGAAAGAGTAAATAAAATTGATAGACCATTAGCAAGCTTAACCAAGAAGAAAAGACAGAAGATCCAAACAAGCTCAACTAGAAACGAAACGGGAGATATTACAACCGACACCCCAGAAATACAAAAGATTATTCAAGGCTACTATGAACACATTAATGTGCATAAATTAGAAAACCTAGCACAGATGGATAAATTCCTGAAAAAATACAACCCTCCTAGCTTAAACCAGGAAGAATCAGAAACGCTAAACAGACCAATAACAAGCAGCAAGATTAGAATGGTAATACAAAATTTCCGACAGAAAAATTCCTGGGCAAGATGAATTCACAGCTGAATTCTATCAGACATTCAAAGAAGTATTGGTACCAATCATATTGACACTATTCCATAAGATAGAGAAAGAAGGAATCTTCCCTAAATCATTCTATGAAGCCAGCAGCACCCTAATACTAAAGCCAGGAAAGGACATAACAAAAAAAAAAAAGAAAACTCCAGACCAATATGCCTGATGAATATAGATGCAAAAATCCTTAAGAAAATACTAGCTAATTGAATCTAGTAGCATATCAAAAAGATAATCCACTGTGATCAAGTGGGTTTTATACCAGGGATGCAGAGAGGGTTTAACATATGCAAGTCAATATATGTAATAGACCACATAAAAGAATTAAAAACAAAAATCACATGATCATCTCAGTAGACACAGAAAATGCATTTGACAAAATCCAGCACCCCTTTATGATTAAAACCTTCAGCAAAATTGGCATACGAGGGACATACCTCAATGTAATAAAAGCCATCTGTGATAAACCACAGCCAACATAATACTGAATGGGGAAAAGTTGAAAGCGTTCTCTCTGAGAACTGGAACAAGACAAGGATGCCCACTTTCACCATTTCTACTCAACATAGTACTGGAAGTCCTAGCCAGAGCAATCAGACAAAAGGAAGAAATAAAGGACGTCCAAATCAGTAAAGAAGGAGTCAAATCGTTGCTGTTTGCTGATGATACGATTGTGTACCTAGAAAATCCTACAGACTCCTCCAAAAAGCTCCTGGAACTGATAAATTCAACAAAGTTTAAGGATGCAAATTAATGTATACAAATCAGTAGCTCTGCTATACACCAACAGCGACCAAGCTGGGAATCAAGTCAAGACTCAAACCCTTTTATGATAGCTGCAAAAAAATAAATAAATAAATAAAATACTTAGGAATATACCTAACTGAAGAGGTAAAAGATTTCTACAAAGAAAACTACAAAACACTGTTGAAAGAAATCATAGATGACAAAATTAAAACACATTCCATGCTCAAGGATAGGTAGAATCAATATTGTGAAAATGATCATACTGCCAAAAGCAAGTTACAAATTCAATGCAATTCCCATCAAAATACAATCATTTTTCACAGAATTAGAAAAGACAATCCTAAAATTCATATGGAACCAAAAAAGAGCCCACATAGCCAAAGCAAGACTCAGCAAAAAGAACAAATCTGGAGGCATCACATTATCTGACTTTAAACTATACTAGAAGGCCATAATCACTAAAATAGCATGATACTGGTATAAGTTGTGAATTGTGCTGCATGTTTATAGCAGCACAATTCACAATGGCAAAAATATGGAACCAGCACAAATGCCCATTGATCAATGAGTGGATAAAGGAATTGTTATATATATATACACACACACACACACACACACACATATATAACACATACATATATACATACATTAGTATTCCATATATATATATGAATACTACCCGGAATACTCTTCAGTCATAAAAAGGAATGCAATAATGGCATTCACAGCAACCTAGATGGAATTGGAGACCATCATTCGAAGTGAAGTAACTCAGTAATGGAATATGAAATATCATGTTCTCACTCATAAATGGGAGCTAAGCTATGAGGATGAAAAGGCATAAGAATAACTCAATAGGCTTTGGGGACTTGAAGGAAAAGGTGGGAAGGCGGTTAGGGATAAAAAACTAAAAATTGGGGAATCGCCACACTGTCTTCTACAATGGTTGAACTAGTTTGCAGTCAAGGATCTAGAACTAGAAATACCATTTGACCCAGCCATCCCATTACTGGGTATATACCCAAAGGATTATAAATCATGCTGCTATAAAGACACATGCACACGTATGTTTATTGCAGCACTATTCACAATAGCAAAGACTTGGAACCAACCCAAATATCCAACAATGATAGACTGGATTAAGAAAATGTGGCACATATGCACCATGGAATACTATGCAGCCATAAAAAAGGATGAGTTCATGTCCTTGGTAGGGACATGGATGAAGCTGGAAACCATCATTCTCAGCAAACTATCGCAAGGACAGAATACCAAGCACTGCATGTTCTCACTCATAGGTGGGAATTGAACAATGAGAACACTTGGACACAGGATGGGAAACATCACACACCGGGGCCTATTGTGGGGTGGGGGGAGGGGGGAGGGATAGCATTAGGAGATATACCTAATGTTAAATGAGGAGTTAATGGTTACAGCACACCAATATGGCACATGTATACATATGTAAGAAACCTGCACGTTGTGCACATGTACCTTAGGACTTAAAGTATAATAATAATAATAATAAACTACAAATTGGATACAGTGTATACTGCTCAGGTGATGGGTGCATCAAAATCTCACAAATCACCACTAAAGAACTTACTCATGTAACCAAACACCACCTATTCTCCCCAAACCTACGGAAATAAAAAAATAAATAATACAATAAAATGTTGACTTTACTCATCCTGTTTGCTCTCAAATATGAGATTTTATTCATTCTATCTAACTATTAATATAGTTCAGTAACCATTAACAATTCCCACTGCTCCTACCACTACCCTTCCAGCCTCTGGTAACCATCATTCTACTCTCTATCTCCATGAGTTCAATTGTTCTAATATTTAGCTCCCACAAATGAATGAGCATGTGCAAATTTTTCTTTCTTTGTCCAGTTTATTTCGTTTAACATAATGACCTCCAGTTCCATCCATGTTGTTGCAAATGACAGACCCTAATTCTTTTTTATGGCTTAATAGTACTTCACTGTGTTTATTTACCACATTTTCTTTATCCATTCATCTACTAATAGACACTTAATTTGCTTCCAAGTGTTGGCTGTTGTGAATAGTGCTGCAATAAACATGGGAGTTCAGTTATCTCTTTGATATACTGATTTCCTCTCTTTGGGGTATACACTCAGCAGTGGGATTGCTGGATTATATGATAGCTCTGTGTCCCATTCTCTGGATTGTCTCATTATTTTGCTGATTATTTCCTTTGTTGTGCAGAAGCTTTTCAACTTGATGTGATTCCATTTGTCTATTTTTGTTTTGGTTACCTGTGCTTTTAGGGTATTTATTACTCAAGAAATCTTTGCCCACTCCAATGTCCTGGAGAGTTTCCTTAAAACTTTTTTCAGAAGTTTCATAGTCTCACATCTTGGATTTAAGTCTTTAATCAATTTTGATTGAATTTTTGTATATAGCAAGATATAGGGGCCTAGTTTCATACTTCTGCATATGGATATTCAGTTTTCCCAGCAATATTTATTTAAGAGACTGTCCTTTCCCCAGTATATGTTCTTGGCACCTTTGTCAAAAATAAGTTCACTGTAGATGTATGGATTTATTTCTGGGTTCTCTATTCTATTTAATTGGACTATGTGTCTGTTTTTATGCCAGTACTATGCTGTATTTGTTATTTTAGCTCTGTATTATAATTTGAAGTCAGGTCATGTGATTCCTCCAGTTTTGTTCTGTTTGTTCAGGATTGCTTTGGCTATTCTGGGTGTTTGGTGGTTCCATATAAATTTTGGGGTCTTTTTCTATTTCTGTGAAGAATGTCATTGGTATTTTAAGGAATGCATTGATTCTGTAGATTGCTTTTGGTAGTGGGAATAATTTAACAATATTGATTCTTCTAATCCATGAAAATAAAATATCTTTCCATTTTTTGTGTCTTTTTCAATTTCTCGCATCAGTGTTTTATAGTTTTCATTGTAAAGAGCTTTTACTTCTTCACTTAAGTTTATTTCTGGTATTTAATTTTATTTGTGGCTATTGTAAATGGAATTGATTTCTTGATTTTTTTTCAGATTGTTCACTTTTGGCATATAGAAATGTTACTGATTTTTATATGTTGATTTTGTATCCTGCAACTTTATTGACTTTGTTTATCAGTTCTAGTAGGTTTCTGTGTGTGTGTATGTGTTTAGTCTTTGAATTTTCCCAAATATAAGATCTGATCATTTGCAAAGAAGGATAATTTGACTTCTTCCTTTCCAATTTGGATGTCCTTTATTTCTTTCTCTTGTCTGATTGCTCTACCTAGGACTCTCAGTACTATGTTTAATAATTGTGGTGAATCTGGGAAGTCTTGCCTTGTTCCAGGTCTCAGAGGAAAAGCTTTCAGTCGTTCCACTGTCAAAATTATATTAGCTGTATGTGGATCACATATGGCTATTATTGTGTTGAAGTATATTCCTTCTGTGCCCAGTTTTAGAGTTTATTTTTTGTCATGAAAGGATGTTGAATTTTATCAAATGCTTTTTCAGCATCAATTGAAATAATCACATGGGTTTTATCCTACATTCTGTTGATGTAATGTATCGTATTGTTCAATGTGCGTATGTTCAACCATCATTACATCCCTGGGAAAAGTCACATTTGGTCATGATGAATTATCTTGTTTTAATGTGTTCTTAAATTCAGTTTTATAGTATTTTGCATCAATGTTCATCAAACATATTGGCCTGAAATTTTACTTTTTATGATGTGTCTTTTTCTGGCTTTAGTATCAGGGTAATAATAACCTTGTAGAATGAATTTGGAAGTATTTTCTCTTCCTCTATTTTTAAGAATAGTTTGCATAGGATTGGTATTAGTTCTTCTTTAAATGTTTGGTAAAATTCAGCAGTGAGGCCATCACGTCCCAGGCTTTTCTTTGCTGTGAAACATTTTATTACAGTTTTGATCCCATTACTTGTTATTGGTCTACTGAGGCTTTGGATTTCTTCATTGTTCATTCTTGGTAAGTTGTACGTGTCTGGGAATTTATTCATTTTTTCTTAGGTTTTACAATTTATTGGCATATAGTTGTTCATAGGTACCTCTAATGATTCCATGAAGTTCTGTGGTATCAGTTATAATGTCTTCTTTTTCTTTTTTTATTTTATTTTTTATTATACTTTAAGTTTTAGGGTACATGTGCACACGTGCAGGTTTGTTACATATGTATACATGTGCCATGTTGGTGTGCTGCGCCCATTAACCCTTCATTTAACATTAGGTATATCTCCTAATGCTATGCATCTCCCCTCCCCCCACCCCACAACAGACCCCGGTGTGTGATGTTCCCCTTCCTGTGTCCATGTGTTCTCATTGTTCAATTCCCACCTATGAGTGAGAACATGTGGTGTTTGGTTTTTTGCCCTTGGGATAGTTTGCTGAGAATGATGGTTTCCAGCTTCATCCATGTCCCTACAAAGGACATGAACTCATCCTTTTTTATGGCTGCATAGTATTCCATGGTGTATATGTGCCACATTTTCTTAATCCAGTCTATCATTGTTGGATATTTGGGTTGATTCCAAGTCTTTGCTATTGTGAATAGTGCCGCAGTAAACATATGTGTGCATGTGTCTTTATAGCAGCATGTTTTATAATCCTTTGGGTATATACCCAGTAATGGGATGGCTGGGATTAACATCGTTCTCTTTCAGATTGAAGAACTCTGTTTGGCATTTCCTGTAGGACAGGTCTGGTGTTGATGAAATCACTCGGCTTTTGTTTGGGAAAGTCTTTATTTCTCCTTCATGTTTGAAGAATATTTTCACTGGATATACTATTCTAAAATAAAATTTATTTTTCCTTCAGCTTTAAATATATGATGCCACTGTCTCCTGGTCTGTAAGGTTTCCATTGAGAAGTCTGCTACCAGATGTATTGGAGCTCCATTGTAGGTTATTTGTTTCTTTTCTCTTGCTGCTTTTATGATCCTTTCTTTTTCCCTTTGGGGCATATATTAAGTGCTTGTCTGATGAAACTTGAGTTTATTCAGTAGTCTAGTTTATCATCTTGAGCTAAAAGAGTGAACTGGTAAATCCTTTGGTGAATCACCATATGGGTGTGTCTTCAAAACCATTTGCAGTTATGTTTAAAATATGTCACACAAATCTGTCATCACCTGACCACATAAATGGTCTGTGATTGGCTTCTGGTGGAAGCCAGAAGGCCTCTGATTAACTCGCTGATAACTTTTTCTTTATTTAATGGGCTGCATTTTTGTGTGTGTGACATTTCTGTGTCTTTTAAACTCTTTTCACAGCCTATTTGTTGACAGCCTGGTTTTGTCATGCGCCTCAGTATTTGCCCAGTGTGAAGTGCCCAGTGCTGCTGCATGTAATAAAGGATGTAGAGATTAGGAGTACATAGGCTTCAAAGATTTGTGACATTAGACTAGTCATTTCACCATTTTAGTCTCAGTTTTCTCACCTGTAAAATAGCAAGCAACAATCATAACAATTTACAGAGTAAGTGAGAGGATTAAATAAATTAATGCAAGTAAATAAAAGGCATTTAGCACATTTCCTGACAAATAAAAAACACTTTGGAATTGTTGATTTTTATTATTACCATGCTACTCAAATAAATATTGGCTTAATATTCTACCCATACATGAACAAGGACCTCAGTCCTTTCAACCAAAGAGAACCTCAATTATTTCTTAAAGTTCCCAAATAATGATAGATCACACACAGTAACAACCGAGTGTGGCTGGCTGGTATCTTTAGTCACAACAAAACATCCACCTGTATTGTGCTGTCTTATTCTGTTTCCTACTTAATATAGTTTAGATGCTTGCCCCCTCGAAATTTTATGTTACAATGTAATCTCCAATGTTGGAAGTGAGGCCAAGCGGGAGGTATTTGGGTCATTAGGGCTTATTCCTCATGAACGGCTTGGTGTCATCCCTTTGGTAATGAGTGAGTTGTCAACCTATTAGTTTATGTGAAGGCTGGTTGTTAAAAAGAGCATGGCACCTCCCTTCTCTCTTGCTCCGTCTCTTGTGATGTGATATACTGGTTCCCCTTCACCTTGCATTATGATTAAAAGCTTCCTGAGGCCTGCACTGGAAGTACATGCTGACACCATGTTTCTTGTACATCCTGCAGAACTGTGAGCCAAATAAACCTCTTTTCTTTATAAATTACCCAGCTTCAGATATTACCTTTATAGCAACACGAAATGGACTAAAAGGATACTTGTTCACATCCACTACTAGAAAAGCCATAGAGAAACCTCACTAATGCCACTACCTTCCATGGGTATATCTATCTTCACTTTAATATATAATAAATATATTATAAGTGTGGTCCATTCAAGAAACTCTCAAAGAAAAAAGTCCACAAGGTGCCCAAATGTTGCTGTGTTCTATGATGGGTTTCCTGTAGGTGGATATCAGCTCTGATACATTTTTTGACCTGATTCCTGGAAGAGCGCTGTTTGCGTCCAGATTCTCATAAATCACCGTTTGAATTGTGTTTTTTAGCTCATACCATTAACTACTTATCTCAATAAAGGGTAGACAATAAATCTGCATATTCATCTTTTTGTAAACTCTTTACTAAAGCAGCTCAACAAAATTTGATATACTTCCGGAACTTCTTGTTCATATTAAATAGATATGTTTCATTGAGGGGCAATTTTATTTCATTACTTATTTTAGTTGAGAAGTGGAACAAAAATGAAAAATATGTTTTTTGGGAAGGTAAGGATGCCTACCTCTCTGGGAGAATCTGGAAGGAGTCCACTACCCTGAAACTGTTAGATGGGGATTAGCATATTGCCAGCATGTATCTCTTTATCACACAAAAATGCTGAGTGAGAATTACTCCTGACCACTATCTGCTTCCAGCCATAGAAGAAGGAATGCTGACATGAACTGGTCTTGAAATGATCTCCTAGTTGAGTTGAACTAATATTCTATATTACAATTGGAGATGGTCTTCCCTTCCTCATCAGTTTTTGGCTAGTGATCCACCAATGCCCAAAGAGGCTCTCGCAGCTTGGCATGCAGAGATACTAAAGGAACTCATTTAAGTTGACTAACAGGCAGTTGGAACTGTTTATGCCCACATATGAGCAGGCAGTAAAAATTGTTTTAACTATAAGGGAAATCAACAGCTTTGGGAAGTAGAATCAAACTGAACTAACCAAACATTCAGTACAGAATTGAAACATATTTAATGAGGAAAAGAGGAGAAAATCAAAAGATGAAACAAACTAAGTCAAATTCTAAGTGAAAAATATAAAAGATATCATACAAATATAAATATTTTTCCATGAATTATTTTACAAATACAAAGTTCAGTTAGAAGCAGGGTGACTGAACTGCATTAGAAGATCAACTGGATCAACTGGAAGAAATATTTTACAATAGAGAGCAAAAGAATAACAAAATTTAAAAACGGAAAAATGAGTGAAAAGATAAGGTAAATAGAAAATAGAGACAGAGACAGATGGTCTAAATATAACAATAGGAGTAACAAAAAAGAGAAGAAAGAACTGATGAAGGAGAATCCATTAAAAAACATATTCCCAAGCTGAAGAAAAGCTTTGGTTTTTATATCAAAAAGACACAGCAAGAACCAAGATGAGTAAAAGAAAAACAACAAACAGCAATACACTGGTGAGATTCCTGATACTGAAAGGTAAAGAAAAAATATTTTAAAAGTAATGTGTAAATTATAAGGTATTTCAGACCTACAGAAAATTATGGACAATATAATAACCTGTATACCTATCATCTATATTGATCAAATTTTAACATTTTGCTATATAATTCAAACATTTTCAAACTAAGATATAAATTTAACTAAACCTAGTCGTTAATACCCTACTTCCCTTTTTCCCCCTGCAGAGGTCAGCAATTTGTTTCATTGATATGCATATTTTTCATTCATTTAAAAATATTTTAATATGCACATATAGTTTTACATTTTTAAAATTGAAAATAAATTACATAAAGAAAAAGTATTGCTTTTTGACAACATTTTTAAAGGATTTGTCCAGTTTAAAATCTAGACAGGTAGGTAGGTAGGTACACAGATATTGAACTGCAAAAATGCATTTTATGACAATGTTTCCTTGGAGAACATTAAAAACCATTATATGGTCATTTATGAAATTAATATACAAATTAAATGCAATTACAATAAAAATCCTAACAAATTTAATTTGGAAAACTTATAAAAGTACCTTATTCCCACATGGATTATATATGCTCTACAATAGCCCAGGAAAAATTTTTAAAAGAGTGAAAGTAATTGCTTTAATGGATACAAGAACATGATATAGAGGCCCTATAATAGAAAAAAAATAGGATTTGGTAAATAAATAGAAAAACGGATCATTAGAACATACTAGTAGCTCATAGATGTACATCAATGTATATGAGATTTTACCACATGAAAGGGGTAAGTAGTTAAATTCTTTCAGAAAAGAATTAATTGTTTAATTATCATTGCTTTTATAATTGTCAATCCATACAGAAAATGTTGGAAATGTATCCTCATCTTATGGCATATGCCCAAATAAATTCCAGTGCATTAAATACTTATGATATGGTTTGGCTGTGTCCCCATCCAAATCTCTCCTTGAATTGTAATAATCCCCACATGTCAAGGGAAGGGCCAGGTAGAGATAATTGAATCATGGGGGTGGTTTCCCGTTTCCCACATACTGTTCTTGTGGTAGTGAGTAAGTCTCATGAGATGTGATGGTTTTATAAATGGGAGTTCCCCTGCACAAGCTCTCTTGCCTGCCACCAAGTAAGATGTACCTTTGCTTCTCTTTTGCCTTCCACCATGACTGGGAGGCCTCCCCAGCCATGTGGAACTGTGAGTCCATTAAACCTCCTTTCTTTAAAAATTACCCAGTCTCGGGTATGTCTTTATTACCAGCATGAGAACAGACTAATATAACTTTCATATGTAATGAATTCATAAAATCTTTCAAGAAAATAAAAGGACAAATGTATAACTTTTTAACCAAGACTAGAGTCTCAAAGGCTATAAAATTACAGATAAATATATTTGATTACAAAATTTAACATTTTGATTGCAGAGCACCACAAACAAAATTCATAGGCAAATGAAGTAATAGAAATAATCAGAAGCAGAGCAAGATGGTAGAATAGAAAGCTTTACCAATCATGCCCCCAACAAGGATACCAAGTTAACAATTATCTACAGAGAGAAAACACCTTCATATGAACCAAAAATTAGGTTAGCACTCATAGTACCTGGTTTTAACTACATATCACTGAAAGAGGCAATGAAGACATAGAAAAAGAGTCATTAGTCACTGATGCCCCCCCTCCCACACCTGAGCAGAGGCAACATGGTGCAGAGAGAGTCTTTGGGTGCTGAAGGATGAATAATACAACAATTAAGGGGCACTGAACTCGGTAATTTTCTGTTAGAGTGGAAAGGAAACCTGGACCCAACTCAGCTAATGCTGTGTGCAGACACAGAAAGAGCATTTAAATTGTCCCAAGCCAAAGAATAATTGCCGACCCCAGCAGTCCAAACATCAATGCCTGCAAACCTTTCCACTAAGGGCTACAGTATTATGTGTCTCCAAGTCAACTTGAAAAGCAGTCTAGGCCATAAAGACTGCAATTCTTAGGCAAGTCCTAGTGCTGAACTAAGCAAAGAGATAGTGGACTGAGGGGGCATGCGACATACTGAGATGACAGCTTGGATTGCTAAGGGAGCACTGGCATCACTCCTCCACTAACCTCAGGCTGCACAGCTTGAGGCTCCAAAAGAGACCCCTTCATTCTGCTTGAGGAAAGGAGAGGGAAAAGTGGGAAGCCCTTTGTCTTGAATCTTGGATAACAGCTCAGCCACAGAAGGATAGGACACTGGTCAGAGTTGTGAGGCTCCTGTTCTAGGCTCTAGCCCCCAGCTGACATTTCTAGACGCACCCTGGGACAGAAATAAACCCCCTGTCTTGAAGAAAAGTACCCAGTCCTGACAGCATTCATCATCTGCTAACTTAAGAGACTTTCCCAGACATATGAAAGCTGAGAGATTTCATCAGTGCCAGGCCTATCTCACAAGAAACGCTTAATAAAGTAATTCAATTAGAAAGAAAAGGTCATTAATGAGCAATAAACAATCACTTGAAGTTACAAAACTCACTGGTAATAGTAAGTAAACAGAAAAACCACAGTATGTTATAACATTAAAACTGTGGTGTGTAAACTACTTTTATCCTATGTAGAAAGACTAAACGATGAACCCATGAAAAATATCTACAACATCTTTTCAAGACACAACCAGTACAATAAAATAAAAATGGAGGAATAAAATGTTAAAAACTGGCAGGGGGGGGAAGAAATTATGGTGTTGAGTTTCTATTAGTTTGCTATTTGCTTGTTTGTTTGATTTTGCAAACAGTGTTAAGTTGTTATCAGGTTAAATATTGGATTAGATAATATTTGCAAACCTCATGGTAACCTCAAAGCAAAAAATACACAATGCTTACACAAAAAATAAAATGCAAGAACCAAAGTTTATCAACACAGAAAATAACCTTCACTAGAGGAAGACAGACAAGAAAGAAGGAAGAGGAGATAATAAACAACTAGAAGGCAAATAACAAAATGTCAAGAATAAGTCTATACTTATCAGTAATAACATTGAATGTAAATGGACTAAAATCTTCAATCAAAAGACATTAACGGGCTGAACAGATAGAAAAACAATGACCCATTAGTCTGTTGCCTACAATAAACACACTTCACCTATAAAGACTAAAAAGAAAGGGATGGAAAAAAATATTACATGCCAATGGAAATTCAAAAGGATCAGGAGTCAGTATACTTATATCAGAAAAAATAGATTTCAAGATAAAAACTACAAGAAAAGACAAAACACCATTATATAATGATAAGGGTGTCAATTCAGCAAGAGGATATAAAAATTTTAAATATATATGCACCAAACACAGGAGCATCCAGACATATAAAGGAAATATTATTAGAGCTGAAAAGAGAGATAGGCCTCAAAACAATAATAGCTAGAGACTTCAACTCCCCACTTTCAGCATTGGATAGATCTTTCAGACAGAAAATCAATAAAGAAACACCAGACTTAATTTGCACTATAGACCAAATAAATCTAACAGATATTTACAGAACACTTCATTCAAGAGCTACAGAACACACATTATTTTCCTCAGCACATGGATCATTCTGAAGAATAGACCATGTTAGCACAAAAAAAAATTTTTTTTTTGCATTGCTAATAATATCTTCTTTAATATCTTCAGTAGAAGATTCCTAGGGTTTTTTGTTTTTCTTTTATTATTATTATTATACTTTAAGTTTTAGGGTACATGTGCACAATGTGCAGGTTAGTTACATATGTATAAAAAGTTGAAACAATATTAAGCATCTTCTCTCAATATAATGGAATAAAACTAGAAACTAATAAGAAGAAACTAATAAAAATCTGTATTGGAAACAATACAGATACATGGGAATTAAATGATCTGTTTCTGAATTACCAGTGGGTCGATGAAGAAATTAAGAAGGGATTGAAAAATGTCTGGAAACAAATGGTAATGAAACACAACATACCAAAACCTATAGAATATACAAAAGAAGAACTAACAGAGAAGTGTATATCTATATGTGCCTATGTCAAAAGAGAGGGAAAACTTCAAATAATCAATCTAATGATGCATCTTCAAGAACCAGAAAAGCAAGAGCAAAGCAAATTCAAAATTAGTACAAGAAAATAAATAATAGAGATCAAGTCAGAAATAAATGAAATTGAAGCAAAGAAAACAATACAAAAGATCAATGAAACAAAATGTTCATTTTTTGAAAAGTTAAACAAAATTGGCAAAACTTTAGCCAAACTAAGAAAAAAAAAGAGAAGATCAAAATAAATAAAATCGTAAATGAAAAAGGAGACATTACAATTAATACTGCAGAAATGTACAGGATCATTAGTGGCTGCTATTAGAAACTATATGCCAATAAACTGGAAAATCTGGAATAAATGAACACATTTCCAGATACATACAACCTGTCAAAAATGAACTGGGAGGAAAGCCAGAATATGAACAAACCAATAACAAGTAATGAGATCAAAGCCATAGTAAAATGTCTCCCACTAAAAAAAATCCTGGGACCTGAGGTCTTCACAGCTGAATTCTACCAAATATTTAAAGAAGAACAAATACCAACACTACTCAAACTCTTCTGAAAACTAAAGGAGAAGGGAAAACTTCCAAATATACCTGATGAGGCCAGTATTACACTGATACCAAAACCAAAGACACATCCAAAAAAAAAAAAACAAAAAAAAAGGCGGTGGGGAAGAAAACTATAGGCCAGTATGTCCGATGAATATTAATGCCAAAATCTTAAAAAAAATACTGGTAAACCAAAATCAACAGTATGTTAGAAAGATCATTCTTCATGACCAAATGGGATTTATCCATTTGATACAAGGATGGTTCAACATATGCAACTCAATCAATGTGATGCACCTTACCAATAGAATGAAGGATACAAATCATATATCATTTCAATGAATGCTGAAGAAGTATTTGATAAAATTCCACATAGCTTCATGAAAAAACCCTTACAAAACTGGATAGAGAAGGAACATACCTCAACATAATAAAAGCCATATAGGACAGAACCACAACTAGCATCATACCAAATGGAGAAAAAACAAAACCTTTCTTTTAAGATCTGGAACATGACAAATGTTCCTACTGGCAGCACTATTATTCAACGTAGTATGGGAAGTTGAGCAATCAGACAAGAGAAAGATATAAAGGGCATTGAAACTCAGAAGGAGGAAGTCAAATTATCTTTGTTGGCAGATGGTATGGTCTTATATTAGGAAAAACCTAAAGACTCCACAAAAAAACTATTATAACTGATAAGCAAATTCAGTAAAGTTGCAGAATATGAAATCAGCATACACCAATCAGTACTACTTTTATATGCCAACAAAGAACAACATGAAAAAGAAATTTAAAAAAGTAATCCCATTTACAATAGCCACATATAAAATTAAATATCCAGGAATTAATTTAACTAAAGAAGTGAAGAAAAACCTCAGTAATTAAAACTATTAAACTTTAATAAAATAAATTGAAGTAGACACCCCAAAATTGAAAAATATTTCATGTTCATGTATTGGAAAGATTGATATTGTTAAAATGTGCCTACCTACTACCCAAGCAATCTACAGATTCAATTCAATCCCTATCAAAATACTAGTGACAATTTTCACATAAATAAGCAAAACAATCCTAAAATTTATACAGAACCACAAAAGACCCAGAATAGCCAAAGCTATCCTAAACTAAAGGAACAAATCTCGGGGAATCACATTACCTAACTTCAAATTATACTACAAAGCCATAGTAACCAAAACAGCATGGTGCTATCATAATAACAGACATACATACCAAAGGTACAGAATAGCAAACCCAGAAACAAATCCATACACCTATAGTGAATTCATTTTTGCAAAAGTACCAAGAACATACACTGGGGAAAAGACAGTGTCTTCAATAAATGGTTCTGGGAAAACTGAATATCCATATGAAGAATTTATTTTATTTAGATCCCTGTCTGTCACCATATACAAACGTAAAACCAAAATGGATTAAAGACATAAATATAATAATTCAAAGCATAAAACTACAAGAAAACTTTGGGGAAAATCTCCAGGACATTGGTCTGCACAAAGGGTTTTTTAGTAATACCCTACAAGCACAGGCAACCACAATAAAAATGGGCAGATGGGATTACATCAAGTTAAAAAGCTTCTGCACAGCAAAGAAAGCAATCAACAGAGTGAAGAGACAACCCACAGAATGGGAGAAAATATTTGCAAACTGCGTATCTGACAAAGACTTAATAACCAGAATGGGCAAAATGTTTGAATGGACATTTCTCAAATGAACACATGCAAAATGCAAACAGGCATATAAAAGGTGCTCAACATCATTAATCATCAGAGAAATGGGAATCAAAACTACAATGGGATATTATCTCACCCCAGTTAAAATGACTTATATCCAAAAACAAGTAATAAAAAATGCTGGCAAGGATGTGGAGAAAAGGTACCCCTTGTACACTCTTGATGGAAATAGAATTTAGTAAAACCTCTATGGGGAATATTCTGGAGGTTCCTCAAATAACTACAAATTTAGCTACCACATGATCCAGCAATCCAACTGATGGGTATATACCCAAAAGAAAGGAAATCAATGTATTGAAGTGATATCTGGACTCCCTTGTTTGTTGCAGCACTGTTTACAATAGTTAAGATTTGTAAGCAGCCTAATTGTCCATCAACAGAAGAATAAATAAAGAAAATGTGGTATATATACACAATGGAATGCTATTCAAGCATAAAATAAAATGAGATCCAGTCATTTGCAACAACATGAATGGAACTGGAGATCATTATGTTAAGTGAAATAAGGAAGGCACAGAAAGAGAAACTTCACACATTCTCACTTATTAGTGGGATCTAAAAACCAAAGCAATCGACTTATGGACATAGAGAGTAGAAGGATGGTGACTAGAGGCTGGGAAATGTAGTGGGTGTTTGGGGGAAGGTGGGGATGTTTAATGGGTGTAAAAAAATAGAGCGAATGAATAGGATGTGAGGGTGACCTGGCTGCAACATCTGTCACCCCATTGATCATCAGGGTTTATTCAGTTGATCTGGTTGGCTGGGTGGGAGTTCCCTTCCTCCCTCACCACTCCATATGCATCTCTCCCAGAGCTGCAAACTTGGTCGAAGAGAACGACCATCCCCAACAGAGGAGTACCAGTCTTTGGTCAAACATATACGAGTAGCTGTACTCCCTTGCTAGAACCTCCAAACAAGCTCTCAAGAATAAATAAGACCTATTATTAGATAGTACAATGAGGTGACTAAAGTAAATAACAACTTAATTGTACATTTTAAAATAACTTAAAGAGTGGAATTGATTTGTTTGCAACTCAATGAATAAATGCTTGACAAGATGGATACTCCATTTCCTATGATATGATTATTTCACACTGCCTGTATCAAAACATCTCATTTACCCCATAAATATGTACACCTACTACGTACCCACAAAAATTTAAAAAAAATGGAAATAAATATGTGTAACAGTAGAATATACAGAGAAATCTTACAAACTGATATGTAAAAGATAAACAATCCAAGAGGAAAATGGACAAAAATTATTAATGACAATTCACAAAAAAAGTAAATTCAAATCGCCAGTAGATACATGAGAAATAATCAAATTATCCTTGTAATTAGGAAATCTAAATTAAAGTAACAACTAGATACCATTACACACCCATTAGACAGATAATATTTTTTTCGAAAAATACCCAGTGATGGTAAAGATGTAAAGGATTACAAACCATTTAGAAAGCAATCTGGTGATTTATACTTATATTTATATACACATTTGTGTTTCTATTCCTATTTATGTTTGTACATGTCTTCGGCCTTCCAACTGAGATATAATAAAGGTATAAGTAACAGGATGTTCATTTCAATATTGTTCGTAAAAAACTGAAAACAAGGTAAATGACCATTAATAGAATGGTTAAATAACTTATAAATATGCACATAATGGGATAGTATACAGTCACTCAAAATATTGAAATAAATCTACACTGCTTATACCCCTTCATATAAATCTCTCTCATCAAAACTTTTTCCCTATTCAGCCATTCATAAAGAAAAAGCATCATTGCATAAAAATCAAGATTAATGTGTGTGTATGTGCGTGTGTATGTTTTACAAGGCAGGAAGATCTATTTTATAGTAGCAGTAATCAACTTCTAAATCTGAACCGAGGCTATGGAATCTCACTGGTTGAGCTAGCCAAAAGTATATTGTCTGTTTGAGTGTGGTACCTTGGAGTTAGTTGTAGCCAAGAAGTTTCAAATTGTTACATAAGGCACAGTCATAGGAATCCCATCTGTAACCCACAGGGAATCGGGCTGACTTTCAGGAAATAAGGTAGGAATTGATACCAAATTAGCTTGGGTAGGACAAGGGAAAGCTAATGCTCAGTGTATCCAAAATTGCCTAGGGTCTTTTCTGGAAAAATTAGATGATGACATATAAGAGTAAAACAAATTTCAAATCCTACTTATTTGTTAGGTTCAGTTTTTTTCTAACGTTTCCTGTCTGAGGAGATTGTTTTCAGGAGAGCTTCAGCTGAAAATGTCTGGAGAAGGCACAAAAGACAAGAAGATTTATATAAGAATAGAACGAGGTTGAGCAAGGCAGAGAAGAGAATCAATTACACACAAAAAAGCAGAAGCAACTGATGACTATGTGCCCTACTTCATTATTAGTAGCGAGTGAGCAGTAGACCTTGACTATTTGCATTGAAAGCATATATGTATTTGAGGATATTCAAGTCTTTATAAAAAGTGCATGCAATTTTGTTTTAGCATATTTGTATTTAATTTTTCTTATTGTATATAATAAAAAAGGCTTCTGGGCTAGTCAATACCACCATTCTTTTTTGCCTTATAGAAAATTTTTGAAGCAGGTTAATTTCATATTGAAATCTAGTACTATTTTCTACATCACCAGCCAAACAATTGGCAAGGTTTTTCATTTCCGTAGATTTATAAGGAACCTAAGTACACTCTAAGTGTAAATTATGTACTTCAAGTCTTGGGCAATCACATAATTATTTCAGATGATTAACATATGAAGAAAATATTCAAGCTTATCAGCAATTTTTTTTAAACATAAAAATTAAAAAGTACATAACACCTTTCATGTCTCATGCTTTTTCTTTTTGCTGTGTACTTGTTTTACAACAACTGTGTCTGCTATTGTCTGGTTGCTAAAAATATTGGGGACTTTTACAAAGTACCAGTTTCTGGGAATATAATGTTTATCAGGAGAACATCTCTGTAGCTAGATTTATATTCCTGATTTCTAAATTTTCTGAATGTGGGCCTGGCACTCTGATGCCGTGTGAAAGTGAGACAAACGAGAGATAGAGTGCTGGATTATTTTGGCTTTTGGGATGGTGTTAAGGGACTTATTTCAAGAGTAAATTGGCCATAGATATTGAAGAAGAAAACCCAGCTTTACACAGGCTTTTGCAGTAGATCACTCTATTTGTGACCTACAAAAATATCAATTTGGAAGGGCAAACATTTTTATCTTTTATTTCTTCGGATTTTTAATTTGATAAGATTTCATTTTTCTTCTCTAATTTCTTCCTGGAAAATTAATAATTGAAGGAGTTTCGTACAGAGTGTTCAAATTTGGGGCATTGTTCATGTTGTAATTATTTGGGCTAATTGCATAATCTCTGGTGTGCTATACTGAACAATAAAGATGGGCATAATTTGAGATGGAAAATTCAATAATGATAAAGTACTCTGCCTAGGGTATAATGCAGCCTTGAAGTTAATTGTATTAGTGTCTTCTTCTGAGCCACTTTACAGTCTTCTGAGAAAAAAATTGTACTGTCTTCATAGCTCATAGCTCATCATAGAAAATAGATAAAATAGTAGTGGTTCATACAGGGGCTGCAAGTACGTGCTGCCTTATGGAGATTAGGTGGAGCAGTACTGCCCTGATATATTACTAGTTTACTCTTCCAAAGGTAATGGCCACACCATATGCTTCATTATTAAGCTCAATGGGTTAAGACAGTGGTTTTCATTCCTAGCTGCACATTAGAATTATCTAGGGAGTGTTTAAGATGCTTAGGCTTCTTCTTAGACCAATTAAATCATAATCTCTGAGGTTGGGGTCAAGTGTCACTAAAAAGCTCCTGAGTATTTCCAGTGTGCATCTGTCTTATGTTGTTCCCCTGCAAACAGACTCTGTGACAGAGGTACCCATGAAGGAAGTTGATTGGGAAGAATTCTCAGTAACAACACCTGTAAAGTAGTGAAAAGTTTTTAAAAGATTGGGCAGATAAAGTTGAACTGCCACAGTTACCACAGAGGTCTCTGCTACAGTCCATGCCACAGGAAGGTCAGGAGCTGGGACAATCTTCTACATTTGTCCCGAATTTAGGCAAGTTAGCAGGAACTATATACCCTTGCATCCACCCAATATTGGGTTTGACCTGCCCGGTGGAGTGGGTCAAGCTCCCTTCTACTGGATGGGATTTTCAGGACAGACACAGCTCTAAGCTGACATGTAGTCAGACTCCAGAGCCCACAGCATTTCCCAGAAATGTGAAGTATTGGAGTCAACCCTTCTGGTACCTCTCTAAAGTACAGAGGCTACTTCTCCTCACCAGAGGAAGAGGCATGTGTCTGTTTGGTAAAAAAACAGGGAGGTCCTAGTAGCCAGTGGGCCATGTTAATTAGTGTTGGAGTCATTAGGAAAAAGTCAAGTATCATGGAAATGTCTACCACTCCTTCTGTCTCACAATAGACATGGATTGCCTCAATAAAATAAAAAAGTATTTGACTTCATAGCTATTAAGTGATGATGTAAGCCTACTACAAGAGTTGGCCCACACTCTCCAAGTCAGCCACCGTCCACCTTTTGTGTGCGCATGTGTCTGGAAATGTAAGTGCATATCAGGACTGGGACAGGAGATTCTGGTATATTGTACAATAAACTTTCAACTACATTCAAGTTGTTATATTGTGATTTCATCTGCATTTTAATATTTACATTTTTTTCTCAATGGCTTACCAGCTAGAGAGGTGAAAAAGTAGTAACTAGGCTTCCCCAAATCATTTTCTCAAACATTTTGAGAGAATAAATGAAACATACTGAAACAGACAGGAGGAAATCATTCAAAAATTAACTCATAAATAAACGAGGCAAGTAATTTGGGATGGAGGGGGATAAAGTAAAATAATGAAGACAAAGGATATAAAATACATGTAAACTGGCTGCTAGGGTTTATAGCAACAGATATGAAAATGTGGAGAGAGAGAGACCAGTGGAGGGAGAGAGAATGACAGAGATTGCTAGGGTCTAAATGTGTGTGCCCTCCCCCCTCAAAAATTTATATTTTGATATCCTAATCCCCAAGATGATGATATTAGGAGGCAGGACCTTTAGGAGGTGATTAGGTGATGAGAGCAGTGCCCTAATTAATGGAATTAGTACCCTTATAAATGAAACCCCAGAGAGATTCATTGTCTTTCCATCAAATGAGGACACAGGTAGAAGGACTCATCTGTAAACCAGAAAACTAGACAACAAATATCAGACGCCTGACACCGGACATCAGGTTTGTTGGGGCATTGATCTTGGACTTCAAGATCCCACAACATTGTAAGAACTGTAAGAAAATAAATTCTTCAGAACTGTGAGAAGTAAATTTATGTTTTTGATAAGGTACACAGCCTATGGTATTTTGTTATACCAGCCAAAACCAAGACAAAAATAGATTGCTTTGTTCAATTATATGTTTACAAATTATAAAATCTAATTAAAATGAAAATTTTTCTCAGAAAATATAAATGACTAACAGTGCTTAAAAGAAAGAAGATACTAGTATATAAATAACTATGAAAGAAAGTTTAAACTTATCAAAAAAAATACACCAAAAAATTCTAGAACAGTTAATTTGTGCTCTGGTCTATTATATGTCCTAAGTAAAAAAAAATTTATATATATATGCATAAAATGTATCAATTTTCTTTAAAAAGGTAACACAAGCTAGATACCAAATTCTTTTAAACCAACTACAAAAAAACTAAAACTAGAGAATACTCCTGGTGTCAAATTATAAATAGAAACCTGGAAAATATAAATCCATTACTAATAAGATAAAAATGTGTGATCAAACAGAAAGCCAGCATCATTTTGAAACCAAGAAGCATTTACGTCAGGATAAATAGAACAGTATTTCCTATCAATTCTATAATGTAGTATTATTTGATAGATTTTGGACATTGAAGGAAAGAATTCAGACATATAGGAAAATAAATGAAATACTGAAAGATCATATAACTATAGATGTCAAGATAATGAACTAAAAATAAATAATGTAGAAATTAATATAATTAATAGAATATTATTAAAGTGGTCATGTAGTAAACACAAACACATCCCTACATATATCTGTTCACACACACACATATATCTATAACAACATGGATATGTGTATATATATATATATATATATATATATATATATATATATATATACGCATGAATATACACAGACATATATTAGGTTGGTGTAAAAGTAATTGCATTTTTTGCCCTTACTTTCAATGGCAACAACTGCAATTACTTTTGTAAGAACCTAATATACATACATGGATATAAACATACTTATATATAAACTATATATCAGTTTTTGCTCATACAGAATTACACTGTCTTCAGAGATTGTAATTTTATATAGACAATAATCTTTTAGAACATATAGTAGAAGAAAATAATCTTATTCTCAGCAATTACAGAAACAGAAATGAGCATGCATTTATTTTATTTATTTAAAAGAATTGTTACACTAGGAAATGAATAATGTAAAATACATAATTTATCTTCAATTTATTAGTTTAATAAGAATACAATCAAACATTCCTTGCAATTATTTTAATTTGACCAAATGATTCTAAAATCCATGTGGAAAAACAGCCCAAGATATCTATCAAAATAAGAGTAATGAAGTGGCACTTGAACTACAAGCTTTTAGGGCATACAACATAGTTTACAGTATTCAAAATGTTGTGATATTGCCACAAGAATTGACAAGGTAGTGAAACAGAACATAAGGGCAAGCAACTACTATTTGATACCTCATCTTTACCTGCACTTGTGTATTCCACATCTGGCTATATATCTACTCTGTTTAAGCTCTTACTATGTACTAATTAGTTACTCTGTTTATAATTTTGTATATGATATTAAGGCTAGTCAGGCTATTGTAGCAAATAGACCTGGGCATGTAATGACTCAAAAGAATAGTTTACATCGTGTTTGTATAACAATCTTGGTTAGAGGTTCCAGTTCAGTGGTTGCTCTAGTCTATGTAGCCATACCAGAGCTCAGTCTGTCAAATATTCTTTTTGAAAGATGATGAAGGTGAATTCTAAGGTTCCTATGGCTACCAACAACACAATCAACCACAGGGGGAAAGAAAATGAAGAGGATGGAGGACGTTTATATAGACCAGACCAGAAAGTTTTATATATCACATCCACTTCTTTTTAATCTGTTATTTATAAGTCAGAAAAAGAGCTTAGTCCTATGGCCAAACCTAACTGAATGGGCAACTAGGAAAATGTAGTCTAACTGTTGTCTGGGAGAAGGAGAGGGTATATTTTGATGTACAGCTAGCAGGCTCTGCCATACATGTGCTCTCTTTATTAATTCACAAATATCGTTATAATCCGGTACTATTATTAGTCTCATTTTATACACAAAGAACTACGGCGCAAAGAATTTAGGGAACATGTCCAAAGTTGCATGGCTATTAATTGGTTGACCTAGCAATCCTATCCAGTTTACTAACTCCAGAGTCCATGCACATCACTGTTAATACTATTACAACAATTGCTATGACCACCACCACCACCACTGCCACTACTACTACACACACACACACACACACTTATAGAGTGTGTGTGAATTGTTCATGAAAAATATTATATTATAAATTAGTAGATAATAGAATGACTATTCAATTAGAAATAAAATATACCATTTCAATACATAAACATAGATCCTTATATTTTATAATATAATTAATTTCAGGTAGGTCAAATAATGTAATGTAGAAAATCAAATCATTTAAAACTAAAAGAAGACATTCGTGACTATCAGTTCTCTGGACTGTCAAAATATAATATGGAATATAATTTCAAATATATAGAATAAGTGGCAAAGGATAAAATCAATACATGACTACATGAGAATTAAATCATTCATGTGCCCAAAAACAATAACGAAATTAAACAACAAACTAGTAAAATGTAAGCAATGAATTTGACAAATAGTAAATATCTTTAATATTTACTTACAAATAAAAGCTCTGTTACCTTATAATGGGAAAAAAAGGCAAAGGACATGAAACAGTTATTTCACTAGAAGATAGAATAGTGACAGAACTATAAATGTCTACTAAGTATATAAAAAGTGTTCCGTCTTGGTAGAAAACACAGTAATGCAAATGAAAACAATTAGACATCATTCATCTAATTGAGACAGGTTTTAAAAAGCACGCTTAATCAAAAATATTGATCAGACATCTGCTGTGTGTCAGATGTTTACATTTTGAAATTTCAGGAATGCCTATAGAAAAAGGCATGTAAAAGCAATGATTCCATGGAAATTATTTTCAGTGGGGAGAACATAGACAAACAAAACAAGAAAATAAGGAAAGTATCCGATATATATAAGTGCTATGCAAAGAGTTAAAGTAGGATATCACTATAACTAGATGACTTCTTAACATGAGTGGTTAGGGAAGGCCTCTGAACTGTTATTTAGTTGAGAATCTGAATAACATGTCAATCTTGTAAAGATACAGAGAGTATTCCAGCTAGAGGGAATAGCTAGTAGACAACCCTAAATGGGAGTAAACTTTGCATAGAAGGTGCAGATGGATCCCATTGGTCAAGTGAGAGAATGACAAGACATGAGCTTGGAATGTTGACATGTTCAGATTATGTAGGTTTAAGATAGGGTAAGAAGTTGGATTTTATTCAAGGTGCTGTGGGAATATCCTTCAAGTTTTAAGTAGGGGAGTGATATCATCTGAGCTGAATTTTCAAAAAGATTATTCTGGCTGTTGTTTGGAAAATTGTTTGTAAGAAGGGGTAAGATGGGAGGCAAGGACACCAGTTGGGAGGTTACAACAGTAATCCAACTGAGAGAAGATGATGGCTGTGACTATGATGGTAGCAGGAAAGATGGAGATCAGCGGACAAATTTCAGATAGATTTTGGAGATGACATCTGCAGCACATAGTGAAGATTGAGGGGTCTGAGGAAATAAGAGGGAAATCAAAGATAACTCATAGATTTTGTGATGCTTGGTGTGAAGAGATGACATACGCTGAGATGAAGAAGACTAGGAAAGAACAAATTTGTTGATGGCAGAATCAACAATTCCTTTTTGACTTTATTAAATTTGAGATACCTTTTGATAAACTGTGGGGATACCAAACAGGCAGTTTAATATATGAGTCTTGAGTTCTATAGGAAAGTCAGGGCCTGCCACAGATTTATGGGGCATCAGCTACAAATTATATTTAATGGTAGAGTACAACATGATTTTACCAAGGATCGATGTATTAACATAAAAGAGAAGAGGGCGTATGAATATCAGTGAATGTGAAGAGACATAACATACAGCTGGAGAAGCTTTAAAATTTACAATTTTTCTTTAAAACTATTTGACAATAAGAATTAAAAGGCCTATGAGGCACAATTATTGATATATCAATTCAAATTCTAGAAATTTTCCAAGAAGAAATATACATTGATACAGTACAAAATTTATATATAAAGTTGTGCTTCATGATATTATTTATAAAAAAGAATATATTACCCATCCTAAAATCCCATAAACCAGGAAATAGTCACATAAAATATTTGTCAGTAATTGTATTTAAATGTAATATTTTTAAAAAATATTTTATGATATGAGAAATATCAAGGGGGCCATATCTTCAAGGATCTCACCATATAGTAGGAATATAAGCACATAAATAACTAAAATTTAATAATCAATTTTAATGCTAGACAGATCTACGATTTACAGAAGAAACAGAGAAGAGGAAGTGGTTAAATATGTCTAAGGATTAGGGTGTTTGGGGACAATTTCTGAGAGGAGATAGCATCTGAGCTGAATACTTGAAGGAATAATAGGAATTGTTCAAGAAGAAGAAACAAGATTTGCCAAGGCAGAGAGCATGGAAAGACAACATATTGATCAAATCACAAGAGAAACACAACATTACTAAAACATAAAGCATAAAAGCAAGTGAATAGGTAAAAGGGGATGTAGGGAGGAGCCAAGTCAGACAGCACATAAAATACCATGCAAAGGAGCTAAGTCAGTATAGAGGATGGAGTTACAAGGCATTTTAAGTAAGGGGATGACAAGGTCAGACTTATATATAACCCAAATATTATCACACATTGCAAGGAAATATTTCATGGGAAAAGTAGACATAAAATCAAATACCCAGTTTGGCACATTTCTTCATCATTCCTGCCTTTTCTCCCGCAACACACTATGTTTTTCTCTGCCATCTGCCTCATCACATTTGCTTCTTCTTCCTTCTAGGGTCCCCAAAATAATATTTTCTATCATCAGGATTAGAACAGATGCTATCTGTTGTCCTCCAGACTAGGTTCCTCTGAGGCCCACCCATCTATGGATGGATGTTGGGATGTAATGTGTAGCTGCATCATAAAATTGTGAATGATAGAATGGAAGAGTACAAGACTAGAGAGAGGGAGAAAATTAATAGGATTTAAATTAATGGGTTTTAAATTAATAGGGAGAAAATTAATAGGTGGAATAAGTTAAATGGCTCATTCACTGAGAAGCAAGGAGAGCACTGGTAAATTTAATTTTGGATATTTTCTATTACATAGCATGTAGAACACTGGTTTCTGAACTTGGCTACATATTGGAATCAGTGGAAGAGTTTTCCAACAGTGTATATTCTAGAACACAATTCTTGGATTTTCTGATGCATCACTCTTGAGGTATGAAACAGAAAGCAGTATTTTAAATACGCTCCAATGGTGGTCACAATGCACCACCAGAATGGAGAGTTTGTTGTAGAATACTGCTCAATGAAGAGTAGTGAAATGTTAACTAGCACATAGATGGCCATGTGTGTATATATATATATATGGATACATATATATATATATGTGCATATTTCCCGCCAT
Source organism: Homo sapiens (assembly GCF_000001405.40). Classification (NCBI taxonomy): domain Eukaryota; kingdom Metazoa; phylum Chordata; class Mammalia; order Primates; family Hominidae; genus Homo; species Homo sapiens. The sequence goes on along the minus strand of NC_000023.11, from coordinate 143,187,367 downwards.
TGCTATTCTGAGCAGATGTTCATTCCTCATTCATGAGAAATTAGGGTTTGAATACCCCGCACCTGTCTCCAAATATTACCAATGGCAGATTCTCAATCCCTTTCTCTATACATCTATTAATCCAGTTCATAATGATTTATTTTATGTTTAACATGTGCTTTTTCTGGCACAGAAATATTTCCCCTATATAGACCAAATATCCATGTACACAAATGATTAAATTAGTTACTCAGCAGATGTCTAAGACAATGGTTTTCCCTAGGAGAACTGTATCCTGAAGATTGAAACATTTCGTTTTGAGGAGTTGCCAGAATTTTCTTCTGTCTTACTAAAAACCCCATAAGGAATATACATGTGTGACCAAGATAATCGACCATGAAGAATATTGGTTAAAAAACAAACTTACATTGTTACATTAATGGGGTTCCCCAAAGTGATGATTCACAATACGAAAACTATCTCTTGCAATTCTGAGAATTGAGTAACTTCTTCATAGACTCTGATTAATGAATAATACAGAGATAATTATTCCACAATTATTTTAAAAAATCAACATGCCTTACTCATAATATTAAACTATTTTGAATGATTATCAAAAATTCAAATATTTAAACAACACTACCAACATGAAAAATTCAGAATCCACTGGCGTCCTCCTCTCTTTTGTTTCTATTGTTAAGTTTTGTTGTAACTACACACTAAAAGCACAGGCTCTGCTACATTCCTTCAGAGTCAGAAATTGAGGACAATGATACATGGATTCACCACTGGACTCAAAGGGCATCACTCCCATACATAGAGTTAGAAACTTGTCAGAAACCACGGAGATGGAAAACATATTAGTTGTTGGCAGTGGTTAGAGATGGTGGGGACAGGGGGTCGTGGTTGTGACTATAAAGAGGTGGCTTGAGGGAGACCTTTACAGTGATGAAATAGTTTATATCTTAACTGAGGAGGTAGTTATACCTATCTACATATGTGATCAACTAACATAGAACTGTACTCACACATTGTATCAATATCAATTACATGGTTTATTACAGTTACATAAAATGTAACTAGTTGGACAAATTTAGTGAAGAGTACAGAAGACCTGTCTGTCCTATCTTTACTCCTTCTTGTGAATCTATTATTCCAAAATAGAAAGTTTAATTTAAAAAATCTCCTTGTCAGAGTCACTGGCCAAGAGAGCAACAACCCCAAACAGTGTGGAGTCTATTCTTCTAGATCTAACATCATTTGATTTGCCTCTGCCTTGGCTATTACATACCAGTGAATATATCACTTTATTCTGCTCTTTACCCAGCATTTTATCAATGCATAGCCAACCCAATTCGGGCCAGATTTCTGCCTTTGTCATTTTCTCTTGCTCAACCTACAGTACCTATCAGTGCCTGATATATAAAATACATTTTGAATGAATGAAGAAAGGAAAGAAAAATAGTCTTATCTATTCCTACCATAATTCTGAGTTCCTTGAGGGCTGAAACAACAGATTCACTTATATCTTCTAAATATCTAGCACAGCAGGCATTCAGTTAATGTTTTAAAAGATAATCAATGAAATATTATAAAATAAGTGAGGATTATTGCTATTAACATTATAAAGGCTCTTGCAATTCTCTGCTAGAAGGAACTTTTCATCATTTCCATGAACCTCACTTTTCTTTTTAAGACCTTTTATATTTTTAACATAACTAGGGGCAGCATATTTTTAGCAAGGTCACAAAGTTCTGTGCATGACTATAAAATGATACAATTTCCTAATATAGAAAATTATATTCAAAACTGTTCTTGCAAATTATATCCTGGTACAGATTCTGGATGATTGTGGTACCAGTTGTGCTGTATTTTTTGAAGTGAATTAGTGGGGTACTTTGGATCCGGGAGAATGGCTGCTTGTTATTTGGCTTCTAAAAAGATGGGAAAAATGAGGAACCCCACTAGAAGGGCAAGAAACTGCTGAAGATATTTCCATAACTTTCAGACCTTGATTACTTGCCTATCAGCAGTATTTGAATCTTCTGTAAAGCAGCCTGTATGTTTGGGGACTGCGATAAAAATGAGACCCATGTAACACGTTTCTGACGTAAGTTATGCCATAATTTTCCATACTTTTTTCTCTCATTCATCATCTTATTCTCCATTGGGCAAGACCCCTTAGATACAAGTGACAGAACACCTACTTTAAATAAAGAGAATTTTTTAGCTTATATGTAAAAGTCCCTGGAAGAGACTTGATCCCTAGGAGTTCTTGATCCCAATGTTATCCTGTCTTGATTCATTTCCATTCTTAGCTATGTCCTCACCTGTGTTGTCTTCATTCTTAGGCTCCACATAGTTACCCGAAGAATCTACAGGCTTATGACTTCCCACCTGTAAGGGCAGTGGGAAAGAGAGTATATAAATTCCCAGTACATTCTGTACAAGTCCACACATTCACTCTGATTGGACAAGCTGAGGTCTTACGTCCACTTCTAAATCAGTCCCTGTGACTAAGGGGGTTCTGTGAATTCATTGGCCAGGCCTAGGTTTTATGTCCTACCACTGGAGTCAGTTCACTTCCAAGTGAACTACATGAAAGGAAAGTGGAATATCAACTCCAGAGATACTGAGGATGTCATTACTAGAAGAAAGAGGCAAGAGATTATGGCAAACCAAAACAATAAACAATAAGCAACAAGTATATTCAGTACACTGTGTGATACAGTTTGGCTCTGTGTCCACACTCAAATCTCATGTTGAATTGTAATCCCCTATATTAGGTGAGGGACTTGGTGGGAGATGATTGGATTATGGGGGCAAATTTCCCCCTTGCTGTTCGCGTGATACTGAGTGAGTTCTCAAGAGATCTGGTTGTTTAAAAGCATGTAGCACTTCTCCCTTCCTTCATCTCTCTCCTGCCACCATGTGAAGATGTGGTGGCTTCCCCTTTGCCATTCCACCATGATTGTAAATTTCCTGACACCTCCCAGCCATGCTTCCTGTAGGGCCTGTGAAACTGTGACTCAGTTAAACCTCTTGTCTTCATAAATTACCCAGTCTCAGGCAGTTCTTTATAGCACTGTGACAACAGACTAATACACTGTGTTTCAGCTCCACATAAGTTGACTGCTTGCAATTTTCCAAAGTCCTTCTTCCCACTTCTGAGCTATGCTTTTACCATTCTCCTCATGTCTTCTTGTCAAAAAACTACTTGTTCTTCAGGATAATATCAAGGTTAAATGTTTCTTTCTTTGCCAATTCTTTCTCAATCCTTGGTCAAAATGAGTTTCCCCCTCTATCTGTGTCTGTTTCTATAGTATTTTGAACCTCTGCTCTAGCACCCATTATAGCCTGTTTGATATTATAGTGATGTGAATTCATGTCTTTGTCTTCCTAGGTGATGAGCTTTGTGAGGTTAGGTACTAAATTTGTTACAGTATTGTATAGCTCACCAAGCACTCTATATAGTATTGTATAGCTCACCAAGCACTCTATATAGTATTGTATAGCTCACCAAGCATTTTGCCATATCCAGAATATATTCTTGCTGAATTATTGACAAAATTAATTTGAATAATTGATTATTTTTCCTATTTCAACATGCTGCACCAATAGTCTATGTTTACCCATGTCAAACTGCTCTAGGGAATGTGCTTATTTTTGAAGATTTCCTGCTTTCTCTTTGACCTAAGGATATTAGGTCAAAGCGATATTCTGTCTATACTTATTTGTATATGCAAGTATATTTCAATTTGTAACTCATCAACTCTAAAATTGGGATTGGATTTCTGATTGTCTTGAGGCTGAAGGGCCTGTAGCTTCTCTTCCTATCACTTATATCTTTTGCATCAAAAACCAAATTCATTATGCATGGTATGACTTACCCTATATAATCAGCCAGAATGAATGAACAGGACAATAATAGGGTCTTTTTATTGAAAATTGAATTGGCATTTTGTAATTCAGCAACAATATTCTGATAGCTTGAGAACTTTTCTGACCTTTTAGAGCAGTTGATGTTTAAAATGGATACATAACAGTATGTCTTCTTTGCTGGTAAAGCTGTAAATAACAGTGGATAATACTTCACAAGATTAGATAATTAATTAGAAAACAGGAAAATATTCAGTTAAGTGTAATAAAGGTTTACTGAGCACTTACTATAATTCCAAGTACTTTTCCATGCAGAGATGAGGGACAGATGAATAGACATGGCAAAAAACCTCATGATACAGGCCTATGCACAGAATCTTTCAAAATTTTATAGTAAAGACAGTGATAGACTTCCTCAAACTGATCTGGGAAGATGGAGCAGGGGAACTTAACCCCAGGATAGGAAGGTAATGCAAGAGTTTCTGAATGTGGATCATTGTCTGGATGTTCCCAAATAACTCCAGGTTGTCATTGTATAGAGACAGCTTATGTCTTAGAGAGCTTCAGTAACTTTCTCAAGGTCACACAATGTATTAGTCAGGGATTCCTAGAGGGACAGAACTAATAGGATAGATGTGTATATGAAGGGGAGTTTATTAAGGAGTATTGACTCACACAGTGACAAGGTGAAGTCCCACAATAGGCCATCTGCAAGCTGAGGAGCAAGGAAGCCACTCCGAGTTCCCAAACCTCAAAAGTAAGTCTGTGACTGAGGGCCTGAGAACCCCTGGCAAACCACTGGTGTAAGTTCAAGAGTCCAAAAGCTGAAGAACTTGGAGTCTGATGTTGGAGGGCAGGAAGCACCCAACATGAGAGAAAGATGGAGGCCGGAAGACTTAGCCAGTCTGGTCTTTCCACGTTCGTCTGCCTGCTTTTATCCTAGCCGTGCTGGCCACTGATTAAATGGTGCCCACCTCTCCCAGTCCACTGACTCAAATGTTAATCTCCTTTGGCAACACCCCAACAGGCACACCCAGGAACAATACTTTGCATCCTTTAATCCAATCAAGTTGACACTCAATATTAAACATCACGCACATGGAGACAGTTTGGTTGACATCAGTAGAAGTATGTTTCCAGTCATATTCTACCCTAATAAATGCTACTGTCCTTCTCATACCATATAAGTTATTGCCTGGAGTTAATGCACTACAACTATAGCAGAATCTTTTGACAATCTAATATATTTAACAAATATCCTTATTTCAAAATAACTAAGAAACTTAAAAAATATTTGTAAGCGGAGGAAAGTTTCATGCCTACCATATCACTGAGAAAAATAGGTATATATTAAGTTGTGTCTGGACCGGATGTCAAAACTGGGGAGAAAGCATACAAAGAATGAAGTTTCCAAGTTAGAATCCCTTGATGTAAGGTGGCAGTTCAAATACAATGCATACGCACACTAATATTTCACTCTGACTCAATAGACAAATTTGATATAGTATTTTCCCAATATTTCATGTAAAGTTTTAACAAGCTCCTTCTTCCTAACAGAACAAGATGAAATTGATTTCAAAGGCTTGCACATTCCAGTGCTCCACAAAGGGCAACCAACCCCAAACTATCGGGATAAACGTAGGGTACTGCGTATTCAACATGATTATGTATCTTGATGAGTAATTTTCAAACCTATATGAGCAACCATATTAATAATAAACCACGGGAAAGCGTTGTTTATTTTTCTGTGAAAACAAAAATATATCATTTAAAGTTGTCAACCTAAATGTGCCGATTTCTTCAGGCACACCCACACAAAAAAAGTTATTTTTCCCCTGAAGTATCCCCTGGGATTTTATTGAATTATTTATTATTCTATTTTGTAGAACTCTTGGTACACACGGTTTCCTAGAGATGGGAATCCTTTTAAATTAGTGAATCTGTATCTTTTATGATTATATATATTCTACACACACACATACACACACATGCACACACATTTTATATACATAATACATATTTTATGTATCATATATTTTATATATATATACATATATTCAGTCTAGGAAAATAAAAACACACATATAGCTTTAAAATTAAAACTTTCTTTTTGAGAGTTTACACCAAGCCTCTGTGCAATGAAACACCTTAAGTGCAGTTATTTTTCACTTTACCTAATCCTCTCTCCCCATTTCCCATACATCTACTACACATTTCTTTTTTCCTTTCTTCCCTTCTTCCCTCCTTCCCTCCTTCCCTTCCTTCCCTTCCTTCCCTTCCTTCCCTTCCTTCCCTTCCTTCCCTTCCTTCCTGATGGGGTCTTGCTCTGTTGACCAGGCTGGAGTGCAATGGCGTGATCTTGACTTGCTGCAACCTCTGCCTCCCAAGTTCAAGCAACTCTCCTGCCTCAGCCTCCTGAGTAGCTGGGACTACAGGTGCCCACCACCACACCCGGCTAATGTTTGTATTTTTAGTAGAGATGGGGTTTCACCATGTTGGCCAGGCTGGTCTCAAACTCCAGACCTCAAGTGATCCGCCCACCTCAGTCTCCTAAAGTGGTAGGATTACAGGTGTGAGCCACCACACCCAGCCTTACACATTTCTATTGTGGCATTTCACATGTAAAATGTATCCAAATTAAACCATCACTGTACCCACAAGCTTGTCCCTCTTGTATTCCTCAGTGCCTTATGTGACACCATCATCTATCCATTTACTCAGGATTAATATATCTGTGTCATCCTTAGGATTTTCCTTATCCTTGTAGCTGTACTCTGTTAATTGCAACGTTTTAATATTTGAAAGTCCACTGCTACTGCCTTTAGACATTTATCTCCTAGCTGTACTGTTATAATAGTCACCTTGTTTATCTCTGTTTGTTAATCTCACCCTTAGAATCTCTGTTACTAGCACTAAAATCTAGATCTGTTTATGCCAGTTCCAATGGTACCATATTGCTTAAAAGAAAAAAAAAAATCCCAAACTCAAAGATGGCGTTCAAGAGACTTCAGGATCTGGTGTCAGCCTCATACCAATACTAATAATTAGGTAAAAAAGAAAGTTATTAAAAATAGAGGTAAACAATTTCACTGCAGGTTTCCCTCTTCAACTAATTCTTTATGTTTTTTCTTACTTTCAGAAGCAAATGTCTCAAGTGAGTCACCTCTACTTGCTCTCTTCATTACCTCATGATCTATCCACTTCATTATTATTTTAATTTTAATTTTTAAAGGAAAATTGTATCTATTTAAGGTGTAAAATGTGATGTTCTTTTACATGTATATATATATACATTGTGAAATAATTGCCACAGTCAAATTAATTAACATATCCATCACCTAATACAGTTACCTTTTGTGTGTGTGGTGAGAAACTTAAAATCTACTTTCTTAGCAAATTTCAAGTATGTTATAAAGTAGTATTTGATTTTCTGTGTTTGGTTTATGTAACTTAGCATAATGTCCTTCAGGTTCATGTATGTTGTTCCAAACAGCAGGATTTTCTTCTTTGTTTGAGGCTGAATAATACTTCATTTTACATACAGTTGGCCCTCTGTTTTCTCAGATGATTGGTTCCAGGATCCCTGAAGATAACAAAATCTGTGAATGTTCAAGGGCCTTATATAAAATAGCACAGCAATATCGGCTCTTCATATCCTCAGATTTTGCACCCACAGATTCAACTAACCTTCGATGAAAAATACATACAGTTAGGTTTCCCTGTGGGCAGATTTTGATCTGTGACTGGTCAAAGCGGCAGATGCGAAACCTGTGAGTATGGAGGGCCATCTGGATATAGAGATGGAGATAGAGATAGAGAGATTAAAGATAGAGATAGAGATAGACAGAGATAGAGAGTGATAGAGACAGTTCACATTTTCTTTATCAATTTCTCTGTCAACAGACACAGGTTTTTTCTATATCTTGGCTAATGTGAATAATGTTGCTATGAAAAGAAATGAAGATATCGCTTTGACATACTAATTTACTTCCTTTGGATATATACCCAGAGATGGGATTGCTAGGTCATATGGTAGTTCTAGTTTTAATTTTTGAGCAACCTCAGTACCGTTGTCTATATAATGTTCGTATCAATTTACTTTCACATCAAAAGTGCGTAAGGGTTCTCTTTTATCTACATTTTCAGTAATACTTATTATCTTTTGATTTTTGTGATAATAGCTGTTCTAACAGGTATGATGTGATATCCCATTGTGGTTTTGATTTGCATTTCCCTGATGATTAGTGATGTAGTTTTTTATGTTTAAATATACCCATCAGCCATTTGTATGTCTTCTTTAGAAAAATGCCTATTCAGATACTTTGTTCATTTTTTAACTTGGCTGTTTCCTTGTTATTGAGGTGTTTCAGTTCCTTATGTATTTTGAATAGTAACCCTTTATGAGCTATATGCTTTGCGAGTATTTTCTCCCATTCTATAAGTTGTCTCTTTACTCTGCTGATTATTTCCTTTGCTGTGTATAATCTTTCAATTTTTATGCAATCTCATTTGTCTGTTTTTGCTTTTGTTGCCTGTGCCTTTAGGGTCATCTTTAAATAATAATTGCCTACACCAATCTATTTACTTGTTAAACCACTCCAGTTTGTTCCTACAGCTCCACCATTAATGTTTCCACAAAATGGCTTACTTTATGATTACCAAAAACCTTTATATTTCTCCAGTTAATAGTTTTTGTTTTCATTACACTACATAGCTCTATGACATTTTACAGAATTGACTACTCGCTCATGAACACTCCCTTGGCTTCTGAACAGCCACACATTCCTGGTTCTCCTCCTGGTCCTCTAGCTACTTTTTTCTTATTCTCCTTTGCAGTCTCATTATCTTATAGCTGGCCCTTAAAAGTTGGCTCCTCGTTCCTCTTTCTGTCTCACTTTGCCTTAGACAATCTAATATACTCCCTGAGTTCAATTATAAACAGAAGACTCCATAATATTATGAGTCCCTAACACAGTTCTTTACTCTGAGATCCAAAACTCTCTACTTAATATATATATCTGAATGTTGAATGGGCACCTGAAAATAACCATACCCAAAACTTAACTCATCATCTGCACCAAACAGCTTCTCTATCTGTATTTCATGGCTCAGTGAATGAAACTACTTATTTACCCAATAGTCCTAGCCAGAAATCTGGGCAACATTCATGACTTCGTCTTTCTGAACATTTACATCCAATTACTCAGTCCTTACAACATCTACTCTTAAATATTTTTCTACTACCTCCTGTCCACTACATACAACCACCAGCTTTCTTTTCTAGCTGAGGTAAGCAGCAGGATTTACTCTGAGGCTCGTGTAATCATGAAAATGGCAATGGGGCAAATGTTTTCAAGGACAATTGGAACAATGAACTTTAATATCATGTGGATTCTTTCTCTGTAATTCATCTACTCAACCTGATTTTCTCCACACTGTAGAAAACATATCCACCAGTAGGTCTCATGCTTCATATTCATGTGTCATACCCAGAAGGGGACTATGTCTCTTTCCTCTGCTCCTTTTTGAAAAAAAAAAAAAAAAAAATCAAGGTTGGATTTTATTTGTCTAGGCGTCAATCATGTGCCTATCTTGGGATCAATGATATGCAACTGTGGAGTCAGAGTACTAAGATTTGCCCCCCTTTGGTGATCTGTGCATAACCCATCAACTGTGGCTAAGGAAAAAGGGATATGAAAGTATAGGAGACTTTGCTGGAACTTCCTGATTTAAATGGAGGTGCACAAGATTTAGGAGAGGACTTTCCATAACCTAGTCCTTGAAAGTAAGTTAGTTGTGTGTGTGGGTGTGTGTGTGAGAGAGAGAGACAGAAATGGTGAGAATGTTGTGAGTATAGTAGTTTAATAAAATGCATATAGATGAAATTTCCTTTCTTCATCTTCTCAAGTTTTAAAGTGGACATCTTTCTTCTAAAAGTTTCTAATAAGTTTCTTTTTCTTCATGGAAAAACGAGTGAATACTGAAAAAGAAATCCCTTTGTTTTGGAAAACTGAACACACCAGACTCTTTATTGTGTATCCATCACAATTTATATTCTCTAAGTAGAAAACATTAATTTAAGAGAAACAGAGCTTGGGTTTTGCATGCTGATGAAGTCATGGAATCCTCTTCTTTAGCCATATCCATGAAAACAGCTGAGATAGGGTTAGGTAAATTTGTATAGAATAGAGATTCAAAAAAAGGTATTCATTTGCAGCAAACTGGGCAAGACATAAGACTAACCAGCCTACTGGTCCTCATTTGGTGGTATTGCCTTGATGTTCATAGCGATGCTTGTGGGAAACGGAGCTCTTAGTAGAACGTGAGGCCACTGAAAGTGGCAGTTAGTGCTCCCTTGGTGTTGGCCATTGGGTAGATATTCTTCTGGAGATGTATTTACATTATTATTTCTCCTGACCCATAGCATCCAGGTAACTGAAAAGTACTACATTCCATACCAATATACAACTGCTCTAGTGACTTAAAAATGAAATGCCATCTGTCAAAATATGATTCATGCACACAGATTCTTCATGTCAGCATCTTTCATTGAGTACAAATCTTCCATACTGAACTGTTTTCTTCCCTCTGCCTTCACAGTCTGATTCCCTGAATAATCTAAGCAGATGAAGTAGACAGATCATGATTAAACAGAAGTTTACTTAAATCCCCAAATCGATATTTCTCCCAGATTTTTTCAAGGTCTCTATGTCTGTACTTAGGCATGTCTTAATCTCTCAGGCAGGCAGTTGACAATTTTTCCTTAGCTTTCACTTTCTGCTTATGTAGAACCCTATGATCAGTAAAAGATGAAAGCTTTGAGTCTTTCCCGGCGTTCTCTGGGCATTTACACAGCCCTCTATTTATGCATTGCCTTGTACGTCCCCAGAAAAGCATGCAGTTTTTCAAAGCCCCCTATGAACATCTCATTCCACAGGCATTCATTTTATATTTTTGACCAATCTCTTCTTAATCCTAACTGCTATCATCACTTCATGCAGCTGAAATATTAAGAAATTGATGGGTTTTTTTTAAGACAGAGTCTTGTTCTGTCACCCAAGCTGCAGTGCAGTGGCACAATCATGGCTCACTGTAGCCTCAACCTCCAGAGCTCAATTGATCCTCCCACATCAGCCTCCTGAATAACCTGGTACAGGTGCTTGCCACCATGCCCAGCTAATTTTTGGATATTGCTTTTGACAGAAAACCTGGGGATAAGACTTTTCCACTCAAGAGAGCTCAGAATCAGATTAAGTAAAGACAAACGCTATGTTTTTTTTTTTTTTTTATTTCCAAGTAGTGTTTTCAGTAAGCTGCCAGAAAGGTCAAATGATGACTATTCTTTGGATATTGTGTGTTAAGAGTTCCATACCAATTCTGCATTCTACATGGTCTGCTAGGTCGCTACTTTTAGCAACTATTGTTGTTGTGAGGCTGTTTTCAAGGATTCTGTGGCACTCTGGAGTGGGGAATGGGAATAAAACAATTAAAACTCTACAAACTTTACTGTTCTTACTCTTCTTGTTGTTTTTCTTCAATAAACATTTCTTAGATTGCCACAAGCCTTTTGTTAATTTCTGTAATTCTGAAACAATTACTTTTGACAGTTTTTGCTGACATTTTCATTGCTTTCATGGAAAAATGAAAATTTGGAAGTCCTTACTCTGCCATTTCAGAAGTGGTTCTATCCTAGATGTCATTTTCAATCAGAAGTTCTCTTGATGTTTTTCATGTGGCAAATCTTTCATAAGGGAGGCTTCTTTTTTTCATGTCACCCAGTTGGAACCAATTCTTAAATATACCTTCATTTTATGTTTGTTATTCACAATGCATGACTTAAGTTTGGCATGGAAGTGAGGTGGCATAGTGCAGAAAAAGTATTGTCATTGTAGACTATCATTCTTTGTTATCTGAAAATTGTGGGAGGTATAATAGGTGATCATACATTTTCCTTTTAACTATTAAGGCATCTTGATTGGCTTTTTGCTTCTGATGTTTAATCTACTCTGCAAATAGCATAGGCCTGCCAAAATCAGACCTATAGGAGTGATTGTGACAAAAGAGAGTAAGTTTTTGAAATGAAAAGTGAGATAATAGTGGGTGTGTAACCTAATGAAGTTCCACATTTATAAGCAGGACACTCTATGCTGCCTACTCAGAGGACATTTGAACCCCATCCATTTCAAATGGAACAACTTCAGAAACTAACTTTTTATTGTTAAAATCAGTGACACATTTCTTGTGGCTGACAGTCTCACAGGGACAGACAATTAGATCCTCTGATGAGTGACTTCAGTGAATTTCAATGAAGCACATGCACTCCCAGGAGGAGATACACTAACTCAGATAATTTGGTTCTCAGAAAGTGGGTTAGATTCTGTCAGGTAAGAAAATAACCCCTATAGTACTTCATTGAAGGGCCTGGGTTGGGGATGGCCTGGGAAGCATACTAATTCTTCTTACCCTCAAACTATCCTAGCAGAATTCTGAAGAAATTTTGTCACACTTGCCAAAATAAGCTAATTTTTGTTCAAAGTATGTGGTTTTCACATAACAAATTCTTTTTGAGGTAAAGCGATCCAAGGGCTGATAGAAAAATGGAAAATCTATTGTTTTCAGCTCTGCTAGGGCGGGGGCCAAGAAGAAAGTTTGTTTTACACCAGTTGGTTTATGGAATTGTCACTCATTGGAAGCCAATGATTTTATAAGCATAAGAACTAATCCCATTCCACACCCTGTGAAAATATCCTTCCGGAATGATGCAGCATCGTACAAGACAAAGTTGATTTGCTTATGGCTCATGCATTATAGGAGGTAAGACAGACAACAAAGACACAAACAAACACATATCAGTGCTCAGTACTGAGCAATGGTCAGCCGTGAACTCAAATATTTATTACATAAGTGCCACTTCCTCTGTACCTTTTTTAAATGGACAAAATTGGCAATAAATCTATCTACCTACCTTTATCCATGTCTGTCTGTTTCTCTCTCTCTCTATCTCTCTATCCATGCATCTACTATGATTCAGTGGTTGTTCTCTAAACTCTTTACCTGGGTTGACTTATTTGGCCCTCACTAAATTCCTATGAGCTTGTTTAATTCCCCATTGATTGGATGAGAAAACTGAGGAATAAAGTGGTTGATTTTTCTTCTTAATATGCTACTGGAAGTTCTACGCAATATCCTATTTAAATTTTTGGCATCAATAATACACAATGAGACTGTTCTGTAGTTTTCATTGTGTTATGTTTGTGAAACTTTGCTATCTATGCAATGTTTACTTTATTAAAAACATGAAACCATGAAACCTTGATTCTTTTCTGTGTTCTGTACCTTTTTAAATAGTACTGGAATTATCTTTATGTTCTTCATTTTGGAAAACTTCTCTCTGAAATTATGAACGGGAAATTCTGGGGAAGATTAGCTCTGAAAAATATTTTTAGTTTCTCCCGTAGTTACTGGTTACGAGAATGGCATGAACCCAGGAGGCGGAGTTTACAGTGAGCTGAGATTGTGCCACTGCACTCCAGTCTGGGCGACAGAGTGAGACTCCATCTCAAAAAAAAAAAAAAAATTAAAAATAAATAAATAAAATAACTGTTTAGGTATTATTTATTATTGTGAATAAATTTTGATATATTTTTCTAGAAAGTTCTTTTATCCAGTTATTTAATTTGCATACAATTTGTGCAAATAATTTTCTTATACTTAAAACATTATTAGCATTTTATATCATTTTCCCATGTTATTTGTAATTTTCTATATTTTTGATTTCTCAATTATTTGCTGATTATATTAGCTAGTGATTTTTATATCTTCTCAATTTTTTGGCACACCAAACTTTTGGAAGTAGTTTATTGCTCTTCTATTTTTTTCACTTTTCATAATCATTAATATTTTATTTATATTATTAATCATTTATTTTTTGCTTTATGTTAAGTTACTTTAATTTTACTTACTTATTACATGTTTTCTTTCTTTCATACTTAATGGTGTAACTTTATATGACAACGTAACTTCCTCTGAGATAGCTTTGATCAAAGCCTTTGATACATTTTCTTTCTATTATCTCCATTTTCAGATAGTTTGTGATTTTAATTTTAGTTTTCTATATGGAAGAAGAACTATACGGCAAACAATTTGTTTTTGTTGCTAATAATTTCTACATCATTATTTTGCTCTGTTGGTTTTTTCTTTTTTTTTTTTTAATAAGTAGCTAGTTGCATAGCTCTGTAGTTGGATAATTTGGCCTGTATATTTTCTATTTTTGGGAATTTGCTTGAAAGAAAGTTTATTGTCTAATTACAGCATACATTGTTTTATCTATATATTTGACCTTATTAACTATTTAAAATAATTATCTGCATTATTGATTTTTGCGTATTTTATTTGTGCTGAGCTACAACACATGATTTAAAATCTCTATAACTAATAAGTTTCTCTCCATTTCTTCCTGAGAGTTTGATCTATGAATTTGATGCTATGTTATTTGTCCATAACGTTTCAAAACAGAGGACAGCAAGCTCTTCATTGTGGATTGTAACCATTTTCAATACAAAATATCTCTTTTAAAAATGTCATTAAATTATTTCTCTTAAATTTTTCAATGATATTAATGTCATTTTCTGGTTTTACTTTACATTTGCTCTAATGTGTGTTATACACGTGCACATATGGCCTCCCTTATTTTCAAACTCTGAATCAATTTCCTTTCCTCATTTTTGAATTATCAATGAATATAATATTTATTATTAAGTTAAATTTTATATTTTTCATCACTATTATATATTAAATACTTAAATGGATTATCAATGGTTTTCGTTTAAACTACAACTTATCTGTGGCTGAATTATTTATTTTTTATTGCTTTCTTAATTGGCTTAATGTTGTCATGGGTACTAATGCTTAAGTGCCACATCCTTTGTACATTTTTTTGACAAATAAAAGTTGTATATATTTATTGTGTACAAAATAATGTTTTAAAATATGTATACATTGTGGAATGGCTAAATCGAGCCAATTAACATATGCATTATTTCACATATCCTTTTTGTGGTGAGAACACTTAAAATATACTCTATTTTCAGTTTTCAAGAATACAGTATATCATTATTAAGTATAGTCATCATATTGTACAATAGATCTCTTGAGCTTATTCCTCCTATCTAATTGAAATTTTGTGTCCTTTGATGAACATTTTCCTAATTTCTTCCTCTCTGCAAGCCACTGGTAACCAGTATTCTATTCTGTACTTGTATGAGTTCAATGTTTTATACTCCACATATAAGGCAGACCTTGCAGTATTTGTCTGTCTAACACTTTTGTTCTTTGATGAGCTTTTTTGAATTATAAAATTATAGAGTCTTGATCTTTCTTTTTTTCCAAAAAATTCTGTATGTTTTGTTTCAGTGACTTCTGGCATTGAATGTTCCTGTGGAAAACTCATAATAATTTCCACCCTTGCATAAGTGATCTGCTTTTCTCCCTGTCTAGACATCTATTGGATTATTTATAATTCGCATGTAGTGACTTCCCCAAGATATGTTCCGGAGTTGATTATTTTGTATCATTTCCCTAAAACAGCATGTCATTTGGACTTTCAGATATATGTCTTTCATCATTTCAGAGAATTTCTCTGCTATGAGTATTTGAATGCTGTTTATTTTTTTCTTTTTTGTTGATCTGTTAATTTCTTCAAGAACACCAGTTACATAAATGCTGAAACTTGTCATCTAAACACATCACATTCTCTCTTCTAACTTCTGTCACTTTATAGTGAATATGTGTCTGCACGTGTCTTTGCATGTCCTTGTGTTTGTGCAATTTCTCTAGCCTGGCCTCCGTGGTTTTCTGAATGGTCTTTTCCATTTTTTGTAGTTTCTATCATTTTTTTTATTCCTCTGACAATTTTACTGTTCTATATCCCTCTTCAACCTTTTACTTTACTTTTCATATATATTTTTTCTTTACTATAAAGTGTCCATATATAAAGCGTTCATATTTTATAAAATTTTATTTTATTTCCCTGCATATTCAATTACTTATTTAATAAATACTTATTGAGTGCCTACAATGTGCCAAGCACTCTTTTAGATATCAGGGCTACATTAGTACATAAACAAATAAAATTGCCTTCATATAGCTTATATGCCAGTGGGAAGATATACATAATAAAATGGATGCATAATACAATGTACAGTATATTAAGTGCTAGAGGTAAAAAGAAAGCAGTAGAGATGAAGTATAAGATATTGTGGGAGACAGTTGCAATTTTAGAGTAGTTGTTGCTGTAAGGTTGTTATTTAAATAAAAACATAAACAATGTGAGGGAAAAAAGAATTTTGATAATGAGGAAAAACGCTCCAGACAAAGGGAAAAATCAGTGCCAAGTTTCTACATGGAAATTTGCTGATATATTTGTTTAACAGAGCTACTAAGGCTGGAGTGGAATGAGTATGCATGAGACTAACAAGAGCCTGATGTTAAAAAGGTAAGGACATGGAGCAGATCATGTAGGGTTTATAGATCATTGTGAGGTCATTTGCATTGTAAATAGAAAGGTAAATAAAATTTTGATGATTTTGATGAATGTTGATAATAGAAGAGATGTAATTTAAATTACATTTAATACAATCATTCTGGCTGCTCTGTGGAAAACTGATGAAAGGGAAGCAAGGGTATTAGGAGGACAGCTAACAATGAGTTTATTGCAGTAATCCAAGTAATAGAAGAGGATAGCCAAGAACTGGGTGGTTATGGGGAGCTAATATTCTTTATAGATGGATTGAATATGGAGTGAGAAAAAAGAGACGGGAATTAAGGAGGGATAGCTTGGTAACTGATCTGAGCAACTGAAAGAAGTTGTCATCAGCTGAGATGGAGAATACTTCAGGAGAGGCAGTTTGAAAGTGAAAGTTTAGTAGCTCAGTTTTGGAGTTGTTAGGTTTAATATTTCAATCAATCATATGAGAGAAGATGTTAAGTAGATGTTATGATGTAACAATTTAGATTTCCAAACAGAAGTTTGTACAATAGGTATACACTTGTGAGTAATCGGTGTATGGATTATATTTAAAGATGAGATGACCCAAGTAGTAAGTATAAATATAAAAGATAATAGGCAAAATGACAGAGGTCTGGTGGTATGGGCTGAATGTTTGTGTTTTCCCAAATTTATCTGGGAAATCTAATTTCCAATGTGATGGTATTAGGAGGTGGGTCCTTTAGAAAGTATTTACATTATAATGGTAGCTCTCATAATGCGATTGGTGCCCACATAAGAAGAGGCCAGACATCTACCTGGCTCTCTTTCTGCCATGTGAAAATACAAGGAGAAATCAGTAGTCTTCAATTCAGAAGAGGGCCCTCACTAGAAGCTACTCATGCTGGCACCCTGATCTCAGACTTCCACCTTTCAGAACCATAAGAAATAAATCCTTGTTGTTGAAGCCATCCAGTCTATGTAATTTTGTTACAGAATCCGGAACTATGTCACGTGGGATATTGCAGGCTTTCCAAGTCCAGGAAATAAGGAGCAAAGAGAAGACTGACTGGAAAGTTGCACTTAGCTGACTAAGATATCTTTGAAGCCCAGCAAAAAATAAACTGCAGCACAAAGAGGGTATTCAACTCTGTGAAATTCTTCAGATAGACCAAATAGTATGAAAAATAATCATCAGATTTAGCAATACAAACTTTCTATGTGACTTATAGAAGTGCAGTTTCAGAGGCATAATAGGGGCAAGATCTGATTGTTTCAGGTTAAAGAGAAAACGGGAGCAGAGATTTGGGGAATAATAAATCCAGACAATTTCTTTTTGGAGTTTGCAGTAAAGAAAATGTGAAAACTGTACAACAGTTCAAGTGGAATGTTGAGTCAAAAGAAACATTTTTAAGAGGGTAGCACTTCTTCTTCTGTTGTATATTATTTATAGTCTTGCTCTGATCATGATTTGTCCCTTTGGAGGAGATATCTGTTCTTAGTTCTAATCATCCTTATTGCTTATTATTTCCCTTATATCCGTGTCAGTTCTTCCTGAGCTTCCAACTACTTAAACTAGGGAGAGTGATCCTGAGTAGCAGATATCTTTAATTTAGTCATATGATTTCAGAAGACTTCGTTTATAAATGTTTTCCTCTCCTAGGGATATACTTCTTCTTTAGTTTTATCGCTATTTGTCCCCCTGAAATAAGCAGACCATACAAGGTGGTTGTAATTTTGGCTTTCCTTGTATCTCATTGTTGTTTATTTGGAGATTTTCATTTCACTTTTATTATTTTATTCAGTTGATCTTGGTTAGAAGTTACAAATCTTATTTTACTTTCCACTATTTCCTCCAACCATTTTTACCTCCATATCTTTTCTACAGATTTGACAAAAAATATAGCTGAAATTTCCATGTGGTTTCTTTTTTTTTTTTCCATTTGTATGATTGGGCATAGAGGCTCAGCAGATAGACTCAATTTCTTATTGAGTCTATCTGTATTTCGGGGCTTATAATGCCAAATAATTGATTTTTGATTAGAATTTTCAGGGACAAATTATATTGTACTTACAGAGTTCTGCATCCAGCTAGAGATTATAATCATATTTATCCGTCCTTGTTTTCTTTTTCAGGTTCGTCTAATTTCATTTTATGTGGCAGATATTCTTTGTATTTTATGTTTTGAGAAAGTAGTCACTTCCTAGTTTCATTGAGGATGGAGCTTTAATTTTTGGCTTATTTTCTTTTGTCCCTGTCTGCTTCAAGTTTAAGGTGACATAAATATACTTTTACTATCCGTCGTTTTAGAAGTCTCACAAAGTATCTTTTAATAATAGGCCAAGTAACATGTAGATACACCTTTGAATGAAAGTACCTTTATGTGTTTGATAGTCATCTCTTTGTGCTATTTTACTTAGGAAACATTATTGATACTCTAATGTCAAAAGCTGTCCTAAATTCTGACTGGTTAGAAAGATGAATAAGAGACTTTCCCTCACTTTGAGTAGTCCATTGTCAGAGAATTAGAAAAATCTGCTTAAACATTTCACTTAAAAGACCCGCCTGGCCAAAATGGTAAAACCCCATCTCTACTAAAAATACAAAACAATTAGCCAGGCGTGGTGGCATGTGCCTGTATTCCCAGCTACTCAGGAGGTAGAGGCAAGAGAATCGCTTGAACCCGGGAGGTGGAGGTTGCAGTGAGCGGAGGTCGTGCCACTGTACTCCAGCCTGGGTGACACGGCGAGACTCTGTCTCAAGAAAAACAACAACAACAACAACACACACACACACAAAACAAAACAAAAAAACAATTGTGTTATGGGAGGAAAGTCATGCTTTACAAGGGCACACAAAAGAGGGTCTTCCTCATATAGCAGTGTACCTGGTAACTATGCAATACATGTTGCATTAAATGCAAACCACACAGGGAAACATATTTGAAAGGGGGTTTGAAGAAGAGCACATTTTGACAAGTTTGTTTAGGGATAGAGGATCATCATAGGTTCTAGATTTATTATAAGCAGAGGTGTGGTTTTAGGACATTAAGGAGGCATATTCAGGGAAAATTCAGGCTGATTTGAACCTGAGGTATCTGCAGAGGAGGAATGAGAAATAAGACGGGGGTAAATATAAAGAACAAGCAGGATTGTTCTAATCCTACCTTGCTGAAAATTATTTATCCACTATAAAATGTTACGGTTTTCCCACAAAAGAAACAGAAGACCAGCTCTGATATGACATTTAATCATCCACTACTGATGATGCCCAATACTAAGAAGCTGTAATGACAGAAGATAAAGGTCCCCATGCATATGTAAATCCAAACTTATCCTCTCATCTAAACTTTCTCCTTTATGAAAGCTGAGTGTTCTAAGCCATCACCATTGCTCCTTCTATGTCTGTTGCCAGGACAAATGCCCAGAATTTAATTATCTTAGGCAGCCCAACACTGAGTACATTGCCTTTTATAAACCAAAACTTTGAAGATGTGTCACTGGTGACCTTAGTGACCGTCAGCATGACCTGTTTGAGAAATTATGTGAAAAATTAACCTGCTTCTGGCCCAACACCTGCTGAGGATGAGTCCAAGAATAAATTGTCATCCCTACGTGAACAGTGCTGGACTGTCACCCTTTAACTAGTAGCTACACTTAGGGCACAGCAAGTGATCTGCCTCACCACCCTCCTTCTGCTTCTTCAGTGTCACTCAGAAGACACCACACAGGATGAATCAGAAAACTGAATATTTTGTGTATTCAGTGAATAAGGTGATTTTTATGGACAGAAGGAAACTGGCACTAGGTGCCATAGGGAGAAGAAGCTTTTAATACTGCATGCACTCCTATTTTAATCAAATTGAAGTTGTCATTTATATTTAAGTACTATAAATATAACACTCTAGATGATGTTGATTTGCATTTGGTTTCTGAGAAAACACAGCAGAATATAGAAAACTGTAAAATAAAATCTCCTCAAATGTTTGCATTTTAAATGCTAAAAGGACATTTTAAATTGCTACATGCTAAGGCCAATGTTTGACTACTACTGTAATATTTTAAAATTATAAACCCTCAAATTTCAGAAGAATATTTGTATATGGGATGTTTTCATTGGTAAAAAGTGTAAGCCATTAAATTACATAACTTCCTTCTCACCAAAGCAACATTAAAAGGCCCTGTGGTGATAGCAATATGTAATAGGTAAATTGAGCTTAGTTATCACAAAGTTGTCCAGCAAGCTAAGTAAAAAGTTTTATCTAATACTAATTACTTAGGATACTTTGAAGACTATTTGAGAATTTTGGTTAATTCTCTCCCCATACCCCAGCATCTAAACTTGTATGACTTATTTCACCAAAGTAACCTATTATTTGACTTTCTACATTGGCCATTTGACCTCAAAGTCATCAACTTACAGTCTAGGCATTACATAATTGAACCAGCAAAGTTACAAAGAAATTTTAACATAGCAATCATTGAGAAAAGGCCTTAGATTTCTAATATGTATGCTCAAAATTTTCAGATTCCACATTTTCATTCTAACATGTTACTCTTAGTTTATGAGGTTCAAATTATTTGGAAAATTTGCTCTAATACATATGGATCTAGAGTGCTCATAAGTGCATGCAAAGACGTTACAAGTAATTTTACCAGTTGCTATTTGACTTTTTCACTTATAATTTTTTTAATTACCAGTGTGATGCACACATTTCTAGAAACATACAGTTACCAGTATTGAATCATGAATAAATAGAAAATATGAACAGATCAATAAGAAGATGATTGGATTAGTAATCATAACCTCTGAACAATGAAAAATACGGTTTGTGATAGCTTCACTTGTTAACTCCATCAAATAATTAAGAAGAATAAACAGCATCTATATTTAGGATTGTTCTATCTTCTTGTTTAATTCATCCCTTTATCATTATATAATAATCTTGTCATTTTTTACTGTTGTTGATTTAAAGTCTGTTTTGTCTCATATCAGTATAGCTACTCCTGCTTGCTTTTGGTTTCAGTTTGTGTGGAATATCTTTTTTCACCACTTTACTTCGAGTCTCATAGTATCATTTTCAGTTAGGTAGGTTTCTTCTAAGCAGCATATTGTTGGATATTATTTGTTTGTTTATTCTGCCAATCTATATCATTTAATTGGAACATTTAGTTCATTTACATTTGATATTAATATTGGTATGTGAGATTGTTTCCTGTAATAATATTAATTGTTACTTGGTTGCTTTGAAGTTTTTATTGTTTAGTTGCTTCACAAGACCTGTGAGTTTTACACTTTTGTGTGCTTTTATCATGCAAATGTCAACCTTTAGTTTACATGTATAGAGCTGCTTGAGCATTTCTTGTAGGTCCACTCTAGTGATAACACATTCCCTCAATGTTTGTTTGTTTGGGAAATACTTTATTTCTTCTTCATTTATAAAGCTTAGTTTGGCAGGATACAAAATCCTCAGCTGACAGCTTTTTCTTTAAAAAGACTGAAAATAGAACCCCAATGTTATAGCTTGTAAGATTTCTGTTGAGAAGTCTACTGTTATTCTAATGGGGTTTTCTTTACAGGTAATTAAAGGCCTTTCTCTTGCTGCTTTGATGATTTTTTTTTCAATCTCTTGTCTTTAGGTTGTTTGATGACTACATGTCTTTTTGAAGTTTGTCTTGCAATGTATCTTCCAGGAGTCCTTTGTACTTCTACTCTGCTTGCCTTAATCTCTACTAAGACCATGGAAGTTTTTCTCAATTATTTACTCCTATAGTTTTCCAGACATTTAACTTTTTCTTATTCTCTCTCAGGAATACCTGTAACTTGTAGGTTTGGACACTAACCATAATCCCATAGTTCTCAAAGGCTTTGTTCATCTTTTAAATTATTTTATCTTTATTTTTCTCTGAGTTAATTCAAGTCCTGTCTTCAACCTCTAAAATTCTTTCCTCTGCTTGGTTTAGTTTACCTTTATGTTTTCAATTTTATTTTATAATTCCTTCAATTAATTTTTCATACTCAAAATTTTTTAAAGATATATTCCTTTAGTATAAATTTTTCATTCATACCTTAAATTGTTCTTCTGATTTACTTGTGTTTATTTTCAACATTCTTTGGATCTTTCTTAGTTTCTTTAAAATCCATCTCTTTAATTCTTTACCTGGTACTGCAGAGTTTTAATTTTAGTTAGGATTCATTGCTAGAGAGCTAGTATGGTCCTTTAGGGGTGTCATAACACCCTATTTTTCCATACTACCAGAATTGTTACAGTGGTTACATCCCATCTGTAGAAACTGTCACTTCTTATTTTTGAATTTACTTGCATTTGGATGGTACATTTTTATACCCTCTTGAGGTTATGACTGTAATGTATGTTGTGTTTGGTCATTTGGCTTCAATTCTGAATGCTTTCAGGGGGCCAAGGCCCTGTATCAGTTCCTTAGTTATAGATAACTTTTGTGAAGTGGCTTTCTCCAATGCTGGTTGTATTAGCAATGTACTTGGCATATAAGCAGACATATTACCTTCTGTAGGACTGGGATTGTGGAAGCTTTGGGCAGTTTATCTCATTACCCAGCACAGTGCACTTCTGTTAGTAGGTTTTTTATTGAATTGTGTAGTTCAACCTCAAGCCTGGTGCTTACAGGTCAGAGCCAACTGTGGCAGACACAGGTGGGTATGTGCTTGATATTTATTTACTGGGAAGAGCTCTCTGTTGTCTCAGGCTATGGGGTGATCTGTGAAATGCCTTATGCCCTGAGATCTCTCATAAGTTCCAGAGAGGGGGCCAAAGCTGGGTCGAATTGGACCACCAATCTTGTTTTCAGATACCCCAATGATGAGCATAACCACCAATATTGATGGAAGTGGCAGGGGAAGCTCATGGGGAGATGCACCAAGGTCTCCATAGAGACAAAGGTGGTTGTACCATTTCCAGGTCCTGAGCAGACAGGAACAAGATCTGCCTCTCTCCACTTCTTTTCCAGGGCTCTTGACTCTAAGTTCAAAAAGACACTGCTTTCTATCTCCAGGCCAATGCTTGAGCTTGCAAGGGCAGAGGAGTTCTCTGGTAGATCAGAAACCAGTAGTTGGCTACAGGGTTGAGGGGAGCCCCCAAAATATCTCCACCTACTCTTTCCATGGGACTCCTAGTTTCTCAGTTTGATCTCTGCCAAACTCTTGATTTCTGCTTTTTTTGTGCCCACCTTATTTCCATGAGTTCTTCTAAAAGTTCCAAACACCCTTCCCTCAATATTTTATTTGAGTTATGATTATTCACCTTTAACTTTGGTTCTTTTTTCTGATGTCTGATGCCTCTATTCAGCCATGTTGCATGTACATTTTTTTCACTCTTTTAAGGGCAGTTTGGAGGCTAGAAGAAAACAATCTTCTTTGCAGCACATAGAGTTGCAAGCCTTCCTCTTAAATAAACAATATGAGGAAACCAGAGAAGAGATGTTTTGATCCTGAGATTAGAAACTCTAAGGCTCCCTCTTGTCTCCTAATGATGGCAGTGTAGAAATAAGGTGGAGGTTGTGACTTTCAGATGAGAAATGTCATAGAAAAGGTCACTGTAATTTAATAGTCTGAAATTCTAAAAGGTAGTGAAACTAAAGCAATAAAAGAAGATTGGAGAAATACAGTTTGGGCTATTAAATGAAAGATCGGTCCACTAAAGTTACAAAAGAGAAAGCTTTAAGCAAAACAAATGAAGCTTCACAGGAAGATCTCTAATTTAAAAGGGATTTAAGTAAAAAATACAAGAACAGGCACACAATCAAGAATAAATACATCAAAAAATTTCAGGTAAGCTGTCTTCGAGAAGCTCCGAATCCATAATACTGCTAAATATGTTTATAAATGTCTTTGCAGAGAGAGGATCAGAATAAAGAGGAGGAGTGTGTGCTAGTCATAGGACGCAAAGTAATAAACTTGTGGCTCATGTCGCTTATTTTTTATTTTAAGAATCAGTTATTGAGTTAATTTATATGCAGGTATAGAGATAAATAAAACACAGAATCAATTTTCTGCATTAACTCATACAACAAATATGCTCTGACTCCCCAATATGTGCCAGACACTGTCTTAGGACCTGAAGATAAACTGATGAACAAAACATACTTAGGCACTGTCAACATGAAGCTTCCGGGTTAGAACAAACATCAGATATTTTTCAAACACAAATAAATATTAATTTAGAAATAGCCAGTTGTAATGCAAGCTGTAAAATACATAATTGTTAGGGTTTCTTAAATTTTCAACCCACCACCATCACAAAACACCTGAGAGACCAAATAAACTTACTTTTGTACTAGTTCATTATAGAATTAATTGGCAACTGAAGGGCATGTTAGAATCTTCAGAGAAGGGAAAAGCAGGTGGAAAAATCTCTCCCTTCTGATAATTCTGTACAACCTTACTGGATGTTTCCCCCTACTAATAATTTTCAAAGTAGAGAATGGAGAGAAGGGAACAAGGCTCAAGGGATGAGCACTTAATAGCCATAGTAAAACAGAGGCAGGCATTTGGGAAAATACTCATAATTCTTTTGGTGCTAAAGTGGTGAGCCTAAGTTAAAATGATATTTATTGGTTCAAGTAGTTGGAATGCCCAAGGGTATTGAAAAGCACTGAAACAAACTGAAAATATGAGTTATGTCTAGATCTAGATATTTACATCATGACTTCGGCAATCTCTATGCTTCCATCACTTAGATCTACTTTTTGTGTGTGTGTTGCCTTTACTCAGTAGCTACTCTACCCATGTTGTGAGAAAGATGACCAACAAAAGCTTCAGAACTATAGCCTAATAGCTTCATAATTCCAGTGAAAAGCATAAGCCTCTTTTTTTGTTATTTTTAGCTTAAGTTACAGTATTATCTTTGACATAGACCAGCTTAATTCATGTGCCTATATCTGAACCAATCACTATCACCAACGGATCTGATGCCAATTGGCCAGATCACAAACCCACTTAAATTGAACAATGTGTTCTGTCTCACCAGAAACTCTAAAGACTAATAGGAAGAGTCATTTCTCTACAGTGAAACTGAAGTTCTATTATCAGAGCATGGGGAATGGATAATAAATAGGCAAAAACAATTTATGTCATTTACAGAAGGCTTCCATTAAGTAATGGTATTTGATCTGGTCTTTGAAAGATGGTTAGCATATTAATAGATAAAGAGAGGAAAAGAGGCACTCTAGGCTCAGAAATCAGCATTGGTAATGACTTGTGACCTGAAAGAACATAAAGTCTTCCAGGCGAACTTGATGCACTGAGCATTCACATGTGCCTTCCTTCCAGGGACACCATTAACATGAGGATAAAACAATGCAAAAAGAAAATGTGATAGAGTAACTCAATTCATGACCTTAGTTCTTTATTCCTCCACACATCTTACCCTGTAACTTTTTAGTGTTCTTCTGTGCACACTCCAGAATTAGCCATGTAATCTGGTTGGGCAGATGAGATGTTAGTACATATAAAGAGGTTTGAAAAATGCTTGCATAATTGAGTGTGCTTGCTCCTGTACCTCTACCTTTGACCTGAGAATGCGTCTTGGCTATCCTGCTGGAACAAGTGAGAGACACATAGAGCAGAGTAGATTTGCCCTGCTGACAGTCTACTCCCATATACAGGAGAAGGCCCAGCCGATTAGCACTTAGTGCACCTGAAGCTGACTACAAATGAAAGATAAGCCAAACTAAAATCAGCTGAGTCCTGCTTAGATCGGATGATTACCAGGGAAAACACCACTATGCAAATGTTTATGGTTGTATACCAGCGAGCCTTTGTGTTTTGCTGTTATACAATGTCATTTGAGATGATACATAACTAATACAGGAATAACTTCCTTAAACAGAAGAGAATGGGAAGGGCACTACTAGTGGTTAAGGCATTTACACAAATTTCTGGAAGACTGAAAATGGAAACATATTGGTAAATGAAGTCAAATGGAAGAAGAAACAGCCCAAGGAGGACTGCAGAGACTACCAATCAATTTTCTAGTTCTAGTCTTGGAGTTTGCAGGTACAGGTAGCAGAGTTTAGAAGTGATGCTAAAAACATGGGGATTATTGGAAATTTATTACAGAATAACTTTAAGAATTTTATTTAGTGTCAACTTCTTTACTCTTATAGAGTGATGAGTGAAAGAGTAACAGGCAATCCCAAATGGACTTTTGAACAAATGACAGGAAGTTTTTCTCTAGAGAGATTGGATGTGATACTGCAGCATCAGGGATGCTAGCAGACAGAAATAAAGCCATGAGAAGCAGGATAAAAAGTGCAAAAATAGTGAGGGACAATAACATCCTAGTTTTACCTAATGGGACATTAAGGACTACTTACTGTTAAAGGTAATGGAACAGGAAATGGAGGTCTGTGCATCTGATGTAAGCTTAGAAACGTAACCACGACTATAAAACTACCAATATTTGGAAGAAGGATGGGATGGAAAGTTTCAAGTAGTATAAGTAAATATATTCATCATTTTTTCAAGTTGATAAATCAAGAAATAGCATTATAAACTTACTATTTAGTGTTGTGGAGGTAAGCATAAGAACTAAACACAAATGCCCAATAGAGATTCCTTCTGAGGTGGGTCTAACAATAGTGGGGCATTATCGTTTCTGTTACAAGTTATTTGATCTTAGTCTATTAATGTATTGCTTATTAGCCCATAAGTCAGTAAGTCAGTGTACAGAAACCATTCTAGGTATTTAAAGCAGAAATATATTTCATAAATGGAACTCCATACTTCTAAAACTATAGTAACAACTGGAAGAACAGGATTTGGATGTTTGCCACTGGACTATTGATTTCAAGGACCTATCACCATCACTGCAATCCAGAGGTCAAGGAGCCGCAGCTGATGCTACTATTATCACTGCTGCAGCCACTATGGTCTCTCATTCCTATAAAACTGTTGACTGAACAGAGTGCCATGGAAGTTTCTGGTGAAGAGGAATTACAGTCTGATGTGCTTTAGAAGAAATATTTCTGGTATTTGCATGGAGAATGGATTTAAGAGTCACAGAGCCAACTTAAGAAATGGTCTAACGAGCTCATGCAGAAAATCATTACATCAGGGGAGGTAACCTTTCCTCCATTCAACACATCTTTCTTTTTTTCTTGTTTACTAGTACAGACACTACACAGGAAAAATTTTTATGATGTGCTAAACTAATTAAAATTACTTCTGCCTCTTGTCCTATGTGGCAATCATAGAGACGTAAGTGAACAGATTTGAAGTTAGACTTTGGAGGCACTAGAAGCCCTCATTATTATTTTGGAGAGGATGTGTGTTCAATAAAACATTGCAAAGAAGCACTGTTCAGAAAAGTCAGACACTTCAGGCACTTGTGAAGCTAATGATCAAGGAGTGTCATTTTGTTCGTTTACTATTATCCTCTCTCTCTCTCTCTCCCCCCATTGTGTGTGCGTGTGTGTGCGTGCACGCGTGCACACATGTGCTCACATGCACATGTGCTTCCCCAAAGGGAGGAAGGTTGCCTGGCAGAAGAGGATTCAGACATGCCTGGATTCCTGACTGTAATACTACTTGAATGACAGAAACCCATGCCTTTTTTCTCACAATTGTAAAACCCTGATGAACATTGCACATTGCAGACAGACAGGGAATTATTCCCCATATTTGGTAAAGACTTATGGAGATAAAAGAGAGCAGGACTGTGCAATTTCTGAAGTGTTTCTACATCAAAGAGAATAATCTTAAAACTGGAAAGAGTGGATCAACATACATAAGAGGGAATTGAAGGACAAGAAATTTCTGAACCAGTATCTAAACCCTTTAAAATATTTAAAGGCTCTGTATACAGATGCATTATAGAGTGCTATGGTTTGAATGCATCCCCTGAAATACATATGTTGGAAACTTAGTCCCTGATGCAATGGCGTTGGTAAGTAGAACTTTTAAGGGGTGATTAGGTCCTGAGGGTTCTTTCCTCATGAATGGATTAATGCCTTTATATTTTGCAAGTGGGTTTGTTATTATGGAGGTGAGTTTCTGATAATGACAATGAGTTTGGCCCCCTTCCCTTCCCTTCCCTTCTTTTTTCTTCTCTCACTCTTCATGCATGCGCACGCTTTCTTGTCCTTTCACCTTCTTCCATGCTAAGACACAGCAAAAATGCCCTTACCAGATGTGGACCTCCCAGCCTCCAGAATGATAAAAAATAAATCTATGTTTTAGAAATTACTCATTCTCAGGTATTCTGTTACAGCAGCACATAATGGAATCAGACACAGAGGTCTGAATAGATCATCAATTTCACCCTTGAGAAGCTGTAGAATGTTAGAGAATAACCAGGAGACTGGAAGTGAACAAGTACTGCTCCTTTTATCAAAAAGAGAAATATAATGGAGTCTGGAAAATAGAAATCACTAAGTATAAAAGCAGTCCATGTCCAAATTGTAGAAAAAATTATTAAACATATGGTTACATGCAGCAGTATAACATAGCCATTAAAACATGGATTCTGTAGACTGTCGCAGTTCTAATCTCTGTTCTGCTATATACTAGTTGCGTGGCTCTGGCCATGTGACTTAATCCTCTTATTACCTGCTTTCCTCATCTTTAAAATGATAATAATAATGCCCATCTCATAAAGTTATTGTAAAAATTAATATAAAATGCTTAAAACAGTGTCTTGGTTAGAGTAAATGCTGTGTACTTTTATATAATAATTAGTATTATATTTTTTAAGAAAGCATGTGGAAGAAAAAAATAATCACTGAGTATCAGCTTGGGCTAAGAATAATTTACCCAAGTAGGTGTACTTTCTTTTTGATAACATTACGAGTTTGTTAAACAGAGAAATGTTATTTTCATAGGGCATTTGGCCAAATGCCTCATTTCACCCTGAATCCTCACTCAGGCTAGACAAGATAGTGTAAAGAAATTGCCCCAGAGGAGAATATCTTTGTACCAAATCATGAAGCCACCTTTAGGAGGAGGAGCGAGTGAAGCAAAAAAAAAAAAAAAAAAAGAAAAAAAAAGTGAAGGAACTTTCATGTAGAGTGAACAGCATAATCAAAGAGCAGACAAGACAATTGCAGATTAAGTGAATATGCAATTTGCTGGGAGTCAGATATTATGGAAAAACATGTGTGTCTGGTTCAGACTATTTAAATGCGAAGCCTAAATCTGTAACTTTTCAGTTAGGAGATTTGAGTAAATTACTTAAACTCTTTGGAGCTCAGCTCTATCATTTGTAAAATGGGAATATTGATATCCACTTTGTAGCAGTAATGTAGGGACTTAATGTTCATAGGTGCTGTGTTAAGTGGGAGATAGGATGAGATAATTGAAAAAGCACCTTTCATCCCATTATTTTGTTTATGGGCTTTTTGTTACCATCATCTGTATTAACTGACATGATTGTAAGGGGTGTATCTCATGATATATAATTATTTCTATCGATAAATGATTTAGAAACCTATGTGAGCCTACTATGTGTATAATCTTCTCCCTTCTCCTCACTCAGAATTCTCTGTACTAAAGTGAGTATTAAAGAAAAGTTGAATTCTTCAACTTGTCACAATTCTCTGACTCTTTGAAACTACTGGAGCTGACTCTGGTGATAAGAAAAGACTATTTTACATGGCAAAAATCACTCTAAGCAAATAATGTACAATAGCTGAGTAATTTTAGTGAGGAGCAAATTAAAAAATCAATTTTCATAATTAGCCTGTGATATGTTATGGCTCAAAGATTTTCATGCAATGGAGTTTGTAACTAGCAAGATATATTAAATTGATATCCTCTTAATACCATATATGAGGCTCTTTCAGATAAACACAAGTTGGCATACTTCAAAGAAGTTTTCTGCTTACTATAATTAATGTAACTGATACATTTTTAAGTACCGATGACTAGACTATAGATTGGACCCTTGTTATTTGGAATGTGTGAGACATTTAGATGATATTTCTAAATGCCATGGCCTCTGACACATGCCAGCCATTGCTGGTCACCTATGATGCACAGAAGGCTTGTGATAGGCAGAAATTATTCTCATTGTAGGTTCAAACTAGATGTTTTTCATTTTAAAGTGTGAAATGTCATTTTGGGCTGGCCAGTCAAAAACGTGAAATATTGAAGAATCGATACAAAAGCACATATCTTTCAAGACAAAACTAATCATGCTGCTGAGAGGGAAAGGGGAAGCACTTTTTCCCCCTTTTTTGGCCTAAAATTTTCAAATGAACTGTCTCCATTGTCTGTTTTCACTGTGCCCAAATAGATATCTTGATATAGCAACAACAATTGCAGGAAAAGATGTTTTGGCTTTGATTTCTTGATGCAGACTTTGAAATCTCTAGCCAATTTTCTCTATAGCTTACCTCTTCAATAAATACTACCTTCATATAGTTATTACCTGCATCTGCTATAACCTCACACAACTTCCTCTTCATGCTCTCAAAATACTTTCATACCAATTTAGCAGTTCTCTAAATAATCTTTGTTCTTTCATTGTCTTGTCTGCTCTTTGATTATGCTGTTCACTCTACATGAAAGTTCCTTCAGTTTTTCTATTTTTATTTTTTATTTATTTATTTATTTTTTTGCTTCACTCACTTCTCCTTCTAAAGGTGGCTTCATGACTTGGCACACAGATATTCTCCTCTGGGGCAATTTCTTTATGCTATCTTGTCTAGCCTGAGTTTAGTGTCCCTTTCTCAATCATAGAAATGACAACATCTGTCTATTATAACAATAATCACACTATACATTAAGTCTTATTGTTTACAAATAAAGCATCTCAGGACTTTTACCAACTCCTCAATAGCATGTTAATTCCATTACAAAATATGCAGACTTTGCTATGAGGAAGACAGGTGAATTAAGAAGGGTATACTGGGCAGATGGCTAGAATCACTTACTAGCTAAGCAGTTCGTCCCTGCACATAAGCCTTATAACACATTAAGTCATATTCTGGCCTCATCAAAATTATACACAGGATAGATAAAAGAGAGGAGGATAATTAAGAATTTTGGTTGATAAGTTACATGAATTTGAGCCACATCTCTGGTGTCATCTCCCAATCTGGGACAGGGAATAAACAGTAAACAGAATAACAAAAAAGTTTGGAGAGAAAATAAGTAAAAGTAACCTTAGGAAAAACAAATGGAACCTACAGCCAGATGTTGAAAGTAACACACATCTGCACATCTATTTGCAAATGAGTATGCAAATAAAATTAAGAAAACTCCTCTTGATACATTATGAGTGATACCTCATGGTGCTCACCACACTCCCAGCAGAGACACCACTGCTGATAGCTGCTAGAGTTCTACCCAGAAACAATATTGAATGTCTCTGATGTCCACAAGCTCAAATTTATTATGGGACCACAAATATCTTTTTTATTTATTTATTTATTTATTATACTTTAAGTTTTAGGGTACATGTGCACATTGTGCAGGTTAGTTACATAAGTATACATGTGCCATGCTGGTGTGCTGCACCCACTAACTCGTCATCTAGCATTAGGTATATCTCCCAATGCTATCCCTCCCCCCTCCCCCCACCCCACAACAGTCCCCAGAGTGTGATGTTCCCCTTCCTGTGTCCATGTGTTCTCATTGTTCAATTCCCACCTATGAGTGAGAATATGCGGTGTTTGGTTTTTTGTTCTTGCGATAGTTTACTGAGAATGATGATTTCCAATTTCATCCATGTCCCTACAAAGGACATGAACTCATCATTTTTTATGGCTGCATAGTATTCCATGGTGTATATGTGCCACATTTTCTTAATCCAGTCTATCACTGTTGGACATTTGGCTTGGTTCCAAGTCTTTGCTATTGTGAATAGTGCCCCAATAAACATACGTGTGCATGTGTCTTTACAGCAGCATGATTTATAGTCCTTTGGGTATATACCCAGTAATGGGATGGCTGGGTCAAATGGTATTTCTAGTTCTAGATCCCTGAGGAATCGCCACACTGACTTCCACAATGGTTGAACTAGTTGACAGTCCCACCAACAGTGTAAAAGTGTTCCTATTTCTCCACATCCTCTCCAGCACCTGTTGTTTCCTGACTTTTTAATGATCGCCATTCTAACTGGTGTGAGATGGTATCTCATCGTGGTTTTGATTTGCATTTCTCTGATGGCCAGTGATGGTGAGCATTTTTTCATGTGTTTTTTGGCTGCATAAATGTCTTCTTTGGAGAAGTGTCTGTTCATGTCCTTTGCCCACTTTTTGATGGGGTTGTTTGTTTTTTTCTTGTAAATTTGTTTGAGTTCATTGTAGATTCTGGATATTAGCCCTTTGTCAGATGAGTAGGTTGCAAAAATTTTCTCCCATTCTGTAGGTTGCCTGTTCACTCTGATGGTAGTTTCTTTTGCTGTGCAGAAGCTCTTTAGTTTAATTAGATCCCATTTGTCAATTTTGTCTTTTGTTGCCATTGCTTTTGGTGTTTTAGACATGAAGTCCTTGCCCATGCCTATGTCCTGAATGGTAATGCCTAGGTTTTCTTCTAGGGTTTTTATGGTTTTAGGTCTAACGTTTAAGTCTTTAATCCATCTTGAATTGATTTTTGTATAAGGTGTAAGGAAGGGATCCAGTTTCAGCTTTCTACATATGGCTAGCCAGTTTTCCCAGCACCATTTATTAAATAGGGAATCCTTTCCCCATTGCTTGTTTTTGTCAGGTTTGTCAAAGATCAGATAGTTGTAGATATGCAGCTCAAGGAAATAAAAGAGGATACAAACAAATGGAAGAACATTCCATGCTCATGGGTAGGAAGAATCAATATCGTGAAAATGGCCATACTGCCCAAGGTAATTTACAGATTCAATGCCATCCCCATCAAGCTACCAATGCCTTTCTTCACAGAATTGGAAAAAACTACTTTAAAGTTCATATGGAACCAAAAAAGAGCCCACATCGCCACGTCAATCCTAAGCCAAAAGAACAAAGCTGGAGGCATCACACTACCTGACTTCAAACTATACTACAAGGCTACAGTAACCAAAACAGCATGGTACTGGTACCAAAACAGAGATATAGATCAATGGAACAGAACAGAGCCCTCAGAAATATCTTTATTCTAACTGCAGAACTTTGGCTTGATTCAGAACAAAAAGTGTAAGAGGAACTATGATTTTCTGTATTACCTCAGTTGTTGTTCATGTGGGGACTATATCTGATTTCCCTCACAACTGAGGGAAGGTCAGCCCCCTGGGAATGCCCTCTAGTGTGAGAGCCAGGCTTGAAAGTAATAATATACAGAAAACTGAATTAATTATAACCTAGATTTCTATCAGCTAGGGATCTCCATGTTCTCTAGCCTTATGGGTTACCTTTACCTTGAATATTTAATTAAAAATGCTTCCGATTCACTTATAAAGAAAAAGTAAAGCTTCCCACAACTGCAACACCTCAGAGTACTTACATATCTCCTAATTATTTCCGGCTACATTTTTCTTGCTTACACTGAATTCTCTGTATTACCTACATTTATTTTTTCTTGTGACTCTTGCTTTTTCTCTACATGTAACTTATTTCAGAGATTTAAAAATCTACTTAAAATGAATTACAATTTTAATTTTAATTTCAATTTTAGTTTGAAATTCAAGTTTAACTTAGTATCCTGTTTTCTATCAACCCTTAACTTAACATTCTTTCCTTGATTTACACAAACACCTCTCTCTCAAAGCAGATGTGTATAGTATACAGAAGATTCATGGGTAATAGACAGGAAGTTACAGAACAGAAAAGAAGTTGACTTAAAAGCCGGTATCAGCATCTCTGTTGTTTAAGCCTCATGGCCTTTCTGATCACAAGGGACTCTGCAGTGGCTGATTTTGCTTCTCAGGATCCCTGTCTTCTTGTCATGTTGCTGAGCTTTCTTTGTCCCTATATCTCCTCTTTTGTTGTTGTTGTTGTTGTTGAGACCGAGTCTCGCTCTGTTGCCCAGGCTGGAGTACAGTGGTGCAATCTCAGCTCACTGCAAGCTCGGCCTCTCGGGTTCACACCATTCTCCTGCCTCAGCCTCCCGGAGTAGCTGGGACAACAGGCGCCCACCACCATGCCCGGCTAACTTTTTGTATTTTTAGTAGAGACGGGGTTTCACCGTGTTAGCCAAGATGGTCTTGATCGCCTGACCTCGTGATCCGCCTGCCTCGGCCTCCCAAAGTGCTGGGATTACAGGCATCAGCCACCGCACAAGGCCCCTATATCTCTTCTTAATTATCAGCAGTTTCACCCTGAAATATCTGTAGAGTGTTTAATAATATCCACAGCTCCTCGCATTTTATTAAGTTGGATGTTTCAGCTCTTTTATTTGTCTCTGCCTAGCCCATTCTCAAAGTGCCTTAAAGTAGCCGAGGTCTGGGGGCAGAATGGGGGTGGAATGGGGCTTTATCTTTTACATATTAAGTGGCCGTCAAGTTATTTTCCCAAATAAAAACAGTACTCTCCCCAGAAGAGGGCAGCTGACCAGCTTTAAAAGCATACTTTTTACTCTCCTCAGTTATATAATTAAACTACAAATGTGAAAAGATGCAATCTGTGATGTGTGCAAACTGTCGAATGAGCAATGAAACTGAATGGGCCTTCACAACAAAAGTAATATGACAATCTCAGCTAGACACTGAAGGGTGCATAGGATCTTCCTAAATACAGATTAGACAAGCGACGTCCCAAAGAGTTTTATTTCTCTGTATTTAGTGCTCTTCATGGGAATAGATCTGAATTGCCAGAGGTAGTACCCTTTTCATTTCATTCTGCTCATGGTGTGCGTGAAGTAGGTATTTAAGGAATCCTTGATTGATTCAAGGAATGGAAGAAATTCAAAGAAATTAAAAATGAAAGCCACAGTTTAAGTTGTGGACATTTTTCACTTACTTATAAAATCAGAGTCTGAAGGCAAAGCTGTTGGCACAGGGCATTAGTATGTTAATTTGGGGCGGAAGGCAATACACTTTGATTATGCACTCTCAATTTCACATGCAGCTATGGCAACACTGAACAGCCAAAACTGATTCCAGATTGTTGAATTCAGTAATTTTGAATTCAATGTTGTAAATTTAAGCAAAATCTATCATTCTGTCAATCATTTGAAAAACGGGACTTAGAGCATACTCCATGAAAATTTTGAGAGTAGTGTGGACTTTACCTGGGTCTAGCGAATTCCAGGCTTGGTGACCTGAAAGCTTCCTGTAACAGCCATCAATGGATCCATGGGAACAAAGGTCCCCTAAATAATCTCCCCGATTCTTGCATGCAAGAAATGGCTATCATTTTCTTCTCCTTTGATGTCTTAAATACTTAGAACAAAATAGGCTGTAACAGAGAATCATAATCCTGTAAAAATACAGAGATAGATAATCCATGGAAATCCCAAATAAATGAGTTTCATCTAAAAAGCCCATTTACCAATTATCTGTGATCTAAAACTAAGCTCTGAAGGTAATTTGGAAGCACATTACTTATTTTTATTTTAGTAGTGACATATTAGAGATAAATTCACCCTTGTTCTCTCCTGTTTATTAGAGTTTTAAGCTTGTATTTGATATAATAAAATTATCTCAAGATGTGAATTTCACCAACAAATAATTAAAACATATTAAACTAGATAAAGCAGCCATGATAAATATGTCTGTAATATGCTAATTTCAAAAGTTTTTGCCATGCCTTGAGGGCACCAGAAATTGGGTTTTAACTTCTTCATTCTGTTTTCCATAGAGGTTGTACTAATTTACATTTCCACTAGTGGTGTACAAGCATTCCCTTTTCAACATATCCATGCCAACATCTATTGTTTTTTGACATTTTAATTATGGCCGTTTTTCAGAGGTAAGTGGTATCTCATGGTGGTTTTAATTTGCATTTCCCTGATGATTAGCGATATTGAGTATGTTTTTATGCTTGTTAGTCATTTGTACATCTTAGTTTGAGAAATGTCTATTTACATCCTTTGCCTAGTTTTTGACGGGAATTTTTTTTTTCTTACTGATTTAAGTTCCTTGTAGATTCCAGAAATTAGTCCTTTTTCAGCTGCATTGCTTGCAAGTATTTTCTCCCATTCTCTCTGTTGTCTGTTTACTCCATTATTTCTTTGCCTATGAGGAAGTTTTTCAGTTTAATTAGGTTTCATTAATTTATTTTTTGGTTTTGATGCATTTACTTTTGAGGTCTTATTCATGAATTCTTTGCCTAGGTCAATGTCCAGAAGAGTTTTTCCAATGTTATCTTCTAGAATGTTTAGGGTTTCAGGTCTTAGACCTAAGTCTTTGATCCATCCTGAGTTGATTTTTGTATAAGGTGAGACAAACTGGTCCCATTTCACTCATCTACATGTGGCTTCCCTGTTTTCCCAGCACCATTATAAATAGGATGTCCTTTCCCCAGTTTATGTTTTTGTATTGGTTGTTGAAGATTAGTTGGTTGTTAGTGTTTGGCTTTATTCATGGGTTCCCTATTGTGTTCCATTGGTCTTTATGTCTCCCTATTTTTATACCAGTACCATGTTTTTTTCGTAACTATAGCCTTGTAGTATAATTTAAAGTCCAGTAATGTGATGCCTCCAGATTTGTTGTTTTTCCTCTTAGAATTGCTTTGGCTATTTGGGATCTTTTTGATTCCATATGAATTTTAAGATTGTTTATCCTAATTCTGTAAAAAAATGATATTGGTATTTTGATGGGTATTGCATTAAATCTGTAGATTGCTTTAAGTGGTCTGATCATTTTGAAAATATTTATTCTTTCAATCCATGAACATAAAATGTGTTTTTATTTGTTTGATTTATCTATGATTTCTTTCAGCAGTGTTTTGTAATTTTTCTTGTAGAGGTTTTTCACCTATCTGTTTAAGTGTATTTCTCCATATTTTAGTCTTTTGCAGCTGTTTTGAAAGGGATTAAGGTCTTGGTTTGATACTCAGCTTGGTTGTTGCTCCTCTATAGCAGTACTATGAATTTGTGTACATTGATTATGTAACCTGAGACTTTACTGAAGTCATTTTTCAAATATAGGAGTCTTTTGAGGAATTGTTAGGGTTTTCTAGGTATACTATCATATCATTGTGGAACACCAGTGGTTTGACTTCTGCTTTTCACGTTTAGATGCACTTTATTTCTTTCTCTGGCCTGATTGCTCTGGCTGGGACTTCCAGTACTACATTGAATACAGGTGTTAAAAGTGGGTAGCTTTGTCTTGTTTCAGTTCTCAGGGGGAATTTTTAACATTACCCAACTCAGTATGATGTTGCCTGTGGGTTTGTCATAGATGTCCTTTATTATTGTGAGATAAGTCCCTTACCTTGTGAGGAAAGTGCCTAGTTTGTTGAGGGTTCTTACATCAAGGGATGCTGGATTTTATTGAAAGCTTTTTCTGCATCTATTGAGATGATCATATTGTTTTTGTTTTTGTTTTTAATTCTCTTTATGTGATGAATCAGTTATTGAACTGCATATGTTAAACCATCCCTGCATTCCTGGGATGAGACCCACTTGATTATGATGTATTATCTTTTTGATGTGCTGATAGATTTGATTACCTAGTATTTTGTTGAGGCTTTTTGCATTTATGTTAATTAGGGATATTGAGCTGTATCTTTTTCTTCTTTTGTTATTTTTTTTTCTGGTTTTAGTATCAGAGTGATACTGGCTTCATAGAATGATTTGGGGAGAATTCCCTCTTCTCAGTTTTTTGGAATAATTTTCGTAGGATTGGTACCAATTCTTCTTTGAATAACTAGTAGAACTCAGTTGTGAATTTAACTTGTCCTGGGGTTTTTATGTTGGCAATATCTTTATTACTGTTTCAATTTTGTTGGTTGTTATTCATATTTTCAAGGTTTTTATTTCTGCCCGATATAATGTAGGAGGATTTTATATGTCCAGGAATATATCCATTTCCTTTAGGTTGTCTAGTTTGTGGACATAAAGGTGTTCATAGTAGTCTCAAATGATCTTTTGTATTCCTGTGGTGTTTATTGTAATGACTCCATTATCATTTCTAATGAACCTTACTTGAATCGTCTCTCTTCTTTTCTAGGTTAAACTAGCTAATGGTCTCCTAGTTTTGTTTATCTTTTTAAAGAACCAGCTTTTCATTTCATTGATTTTTTTGTAACATTTTTTGTTTGTTTTTTTTCAATTTTATTAAGTTCTGCTCTGATCTGTGTTATTTCTTTTCTTCTGCTAGCTTTAGGTTTAGTTTGTTCTTGTTTTTCTGATTTATTCAGGTGTGACATTAGGTTGTTTATTTGTGATCCTTCAGACTTTTTGATGTAGGCATTTAGCACTATAAATTTTCCTTTTAGCACTGCTTTTGCTGTATCCCAGAGGTCTTGACAACTTGTGTTGCTGCATTAGTCCATTCTCATGCTGGTAATAAAGACATACCTGAGACTGGGTAGCTTTATAAAGGAAAGAAGTTTAATTGTCTCACAGTTCAGCATGGCTTGGGAAGCCTCAGGAAACTTACAATTATGGCAGAAGGGGATGAAAACCTGTCCTTCTTCACATGGTGGCAGCAAGGAGAAGTGCTAAGCAAAAGAAGGAAAAGCCCCTTATGAAACCATCAAATCTCGTGAGAACTCACTCACTATCATGAGAACAGCATGAAGGTAACCATCTCCATGATTACATTACCTCCCACAACACATGCAGATTATGGGAACTACAATTCAAGATCCAATTTGGGTGGGGGCAAAGCCAAACCATATTATTCTGCACCTGGCCCCTCTCAAATCTCATGTCCTCACATTTCAAAAAACAATCATGCCCTTCCAACAATCCCTCAAAGTTGTAAATTATTCCACCATTATCTCAAAAATCTGAGTCCAAAGACTCATCTGAGATAAGGCAAACCCCTTCTGCCTATGAGACTGTAAAATTAGAATCAAGTTAGTTACTTCTTAAGTATAGTGGGGGTAAAGTCATTGGGTAAATACACCAATTCCAAATAGGCTAAATTGGCCAAAATGAATGGGCTACAGATCCCATGAAAGTCTGAAATCTAACAGGGCAGTCATTCAACTGAAGTTCCAGAATGATCACCTTTGACTTCATGTCTCACATTCAGGTCATGCTGATGAAAGAGGTGGGCTCCCATAGCCTTGGCAGCAGCTCCATTACTGTGGCTTTGCAGGGTACAGCTGCCCTCCTTGCTGCTTTCGTGGGCTGGCTTTGAGTGTCCGCAGCTTTTCCAGGTGCACAGTGCAAGCTGTCGGTGGATTTACCATGGTGTGGTCTGGAGGACAGTGGCCCTTTTCTCACAGCTCCACTAGGCAATGCCACAGGAGGTACTCTGTGTGGGAGCTCCAACTCAGCATTTTACTTCTACGCTGCCCCAGCAGAGGCTCTTCATGAGGGTTCTGCCTCTGCAGCAAACTTCCGCCTGGACATCCAGGCATTTCCATACATCCTCTGAAATTTAGGTGGAAATTCCCAAACCTCAATTCTTAACTTCTGTGCAGTCACAGGCTCAACATCATGTGGAAGCTGCCAAGTCTTGTGGCTTGCACCCTCTGAAGCAATGCCTGAGCTGTACCTTGACCCCTTTTAGCCATGGCTGGGCCAGGATGCACACAACGATTTCTCTTTTTCTCCTAGACTTCCAGGCTTATGATGGGAGGGGCTGCCACAAAGGTCTCTGTCATGCCCTGGATACATTTTCCCCTTTGTCTTTTGGATTAACATTTGACTCCAAATTATTTATGCAAATTTCTGCAGCTGGCTTAAATTTCGCCTCAGAAAATGGGTTTTTCTTTTTCGTCGCATTGTCAGGCTACATATTTTTCAAACTTATGCTCTGCTTCCCTTTTAAACAAAAGTTACAATTCCAAATTAGATCTTTGTGAATACATAAAATTGAATGACTTTAACAACACCCAAGTCACCTTTTGAACACTTCATTACTTGAACATTTATTCTGACAGATAACCTAAATTATCTCTCTCAAGTTCAAAGTTCTGCAGGTCTGTAGGGCAGGGAAAAAACGCCACCAGACTCTGTGCTAAAACATAGAAAGAGTCACCTTTGGGCCGGGCACGGTGGCCATGCCTGTAATCCCAGAACTTTGGGAGGCCAAGGTGGGCCGAACACAGTGAAACCCTCTCTCTACTAAAAATACAAAAAAATTAGCCAAACATGGTGAAACCCTGTCTCTACTAAAAATACAAAAAAATTAGCTGGGCAGGTGCCTGTAGTCCCAGCTACTTGGGAGGCTGAGGCAGGAGAATGGCGTGAACCCAGGAGGCGGAGCTTGCAGTGAGCCGAGATGATGCCACTGCACTCCAGCCTGGGTGACAGAGCAAGACTCCATCTCCAAAAAAAAAAAAAAAAAAAAAAAAAGGGTCACCTTTATTCCAGATCCCGACAACTTCCTAATCTCTATCTGAGACATCCTCAGTCTAGACTTCATTGTCCAGATCATTATTAGCATTTTGGTCAAATCCATTCAACAAGTCTCTAGGAAGTTCCAAATTTCCCACCTTTTCCTGTTTTCTTATGAGCCCTCCAAACTGTTCCAATCTCTGCCTGTTGCCCAGTTCCAAAGTCACTTCCACATTTTCAGGTATCTTTAGAGCAGCACCCCACTACCTGGTGCCAATTTACTGTATTAGTTTGTCCTCATGCTGCTAATAAAGACATATCTGAAACTGAGTAATTTATAAGGGAAAGAGTTTTAATTGACTCACAGTTCAGGATGGCTGGGAAGGCCTTAGGAAACTTACAATCATGGTGGAAGGGGAAGCAAACATGTCCTTCTTTACATGGCAGTAGCAAGAAAAAGTGCCAAGCAAATTAGGAAAAAGTGCCTTATAAAACCGTCAGATCTTGTGAGAGCTCAATCACAGCATGAGGGTAACCACCCCCATGATCAATTACCTCTCATTGGGTCCCTCCTACAACAGGTGAAGATTATGGGAACTACAATTCAAGATGAGATTTTGGTGGGGGCACAGCCAAACCATATCAGTCACCATTATCATTCATTTCAAATATTTTCAAATTTCCATCTTGATTTCACTGTTAACTCCAAAATTATTCAGGAGCATATTACCTAATTTCCATGTACATGTATAATGGTGAAGGCTTCTTTTGGAGTTGATTTCTAGTTTTATTCCACTGTAGTCTGAGAAAATTTTTGATATGATTTCAACTTTTATAAAAATGATTGAGATTTGTTTTGTGGCCTGTCATATGGTCTGTCTTGGAGAATGTTCCATGTGCAGATGACAATAAAGTATATTCTTCAGTTTGCGGGTAGAATGTTATTTAAATATCTGTTAAGTCAATTTTTTCAAGAGTGTCATTTAAATGCATCATTTCTTTGTTGACTTTTGTCTTGATGACCTGTTTAGTGCTGCCAGTGGAGTATTGATGTCCCCCACTATTATTGGGTTTACTGCCTATTTTATTTCTTCAGTCTATTAGTAATGGTTTTATGAATCTGGAAGCTACAATGTTAGATGCATATAGTTATGGATTGTAATACCTTCTCATTGGATTGATTTTTTATCATTATATAATGCCTTTTTTATCTTTTTTTCTCATTATTTTTAATTTTTGTGGATAATTAGTAGGTGTATGTATTTATGGGGTATAGGAGATGTTTTGATACAGGCATGCAATGTGAAATAAGCAAATCATGAAGAATGGGATATCCACCCCCTCAAGAATTTATCCATTGATTGAGTGGCAAACCATCCAATTATACCCTTTATTTTAAAATGTACATTTAAGTTATTATTGACTATAGTCAGCATGTTGTGCTATTAATTAGAAAGATTTATTCATTATTTCTGACTTTTTTTGTACCTAGTAACCATCTCCATGTCCCCTATCCAGCCTCACATTACACTTCCAAGCCTCTGGTAACCATCCTTATATGCTCTATGTCCATGCGTTCAATTGTTTTAATTTTTAGATCCCACAAATAAGTTAGAATATTTGAAGTTCTTCTTTCTGTGCCTGGCTGATTTAACTTAACATAATTGTCTCCAGTTACATCCATGTGATTGCATATGACAACATCTCATTCTTTTTAATGGCTGAATATACTCCATTGTATATATGTATCATATTTTCTTTATCCGTTCATCTGTTGATGGACACTTAGGTTGCTTCCAAATCTTATCTCTTGTAAACAGTGCTGCAACAAATACGGGAGTGCAGATATCTCTTTGATGTATAAATTTCTATTCTTTTGGGTACATACCCAGCAATGGGATTGCTGAATCATATGGTAGCTCAATTTTTCGTTTTTGAGAAACCACCAAAATGTTCTCTATAGTGTTTGTACTAATTTACATTCCTACCTACAGTGTATAAGTGTTCTTCACATTCTGCCAGCATTTGTTCTTGTCTGTCATTTGGATATAAGCCATTGTAACCAGGTTAAGATTATATATCATTGTAGTTTTCGTTTGCCTTTCTCTAATGAACAATGATGTTAAACATCTGTTCATGTGCTTCTTTGTCATTTGTATGTCTTCTTTTCAGAAATGCCTACTCAAGTCTTCTGTTTATTTTTTATTTGATTTTTATATTTGTTTTCCTATAAAGTTTCTGAGCTCCTTATATATTCTGGTTATTAGTCCCTTGTTAGAGGGTACTGTGCAAATGTTTTCTTCTAATCTGTGGGTTACCTCTTCACTTTGTTGATTGTATCCATTGCTGTTCAGAAGCTTTTTAACTTTAGGTGATCCCATTTGTCCATTTTTGCTTAGGTAGCCTTGTGCTCGTGGGGTATTGTTCAAAAAATTATTACTTAGACCAATGTCTTGAAGAATTTCACCAAAGTTTTCTTGTAGTAGTTTCATAGTTTGAGGTCCTACATGTAAGTCTTTAATTTATTTTGATATGATTTTTGCATAGGGGTCTAGTTTCATTCTGCCTATGGATATCCTATCTTCCCGGCATCACTAATTGAAGAGATTGCCTTTTTCCTGGTGTATGTTATTGGTACCTTTGTTGAAAATGAGTTCACTGTAGTTGTGTGGATTTTGTTCTGCATTCTTTATTGTGTTCCATTGGTCTATGTGTCTGTTTTCATGCCATTACCATCTTGTTTTGGTTACTGTTGCTCTGTAGTAAAATTTAAAGTCAAGTAATGTGGTTCCTACAATTTTGTTCTTTTTGCTCAGGATAGCTTTGACCATTCTGGCTCTTTAATGGTTCCATATAAAGTATAGAACTATTCTTTCACTTTTTGTGAAAAATGTCATTGGTATTTAATAGGGATTGTCTTGAACCTGCAGATTGCTTTGGGTAGTATGAACATTTTAACAGTATTTATTCTTGCAATTCATTACCATAGAATATTTTAACGTTTGTTGATGTCCTCATCAT
Organism: Homo sapiens; assembly: GCF_000001405.40. Lineage (NCBI taxonomy): Eukaryota > Metazoa > Chordata > Mammalia > Primates > Hominidae > Homo > Homo sapiens. The sequence goes on along the minus strand of NC_000023.11, from coordinate 143,143,679 downwards.
TTCTTTTATAAGTGCTTTGTAGTTTACATTATAGAGGTATTTTACTGTTATATTTGGCTGTTGTAAATAGGATTACTTTTTTATTTTCTATTTTACATTATTCGTTGTTGGTCTATAGAAATGTTACTGATTTTTGTATGTTGAATTTGTATCCTGCATCTTTACTCAATTTGTTTATTGGTTCTAATAATTTTCTTGTGGAGTCTTTAGGTTTTTCCAAATATAATATTACATCATCTGCATTCTTGCTTAGGGTTAAAGGATTGTTTTGAAATAGATAAAATAAAGTTGAAGGTTTAAACAAATGATGAAAGGTTTGTAAAAATTAATCTTGCAAAAGTAATTCCATGTGTAAAAATATTGACTAAATTCAAAAGGGTATTATATAATTTTTCTGTAAATTAAACATTGAACTAAAAACACAACATGGTACTTTTAAAGGCATTAATCTTCTCTTTAGCAAAATTTGTAAAGGGTTATAAAAGGGTTTTGCTTTTTGAAAATTTCTGAGTCATCATTTTGGCAAAATCAATAATTTACGGTAACCTGCAATTCTATTTAAAAACATCAAGTGTTCTAAACCTGTAACATATTTAACAGGCTTCCCAAAATCTAACTTCAGTTTCAAAATTGTCTTTCCTGATACCTGGTTTTTGGATGCTACAGAGGGCCCCAGGAATATCCAAAAGAGAGGTAACAGAATTATTTGACATATTTAGGTACATGACATTGCCAAAATCAATCTTCTTTAGGTTATATTTTGGTGAATAATACTAATATATGTTTTAAAATTGTATGAGATTTCTAAAATTCTAATGTCTATGCTATCAAATCATAATTAAACTTGTTATGTTAAGTTATTGTAAACCATGAAGATAATCAAATTTTTTTTTGTTAATTGTATTTCTAACTGTACCTACCCTGGATATTTTCTTATACAGACAGTTGGTGTCTTGTTTTAATTCTTTTAAAAAGATGGTTTGTAATAAACTATAGAAATTTGACTGGTGCTTTCAAAGGCAGGTTTCTAATAACTTTGGGTATTGTGACATTGGAGTAAAGGAAAAGGTACAGGACTCATGAAGAGCTTAAATGTTCACAAATATCAAGCAAAACAGGTTAACTGAATGGACTGAACTAATAGAAACTAGAGTAATCCTTTTGACTTTTGTTTAGAACATTGCTGATCCTTGTTTTGTTTTTCAGAATCAAGGAAACTTTTTTTGAACTACTTACAGACTCTAGTAATTGAGTAAGCTATACTCATGTGAACAAAATTTGGAGCATGTTTTTCTCCCTCTCTGCCTGACTTCTCTAAAATTTGGACACTAGTTGTGACTATTCTTAACTCAAGGCAGTATGCTTGTTTGGATCAGTGCAATAAGAATCCATTTTCTTTTGCAATAGGATGCAAGTGGAGAAACTGGTGTTTTATCAAGGCTTTGACTGAAATAGTATGCTACCCTTTAATGAGTCAAGCTTGAACTGAAAAGCTGATTAGAGCCTCTTGGAAAAACTAGCCTTGTATTTTTGTCTATGCAGTCCCTGTACAGGGTTTCTGACCTGTAGTAAGTAAAAAAATGTAACTCTCTGACAGGCCCAGGACCCTCAAGTTTATCTTGGGACCTTACGAAGAGAGGATCACCCAACTCACAGGTATTGGAGGATACAAACCCATGGCTGGGCTCAGCTTTCAAAGGTCTTACCTGAGATTCCTTGTGGAACAGAGTTCCATCAAAGCCAATGTAAAAGGCCACTGTAGAAATAATTATTCTTGCTGTGCTTAATGAAAATAAGCAGGCCAATTATAAGACTAGTCTATTTTGCAAGCAACTCAGTCTTATCATGATTATTTTTTTAAATAACGACTGGAGAGAAAGAAATTATGTTTCAAACCTTATATGTTTGTCATTAAAATCTAGACTCATTAGTTGTTTTAAACTTTTTGCCTACATTTTGCAGTAACCCTGCTTGTTACTGTGAACCAACCAGTAATCTCCAGCTGCAGCTCAAAAAGAACAAAAGTGATGGATAATGTAGAAATCTGGATTAATATTCTAGTTGTGAGCAATTATCCTGCAAATACTTCTGGGTGATGGGAATAAACAGTATGCCCATCACCCAGAGGTTTCCTCTTTGGGAAAGTAAGACCAAAAGAGCTAACCAAAGCCAAGCACAATGCATCCAAATCTTAGCAAGCAGAACTATAGCCACCAGTTATCTGGGCATATCACAGGACATCCTTTTGTCTTCCTTGTTGGAGAAGAACTCAATTGCGAAGCTTCACCTTAGCATTCAGCTTATGAAAGGAAGCCCATGCAATCCCCCTGAGACATATTTTTGTCCCAAACTCAATTCCAAGCTTTGGGTCAAAGGTCCAGAAAAGATAATTGGATATGAAAGATCCAGAGGCAGATGATAACAGAAGTGAAAAGGTACAGAGCAGGTGAATATGACTGGTTCCTGCTGATTAAGCTTCCCATTTCATGGATAAAGGTCATGCTAGCATCCATGGCATAAATGAGGTATTGGTAATTCAAAGGCTACTGAATAGCAGAGGAGATCAGATGTATGCGGGTAAGAGCAGATAACCCCACCCCCAGACCCCCTTGTTAACATGAGTGAAAGCTTCTTTGTCACCCATGGGCAGCACCCTGTCATACTCACCAGGACTCAGGGATACAATAACAGAAGAAAGGAAGAAGAATGCCTCACTTTCTCTCCCTCATGTACCCTGGGCTAGGAAGAGAAATGAAACAGGGATTCCTGCTCCTCTCTTTCTAGATGAGTAGCATTTCATCTTCAATCTGTACCTCTTTCAAATGTATTCTGAATCCCTGGGACTCCTCTGAAAAACAAAATAATCTCTTTTTTTTTTTCCTTTTTCCTCCTCTGTCCTCTCTTACTTGATAGATAATTGTATTTCTGTACTATGGGACACTCCTCTCTGATGCAGCCTCCAAACTGGGAAGAGTTAATTTCCAAAACTTTAAAGTAATTGCCTTAGGATTGGGCTCAGGGGAGGAAAACCCAGAAGCCCAAAATGGCAGCAAAAGGGTAAAAGTTTTATTTACCAGTCGGGCTTTTGGCCCCCATCCCTGTACCAACTGGTAAAAGGCCTCGAGATTTTTGAGTTGTCTTCACCATCTCTTGTTTCATTTTTATACATGTTTTCTAATAACCTGGTTTGTGTCTTCTTGCCTTCAGGCCATCGAAATCCAAATAGTCATGCAATTAGAGCCTCAGATTATGGCCTCTTTTTCCAGGAACCCTTAGATAGGCCTCTGAGGGGGATCTGACTGCTGTTTTTTTCAAAACAGCGCCCCTCTGTCAACAGTAAGCCGTTAAGATCGGTTTTTGTCCTTATCTTTGTCCTCATTCTAATGGCAGGTATATGTACTTCTTTAGAGGGGGCAATGATAGAGATAGGAGACAGCTAGGATCTCTGGCAACACCCTGCCTTGAAGCCTAAAATAGCCTAAAGGCTGAAAATCTGTACTGCTGATCCCAGATGAAGCCCACAATTTCCTGACTGATTATTTCTGAATAATGCCCACTTGGCTCTTCATTACTTATGCAAATGATCCATGGGATGGAGCCTTGGGAAGTTTGTGCCCTTTGCAGGAAGGAGGAGCCTGGTCTTCACTGTTCCTGTGTGATAACCTAGAATTCAATCTGTGAGGCAGGAAACCTGCTAGCAGGACTCTCTTTCGCTTTGCTGAGAGTTATTTTTCCCCTTTCCACTTTGCCCAGTAAATTCTGTTTTCCTCAACCTTTTATTTGTCCACAATCCCAATCTTTTCTGGTCACGTGACAAGAGCCAGGTTTTAGCAGAACTAAAGAGAAAGTTCTGTAACCCTCACATTTAAAATCATGCCTTTTCAAGAGTTTCCCAAAATCTTAACTCATTCCAGCATTAACTCAAAAGTCCAAGTCCAAAGACCCATCTGAGACAAGTCAAGTCTCTTTTGCCTATGAGCCTGTAAAATCAAAAGAAAGTTAGTTATTTCCTAGATACAATGGGGGTACAGGCATTGGTTAAATACACCTGTTCCGAATAGAAGAAGTTGGCCAAAACAAAGGGACTACAGGCCACATGAAAATCTGAAAATCAACAAGGCAGTAATGAAATCTTAAAGCTCCAAAATAATCCCCTTGGAATCCATGTCTCCCATCCAGGTTATGCTGATGCAAGAGGTGGGCTCCTACAGCCTTGGGCAGCTCTGCACCTGTGGCTTTGCAGGGTACAGCCCTCCTCCTTGCTGCTTTCATGGGCTGGCATTGACGGTCTTCAGCTTTTCTGTGTGCATGGTGCAAGCTGTCACTTGATCTAGCATTCTGGAGTCTAGATGATGGAGGCCCTCTTCTCACAGCTCCACTAGGCAGTGCCCCAGTGGTGAGTCTGTGTGGGGACTCCAAACTCACATTTTCTTTTTGTACTGCCCTAACAGAAGTTCTACATGAGTGCCTGGGCCCTGCAGCAAACTTCTGCCTGGACATCCAGGCATTTTCAAAAACTTTCTGAAATCTAGGTGGAAGTTCCCAAACCTCAATTCTTGACTTCTGTGCACCCACTGGCTCAACGCCACGTGGAAGCTGTCAAGGCTTGGGGCTTGCACCCTTTGGAGGCATGCCATGAGTTGTACCTTGGCCCCTTTTAGCCATGGCTAGAGCAGCTCAGACGCAGGTCACCAAGTCCCTAGGCTACACACAACAAGGTGGCCCTGGACCTGGCCCAGGAAATCATTTCTCTTTCATAGGCCTGCAGATCTGTGATGGGAGGGGCTGCCACAAAGATCTCTGACACGCCCTGGAGACATTTTACCCATTGTATTTTCAATTACTATTCGGCTCCTCATTACTTTAGCAAATTTCTGCTGCTGGCTTGAATTTCTTCCCAGAAAATGGGTTTTTCTTTTCTATCGCATTGTCAGGCTGCAAATTTTTCAAACTTTTATGGTCCACTTCCTCTTGAATGCTTTGCATTCTTAAGTTCAAAGTTCCACAGATTCCTAGGGCAGAGCAAAATGTCACCAGTCTCTGCATAGCAAGAGACACGGTTACTCCAGTTCCCAACAAGTGCCTCATCTCCACCTGAGACCACCTCAGCCTGGACTGTATTGTCCATATTACTATCAGCATTTTAGTCAAAGCCATTCAACAAGTCTCTAGGAGGTTCCAAACTTTCCCACATCTTCCTGTCCCAAACGGCTTCAACCTCTGCCTCTTACCCAGTTCCAAATTTGCATCCACATTTTGGGGTATCTTTATTGTACCTCCCCACTCCCAGTATCAATTTACTGTATTAGTTCATTCTCACACTGCTAATAAAGACATACCTGAGACTGAGTAATTTATAAAAGAAAAAGGTTTAATTAGATCACATTTCCACATGGCTGACGAGGCCACACAATCATGGTGGAAGGTGCAGGGGACGCAAAGTCTCATCTTACATGGTGGGAAAGACCAACCCCCATGATTGAATTACCTCCCACTGGGTCCCTCCCACAACACATAGGAATAATGTGAGGTACAATTCAAGATGAAATTTGGCTGGGAACACAGCCAAACTGTATCAACCTTTTATCTTTATCTCATACAATTATATTTAATTGTGCCTCCAAACCAATGTTCAGTAAAAGTGTAACAAAAAGTATGGGACAGGATTCTTTTTCCTTAATTTAATGAGAAGCCTTCTAATGTTTCCCCATATACAATCTTTGGGGTTTTATTAATTATCTATTATTAGATAAAACATCAATATTTACTTAGTGGATTAAAATAACACACACTTATTAATTCATAGTGTCTGTGGGGCAGTTATGGCATTACTATGTCCTCTGTTTAGGGTTTCAGGAGTTTAAAATCAAGTTGTTGGCCATGCTGGATACTCATGTGCAGGTACAACTGGCCAATATGCTTCTTAGCTCACTCAGGTTGTGTCAAAATGTATTACCTTGGGGTTGTAGTAATGAAGTCTCTGGTTTTATGTTGGCTGTTGGCTGGCCTCCACTCTTAGCAACATTCATAGCTCTTTGTTTACTACATGGGCTTTCCAGTAGGGCTACTTACTTTATCAAGGTAGAAAGAATAGTCTCTAGAGAAAAATGCTAGCAAGAGAAAGTCTAAATAAGGTAACCTAATCACAGGAGTGACATGTTCACTTTTGCCATGTGTGTTACTTAGAAGCATCATAGAGAGAGAAATATTATGGAGGTTGCCACTTTATAGTTTGCTTGCTACAGTGTTTATATATTTTATTACTAGATTTCTTAATTCAATAATATAGGTTAAATTTTATAATATGTTTTTACAGCATATTTAGAAATGCACAAAAGATTATCCTCTTTTGATATATTAATATGGTGACATAAGATTGCATAATACCAAGCAACCCTTGCATTTTGGTAATTAATTCCATTTGGTTGTCACATAAGTGTGGCTGGATTCAATTGCTAGTATTTTAGCTCTAATGTTTCCATTTATGTTGATAAGTAATATTGGTCTATATTTTTATTTTTGTGCAATAATTGTTAGGGTTGTTGTTTTTGTCAAGGTAAAAAAGAGTTCATAAAAATCATTTGAAATATTTCTTCTTCTCTTAGGCTCCGGAACAATGTACATAGTGCTATAGTCATCTGTTTCTTAAAGGTTTAGTAAGAAAGAGTAACCTGTACCTCATGTGGTTTGGGGATGTTTGCTATTTTACAGTTTTATTTCTTATATGGCATTTGATGTTTAGATTTTCTAGCTCTTAAGGTATCTGTTTAAATTTATGTTCACTTTTATTTGCATAGAATTTAGAAAAACAGCTAATAATGTTTCCTTTAATGTCTTTCATATCGTGGTTATTTTCTAATTATTTTTTATTTTATATGTTTCTGCTTTTTATTGTTTATATGATAGCAATAATTATAATTTTACTGATTTTTTAGAGAACAATGCGTCTTAAATGTACTTATTTCTTTCATTTATTTAATTTTCTGTTTTCATATAGTCCATTATCTTTTTTGTATCCTCTATTGTTTTTAATTTTATTTCACATCTTTTGTAATTATTCCATCATTCTTGAATATTCCATTGTGTCTCTTTTATTCTATTTTCTCTTTGCATTGCAGCTTTAGAAGCTTCTATTGGCATTTTTCAAATTCACTAATCCTTTCCTTGGCCATTGCTAGTCTGTTAATAAATCCATCAAAGTCATTCTTCATTTATCTTACGAATGTTTCTTTTATCTCTAGAATTTTATTTTTATTTTTTCCTTAGAGTTTCAATCTACATTATTACATTACCCATCTGTTCTTGGATGTTGACTACTTTTTCCATTAGATTCCTTAGAATATCATAGTTCTAGTCTGATAATTCCAACATCTTTGCCACACGTGGGTCTGGTCCTGATGCTTACTCTGTTTCTTCCAGTTGTATCTTTTGTGTTTTAGTATGCCTTGTAATTTTTGTTAAATGCCAAACATGATGTATTGGGAAAAAGAAACTGAGGTAAGTAAGCCTCTAAAGTGAGGATTTATGTTTATCTAACTATGGATTAGGCTGTGTTTGCTGTTTTTCTTAGCTGTAGTTGGCAGTAGCTAAAATTTCCTCTGCTGCCCTTGGTTTTGTCTCTACTGTTGTCTTTGGGTTTCCCTAGAGACTTCTTAAATAAGGTCTGAAACTAGCAGTTCTCTGTATTGTATTTCCCTATTATTATATAGGAGCCCTACTAGAGTGGTGCTAATGTGTAGGGGAGGGAAACATTTTATAATCCTAAAATTAAGTCTCAGTATTTTAGTGAGCCTGTGGCTATGGCTGTGAATTTCACCAGTACTTGTCAGTTTTCCTTCCCCGTCTTAATTGAGACAGGAAGGCTACATGGGGCATTCCTTTGGCATTCCACTTTCTCACATGGAGGCTAGAGCATGCAGGATTTGGTATTTCCCTTCCCCTATATCAGTTATGCTCTGGTATAATCACAATTGTTTTAACTCTGTTAAAATAATTTATCTTGAAGGCAGGCCTTGTTAAGAACAAGATGTTCGGAGACTATTTCAAAATGGCTACTTTCCTCCTTCTGCTTCCAGAAGCTGGAAGGGATGTTTCTCTTATCTTCATTGTGAGGATATGATAGAGCTTTTGGAGGCAAATCTGACAAGCATGTGGATGTCCCCCTAAGACAGGAGCCCCCTGGAATGTTTAACTCTCAGCTTTGTGCACGCTGAGCTTCTAGCAATTCATTAATTAAAGTTCAAGTTTTCCTAACGCAGTACTGGCTCCAGAGGCCAGCTTCTACTCATGGGCTTATGCTCTGGTAAACTGTGATTCTCTGAACCCACCTGTCTATCTTTCTAATGTGGGGAGCAACATTTTGCCCATGACCTGAATTCTTTGAAGTATCTAAAGAAAGTTGTGGGGTTTCAAACTGTTCGGCTTTTGTTGTTGTTTTGTAAGGATATGAATAATAAGTGCCAAGTTACATAAATTCCAACAACAAACGAAAACCACCTCATTCTTTCTATTAATATGTAAGTCTAAGCTTTTTCCTCTTAGCATTTCTTTAGCTATATATCTACAAGCTATTTTATATAGTAGTTTCATTATAATTCTACTCCAGGTATTTTACAATTTCAATGTTTTTCCCAATTTGACCCAATAAACTTCTCAAGATATTTTTAAATATCTAGTACATAGTATATATTTTCTACACTATTTTTGAATTTTGAAATTTTATGAGGTTTTATTTTTGACTTATATAAAGTAGAATTTTGTGAATGATTCATACATATATGAAAATAATGTGTGGTTTCTCTTTTTAAAGTATTGATTTCAATTTAGTTCCATTTAGCATTTATTATTAATTATGTTATTAAAACTTTCTGTATTTTTCCTTTTGTCTAGTTTATCTTTCATGGACTGAGAGACAAGTTAAAGCTATGGTTTCTAATGCATTTTTGCATCTTCTATATTTCTGGTGGATTTTTTGAAACGAAAGTTAATTCTATGTTTGTTATAACTTTATTATATTCATTGTGTTTGTATGTTCTGTAAATCAAAAAAACTTTCCTTTTTCTCATATGACACATTTTTGCTGTGAATTTAACCTGGCTTACCGTTAAAATTATGATCTCTGCTTTGCCTTCTTCTTTTTTAAATTTTGCATTTGCCTGTTGTGTATTTTCCTATTCTTTTCGAACCTTCTGAATCACTTTGTTTTGTATGCGCCTTGTGTACCACAAATAGATAGATGTGAGTTTGTGATCCAGTCTAGATTCTAGGACCCTTTTTAAAATTATAGATGAGTTTTACCTCCGTTTATATTTATTGACAGGATAGATATGTTTGTTGTCTTTTCTGTCATCATATTTATGTTTTTGTCTATTTTTATAATATTTAAGGCAACTTCCACTCTATTAGTGTTTACTATCATTTATGTGTTTGTTCTGTTAGTTTATTCTAATAGTTATCTCCAAAAGTATAAGGCATCATGTTTTTTTACAATTATTCTATTTTTTGAACAGTGTCTATTAACTGTTTAATTTCAATTTTAATGTCTCGTGTTAATTTCTATGAACAATGTCAAAATAGGTAATTTTTTTCTTTCTCTTTTCTTCACCACCTATTTTATTGGTAACATAATTTCGTAACCATACAGTAACTTTAATATACTTAAACTTCTGTTACTTTATTAATATGATGTAAGTAACCTCAGATTTTTACTATGAAAATGGGGAAATTGAACCGTTCACTGGTTCACCAACATTTCTATACTTATCTTCCCAACTTGTTTTATATGTAATTTGGCTCTCTGTATCCATAGGTTCTGCATCTATGAATTCAACCAATCACAGATAAAAACTATTTTTTAAAAAATGAATGGTTGAGTTTGTAACTGAACAGATACAGACTTTTTTTCTTCTTGTCATTATTTCCTAAGCAATACAGCATAACAGCTATTTATATAGCATTTACATTGTATTCATTATTATAGGTAATCTAGAGATAATTTAATGTATTTGGGAGGGTGTGCATAGGTTATAAGAAAGTACTTCACTATTTTATATAAGGGACTTGAACATCTGTCAATTTTGGTGTGGAGGGAGGTTCTGAAAGCAATTCCCCATGGATGTCAAGTGGTGACTGTTTATATAAAGGGTTGATAAAATATACAGTTATTTTTGTAACCATTACCAGTAATATAGTCCATGATCACTGCTTCTTCTAGTGCCATAGTTTGTCCATTCATCTCTTATTTGGCTGGAGGTTATCCTAACGTAGTCTCTTCAAGGAGAATCCATGGAATCTATATTTCCTTAGTTATTTGGTGTTCAAAGGTATTTTTCTGTTGCTTTAATGTTAAAAGTTGTCAGGTTATGACATTCTTGTACCTAATTTTCTTTTCCCCAAATTCTGTTACATCGACTAAATTTGACTATCTTTGTGAAAAAACACTGTGGTCGATACGATATTTTCCCTTTATGAGTACTTTGAACTTTTGCCTATTTCCTAATGAATGATTTGAACCCATTAAATTATTAAAGATACACATTAAGATGTTAACTGCTCTGTTTGATTTTTCCTGAGTCATAGTATTCCCTTTTAATTTGTATATTCAAGTCTTGTTATATCTGTTGTTGATGTTGCTTTTGAGACAGAGTGTCACTCTGTTGCCCAGGCTGGAGTGCAGTGGTGCAATATCGGCTTACTGCAACCTCTGACTCCCAGGTTCAAGTGATTCTCCTGCCTTGGCCTCTCGAGTAGCTGGGACTATGGGCGTGCACCACTACACCCGGCTAATTTTTGTATTTTTAGTAGAGACGGGATTTCACTATGTTGGCCAGGCTGGTCTTGAACTGACATCAGCTGATCCACCCGCCTTGGCCTCCCAAAGTGCTGGGATTATAGGCGTGAACCACTGTGCCTGGCCTCTTGTTTTATTTTTGGAAAGTTGTACTGATCATTTTTAATTTTTATAATAGTCCATTATAAAAATACAGATTTTGCATATTGCGGTGGTTTTAAATATGCCCTCAACTTCTTTGTCAGGTCTCTCTTTGAAGGTGGATCCTAACTAATTAATTCTCTTTCCCTTGATTTGGGGAGGGACTTCAGCTCTCACTTTTAGTGAACAAAATTTGGCAGAAGTAACTGTGTATAACTTCCAAGACTAGGTCATAAAATGAATAGCCTTTTGTGGCTTGATATCTTAGATCACTACCTCTGGGAGTGGAAGCTAACATGTAGTGAGGACACTGAAACAATTCATGGAGAACACCACATGGGGATTAACTGAGACCTCCCAACAAGAGCTAAAGCCGATTTTCCATCAGTGTCAGTGAGTAACTTTGAAAGTGGATATTCCCGACGCTTTCAGGTTTTTAGATAACGACAGTCACAGATGACATCGCGACTGCTATCTCCTTAGAAACCTTGCTAAGATGCTCCTGAACTCAACACACATAAGCTGAGTAAAACAAATGCTCGTTGCTGTTATAGGTATTAGGATTTCAGAAAATGTGTTACACAGCAAGAGAAAAATTAAAATATACATCCTAGATCTTTCTTCTCTTCTGTTTATATGTTTCTCTGTTGTTCTTTGAACACTGTTATTTACATTCTATTTTCTATTCTAGTTTCTATTTTTATTTACGTTCTATTTTTGAACACTTTTATATTCTATACACCTCTTACATTATTTTCACTAATATCTTTTGAGCCGCTTCTAATTTCACATTTTATTTTTGCTAGGGTTTGAATATTTGTGTCCCTCCAAAATTCATATTGAAATTTAATCCCCTTTGTGGTGGTATTAAGAGGTGGGACATTTCCGAAAGTGATTAAATCATCAGGGCCCTTCCTTCGTGAATGGGATTAATGCCCTTATAAAAGGGGCTTTAGAGAGCTGCCCGGCTCTTCCATCTATTCTGCCACATGAGGACTCCTAGATGGTGCCATCTGTAAGGAATAAGCCCTTGCCAGATACCAGAATCTACTAGTGTCTGAATCTTAGACTTCCCAGCCTCTACAACTGTAAGAAACACATTTCTGTTGTATATAAATCATGTAGTCTACAATATTTTATTATAGAAGCCTGGAATAACCTAGAAAAAGATTTAATATTACTTTTAATGTTTAATATTTTTTTCAATTTCTTTCCTGAATTCCACAACCCCATACATCATCTTTTTGTTTTTGTTGTTATTATTGTTGTTATTGCCTCAACAGGTTTTTAAAAAATTGTTATTGTATTTACTCTCTGAGGGCTTTTATACAGAGATAATTGCACCAGTATATTTTAACAATTCATTGTATTATACTTAGTCACAATTTGGTTGGCTCCATGGCAACATGTTTTTAGTGAGTATTCTTCACCTAATATTTGTTCCTTTTTTTGTGCTGTATCTTTGTAAAGATACATGGTTGCATTCTGGACAAATTATATGCAGGAAATTTGTATACAAGAAGGAGCAGGATTTATTTTATTCTCATGAAGGAGGTTTCTCTTTCTCATAGTTTTGTTTTGAGAGTGAATTCCTTAAGCTTTTACTTCTCTCCACATTTTGCACTAAAAAGCACCTGACAATAGAGTCTCCTTTTTGTCAATTACCTTACTAATTGAATGCTTTTAGTTAGTATGACATTGCTTCTTTGATTTCTCATTTATCCCCATTTTTAATTCCTAGAACCAAATACAGTGTAGATAAACTACCATTGCCAATCTTTGATTCCATTCCAGTTTTGCAAACAAGAATATGTGTGTATTTTCTTACCTATAGGTATAGCACACTCAAAGAAGAAATGTGCTCTGCATTTTTTTCTTTGAAATCAGCATTCATGGACTTACTTGTCTGCATCTTCCTGCATGCTGTTTTCCTTCACTATTTTTGTCAGTTTTTTCTTGTATTTTGTGTTTTGAGGTTTTAAATATTTCTTCATTTTTTTAAGCATGCATATTGTATTGCTATTTTGCTTTTATATTTTGGCTTTAGGGTGATTTTTTACATGACTGGGGAATACCCAAATTTAATTTGCTGCATTAAATCTGGAGTCACTCAATTGAGGATTTTATTTGAGCCTATCATGGCATAAATTGTTTCTCTTTTACTGACTACAATTTTGATGTTCTAAGAATTCCTATAAAACACAATTAAATAAACAAGCTGCTAAGTTGACGTAGCACCAGCTACATATTTTTCAAGGCCTAATACAAAATAAAATGTACTGTCCTTTGTTCAAAAAGCAGGAAAAATACTTTTCCTTTATTTGGTTCTCTCTCTCTCAGCCCTCTCACGGAGCTTTTTATTTTCTGTTTTATGGTGTGGTACCTTAGATACGGTGGTTTTCATAGAGCAAGTGAGACTCTCATAGGTGTCTAGGGCCCTTCCCTGTGACTCAATGCACAGGGCGTGTGCACTCAAACTTAACCCACCTATGCCGAGGGCCCTGTTAAAGGCAAAGGGTGGCAGCAGTGCTGGGTATGATAGAGGAGAAAACAATTGAGAACCTACCCTGTGCAGGTGGGGTGGTAGGGCCGCATGTAATCTGAAACTCCAATCCCAGGAACATGCTCCATTGTCCTAACAGATTTCATTTGCGAAAAACAAGTTCAAAGATAAAATTATTAAGAATTTCAGAATGTTGATTTCAAAGTATTAAACCCCAAGCATGAAGCTCCTTCTGAGCAATGTCCCTATATGACTGCACTGGTTGCATGCCCATGAAGTCAGCCTTGTGTTGACAAAAGAAGGTTTCAGTATGGGCATAATGTTTAATTTACTGGGTCTCATGATCATTAGCTACAAGTTATTAGCCACTGCTAACACTCGAAAACTCTTACTGACATTATTGTTTTTAAAACATCGTTTTATTAGCCCTGCCTTCCTAGCTCATTCTTGTACAATTGTTTCCGTCGTCTTTGCTTTTTACAAAGCCCACGAGTCTGTTGAGCATATTCAAACTCCCAGATACAGGAAATTTGTAGGCAAAAGAAATTAACCTCTACCGAACAACTTATTAAAAAAGTAAGTTTAAATGGATTAGAGGTCTACATGTAAAATGTGAAACTATAAATTTTTAGAAGACATCATAGGAGAAAATCTTTATGACCTAGGTTTAAGAGAAAGGTTTTTAGAAATGACATCAAAGACATGGTCCGTCAGATAAAAAAAATCAGGCCGGGCGTGGTGGCTCATGCCTGTAATCCCAGCACTTTGGGAGGCTGAGGCAGGCGGATCACGAGGTCAGGAGATTGAGACCATCCTGGCTAACATGGTGAAACCACGTCTCTACTAAAAATACAAAAAAAATTAGCCAGGCGTGGTGGCGGGTGCCTGTAGTCCCAGCTACTCAGGAGGCTGAGGCAAGAGAATGGTATGAACCCGGGAGGCGGAGCTTGTAGTGAGCCAAGATCAAGCCACTGCACTCCAGCCTGGGCGACAGAGTGAGACTCCGTCTCAAAAACAAACAAACAAACAAACAAAAATCAATATACTAGTCCTCATTCAAAAACATTGCACCATGAAAGACCCTGTTAAGAACATGAAAAGAAAAACTACAGACTGGGAGGAAATATTTGAAAGCCACATATCTGACAAAAAGACTTGTATGTATAATATACATACTGAAAAACCTCTAACTCAACAGTAAGAATGAATAATCCAATTAGAAAGTGTGCAAAAGACATAAAAAACTCACTAAAATGAATACATTAATGAAAAATAAGTACATGAAAATATGTTGAGCATTGTTATTATACTTTGCCGTTGAAAGTAGTGACAAAAACTACAATAACTTTTGCACCAACCTAATAGAAATGTAAGTTAAAACCACAATGAGGTATCACTACACACTTACTAAAACAGCAACTTTTTAAAAATTAGGACAATACAAGATTCTGGCAAGGATGCAGAGAAACTAAATCTCTCATACATTTCTGGTGGGAATGTAAAATGGCACCACCACCCTGGAAGAGAAAATGGCATTTCCAAAAAGAAAAAAAAAAACAAGCAAACTAAAATAAACCTGCAACTAAAAATGTAAACCAGTAATTGCACCCCTAGGCACTTATCAGAGAAAAAATAAAAACTCATGTCTGGACAAAATTTTGTATACAGTTGCTCATGGCAGCCCTAATTGTTGTAGCCCAAAACTGCAAGCAATGCAAATGTCCTTCAACTGGTGAGAGGATGAACAAATGGCACATCCACACAATTAAATGCTATTTGAATTAAAAGAAAAAAATTGTTTTAGTCCATTTTCATGCTGCTGATAAAGACATACCCACGCCTGGGAAGAAAAAGAGGTTCAATTGGACTTACAGTTCCACATGGCTGGGGAGGCCTCAGAATCATGGCAGGAAGCGAAAGGCACGTCTTACATGGTGGCAGCTAGAGAAAAATGAGGAAGAAGCAAAAGAAGAAATGCCTGATGAACCCATCAGATCTCATGAGACGTATTCACTATCACGAGAATAGCATAGAAAAGACCAGACCCCATGATTCAATTACCTCCCACTGGGTTCCTCCCACAAAATGTGGGAATTCTAGGAGATACAATTCAAGTTGAGATTTTGGTGGGGACAGAGCCAAACCATATCATCCCAACCCTGGCCCCTCCAAATCTCATGTCCTCACAATTCAAAACTGATCATGCCTTCCCCACAGTTCCCAAATTCTTAACTCATTTCTTCATTAATCCAAAAGTTCACAGTCCAAAGTCTCATCTGAGACATGGCAAGTCCTTTCTGCCTATGAACCTATATTAAAAGCAAGCTAGTTACTTCCTAGATACAATGAGGGTACAGGTATTGGGTAAATACAACTGTTCCAAATGGGAGAAATTGGCCAAAACAAAGGGGTTACAGGACCCGTGCAAGTCTGAAATACGGTGGGGCAGTCAAATTTTAAAGCTCCAAAATGATGTCCTTTGACTCCAGGTCTCTCATCGAGGTCACACTGTGGCAAAAGATGGGTTTCCATGGTCTTGGACAGCTCCAACCCTGTGGTTTTGCAAGGTACAGTCTCCCCCCTGGCTGCTTTCACTGGCTGGCGTTGAGTGTCTACTGCTTTTCAAGTCATAGGGTGCAAGCTGTTGGTGGATCTACCGTTCTGGAGTCTGGAGTAGGGTGGCCTTCTTCTCACAGCTCCACTAGGCAGTGCCTCAGTAGGGACATTTTGTGAAGGCTCTGACCCCACATTTTCCTTCTGCACGGCCCTAGCCGAAATTCTCCATGAGGGCCTTACCCCTGCAGCACATTTTTGCCTGGGAATCCAGGCGTTTCCATAAATATTCTGAAATCTAGGCAGAGGTTCCCAAACCTCAATTCTTGACTTCTGTGCACCCACAGGCTCAAGACCACATGGGAGCTGCCAAGTCTTGGGCGTTCAACCCTCTGAAGCCATAACCTGAGCTCCACATTGGCCCCTTTCAGTCATGGCTGCAGCGGCTGGAACACAGGGCACCAAGTCCCTAGTCTACACAGAGCACGGGGACCCAGGGCCCAGCCCACAAAACCACTTTTTCCTGCTGGGCCTCCAGGCCTGTTATGGGAGGGGCTTCAGTGAAGTTCTCTGACATGGCCTGGAGACATTTTCCCCGTGGTCTTGGGGATTAACACTAGGCTCCTTGCTACTTATGCAAAGTTCTGCAGCTGGCTTGAATTTCTCCTCAAAAAAATGAGTTTTTATATTCTACTGCATCATCATGCTATAAATTTTTTGAACTTTTATGCTCTGTTTCCCTTTTAAAACAGAATGCTTTTAACAGTACTCAAGTCACCTTTTGAATGTTTTGCTTCTTAGAAATTTCTTCTGCCAGACACCCTAAATCATCTCTCTCAAGTTCAAAGTTCCTCAAACCTGTGGAGTAGTGGTAAAATGCTGTCAGTTTCTTTGCTAAAACATAACAAGAGTCACCTTTGCTCCAGTTGACAACAAGTTCCTCATCTCTATCTGAGACCTCCTCAGCCTGGACCATATTGTTCGTAGCACTATCAGCATTTTTGTCAAAGCCATTCAACAAGTTTCTTAGCGGTTCCAAACTTTCCCACATTTTCCTGTCTTTTTCTGAGCCCTCCAAACTGTTTCAATCTCTGCTTGTTACCCAGTTCTAAAGTTGCTTTCACATTTTTGAGTATCTTTTCAGAAACATCCCACACTACTGGTACCAATTTACTGTATTAGTTCATTTTCATGCTGCTGATAAATACATAGCTGAGACTGGGAATGAAAAAAAAAGGTTTAATTGGACTTACAGTTCCACATGGTGGGGGAGGCCTCAGAATCATGGCAGGAAGCAAAAGACACTTCTTACATGGTGGTGGCAAGAGAAAATGAAGAAGAAGCAAAAGCAGAAATTCCTGATGAACCCATCAGATCTCATGAGACTTATCGACTCTCACAAAAATAGCACCGGAAAGACCAGTCCCATGATTCAATTACCACCCTCTGGATCCCTCCCACAACATGTGGGAATTCTGGGAGATACAATTCAAGTTGAGATTTTGGTGGGGACGCAGCCAAACCGTATCAAATATTGATTCAACTAACACCTTGAATAAATATAAGGGGCATTATGGGCCAGGCGCGGTGGCTCACACCTGTAATCCCAGCACTCTGGGAGGCTGAGGCAGGTGGATCACAAGGTCAGGAGATCAGGAGCATCCTGGCTAACATGGTGAACCTCGTCTCTACTAAAAATACAAAAAAAAAAATAGCTAGGCATGGAGGCGGGTACCTGTAGTCCCAGCTACTTGGGAGGCGGGAGGCTGAGACATGAACCCAGGAGGTGGAGCTTGCAGTGAGCCGAGATTGCACCACTGCACTCCAGCCTGGGCTACAGAGTGAGACTCTGTCAATTAAAAAAAATAAAGGGGGGCGGGGGGGGGGGCATTATGCTGAGTAAAACATGTCAGTTTCAAAGGTTACAATACTATATAATACCTTTTATATATCATTCTTACATTTTAAAAGTTACAGAGATGGAAGAGAAGCTAGTGGTTGCCAGGTGTTTGAGTTGGGGAAAGAATATAACCTTTAAGTGGTAACAAGAGGAAGTTTATCCGTGGCAGTGGGACAGTTCTGTATTGTAATTTTGATGATGATTTCCCAAATCCATATGTATGATAATATTTACTAAAACTACACACCTACACATACACACATGTGATGTACAGAGAAAAACTGGTGAGATCTGCATAATGTAAATACTTGAGTCAATAGTAATGTGCCAACATCAATTTTCTGAGTTTCACGATGTATTATGAATTATGGTTATGAAAGATACTAGTATTATTTTGTGGGGAAGTTGAGAAAAAGGCACACAGGAGCTCTCTCTGCTATTTTTGCGACTTCTTGTAAGTCTTAAACTATATGAAGATAAAAAGTTATAATTAAAATATACAGGGAAATTAATCCAGATTCACAAAAAGGCAGTCATTGAATCTACCACAACATGGTTAAGACACATATTTTACCAAAGTGCAATGTTTTCTTAACATGAATGCAGTAATCAAATCAAGCAAAAACAGCACGCACTCCAAGCTTTAGGATATCCAATAATATCTCCCAAATATACAAAAATACACTTGTAGACATGCTTTGTCTACCGTGTATTCAGATTGTTTCTCTAATTTTCTGGATCCTCACCAAGGTAAACACCATAAAATGTGGGATATCAGAATCACAGTTTAGCAAGATCTATTAAAAATGTTATTTGTAGATGGCAAGGTTTAGGAGGATGTTATAAAAAACATAACCCATTGCTATATATATTCCTAACCCAACATCCAAAAAGGGAAACAGCTTTCCCTTTACTATCTAGAATATGGGCAGATAGGAAGCAGATAATATATTCCTTTAAGCAAAAGTATTTCACATCAAACTTTTTGGTGTTTTCCATTTATATTTATTTTTTCTGGAAGTTAGCATAAAATTGTTCATAGGAATTATCATTTATTACATGTTTCTTTTGTTCCAAGCCCTGGGCCTCGGGCTGAAGATATGAAAAATAATAAAGAATGATCTTTACTAAAGACACTTCTAGCGTAATGAAGAAGACAAACAACTAAATAGATAATCATGATCAATTGAAGTTACTTAGCTCTTAATCTTCAGCCAAGTTGTTTTTTTCTTTTTGCACATTTTTGTCTGTATATTTAAAGTGGGGGTAAAAATAATATCTATTTCACAGGCTCCTCATGATGATTTTAAAAGAAACTAATTGTAACTGTCCTGGAACACAGTAAGTGTTCAATAAATGGTAACTGTTATTGTTCTTAAATCAGGATTGCTCAGTCATCTCCCAAAGCCCCACCTCTAGACCTGTGTTCAAACCAACTTTAATAGGTTCTCTTAAAAGGCATGCTTTATTATTTTCCAAATTTGGAAAAAAATATCCCCAGTCCCTATTCAGTTTGAAAACAATTCTATTGACTCCAAGCGCAACTCTTGATGTTTAGAGGCAGAGACCTTTATTTGAAAAGGAGAATACACTAAAGAAACTTCAAAACAGACAGTGGAACATAGCGATTGAATGCATAAGTATTCGATTTAGCTGTATCATTCATCACTAGCTATGTGATCCTGAAAAAGTCACAGTCATCTTTCTTAGCCTAAATTTTCTCAGATGTAAAATGAAGGCCATAACGGTACTAACTTTATAAGGCTGTTGTGAACATTACATGATTCAGTGTTTATAAGGTGCTTGCCAGTTTCTAATACATGGTACATTTCAGATCCATTTCTTCTCCACCTGTCCTCAAGGCAGAGCAATTTATGAATTGTTTCCAATTCAGTCTCTCTCTGTTTAGAACACTCTCCTGGATTGGAGATAAAATATATTAATTCCTCACTTTTTTTACGCCCTTTGTTTGTTTTACTAAAATCACATTCTTTGGTCAGTTCAGGGATTCCATGTATTGATTATTCCTTTCCCCTCCAAGACTACTTTTGATGTCCATGTTAAACACAGTAACTTGCACAAAATCTCTTCCCTGGATCGGGGATAGGGGAATGAAAGATAATGGCTTATCTTAGTCTAAAGCAGCTCTAGGAGTTTATAAGGGGAAGATGAGAGACATAGACATGGAGAAAAAAAAGGGGGCTACAAAGATAATTTTACACAGCAGATAAATTTATAAAGCATAGCACATATGCTGCCCTTATGGAGATGCAGGAACTAAACCCTGTGGGATTGTGCCCTCAAGAATCAATATATTTATGAGTATGTGAAATTGATTTGGTGTCATACACAGAAATGTTTCAGTTTGGGATCTTCCATTTCAGTTCATTTCTCTGAACTTTGATTATTTCATTATATTATGAGGTTTCTGTATTTGTCTATTCTTGCACTGTTAATAAAGACATACCTGAGACTGGGTAATTTATAAAGGAAAGAGGTTTAATGGATTCAAGTTCAGCAGTGCTAGGGGGGGCTCAAGAAACTTACAACCATGGTGAAAAGGGAAACAAACATGTCCTTCACATGGCAGCATGAGAGAGAAAAATAAGAGCTGAGCGAAGGGAGAAGCCCCTTATAGACAGCCTCCCAAATCTGGTGAGAACTTACTATCACGAGAATAGCATGGGGGAAACCACCCCATGATTCAATTTCCTCCCCCTAGGTCCCTCCTACCACATGTAGGGATTATGGGAACTACAATTCAAGATGAGGTTTGGATGTGGACACAGCCAAACCATATCAATTTCTGAGCACCTTTGGAGACAGTACTTTAGATGCTGAAATAATTGAGAAAACATAATTTTTAAGTGATTCATATTTCTTAGCACAGCTCACCAAGATTTGGGTAAAGGGTAGGGGTAAGAGCATCTGATATTTGTGTCACAAGGCAAACCCCAAAATTTGGGCTCAGCCCAGGAATTCAAGTGGGTTCTGTGCTTCATGCAGGAAAGAATTATAAGGGTGAACTGACAGACGAAAGTGAAAGCAAATTTATTAAGAAAGTAAAGAAGATCCTGTCATTTGTAACAACATGGATAAAACTAGAGGTCATTATGTTAAGTAAAATGAGCCAAGCACAGAAAGACAAACTTCATATGCTCTCACTTATTTGGGGGAGCTAAACGTTAAAATAATAGAACTCATGGAAGTAATAAGTAGAAGGATGGTTACCAGAGGCTTGGAAGGGTTTTGGGAGGGAGAGGGAGAAGTGGGGATGGTTAATGGGTACAAAAAAAAAATAGCTAGAAAGAATAAATACACCTAGTATTTGCTAACACAACGAAGTGTCTATAGTCACAAACAATTTAATTGTATATTTTAAAATAACCAAAATGGTATAGTTGAATTGTTTGTAACAAAAAGGATAAAAGCTTGAGGTGATGGATACCCCACTTACCCTGATGTGGTTATTACACATTGAATGCCTGTATCAGAATATCTCATTTCACACACACACTTGTGTGTGTGTGTGTGTGTGTGTGTGTGTGTGTGTGTGTGTGTATATAATTTTAAAAAGAAAGTATAGGAATAAGAGGATGGTGACTCCATAGGCATAATATCCCTGAGGGCTCTGGTTGGCTATATTTATGGTCATTTCTTTATCATAAGTGAAATAAGGGTGGATTATGTATGAGTTTTCTAAGAAAGGGGCAGAGGGCTCACAGCACTGTTTTTTTTCCCCCTGTCCAGACCATACAGGGTAACTTTTGGGTGTTGCCGTGGCATTTCTAAAACGTCAGGGCACTGGTAGGAGTGTCTTTTAGCATGTTAATCACTATAATTAGTACACAATGAGCAGTGAAGGTAACCAGGGGTCTCTTTTATTATTATCTTGGTTCTAGCTATTTTTGGCCTGTTTCTTTACTGTCCCCTGTCTTATCAACTGGCTCTTGTGACCTGTTGTCTTGGAAACTAGTCCTGCCAAATTTCTATCTCTGTTGAATCGCCTTAAGATTTGTTTGTACAAGCAACCATGCATGTCTCTAACCCCCACCCCTAATTGGTTCACAAAGAATCCACAAATCCTGTAACGAGAAACTCGTGGAGTTCAATGTGTCAGTCCAAAGAAAACATCTGGCCCAATTTAATTATCTTCTTTGCTCTGCCTTTGATGCAATATGCGCAGCTGAACAAACAAGGGATGATGTAAAAAGGAACACCTGTAAGAGAACACTCCTACTTGTAAGAAGGAAATCTCAGAAATAAGCTGGTATTTTGACCTGAGGGGCTGAAACTGCAATGCTGTTTTAGTCATACTGCCATACTGAATTTACCAGCTTAGACTTCTCCAAAATGTATTATTCCCAAGACAAGAATTTATGAAAACATTCTGGAACTTGAAAAATTTAAGGGAGCTAGATTCACATAAATAATTTTCTCCAGTGTTAAAAAAGAGGAACCCAGAAATGTCCTTCTCACATGCAGTTGCAGAATTAGCAATTTTAGAAAAGTCTTCAAGCTATGTTTGTATTAAGGTGGAGGGAGAATGGATTGAGGATGTGTTCTTGGAAACTCATTTTATACTCAATTTCTAAAACAGTGTTGTCTAATATAGTAGCACTAGAAAAATGTAACTGTTTAAATTTAAATATATATTTAAATATATATATATATATCTTCAGTCTCACTAGCCCAACCCCAATAGCCACATTGAAATAGTGGCTACTATACTGAACAGCACAGATACAGAACTTTTACATCACCACGGAAAGTTATCTTGGCTAAATTTAAACCACTGTGCATTCATGCATGCCTATACTCAATCTCATAATATGTTTAGAGGGCTATAAGTTATATTTTATCTCACGTATTATTTGACTTTCAAATTTGTAATCAGTTTTTAGGGCTTAGCCTCCATACTACTTCATTTTAGGAATATTCTGAGAATCTCCTGATCAGAACTGAAAATGTGTGATATGATTAGGCTTTGTGTCCCCACCCAAATCTCATCGTGAATTATAATCCTCATAATCTCCATGTTTTAAAGGAGAGACCAGGTGGAAGTAATTGCTCATGGGGGCTGTTCCTCCCATGCTGTTCTTGTGATACTGAGTGAGTTCTCACGAGATCTGATGGTTTTATAAGGGACTCTCCCGCCTTCACTTGGCACGTCTCCTTTTTTGCTGCCTTGTGAAGAAGGTGCCTTGCTTCCTTTTACATTCAGCCATGATCATGTTTCCTGAGGCCTCCCAAGCCATGCTAAACTGTGAGTCAATTAAACCTCTTTCCTTTATAAGTTATCCAGTCTTGAGCAGTTTTTTGGAGCAGTATGGAAATGGACTAATCCAGTAAATTGGTAGTGCAGACAGGGGGATGTTTGCTATAAAAATACCAGAAAAATGTGGAAGTGACTTTGGAACTGGGTAACAGGCAGAGGTTGGAACAGTTTGGAGGGCTCAGAAGAAGACAGAAAGATGTGGGAAAGTTAAAACTTCCTAGAGACTTGTTGAATGGTTGTGACCAAAATGCTGATGGTGATATGGACAATGAAGCTCAGGCTGAGGCGGTCTCACGTGAAGATGAGGAACTCACTGCGAACTGGAGCCAAGGCCAATCTTGCAATGCCTTAGCAAAGAGACTGGTAGCATTTTGTCCCTGCCCTGGAGATCTGTGAAACATTCAACTTGAGAGAGATTATCTGAAATTGGAACTCATGTTTAAAAAAGAAACAGAGCATAAAAGTTTGGAAAATGTGCAGCCTGACCATGTGATAGAAAACAAAACAAAACAAAAAAACATTTTCTGAGGAGAAATTAAAGCCAGCCACAGAAATTTCCATAAGTAATGAGGAACCCAATTTTAATCACCAAGACAATGGGCAAAATGTCTTCAGGGCATGTCAGAGGACTTCAAGGCAGCCCCTCCCATAACAGGCCCTGAGGCCTAGGAGGAAAAAATATTTTTTGTGAGCCAGCCCCAGGGCTGTCCCCACCCCCAACCTCCATGCAGCTTCGGGACTTGGCACCCTGTGTCACGGGGGCTGCCACTCCAGCTGCAGCCATGGCTAAAAGGGGCCAACATAAAAATCAGTTTGTTGCTTCACAGGGTGCAAACCCCAAGCATTGACAGCTTACATATGGTGTTGGGCCTACAGGTGCACAGAACTTACAAACTGAATTTTGGCAACCTCCACTTAGATTTCATAGGGCGTATGGAAGTGCCTGGATGTACAGGCAGAATTTTGCACCATCAGTGGAGATCTCATGGAGAACTACTGCTAGGGCAGTGTGGAAGGAAAATGTGGGATTAGAGCCCCCACACAGAGTCCCCACTGGTGCACAGCTTAGCAGAGCTATGAGAAGAGGGCCACTGTCCTCCAGACCACAGAATGACAGATCCACTGACAGCTTGCACCGCGCACCTGATAAAGCTGCAGACACTTAATGTCAGCCCATGAAAGTAGCCTAGTGGGAGGCTGTACTTTGCAAAGCCACAGGGGCAGAGCTGCCCATGGCCATGGAAACCCTCCTCTTATATCAGTGTGACTTGGATGTAAGACATGGAGTCAAAGAATATCATTTTGGAGTTTTAAGATTTGATGACTGCCCTGCTGCATTTTGGACTGGTATGGGGCCTGTAGCCCCTTCATTTTGGCCAATTTATCACATTTGGAATGGGTGTGTTTACCCAATGCCTGTATCCCCATTTATCTAGAAAGTGACTAACCTGCTTGTGATTTTACAGTTTCCTAGGTGGAAAGGACTTGCCTTGTCTCAGACGAGACTTTGGACTTGGAATTTGGGGTAAATTACTGCTGGAATGAAGTAAGATTTTTGGGACTGTTGGGATGAAATAATTCGTTTTAAAATGTGAAAGGGGCATGAGATTTGGGAGGTCCCAGGGATGAAATAATATGATTAGGCTTTGTGTCCTCACCCAAATAGCATCTTGAATTGTAATCCCCATAATCCCCTTGTGTAAAGGGAGAGACCAGTTGGAGGTAATTGAATCATGAGGGCAGTTTCTCCCATGATGTTCTTGTGATAGTGAGTTAGTTCTCATGAGATTTGATGGTTTTATAAAGGGCTCTTTCCCCTTCACTCAGCACTTCTCCTTCCTTTCGCCTTGTGAAGAAGATGCCTTGCTTCCCCTTCGCCTTCTGCCATGATTATTAGTTTTCTGAGGCCTCCCCAGTCATGCTGAACTTTGGTCAATTAAACCTTTTTATCTTAATATAAATTACCCAGTCTTGAGCAGTTCTTTATAGCAGTATGAAAATGGACTAATACAATGTGTATACAATATCATTTTAGAATTTGTTCACTTATGCTCTGAACTCTAATTGGTTACACTGATATCTGTCTCCTCTGCTATATATAGTGGGATTCTTGAGCAGAAACTTTATGCTTTAAAAGCTTCTTAAATACATTCACACACACACACAAACACACACACAATATTTATGTCAGTGGTACTCTAATTTTAGCACACATCATAATCAAAAGCCCTATTATAACATAGAGCTCAAAGGTGTTTCCCAAATATGGCCATTCCTGAGCTTCAGCTTTAGAATCTCTAGATTTTCCACTCATTCAGGATGGAGGAACAAAAGGCTGCAGATTTTTTTTACTAAAATCTTGGATTTTTACTATATGAAAAAAATAAAGTGCCACTGATTTTTGGGGACAGGAAAGCTGGCTAGAGGAAGAAGTGGGTGCATGCGAACCTATACATGGTCCAAATTAGAGAGTCCTTCCTAGATTGGACATAATTTCTTTGCTTCTAACACTTCACTTAAAGAAAACTACCTATTTAATTTAAGCCCTAATTTGACTAAGCTCCAATTTGCTTTGAAGTTACACTTTCTTGCAGACAGTAAATTGCTGATGACTAGCTGCAAGATGTAATATAAAAGATCAAAACTTCTTCACGTAAATCCGAAGGGACCCTTTCTAATACACCATAAGCATTGGTACACTAAAATAGAAATCTAGAATTTACTGAGTTACATTCCACTTTTCTGAGTTTCCACCTTTGAAAGCTCTCCCAAATCAGAGGCAACATCTGAAAAAGGATCACAAGCAATACTATAGCATTACAAGAAACGGATTATCATTTAAAGAGTTAGCCTTTTTCATTATTTTGTGACAGACTTGACTGATTATTTTTACTTCATTGACTAAACTCACCCCTGACTTTGTGTGTATAAATGTTTGCCGGAGAAAATGAGTGTGAAAATACTAGAGAGAGAGGAAAAAACATAACACTTACCGAACAACTTCTGTAAACCAAGCACTCCTTTAGAAAATTTATATCTATCAACTCATATGACCTTCACAAATGTACATAGCTAGGATAGTTATAATTTGATAATATATGAGAAAATGGGAGCTCAGAAGTGTTAGATAAGTAGATTGCATTTGTATAGCTAGTAAATAACAAAGCTTTATGTAAAATGAAGTTCCTTGATGCCAAATGCCATGATATTTTCCTGTGTTGCCATTCCTACAAAGCATTCAGTAGAAG
Organism: Homo sapiens; assembly: GCF_000001405.40. Taxonomy (NCBI): domain Eukaryota; kingdom Metazoa; phylum Chordata; class Mammalia; order Primates; family Hominidae; genus Homo; species Homo sapiens. The sequence goes on along the minus strand of NC_000023.11, from coordinate 143,117,267 downwards.
GAGCGTTTCCATGTGTAAAATGTTTGTTGGCAAAATAAGTTGCAAAAGTGTTGCTCATTATGACTTTTATTTTGAGACGGAGTCTCACTCTATTGCCCAGGCCGGAGTGCAGTGGTGTGATCTCGGCTCACTGCAACCTCTGCCTCCCAGGTTCAAGCGATTCTTCTGCCTCAGCCTCCTGAGTAGCTGGGATTACAGGTGTGTGCCACCACGCCTGGCTAATTTTTGCATTTTTAGTAGAGACGGGGTTTCACCATGTTGGCCAGGCTGGCCTCTAATTCCTGATCTCAAGTGATCTGCCCGCCTTGGCCTCCCAAAGTGCTGGGATTACAGGCGTGAAGTGTTGAACTGAGTGCTGTCCTCTTAGAGCAGAAAGGAAAATTGGATGAAACTCAGTTGATGTCCGCCCACAGGGGAAGCACATAAACCAGCCCTACCCAGAGGGGAATCACTGATCCAGTGGTCCAAATTTGAGTTCCCAGAAACTTTACCACTGACGGCCAAAGTGCTCTCGGTCTCTAAGTAAACTTGAAAGGCAGTCTATGCCATAAAAACTGCAACTCTTCTGTGAGTTCTAAGACTGAACTTGGCCCAGAGGCAGTAAACTAGAGGGGCACATGACCTACCGAGACCATCTGAGGAGTGCTGGCATCACCCCTTTCCTAATCCCAGGTTGCACAGCTTACAGCTCTGAAAGAAACCCCTTTCTTCCACTTGAACATAGGATAAGGAAGAGGGGGGAAGACTTTGTCTTGTATGTTGGTTACCAGCTTAGCCAAAGCAGGATAAGACAATGATCAGAGCGTGAGCACATTTCTAGGCCCTATCTCCCAGACAAAACCTGCGCCAGAAGGTAACCTACTGCCTTGAATGGGAGAAACCAGTCCTGGTAGCATTTATTACTTGCTAACAGAAGAGCCCTTGGGCCCTGAACAACCACCAGTGATACCCAGGTACTATGTTGAGGAACTTTGGTAAGGCTCTGGGACTTGCTGTCTTCAGGTGAGACTCAGCACATTATCAGCTGTGGTGACTATGGGGTGAAGCTCTTTCTGCTTGACAAAAGCAGAGGGAAAAGTAAAGGGGACTTTGTCTTGCACCTTAGAAACAAGCATGTCCACAGGCCAATAGAGCACCAAGTGGGCCCTTAAAGTTTCCAGTTTCAGGACTTGACCCTTGGACAAAATTTCTTGACCTAAACTGGGCCAGAGGAAAGTCCACTGCACTGAATGGAGATTCCCAGGCCAGGAGGAATCCACCAGAAGCTGACTGAAGAGCCCTTGGGTCTTAAAGGAACATGGCAGCACTCCCAGTGGCCCGCGGTAGCAGTGACCATGGGGTGGGGCTCCTTTGCCTTCGGTGAAAGGAGAAAACAGTAGAAAAAAACTGCCTCTTGTGCATTGAGTGCCAGCTCAGCCACAGGTACACTTCTCAGTGTACCTAAGTGTAAAATGCCAGGTACACTTCTAAGATTTTGACTGTAGTCCCTGAATCCTGAATGACACCTCTGGACCCATCTGGGGTCTAGGGAAACTCACTGCCCTGAAGGGAAAAACACAGGTCTGGCTGGATTTGCAACCTGCTAATTGTAGAGCCCTAGGGCCTTGAGCAAACATAAATGCAAGCCAGGGAATGGTTATAGCAGCCCTTGGGCAGGACGCAGTACTGGTCTGCCTTAATGTCTGACCCAGCACAGTCTTAGCGGTGGTGGCCACAGAAGTGCTTGTGTCACTCCTCCCAGCATTAGTGGGCTCAGATCAGACAGAGAGATTCTGTTTGTTTGGGAGAAAGTAAAGGAAGGGAACAAGAGTCTATGCCTGGTAATCCAGAAAATTTTTTCAGACCTTGTCTAAGACCATCAAGATGGTATCTCTATGAGTCTACAACAGCCACAGTGTTACTGGGCTTGGGGTGCCCCCTAAAGCACATAGACCTTATATCACACCACTCAAATCCTTTCAAATATCTGGAAAGCCTTCCCAAGAAGGATGGGTGCAAACAAGCCCAAATAGTGAAGACCACCACAAATACTTAACTCTTAAATGCCCAGACACCAAAGAACATCCACTAGCATCAACACCATGCCGGAAAATAAACCTCACCACATAAATTAAGTAAGAAATCAGGAAATAATCTTGGAGAAACAGAGATATGTGACTCTTCAGACAGATAATACTAAAGAGCTGTTTTGAAGAAAAACAAAGAAATTCAAGATACCACAGAGAATAAATCCAGAATTCTATCAGATAAACTTAACGAAAAGATTAAAATAATTTTTAAAAATGAAGTAGAAATTCTGGAGCTAAAAATGCAATTGATGTGCTTAAGAATGCATCAGAGTCTTTAAATAGCAGAATTGATCAAGCAGAGAAGGAAATGGTGAGCTTGAAGACAGGCTATTTGAAAATATACAGTCAGAGGAGATTAAAAAAAGATACAATGAAAAACAATACAGCACGCATACAGGATCTAGAAAACAGCTTCAAAAGAACAGGTCTATGAGTTATTGGCCTTAAAGAAGAGGTAGAGAAAGAGATAGGGGTAGAAAGTTTATTCAAAGGGATAGTAAGAAAGGACTTCCCAAACCCAGAGAAAGATATCGATATTCAAGTATGAGAAGGTTATAGAACACTAAACAGGTTTAACACAGGCCATGAGAGAGTGGCATGACATATTTAAAGCACTGAAGAAAAATAAAACAAAAACCTTTTAGCCTAGAATAGTATATCCAGTGAAAATATTCTTCAAACACGAAAGAGAAATACAGACTTTTCCAGATACACAAAAACAGAGGGATGTCTTCAACACCAGACTTGTCCTACATGAAATGCTAAAGGGAGTACTTCAATTAGAGGGAAAAGAATATTAATAAATAAAAAGTAATCACCTGTAGATACAAAATTCACTAGTAATAGTAAGTAAACAGAAAAACACATAGTATTATAACACTGTAACTGTGGATTGTAAACTACTTGTATCCTAATTGGAAAGACTAAATTATAAACCAATCGGAAATAATAACTACAAAAAGTTTTCAAGACATGAACAGTACCATAAGATACAGAAACAACAAAATTTAAAAATTAGAGAAGATAAAGTTAAGGCATAGAATTTTTATTAATTTTCTTTTTGCTTGTTTGTTTATGCAAACCACGTTAAATTCCTATCAGGTTAAAATAATGGTTATACGATAGTATTTGCAAGCCTCTTGGTAACTTCAATCCAAAAGAAATACTATGGATACACAAAAAAATAAATATCAAGAAACTAATTTGTATCACCAGAGAAAAGCACCTTCACTAATAGAAGACAGGAAGAAAAGAAAGAAGAGAATACCACCAAAAAACTAGAAAACAAAAAAATGACAAGAGTAAGTCCTTACTTATCAATACTCATATTGCATGTAACCATCCTAAATTCTCTAATCCAAAGACATGGACTAGCTGAATGGATGAGAAAACAAGACCCATTGTTCTGTGGCCAAAAAGAAACAAACTTTACCTATAAAGACACACATAGACTGAAAAATAAAGAGATAGAAAAATATATTCCATGCCAATGCAAACCAAAAAAGAGCCGAAGAAGCTATACTTATATCAGACAAATATTTTTCCAAACAAAAACTATAAGAAGTGACAAAGAAGGTCACTATATATAAAGGGATCGAATCAGAAAGAAAATATAACAATTTTAAGTATATTTGCACCCAACACTTGAACACCCAGATATATAAGCAAATATTATTAGAGCTAAAGAAAGAGATAGGCACTAATACAATAATAGCTGGAGACTTCACCCCACTTTCAGCATTGGACAGATCTTCCAGAAAAAAAGTATCAACAAGGAAACTTTGGATTTAATCTGTACCATAGATCAAATTGATCTAATAGATATTTACAGAACATTTCACCCAAGAGCTGCAGAATACACCTTCTTTTCCTCACCATATGGATCATTCTCAACGATAGACCATATATTAAGTCACAATACGAGTCTTAAAGCATTCAAAATATTGAAATAATATCAATAATTTTCTCTGACCACAATGAAATAGAACTACAGATTAATAACAAAAGGAATTTTGGAAACTATAAAAATACATAGAAACTAAACAATATGCTCCTCAATGACCAGTGGGACAACAAAGCAATTAAGAAAAAAAATTAACAATTTTATGAAACAAATGATAATGGAAACACAACATACCAAAACCTATGGGATACAGAAAAAGCAGTATTAACATGGAAGTTTATAGCTATAAGTGCATACGTCAAAAAAAGATGAAAAATTTCAAATAAGCAATTTAACAAATGCATCTTAAAGAACTAGAAAAGCAGGAGAAAACTAGTCCAAAATTATTACGTTACCATTTCTCATATTCAAGGTAGAATGAAATAATGGCAAAAGTCTCAAATGATACATAGAAGGAAAAGGACATCAGCCACATGACTACACGCTGACAATCACAGTGTCTGCAGAAAATTGTACTTGAATCACTGTTAGGGACAGGTTTATTCCTGTCATTTCTTTAGAGAAGTGATTCCCAATCTTGAGTATGCGTTAGAATCACCTAGAAGCCTTGTTACAACATAGATTGCTGGGCTCTACCCACAGAATTTCTGATGAAGTATTTCTGGAGCAGCATCTGTTTTCAAACCAGTATCTAGGTGACGCCTAAACTGCTGGTCCAGAAAAAAACCCATTGTTTTTGAACAATGGTTCCTAACTCCAGCCACCTTTAAATAATATTAATGTTTGTGTCCACCCTCCATATTTAATTGATCAGCTTGTGGGTGTTAAGAATATTCCATGGCTAGGAACTATGGCTTATACCTGTAATCCTGGGACTTTAGGAGGCTGATGCAAGCAGATCAGTTGAACCTAGGAGTTTGAGTCCAGCGTGAACAACATTGTCGAGACCAGCTCGGTCGGGGAGACCCTAACCCAGCGGCGCTAGAGGAATTAAAGGCACACACACAGAAATATAGAGGTGTCAAGTGGGAAATCGGGGGTCTCACAGCCTTCGGAGCTGACAGCCCCGAACAAAGATTTACCCACATATTTATTGACAGCAAACCAGTCATTAGCATTGTTTCTATAGATATTAAATTAACTAAAAGTATCCCTTAAGGGAAACGAAGGGATGGGCCGAATTAATTGCAGCAGGAACATGCCTTTAAGACACAGATCGTTCAAGTTTCGTTTGTGGCTTAAGAATGCCTTTAAGCGGTTTTCCTCCCTGGGCGGGCCGGGTGTTCCTTGCCCTCATTCCCGTAAACCCACAACCTTCCAGCTTGGGCATCAGGGCCATTATGGACATGTTACAGTGCTGCAGAGATTTTATTTATGGCCAGTTTTGGGGCCAGTTTATGGCCGGATTCTGGGGGGCTTGCTCCCAACACAACATAACGAGACTGTATTGGTCAGGGTTCTCTAGAGAAACAGAACTAATGGAATATATGTATATAATATATGTAAAGGGGAGTTTAATAAGTATTAACTCACGCAATCTCAAGGTCCCACAATAGGCTGTCTGCATGCTCAGGAGCAAAGAGAGCCAGTCTGAGTTCCAAAACTGAAGAACTTGGAGTCTAATGATCGAGGGCAGGATGCATCCAGCACCAGAGAAATATGTAGGCTGGAAGACTATGCCAGTCTCCCTTTTCACATTTTTCTACCTGCTCATATCCTAGTTCTGCCCACTAGGAAGATTTTCCTTCACCGCTGTCCTTCAGGGATGTCCTAGAAAGGGGCTGTAGTGATGCAGCTGTCCTCTTTCGGGTGGTGCCTGCATGTTGTGCAGAAGCATCTGTGAACCAGGCCCTAGTCTTCTCTTCCTTTGTCGACTGTTCATAAGGAACTCCCCATGAGCCCATTGGTGCAGGCTGGGCAAGAGAAGGCAGGGTGGCAGGAGTGGAGAACATGGGTCTTTGAGCCACTTCCTTATGTAACTTACTTGTGCCTTCAGGACCTACTTGTGCCTGGTCACATATATACCACTTTCCTTTCATGATGGAGTGCTGCTGTGCACGCCGCACTCCATGGCTACATGGGTCAGAAGCACCCAGTTCATGATAGGCAGTTCAGGTCGCATGGTGACTTGATGACCCATAGTCTAACCTTCAGTTTCCATCAAAGCCCAGTAACAGACCAAGAGCTGTCTCTCAAAAGGAGAGTAGTTATCTGCAGAAGATGGCAGGACCTTGCTCCAAAATCCTAGAGACCTCCACAGTGATTCACCTATGGGGGCCTGCCAAAGGCTCCAAACAGCATCCCTATCTGCTGGCAGCTGATTAGATTGTACCCACCCAGATTAAAGGTGGGTCTGCCCCTCCCAGTCCACTGACTTAAATGTTAATATCCTTTGCCAACACCCTCACAGACACACCCAGGATCAATACTTTGTATCCTTCAACCCAATCAAGTTGGCACTCAGCATTAACCATCACAGAAGCCCTGTCTCAATTAAGAATAACATTCCATGGTGATTCTACTGTATAGGTGATGGTAGGGTGATCAGCCATTCTAGTTTGCCCTTTACTGGATAGTTTCCTGGGTTATGGGATTTCTAGTGCTAAAACTGGCAGTCTCAATCAAACTGAGGCCGGTGGTCACTCTAGCTGTAGAGTCAAGGTCAACTTGATGAATAACTTGCTTTCTCTATCTTGTGGAGGGCAGTAGTAAAGTTTATCTTGACATTATTTTGCCAGTGACTAAAACAAGGTGTGAGCATTCAATAACTAATTGATTTAATTCGTCTAATATTACAGGTAGAAAAGTATCTTTCTGCATGTTATAAGAATGGGGCTTTAGAGCTAACCTATTGAAGCATGGAAAGAACGCATGCTTTGGGGTTAGATAAGAGTGAGCTGGATGCTGATTCTTCCATGAATTGCTTGTGCAACTTTGGGCAAGGTACTTAACATATTTAAGACTCTGTTTCTTCTTATGCAAAGTGAGGAAACAACTAATGGGCATGGGTATTGTGTTACAAACATGTCTAGTATAGCATCTGGTATATGTAAGATCTCAGAAAATACTAGAGTGTGTATTTGTGTGTTTCTTTCCTTCTTCCCAGAAGGTGACAACATAAATATGCAGAAGATTTTAGGGACGAATATTGTTTCTATAGTTAGGGAAAAGTATTCCAGGATGAAGGTCCAGTATGAACAAAGACCAATAGCTCTAAAATGGCATGCTTTTTATTTTGTTTTGTTTTGTTTTTGGGGTGAGGGGAAGAATACAGAAGAGTGATGTCATGTATATATGATTTAAGGTAATATATAGTTTAAATAATATCTCAGGGAACTGTGCTAATCTGTAATGAAATTTTTAATTTCAGTTTTGAAAATTACAATGTAAACCACAATAGTGATTTTAGCAATATAGGGGCAACGCTTACCTAATTATTTAAAAATTACTTCAAATTAAGGGATACTACTATATAAAATATACTATGCCTATCAAAAGTAAAACCATTTGGTAAAAATAAATTTAACATTTCTTTCCTATATATGAAAACTATACATTATATGTGTTGTGTAAAATTCTATGATAGCTTTCTATTAATAGCTTTTATTTGTTTCTTACAGTGACAATGATTATCATCTGAAAAAAGTGTCAAAACATCATACTGAACCCCCAGAATATGTGCAATTAAATTCTTCGTCAATTAAAAGATTTTTTACTAAGTTAAAAAGCAATATCTCTAAAGAATTATCAAGACTGTCAAGTGCAACCAGCTATTATATATAAAGAAATAGAAAAAATATGTGTCCATAATTATAATAAGAATGTAAAAATAGCCTGATTATTGTGTTGTCTAGTAACTGGATGTTAGTAGAGTGAATGCCCAATTTTCTCTGTTTCATAAAATATTTCAGATATTATGTAGAAATTATGGTGGGTATTTTCATCTCTCTTCAGAACAAGAAAACCAACACAATGAAAGTGGTTAGTGTCATGAACACAGACACACCTGTAAGGTAGAGGAGGTGGAGAGGGTCATGATCAGAGGTCAAGTCATTTGGTGTGTTCTCTGTCTTCATGTGTGCAAGAAAAGGTACAAAAATAGGAACATAGGCCAGCACAGAAAGCAAGTGAAAGGAAAGAAATGAGGTCAAGAAAAGTCTGGATTCTAGCCACAATAAAGAAGAAAGTTGGCAAATTCAGCAGTGGGAAACCATGTTTAAGCAATTGTTAAGAAAGGTGAATAGTGCAGTTGGAAACTAGCCCTTACAAATCCACAAAAGTTCTAATTAACTCCAGGAAACAAACCAACGAAGAAACTGGATTCCAGATGTTTTATGAGGAAGTAAAGTAACCATATTTGAATTTTAGTTAATTTTGGTCACCATGTTGATAATATGAGATTCTAATCAATGGGGTGGAAAATCTAGCTAGAAGTTGCAAACTCTGGAAGGTATAGACTTATTCTAGTCACTGGTGCTCTCACTAGACAATAAATTGGTAAGAAAGAGTCAGTCAAGATGGAATAATATTCTTGGAAGATTTCAATTACAGAAAACTCCACTACATCACTTATTCATTCTTGAAATATTGGAATATTTATTCTTTATCTTATAGTCACTATCCTCATTCCCAGTGGTCAGTAAGTTTGTAAGTTCAGGAAGAAAATCCTGATATCCTATTAGCAGCCCTAAAGACATGGAGCCTCAGGAGATATCTTACGAAAGAAGAGAAAGAAGCAGTCTCGTGTATGGTAGAGGAGATTCATATAATATGATAAAGAGGTCTAATTTAAACTTTATTGAGGCGTAAAGAGACTTTACTATGTGTATTGGTTTCTTAAGGCTGCTGTAAAAAATGTATCCAAAACTTAAATGCTTGAACTAAACACAGAAATTTACTCTGTCATAGTTATAAGTTTTGAAGTACAAAATCAGTGTCCTTGCATGGTTACTCTCTCTCTCTGAAGCCTCTGTGGAGACTCCTTCCTTGCTTCTTCTAGCTTCTTATTGCTCCAGGTGTTTGTTGGCTTGTGAAAACATAACTCCCTGTATGTATCTGTGTTTGCGTCTCTTCTTCCCTTCTTAGAAGCACACGAATCATATAAGATTAGGGCTTACACTAATGAGTTCATTTTAACTGAATTGTATCTGCAAGGAGCCAATACTCCAATGCAGACACATTTATGGAAACCAGAGTTTAGGTCTTCAGTATTAAGGACTGATCATCATTGCTAAGTAGAATAATAATTAAAAGTCACTTATGTCTAATCATAATATGAGTATTGATTTATTTTCAATGATTGTTAGAAACATTTCCTTCTGGAAAAAACTGATTATGTTTTTATCAGAATAGTTCCCAAATCCTTTTTTTCTTTTTAAAAATTTATTTATATATTTATTTCTAATTTTGTGGGTGGGTACATAATAGGTACATATATTTATGGGGTATGTGAAATGTTTTGATACAGGGATACAATGTGAAATAAGCACATCATGGACAATGGGTATCTATCCCCTTAAGCATTTATCCTTTGTGTTACAAACAATCCAAATATACTCTTTAAGTTATTTTAAAATGCTTAGTGAAGTAATTATTGGCTGTAGTCACCCTATTGTGCTATCAAATACTAGGTCTTATTTATTCTATTTTTTTAAATACCCATTAACCATCCCCATCTCCTTCCCAGCTGCCCAGTTATATTTCACATCTTCTGGTAACCATCATTCTACTCTCTATCTCCATGAGTTCAATTTTTTTGATTTTCAGATCCTACAAATTAGTGAGAACATGTGAAGTTTGCCTTTCTGTGCCTGGCTTATTGAACTTAATGATCTCTAGTTCTGTCCATGTTGTTGCAAATGACAGCATCTCATTCTTTTTTATGGCTGAATAGTATTTCAGTGTGTATATTTGCCACATTTTCTTTATCCATTCATCTGTTGATGGACACTTAGGTTGCTTCCAAATCTCAGCTGTTGTAAATGATGTTACAACCAACATATGAGTGCAGATATCTCTTTGATATACTGATTTTTTTTTCCTGTAGCGATATTTGAGGTCCTTATAGATTCTGGTGATTAATCTCTTTTCAAATGGGTAGTTTGGAAATATTTTCTCCCATTCTCTTGATTGTCTTTTCACTTTGTTGATTGTATCCTTTGCTGTGCATAAGCTTTTTAACTTGATATGATTCCGTTTGTCCATTTTTGTTTGTTTGCCCATGCTTATGGGATATTGCTCAAGAAATTTGTACCTAGACCAATGTCCTGGTGATTTTCCCCAAAGTTTTCTTGTAGTAGTTTCATAATTGAAAGTCTTAGATTTAACTCTTCAATCCATTTTGATTTGATTTTTGTATATAGCTAGAGACAGGGGTTTAGTTTCATTCTTCTGCATACGGATATTCCATTTTCCTAGCATCATTTATTGAAGTGACTGCCTTTTCCCCAGTGCATGTTCTTGGCACCTTTGACAAAAATGAATTCACTCTAGGTATGTGGGTTTGTTTCTTGGCTCTATATTCTATTCCACGGGTCTATTTGTCTGCTTCCATGGCAGTACTACGCTGTTTTGGTTATTGTAGCTCTGTAGTGTAATTTGAAGTACAGTAATGAGAATCTTCTTTTTGCTTAGGATATGTTTGACTATTCTGGCCCATTTGTGGTTCCCAATAAATTTTAGGATTGTTTTGTCTATTTCTGTGAAAAATGTCTTTGGCGTTTTGATAGGGATTGCATTTAAACTATGGATTGCTTTGGGTAGCACGGACATTTTAACAATATTAAATCTTCCAATCCATGAACATGAATGTCTTTTCATTTTTTTGGTGTCCTTTTAATTTCTTTCATCAGCACTTTATAGTTTTCATTATAAACATGTTTCATTTCTTTGGTTAAATTAATTCTTAGGTCTTTAATTTTATGTGTGATATTGTAAATGGAATTACGTTTTAGTTTTTTTCACATTGTTCACTGTTGGCTATAGAAATGCTACTGATTTTTGTATATTGATTACATATCCTGCAAGTTTGCAGGATATCAGTTCTAGTAGTTTATCAGTTCTAATAGTTTTCTTATGAAATCTTTAGGTTTTTTAAAGTACAGAATATTATCTGAAAATAACAATAATTTAACTTCTTTCTTTCCAATTTAAGTGCCCTTTATTTCTTTCTTTTGTCCGATTGCTCTAGCTAGAACTTCCAGTACTATGTTGAATAACAGTGGTGACAGTGGGCATCCTTGTCGTGTTCCAGAAATTAGAGGAAAGGCTTTCAGTTTTTCCCCATTCAGTATAATACTAACTCTAGATCTGTTGTATATGGCTTTTATTTTGTACTTTCTATACCCAAGTTTTCAGGGTTTTTATTATGAAAGGATGTTGAATTTTATCAAACATATTTTATCATCAATTAAAATTATCATATGGATTTATTCTTCATTCTGTCGATATGACATATCACATTGATTGATTTGTGTATGTTGAACCATCCTTCCATCCCAGGGATAAATCCTATTTGGTCATGATGAATGATCTTTTTAATGTATTGTTGAATTCAATTTGCTAGTAGTATTTTGATGAGGATTTTTGCATCAATATTCATCAGAAATATTGGCCTGTGTTTTTTTTTTTTTTAATGTATCTTTTTCTGGTTTTGGTATCAGAGTAACACTGGCCTTATAGAATTTGTTTGGAAGTAATCTCTACTGCTTTATTTTTTGAACTAGTTTGAGTAAAATTGATATTATTTCTTCTTTAAATATTTGGTAGAATTCAACAGGAAAGCCATCAGGTTCCAGGCTTTTCATTACTGGAAAAGTTTTTATTACGGCATTATTTTTGTTACTTATTATTGGTGTGTTCAAGTATGGACTTTTTTTGGTTCAATTTTGGAAGGTTGCATGTATCTAGAAATTTGTCTATTTCTTCTAGATTTTCTAATTTATTGGTATAAAGATGCTCATAGTAGCCACTAATGATTGTTTGACTTTTTGCTGTAGCAGTAGTAACGTCTCCTTTTTATTTCTGATTTTATTTTTTTAGATCTCTTCTGTTTTCTTAGTCTGGCTAAAGTTTTCTCAGTTTTTGTTTAACTTTTCAAAAACCCGACTATTTGTTTCAATGATCATTTGTATTGCTTTTTTATGTCCATTTTATTTGTGCTCTTATTTTTGTTGTTTATTTTCTCCTAATAATTTTGAGTTTGATTTGCTCTTGCTTTTCTAGTTCTTTAAAATTCATCCTTAGAATGTTTGTTTTAAGTGTTTTCTGTTTTCAGTGTAGGCACTTACAGCTATAAAATTCTTTCTTAGTACTGCTTTTGCTGTATCCCATAGATTTTGGTATGTTGTGTGTCCATTATCACCTATTTGAAGAAATTGTTCAATTTCCTTCTTAATCTCTTTCTTGACCTATTGGTCATTAAGAAGCATATTGTTTAATTTCCATATATTTGTATGAGTTTCCAAATTTTCTCTTGATATAAATCTCTAGTTTTATTCCACTGTGGTCAGAGAAGATGCTTGATGTTGTTTCAATTTCTCGAAAGTGTTATTACTTCTTTTGTTACTTAACATATTGTCTATCATTGAGAATAATCCATATGCTGAGAAAAATAATATTTTTAGTCTTCTATATCTTTGGTGATTTGGCATCTAATTGATTTATCAGTTACTGAGAGGAAATTATTGATATCTTCAACTATAATCATAATTTGTTTACTTTTTTCTTCTACTTTTGTCATTTTACTCTATGGATCTTGAAGCTTTGTTATTAGGTAAATATACTAAGATAATTATCTTCTTCATAAATTGATCCTTTTAAAATTATGAAATTTATCCTTTATAAAGTTATGAAATTATTCCTTTATCCTTTCTAAATTATGAAATTCTTCCTTTATCTTTGGTAATACTCTTCATTTTACAGTCTATGTGTCTGTTATACTCATGCTAGCTTTCTTATGCTTAATATTTCCATGATATATGCTTTTATTTTTAACCTGAATGTACCTTTAGATTTAATGTGTTTTTATAATAAACATATACTTGATTTTTCCTTTTATGTACAGTCAGACCATTTCTGATTTTTTCCTTAAGATATTTAGTTTAATTATATTTGATATAGTGATTGATTTATTTGGATTGAAGTCTACCCTCTTAGCGTTTGTTTTCCATTGGTGCCGCCTGCTGTTTGTGCCTGTTTCTCCTTTATTACTTTTAAAAAGTGGGAATAAATCAAGTATTTTGTAGCATCCCATTCCATTTCTCGTGTTAGTGTTTTAGATGTGCTTGTGTTTGGAGTGTTGTATGTTTATTGTATAAAGATTATAACATGTATCTGTAATTTCACAGCTTATCTTCAAGCAGCATTCTACTACTTTACAAACAATATTAACACCTTACAACTGTATATATTCAATTACCACTCTCCTAGTCTTTGTGCCCTATTTGTTATATATTTAACTTTTAGGTATGCCTTTATTCACAAAATATATTCATACTGTTTTATATTTAAAAACTAATACCATGGTGTAAACATCTTTTTAAACATATGGATGAGTGTATGTAACAAGAATAGTATATACTTACTGACATATGTGCTCCTTCATACTATCTTTGTTCCTTCCTGAAAAAGTGGCATCACTTTCTTTAGCCTAAAGAGCCTCTTTTAAGATTTCTTACAGCTGAGCTCTGCTGCAAATTATTTATTTCAGCTTTTGTTTGCTTGGAAAAGAAGGTATTGATTTTCCCATCATTTAAAAAATATTTTTCTGGAGATATAATTCTAGGCTGATGTTTTATTAGTTTTGTATCACTTAAATGATTCTGTTTAATTGTTTTCCAGACTCCATTTTTTGTGATAACAAATTACCTTATTTGTGCTATTGTTTGTCTTTATTAAAGACATCTTTTTTTCTGGCTGCCTTCAAAATATTTTTCTTCATCTTAAATTTTCAGCTCTCTGGCAATGAGGTGCTAAGTGTTATTTACTTGTATTAATCACTCTCGGCTTTCTCTGAACTTCTTGTATCTACAGATTGATATGTTACTTAAATTTGGATAAATCGTTGGCCATTATATTTTCAATTTTTTTTCTACTCTATTTTTACTCTTTTTTTTCCTTCTGCTATTCCAGTTATACCTGTGCTAGACTGTTTAATATTATCCCATATGATATTCCTGCCATAGTAAATATGTTTCTTCTTATTTTTCACTTTGGGAAAAAAAAATTATTGACTTTTCTTCAATTTTGGTAAGTTTTCCTTTTTGGTATCAGTCAGTCAATAAGCCAATTGCAATAATTCTTTACGTCCAATAACACCTTTTTGTAATATTTTCATTGGGATCCTTTTCATAATTTCTTGCCTTTTGCAAAAAAAAAAAAAAAAAAAAAAAAGCTTTAGCTATTTGAACATCTTGTCTACCCTATCCACTTGGTACTTTAAACATATTTATCTTAGTTATTATAAAGTATCTTTTGAGGCCAGGCACAGTAGCTCACGCCTATAATCCCAGAAGTTTGGGAGGCCAAGGTGGGCGGATCACCTGAGGTCAGGAGTTGAAGACCCGTCTGGCCAACATGGTGAAACCCTGTCTCTATTAAAAATACAAGAACTAGCTGGGAGTGGTGGTGGGCGCCTGTTATCCCAGCTACTCGGGAGGCTGACGCAGTAGAATTGTTTGAACCCTGGAGGCAGAGGTTGCAGTGAGCCGAGATCGCGCCACTGCACTCCGGCCTGGGGAACAGAGTGAGACTCCAACTCAAAAAAAAAAGTATCTTTTGATAATTTCATAACAGATATTCAAGAAATATTCTTGTTTTATTGTTTCCTGGACTCTATTGTTTGTTTTTCTTTCCTTGATCAGGTTCTATTGACTATTTTCCTTTTCTTGGTGATGGACAAGTTTGCATTGCTGCTTGGAGAAAAATTGTATTTTTTTCTTAAATGTGACTATTTCTGAAACATTAGTGCACAGTAAGACAAATGCTATTTACACAAAGAAATTGTACGCACCTTCTTCAGTCAAGACATTAATGTTGAGTTTTGAATATGTCTAACTTCGACTTGAGCTGGGCCTTTGTTTCGACTTTACTGGTATTCAGTTTACTACAAACTTAAAAGTATTTAATACAAGGGTCAGAATCTTCCTTTTGGCAATACTTGTGATGGAGGACATGGTGGGTTTGTCCTAGATACCTGTCCAGTTTTCAGACTTCAGCAGGACCCACCTGCCTATCCCTTGGGGAGGGCTTCTCAGCTCTCTTGTCCCTCTATCATATATCAACAACCAATGAAGTTTCTCTCAGCGGGAGATCTATCAAATCTATTGGCCTGACCCCCAGTCTTTTTTGGTAACACTTGGAAGAGCCCATGGGAAACAAGTTTTTGTGACTGCAGATATTCTTTGTGTCTGGGAATCTGAGAGTTTCTAAATCCATGTTGTCAGATATGATATAAATTCAATTAATTTGGATATATAAATTAAATAATGTTTATAATTTGGTTGCTCAGTAAGTGAGGCACATTTCATATTCGCAAAAGTCATGTACAGCTAGTGTCAGTAGCAACTACATTAGACAGTGAGGAACATTTCCATCAACATAAAAAGTTCCATTAGACAAATAGAAGTCACTCTGCTTTTAAATATTTGTGAATAGTTAACTGTTTTCCTCTTACCAGCATTTATGATGATAACTTTCTTCCTCTTCCAATAAACTGCCAAGAATAAAAGGAGCCATGAGTTTCAGTTTCTCTGTCTCTATCTCTCTCTCTCTCTCTCTCTCACTCACTCCTTCTTTCCTTTAGACTGGAACGTCACATTTTCAATTTTAGATTTTAAGGTTTCTTTATTACTTCTTAAATTCTCCAAAAATGTTTTAACATGACTTTGTAAGTTGTTTGTTCACTTTGTTTGGGTAGAACAATATTGTCTTGTAAATTTCTGCATTCTAAGCTGGAGCAGAAACTCCTAACTGGATTTTGAGACATAAGCTTCATTCTTAACAACAAACAACACACACACATACACACACATGCAAACAAACGAATGTGTGTAGTTGGAATGGTTAGGTGTTAGAGTAGAGTAGAAGTGGATGGCAGGACAGACATAAAGTTCAGGGTCTCGAGCTTTGGTAATCCTAATATCATTATACTTTCTAGCCATTATAATAATTAACATTACATATCAGAGGATTATAAAAAGTCCGGGTTGTAAGGGATCTGAAAGTCCACCTAGTCAGAAAATATACTAAAGCAACAAAATGTAACTAATGATCTTATAATATCTCTTTTAATAGGAATGGGGAAGTAATTGCTTCCTTGAAAAGGAAGACATTGAGAGGTGCTTATAACACAGCATCTCACCTCCCCCTGAAAAAAATGATCTGAAAAAAAGCAAGACATCAAGGCAGAAGTTGCAATATCTTTTATAACTGAATCTTGGCAGTGACGTATTTTCAGTGGTGCTGATTCCTACTACTCACACACGCCAACTCTGGAACAATGTGGGAAGAGACTAAACAATAATTTGAATACTAGGAAATAGGAATTACTAGGAACCATCTTAGGGCAGTTCACTACTAAATAGATTAAATTTTCACCTTAAAAAAATTCTAGAATAAATTCTAGGATAAATATTTTATTCCTATGGAGTGGAAGAGTCCTTCCTAATATTCACACAAACCCGTAAGCCATCAAAGAAATAGTTAGTATATTGTAATATGTAATACTAATAGGAAATATGTTTCAAAACATACCATAAACAAATCCTAAATAAAAACATCAAACTAGAAACTATTAATTTATAAAGGAAAGATGACCAATACATTAGATTGACCAAACTATATGACTAGACAGTTAACAAGAAAATAGAAATAGATCTTAAACATAGGAAAAATGATATACTTCACTCCTAGTAAGGAAAATGTGCATTAAACTATATTAAAATATTATTTTTCTCTGACCAGACTGGCAAATATGTAAGTCTGAAAATGCATTATGTTGTCAAGATTGAAGGGAATATAAATTTAAATTGGCACAACTCCTGTGAATGACACTTTTAGAATTTCCATTAAAATTACAAATATACATATACACATCCCCTATCAATGCCCTCCTCCCGTCAATTCCCCTTTCAAAGATTTATACTACAAACGTGCTTTCACATATGCTAATGAAGTCTGTATGAGGCTACTTAATATAGCATTGTTTCCAATAGTAACACATTTGAAACAAACTGAATGCTAATCAATAGGGGATCCGTTAAATATTTTGTGATACATCCAACAATAAAATGTGATGATGCTATAAAAAAAAAGGTAGTTCTTTGTAGTCCAAAATACAGTGGTTGCCAATATATACTGAGTAAAAAAAGTGGATAATAGTGTATAAAGAATTCACCATTTGTGTAAAAATAAGATATATATTCATACATAGTTATGTGTGCATAGAATACTTTTGTATGATACATAAAGAACTAATAATAGTGCTCATATCACAGGCAGCGTAAATAACTGTGAGATATAGAAACATTTTACTGTACAGCCTTTTAAATTTTTCGAATTTTGAACCATGGGGATTGCTATAAACTGAAGTATATCCTTGCAAAATTCACATGTTGAAGCCTTAACCTGCAATACAATGATATTTGGAGATGGGGCTTTTGGGAGGTCATTAGAGTTAGATGAGATTATGAGGGTGGCATCTTCATGTTGAGCTTAATGGCTTTATAGGGAGAGAAAGAGTAAAATATCTTTTTTTTTTTATCTGCTATGTGAGGACACAGGTGACTATGTGCAAAACCAGGAAGAGGGCTCTTACCAGGGATTTAGTTGGATAACAACTTAATCAGACTTCCCAGCCTCCAGAACTGTGAGAAATAAATATCTGTTGTTTGAGCTACCTACTCTATGATATTTTGTTGTGGCAGCTTGTACAGACTAATACAGGGATGTATTAAAATTACAAAAAATTAAATCAAGGAAAATGATTCCATTGACAACATCATGTTCTTCATGTACAATTACAAGATACACTAACAAAATATACCCAGACATTTTCAATCTTACCTGAAACACTGCTGGCGCAAAAAAAAAAATGTAACGACGACACACCTTGTGTTCAGCAATAACTGCTGACATCCTTCTTAGGCTTTAGATATTTTGTCAACCTTTGTCACACTTGTCAGCAGTTGCTGCAGTTTAACTGTAGCAGACGTAGTGATGCATTGAAAACCTACATATTAGTTTTTGTTTTTATAGTGTCGCACACAACCCTCTGGTTGTATAATCGTTGACGGCTAGTAGCAGAGCAAATTGGAGGTCAGGCTGTGCCTGGTAATAGTAACAGAAACTAGGGAGGGCCTCACTTATGGGCTTTCAGTCGGTGCAGTTGATTCATATGGGTACTATATCTGCCTCATCCATTTCATTTAAATATCTTACATCTTTGAATTTGCTGGTGATAATTATTTTAAAAATATAAATTAGTGATTGATAAAGGAAAGAGAGATAAATAGATGTGGGTCTAGAGTTGATGTTCTAATATAGCTTAGAAAAATATTGAGGATTCACATTACGCTGTTACACTGGTGGGAAATAAACAGTGAGTAAGAGGGCTGAGAAAACTAGGTCAGAGAGCTCTGCTACACTTTAGCAGGATATTTAAGGAAGAAACTAAGGCATATTACCATTTGAATTTGCAAAATAATTGGACGAACACAACTGGGTATCATGCCAAGCAAAGTAAGATAAGTATTTCTCCAAGTTTCCTAACTCAAGTATCCATGACACTTGATATATGAAGCTATAGTTAGACTGAGAATGGGAATAAACAGATTAAATCAGGTGCTTTATTGGAGATAAAATACTGTTGAGGACAACTTAAGTTTAGTGACAGCCCTTACATAATAACACGGCGGGGTGGGGGGTTGCTCTAATAATGACAGATGAATTAATATGCCACTAGAAAGATCAAGAAAGATTCCATAGGGTAGGTTATCTTTGAGTTGAGTTGTGTAGGATGACTGGGAGTTTTTCAATCAGATTGGGGATGGGAAGGGTTGGTAAGGGAAGGAGAAACGTTACAGAAAAATACTATTTTATAGGAGGTTTCACTGTACTATGAGATTTCCAACAGATAAAAAAGTGCAGGCATTTCTGTATGGCTGACATCAGAATTTGTGGTGAAAGCAAAGTTTAGGATAAGAAAGAAGGCATAAGAGGTGGCATAGGTAAAATCATGCATAGCTTCATATATTATTCTCAGAAATTTTTGTATAACATGTAAGAAACTAGGAGTTATTCAATATGACAAAAACAGCAATTGAGGACTACCACTCCGTCAGATAGAGAGAATGAAGATCTGAAATAAAAAGCAGTGAAGGGAAAGAAGAGTTGGTCAGCAGAAGATATATAAGATATCATCTTTGGGAATAAAGAAAAGGGAACGTCAAGAATGCATTACAAGACAAGATGCTATATTTGAATTATCTTAATGTTATCAAGTTTCAGAAGAGTCACCATAGTTTGAGTTCAATCATTATCAATAAAAATCAAACTAGGACTGGGCACGGTGGCTCACGCCTGTAATCCCAGCACTTTGGGAGGCTGAGGCGGGCAGATCACCTGAGGTCAGGAGTTCAAGAGCATCCTGGTCAACATGGCAAAACCTCATCTCTACTAAAAATACAAAAATTAGCCAGGTGTGGTGGCAGGTGCCTATAATTCCAGCTACTCAGGAGGCTGAGGCAGGAGAATAACTTGAACCCAGGAGGCAGAGGTTGCAGTGAGCCGAGATCGTGCCACTTCACTTAATCCTGGGCAACAGAGTGAGACTCCCTCTCTAAATAAATAAATACATAAATAAACAAACAAACTAACTAAATTTTAAAGAAATATGCTAGTTCATTGTTACAGCGCTTGACAGAAGGATGACCACAAACCGATTCTGTAAGCAATAGTCCGTCAACCATATATGGGATTCTGAAGAAAAGGTTAAGAATTTACTTGAGGTTGAAGAAGCCAGGGATTCAGATTTATTTAGAGAGAGATGTGAATGTGCTCGCATCCCATGAGTGAGGAGAAGATCAGTCTTCTACCTACCTCAAATCAAGTGAGGGGATGCTTCAAGATGAGTTTGACATGTGTTCCCGTCAGTTTTAAGAGATGCAAGGACTGTTATCTGACACGCATTTGAAAAAGTTGAATGTAAAATATCTATGACTTAAATTCAAATTCATCTGCATCTCTACAGAATAAAAACACAAGGCTACACATAAAACAAGTATAGCTTTGTCTCTCGCTGCCTTCCCTTCTCCCCAACTATAACTCACAGATGAGAAGGAAAGACTTGGAATAACAACATTTGGTCACTTAATCCTCCAATATCTCTTCATTTTTAGGTTCTGGGACACAGAGGCGAACAAAATAAACAAAACAAAAGAATCATCCTTTCTTTACTAGAGTTTGAAAGTGATTGAAAAAAAAAATTGGACCTTCTCACTATTGCTTTCATAAATGTGAAAAAAGAGTTACAAGAGTAGGTGTAAAGTGACAACAAATAATGCAGCTTTTATCTGCTTGCACCCTGTGAAGTCTACCTCCTTGAATAAAGGTCTAGATTTCTGACTTAGATACATGGTAAAAACAGAGAAGGAATTCAGAATGGCTGCTATTCACAATACAGGGGACAAGAGCCTAAAAAGCTGTAGAGTTGAGGAATGTTTTCAAGTGTGTGTGTGTGTGTGTGTGTGTGTGTGTGTGTGTTGCTGATGAGTTCAGTTTTATACCTGTTGACTTTGAGAAGGCTATGGGCCATCCAGATGGAGATTCCAAGTATACAGTTGTAGATACGGATGTGGAACTTAGGTGAGAGATTTGGCAACATAATTTAGATTGTGTCATTACCGTATAGGTCATAAGTGAAGCATTAGGAGCAGATGAATTTACCCACAGCAAGTGCAAGGAGTAATAAAATGAAGAGAAACTAGGGGAAAACTCTTAGAAGCATAAATATATTTTGGACAGGCAGAGGACTAATAATTCCACAAGAAGACTAAGAAAGAATGGCCAGAGAGGCAGAAGAAAAGGTAAAAATGTTTTTTAGTAGTCAGAAGAAAAAAGTTTCAAAAAGAAAGAAATGAAAAACAGCTTCAAACACATCAGAAGAGTCAATTAAGCTGAGGACTTGTAAGAAGCCATAAATCTGGAACACTGAGAGACCAACACCACTAATGATCTTTCTCAGAGCAGCTAAGGGGAGAGGCAGGATGAATCACAGCATATGACATTTATAACAGTGATTCTCACTCTTGGGTAATATGTGGACCATTTTAAAAGGAAAAAATATCATGTGACTTAAATAATTTTGATCATGTTACTTAAATATTTACAAACCTAAAATCATGGGCAATTTCCAAAAAGTATAAATTAAACACATAAATATAACATTTAAACAAATTAATGTGATGATTTACTGAAGTCAAATTAGAGCTCAGAACTTGAATATAATTACATAAAATGTCTTGACAAATTTTTGAGCTTGGCAATGGCTCAATTCTCCCGCTACTTTCTTCCTTTCACACTTCCGTTCACGCAGCACATCACATTATCATTTGGCCTTCACAGAGCGTGCACTCATTATATATATCATAAACCTGTCCCTTTCATTTGTATTAAACAATAAAAGATGTACTAATTGGCATCAACCTACTAAAAACACAAGCACAAACCTGGCACCGACATCCTTCAAAACAGAAACAGAAATCTGGGCTCTGAAATGTCAAGTTACAACATTGCAACATATGTTATGAATATGGTAATCCTCTAGATGACCCACAGTAGACTGACAGTATTTATTAAGTCCTGGAAAAAATAACACAAATATGAATACTCACAGTCTCATAGAGTAAGCTCAGAAGCTTGAGACTACGTCCCCAAACCCTAGTTTGAGAAGTAAAGCATTATACTATGACACCAAGATATACTATTTTTCTTTATAAGCTGTAATTTGTGATGAACATAGATGCTATCCTATTAATCTTTATATCTTGCTTTCACTGATTACCACAGTTTTTGAAATGTAGAGATGCATAAAATGTTTCATGAATGCAAGAATAAATGAATGAATGTCATATTCTTTGTCTCCTAATATGAAGAATTAGGATTAAACAAAAAATATTTATAGGAACCAGTTGATATTAATAACATTTTCCCCAATAATTCTGGTCCTGAATCAACTCATTAAGGCATGCCATGAAATAGAAAATAGCGACATAAAGTGAGAGCCTTAGAATCCAAGCAGATCCCTATGAAGCTCAGTCCTAGGACTGCCCTTCTCCCAGTGGGCACTGTGATTCAGGTAGCCTCCTGACACGAGATGCCACAGTTGTTTGCTGACGCACATATCTGCGGCAGCAGCATTCCAGCAGTGCTTCCAAATTGCACTGTCCTTATCAACAAGCTGAAAACAAGTTGTCCACTGAGTAACCTTTTCACAGCAGGAAGCTGCTTTTACATATATTATGCTTCAGCCTGTTAACAGGTTCACAGATTTCTAGGAGCATTCAGCTAATTAAAACTTGGGCAGAGATGGAAGTTCAGAGTGAAAGAAATAAATCAACTACACGACGATAACACAAGCCAGCTAAGATTGCCGGAGGTTCATTGATTGAAGTTGAGTCACTATTCTAGTAATGAAAAGGCCTGTGTGTCTTCATTATGGTGGTGGGTTCCAAATGACCAGGTCTCTCTGGCCTGCTTTACTGTTTGCTGTTTCCTAATCCAGGGCTTTTGCTGACACTCTCTGCAGCCTCTCCCTTTCTCTTTCTTTTACTTGTTCCAACTCAACATCCGTCCACCTGGAATGGCTTCTGCCAATTCATGTTTCCTGTTTTCTTCCACACTTCTGGTCCGCCCTTTCCCAGAAACTTTCTCAGACTACCATCTATGATGCCCAACTTTCTTTCCTTAGTCTGTCTTACATAGAAGCTTCCTGACTGATAACCTGAGGTCAAAGCAGAATGTGGACTTTGAAATGAAAGAGACTCACTTTCCATTTCTCAGACTACCATCTATGATGCCCAACTTTCTTTCCTTAGTCTGTCTTACATAGAAGCTTCCTGACTGATAACCTGAGGTCAAAGCAGAATGTGGACTTTGAAATGAAAGAGACTCACTTTCCATTTCTAGCTGCAATAACGACATTTTGTGATCTTGAGAAGATGTCTTAAATTCATATTCTACCTACTCACCTAAAATTTTCGGGTAACGATCTCTATCTCATATGATTGTTGTAAGAATTAAATGAAATGATGGATCTAAATTACCTAACTCAGTATGTGGCACATAGTAGGTGTTCAGTCAAGACCATCTACAGCTTTTGTTGTTATTTTGTTATTGCATGTATCCATTTTGTTATTGCATGTATCCAGTCTTTAGAAGTGGATAGTAAACTTAATTGCTAAACTGCTCAGTTCTAACCTTCTGGATTGACATATCTTTAATTAGGTAATAATATGCCTGGGAGCACAAAAGTCGTATTTTGTATCACAAATACCCAGTATAGCATCTATGACATAGCAAATGCATAGTGAATATTTACAGAATAAATGGATGCCGAGATGCATGAACTGTGAAAAGTGATTACATGATTTATATCAGTGTTTAAACAACTAGCTCTCATTTTATTTTAGCCGAAACATCACTCAGTATCTGCTTCTTGTGTCATGCCGCAGTTATTAAATTCTCTGCTAGTTTTAAAAGATTAGTTTCATAGGATATTGCCTTATTGGCAAATATCCCCATCTCTACTCACCAGCCCTACTGGAAATATCTGAAATATAAGAAACAAGTTATTTTTCTGTGGTGATGTTAATATATTTAATTAAAATAAAACAATATTAACTCTGTGGTTGGTATATAAAGCTACTGATACCAACTTTGCCACCATGGTGACGCTGTTCTAATTTTAGGAATGTTTGAACTGATTCAGCCTGGCCTCCATGCCTTCATGGGCTCTCTTGACTTTCACCCCACCATTCCTTCAGGGTTATTCCACATTCTACCCATCTAGGTCTCAAAGATCACATAGAAGCCTACAGCCATCCCAGCTGAGAGCCTGACTCCCCTAAATTGAAATAATGACCCATATGTTGGGGATTGAACACTTTCTTATTTCTCCAAATGGAGATGGACTAATTTTCTTGTCCTAGAAGTCATCACCTTTTACTTACTTTCACACCAAACTTGAGAGTGTGTTACTCTGTTTCTTTTATATAAAGAGGAATGGGAATGTTCATTATCAGGCTTCTTTTTTTTAATCCGCAAGCCATTTCTTATGTATGAAAATATCTCTACAACACCATTGTTACAACTGTATTTTTGAGTTTTCTGTTCCCCAGCACAGTATACTACGTAATCACCCATAGTAGAAACTTCAGACTCTTCTAGATTTTTTTTTATTTTCATATCCCTACTCACCACTTCCTTCTCTCCATCCAATCAGCTAAATCTTGTTGATCCTCTTTGGAATGTCTTCCATGTCAGTCTTAGCTGTTTCCGTCCTTTCTATTCACATCGCCACTACCTTGGTTCAGGCACACATCTCTCTTTAGGACTAACCAGCTTCCTCGTCTTCAGTCTAGTGTCTCTTTAGCCCAATTTTCATACCGCTTCTAGCATTTTCTTTACAAAACAGGTGATATCTCAAATTCTGCTTCTCAAAATCTGTAAACAGCCCCTGATTTTCTTCAAAATAAACTCCAAACTTCTTAGCATGGTATTCACAATTGCACCTCAAACTACTTTTTCAGTTTCAAATTTCAGTTCACTCTTCCTGGAATATTAAACTCAACTTTAGCAGGATACTTACTCCCCACAGACCCTAAACACTCTTCTGTCTCAGTATTTCTGCTCATACTTTCCTCTGCCTGGATGGCCATACACATTCATTTGATTTCTGTTTACTGGAATCTTTTTCTTCCCTCAGGCTCAGATTTGCTGCGATGGTCTCTCTAGTCAGAATCAGTCATTTGCTGTTCTACATCCAGAGAACAATCTTTATATCTAGTTTGAACACTCATTTCATTATGGCTCATGTAATATAAAGTATTTTCCTATATGCTTTCTGCTAGAGTTGAAGCCCCAAGAGGCCGAGAATAAACTCCAGACCCTCATAACACATAGAAAAATGATTGGTACATAGAATGAACACAATACATATTTGTTACTTTATTCAGAAAACATGTAAGATTTTCAACTCTATTTGAAAACATGAACGTTCTTTTATGCACACATTGATGACAAAAATCTATTCAATTGTGTGAATCCTTTGTCTGTCTAATCTGAGAATGAAGCTTCTGGCTAAATTTTACTGCAAGATCAAATTTCTTTTCAATAACAAAGGCTCTCTCTTTCTCTCACTGGAGTCAAAGCACTTGGAGTTATATATAAGAATCTGTATAATTTCTAAATTAATAACATCCTGACACCCTGTGGAGGTGCTGGAGGTAGATTTCCTTTAGACTGATAGACTGTCAATGATTTAGTTTAGCTACTACTGTGTCAGAAAATAACAAATCCATTACTAAGCAGCATGCCCTGATTTCACAGTTTAAGAAATTGAAACAAAAAGGAATTTGGAGCAAGATAACTGAATTGGGATGAAAGAAAATAACATCTCAGACAACTCACCATATGATTGAAAGATAATATATTTAACATCACATACTTGAAGAGACTAAAACAGATTTTTAAATTTTAGGCATGCATTTTAACTATAGGTGGGGATGTATACTAGCTCTTATAGACTGAAAAACAACAACAAAAAAACAAAAGAAATGATACATAAAATGTTGGATTTTACTCTTTATATATTTATGCTAATATTGGTATATTATATCAGAATTTCCATATGTTTTATTTTTTCTTTCAAACGCAGACCAGACTTTTGCCTTTAATAGGGAAACAGCTGTTAACTGATACATTTAAAGAAACTTGACTCATAGCTTTAGAAGAGAAAATTCCGAGTCCTTAAAGCATTTGAATAATTTAACTCAGTGCATATTTATGGTGCTTTGTTTCAATAACAAAATTGCCAAATCTTTCTCACATTTATCATTCCATTTGAACCTCAAAATAACCCTGTGAGAAAGTAATATTACTCCCATTTTCCAATGAGGTCAATGGGACTCAAAGGATCAAAATGATCCTTCTAAGATACTAACTGAGCCTGGAAGTGATGCATTATACCTTGTAATCCTGTTTAATTTTTATTCTGGTCTGCTCTGTTTTACTTCATACTATGTAGCTTGTTTTGTGTTAAGCACTGGGAAGAATACAAAGTTTGAGAGTGAAAGACACTTGCCCTTGTATTTGGTTCATTTGATAAAATATATTCAAATGATTAGTGTTTATGAATATGTAGGTCAGTGATTGTGGGTAGAAAATATTGGGTCGGTAAGGATATAGAGAAAATTATCCAACTAATTTTAATAGACCTGCTTAAATCTTCTTAACCTGCATATGTACACCTTGAGTAATAATTTGCTTCTTTAGAAATAAAGCAGGATGAATCAAGGTGGGTTTGGCCAAAAATAAGGTCATTTGCAATTATTTATTTATTTTAGAAAGGCAGATTGACATCTGCAATGCCTCATTTAGATGTGTCTGAAGTCTTAGATGCTTGACTACCCTATGTTCTACTACAGATGGACCTTGAGAACTTCTTTGGAGGTTGTAGCAGGAGAGCACGGACACACCTACACCCTTGACCTAAGAGCTATCCTTCTCTACTGGGAAAGGTAGTCCTTTCTGAATGAGTCTGTGGCTTCAGCAGGGACACACATCAAGCAGCGAGGGAGGAAAGGGACACCTGCTTAGCCAGCTAGATCAGCCAAATCAGCCCTGGTGATCAATGAGGTGACAGATGTCATAGCCAAATTGTTCTCACATTCTTAAAACTTATTAGAGAATGTACATAGACTTATCCCAGTTTCTTATCAATCTCTGACCTATATCTCATCCCTTGTCCATCCCTAAGCCTCACTCTACTCTCTAGTTATTCCTGAGCCTCACATCAACTCTTGTCATCAGCCTACCCCTTATCTCATCCAACCCTGACCATTTAGATAAGAGCTGGCAATAGGAGTGTTTGAATTGTGTAGTTCATGTATTATTTGGTTATTTTTTTAGAATGTGAAACAAAACAGACTTGTCAAAATGAACCTACATAAAAATGCCTATGAGAAATAGTAGATTGCAAAAAAAAATTATTGACATCAAATTGACTATGTCAAAATGGTGAGCTAAAAGATTGTGTTAGTTATTTGTTACTATGTAACAAATTACCCCAAAACTTAACATCTTAGACACAACAAATATTTATTTTCTCACAGTTTCTGTGGGTACAGAATTTGCAAATGCCTTAGCTGAGTAGTTCTGGCAATCAAGCTGTCCTATGGAATGCAATCCTCTGAAGGCATGATTGATGGCTTACTCAAATGGCTGTTAGCAGAAGGCCTCAGTTCCTTGCTTGATCTAGGCAGAAGGTCTCTGTTTCTTATTAGGAGGACCTCTCCATAGAGCCAGTTGAGTGTCTCGCAATATGGTGGCTGCCTTTCCTCAGAACACATGATCCAAGCAAGAGGGTATAAGTAAGGCGGACATCACATCTTTTAATATTTTATAATCTAGATTTGGATGCCACAAATTTCTTCCACACTTAAAACAATGTTGTTACAATGGGAGTGAGTAGCCCAAAGCTGTAAATACACGAAGGCGGAGGATCATTGGGCCTATTTTGGAAGCTGGCAATCACAAGGTGCCGTGTACTCTAAGAAGCACAGAAAAAAATAGGTCTGGCATTAGAGAGAGTAATATTCTTATATCAGGAAATCTTGGGTGAGTAGGAGGGGAAAGCCTCTTTGAGAACACTTGGATCTTGTACTTCAGTTTGATGTTGATTCTTCAGTGTGCTTTGAAACTGTCACCTTAGATCAGGGATCAAAAAGCTACATCCTGTGGGTCAACTATGGCCTAAAGACTGTTTTTGTTTGGTCGTTGAGCTAAAAATATTTTTTGATAGTTTTAAAGAGCTATAAAATAAGTAGATAGAAGATACGTAGATGATAGATAGATAGATAGATGCAACAAAGACGATATGTAGCCTACAAAGTCTAAAATATTTGCTAGGTGACCCTAAAACAATTGCCAATCTTGTCATAATCTATCAAAACACATAAAATAACTAACAAAAAGAAGAAGTTTAAATTCTGCTACATTGTCTGATAGGATATACAGACACGGATAAAGAAATATGTTTCTCCCCTCCGAGAAGGTAGATCAACATGGGGTACTAAACCCTTAACTTCTCCACTTAAAGTAATTATAACAAAAAATTAAATATCTGGAGATGTCCTTATTCCAGCATATCCCAAACCACTAAATTTAATCTTAGCTGCACACACACACAAAAGATTATCTGGTGAAATATGTTTCAGGAATACCACACATCCTGTCCTATTTTTGGAGATTCAGAACTTATTATAATAATAAATGATCTGATAAGTTCTTTCATAATTCATTTTGAAGACTTAATGCAGCATCTCCAAATTCCATTTTTCATGGACCATTTTTATTTACATGTTAATGTATGCTTATATCTATGTGTGTAACTGGAAAATATATTTTCATTGTTCCACTTCAGGGTACTCTAACAGGCCTCATTCATCCCTAGTTATGCTAATGTAAGTGTGAGAATCCTTTGCCATTGTAATTCTAGATATCCACAATTTCTTTGTGAGCTTGCAAGTGTCTCAGAAGCATTTGCTTGAGATACCTTTACAGCAGAGCTGGATATGTGCTGAGTCTCTTAGAACAGGGTGGTGTAAACTCTTATAGGAGATTGGCTCTTGAGGATGCTAAGTCCATACTAAGCCAAGTTCCTGTGTGACTGAACTGATAGTTATCTGGCACAGCTCTTGATAATGGGGCAGTAGGCTGATCAAACCTCTCATTTAACTCCCCTCCTGGACAGTTGCATAATGCTGCTTTACTGCATTCTCATGTTCTCATTTTCAGATCATTTTCTTGTGGATGGGACCCTATGTTTCAACAAAACCCCAGTTGATTCAAATGCAGTTAGATTACTGAGCAGCACATGAAAACATGAAGGTTTCAACAATCTGTTTCATAAGAATGCCAGCTTTTGGTGATTTACAGAATTAAGTTCAGTTTCGGGCTTTTTGTTTTATATTATACACACACACATATATAGGCACATTATACACATGCATATTTTATATACAAACAGATTAAAATGATACTTGCATAGAAGACAGATGCTCCTAGTGAAGGAAACAAGTTCAACTGCAAGTGCAATAATCGTGCTGATATTTTAGGGATAATCCTGAGTCCATTCTAATGAACGTAAAAGTGGAAGCCATTCTCCAAACTTCAATGCTGCAGCTTCAAAAACTAGTGCTTTTCGGAGTGTGCTGAAATTGGCCTGTACAACTCAGCAGAGCCAGTTGTAAACGTCTCTTCCGAGCTGCACCTTCAGAAGCTTCACATAAGTAGCCCATAATTGATCATGGGAAGAGTATCTGCACAAC
The DNA here is from genome assembly GCF_000001405.40 of Homo sapiens. Taxonomy (NCBI): domain Eukaryota; kingdom Metazoa; phylum Chordata; class Mammalia; order Primates; family Hominidae; genus Homo; species Homo sapiens. Next base: position 143,087,688 of record NC_000023.11, on the reverse strand, counting down.
AGAAATAAGCAAATGATGCACATGAGGACATTTTAAAACATTTGTCAGCGCTGTTTGAGATGAACGTCAGAATTAATTGTGACACAATGATTTGCTATAACAACTGAGGCTGAGAATGTGGTTTCACTGTTGTCTGTTGTTTCGTTCTTGCTTTTGGAATGGAGTGCTGTAGAAGATTAAGAATCACACCAACCTCGATACAAATTCTGTGGTTTGCACTTCCTGGCTTTGTGATCTTTTGGAATTTATTTTGAGATTCAGTTTAACAATATAAAATGTGCATAACAACATGAATTCCTATGAAGAATGTGTGGGAATTGTAGATAGCTTATGTAAATTATGTTACATGGTACCTGGCACGTGCCAGGCACTTACATGTGTGCTCACTACTATTATCATTCTCATCTCAACTCTAGTAGCAGTCATGTCTGCTCAAGCCTAAACTAGGTTGTAATTTCTAGATTTCTGCATAGATGTCCTCATTGTTTCCCTTGCTTTCCTGCATCAGCTGGCACAGTTTACCCTGTGCCCTCTTCATTGTGACTGTAGAGCTTCTCTAGGACTGCTGGCTCAAAGTGCTGTCCACATGCTCTCAGATACCTGGAAAACATTCTGCTTCCCTGCAGTCCAGAACGAGGGATAAGGGTAGGAATGAAAGTAATTTTAGGGTGAGAAACAACATTAGATTACTGCCTCACGATTTTATGCTGACCTCACCGTGCCCACACAAACACGCACACTAGTTCTTTCAATGGAAATATACAATAAGGAGCAATGACAGATAAGGCACTTCAAATACATTGAAGCGGCATATTTTCAAACATTCTGAAGGTTCTCTTGGGAAGGTTTGGAATTACAGATTTACATAGTTAATCACTTCTGTAAGAAAAAGTCACAGATCCTTAGGTCATAATCTGACCTTAGGCATGTTGAAAATCTAAAAAAAAATTTTTGTTTTGTTTTGTTTTCTATCAGAGGCTGCATTGTTGACCCTCCTCTACTAGCTAACCTGAAGGTATTTGCTGTCGGTCGTAACAAGAATTGATTCTCTTCCAGTCAATAGACATTTGCTAAGTGCTTGTGTGCATTTTAACTTCAATTTCCTTCTCTGAAAAAAATGCAAATAAATTATTTTAGGCTTCAGGGGGATTATTTGAGATGTAATTGTTATTTTCCTGCCTGGCTGTGCTGCTATTTATTTTTATGTAACTCTACAAACACAGGTGTGTATTTGCCGATATATTGCTTATTTGGATGTGAAAATAGGAGTCATTTCCAAAATAGCACAGTTTTGCAAGCTCTGGGGACCAGAACTGGGTTTTAGTCACCTTTCTATTGCGTTTATATTTGAGCAGAGTGCCTTGTACAGGAAGGTGCTGAGTAAATATTGGCTATATTGAATCATTATTTATGCCTCAGATGTCCTCAGAGAAGAGGCTCCCGCACATTGAAATCCATCATCTAAGATGCTAAGTGCATTGTCATCATTTGAAACACAATAAAATTTCATGATGAGGTTATTGAATATTTCACAAGGTCTTTAGACAGTAAAGTAAATGTTTTTTGGTGTTTTCGGTACTTGTCTGAATTCCCACACCTGCATGCCTCTACTGTAGACAGATATGATGACTGTCTCTTACCTTAACTCTGATTCCAGCTCTTAGCATGAAGCATATTAGAAACATTTGCTTTGGTAAAGATGGCTTAGTGTTCATAGCCATTTTGGTTGATGTCTTAAATTTTCTGCCAAGACTCTACCTGAGTTTTAACCTTCGTTACTTATTCTCTCTGCATCTCAGTTAATAAGATTTTCTGGGTATCATGAGTTTGTTTGTTCCCTTTCTTTCCCCTCCCCTCCCCTCCCCTCCCCTTCCCTTCCCTTCCTTCCCTTCCCTTCCCTTCCCTCCTTCCTTCCTTCTTCCCTTTCTTCTTTCCACAGACTATATCATAACACCTATAAATGCCTAAGCCTTACGTGAAACACTGCAAATTCAGTGAGAAATGATATAACATTGCCATCTTTAAAGAGCAATACATCTTAAAAAAAACACAACAAAATGATTAGCTTGAATACAACATTGTACAGCATATTCCTGCTTTTACAAAAAAGTAAATATATTGGACAAGTATTAGTGTTGTTACATTTTGACACATGAATTAGTTTGCTAGAGTTGCCATAACAAGATACCACAGACTGGGTGGCCTAAACAACAAAACTTTATTTCTTAACAGTTCTGGAGGCTAGAAGGCCAAGATCAAGGTGTGAGCATAGTTGGTTTCTTATTAAGGCCTCTCCCCTTGGCTTGTAGATGGCTAGCTTCTTCCAGTGTCTTCACATGGTCTTTCCTCTATTTGCGTCTGTCTTCTGATCTTCTCTTCTATCAGTCATATTGGATTAGGGCCCATCCTTATGAACTCATTTTACCTTAATTATCTCTTTGAAAGTCCTGTCTCCAAATAGAGTCATATTTGAAAATAATAGGGGTTATGACTTCGACATATGAATTTTAAAGGGACACAAGTCAGCTCATGATAATACAAAAGAAAATTCAGCCTCAGAGACATTGTGTAACATGCCAAGTTATTCTAGTAAGTAAATGGTAGAACTAGGATATAACCTAATACCTACGTAATTCTGGAGTTCGCATTCTTTCTACTCTATTGCCTTTCCAAACTCCTGTTACCAAACTACTGAATTTGGATTCTGTTCCTTATTCCCCACCACTTTCTCTTCACAGAAATGGTTTAGCCCCACTGGTCCCTAAGCCTTCCACTAGATTTTCTGAACCCACGAAAATCTGACTTTGTGTATCTGATCATATCTTCAATTTTTACCAACATTATCGTGCTTGTGCTGATCTCCCCCTATTTCAGATTGGATCTGCTGTCAGAGATATCTACTGCTTACGAATACACATGTGCTCCTCCATATATTCTAGCTTTATTGTAGTTAGGCAGGGGCCATGTAGGTCTTTCTAGGCTCTAGGATATCAGTAGAAATAATGTGTGATCCTTTCCATGCCTATTAAGAATCTTTATTGCAAGCTCTCACTTTACTTTCTCTTCCCCTGCTCTGGAGACTTTAATCTACATGTTGAGATTATAACATTATTGAGATCAAATATGTCTGGATACTTGAGTCACTGCATGGAGGACAACTGCTTTAATTTACCTTTCCTCCATTAAGATTAGAGAGACCAAAAAATATAACGCTGTGGCATTAAACTAGTACTATTTTTGGATTAATTTGTTACCACAGCATAGACTCATCTATCCTAATATAGACCAGTCATATTGGAATTGTGTTGCCTTCCTGTTTTCCGGTGAATCACTGATCCCCAGAGTCTCTGAGGTTATCTTCCTCACCTAGAGAGAGAAAACAGTTATATGTCTTCCTGGAAGAATCTGACCTTCTGCCCATACATTTTTGTTCTTCACAACTGCAATGACCATCAGGACACTCTGATATAATTGGACTGCCACTTCCAGTCCTGCCTTGGTTGGCTGCCACCCAAACTCCAGGCCTGAGAGTAGGCCACATCCCTATACCTGCGTGCTCTGTGTCCTGATTCCTATACTACACTGGTGTCTTGATTTCCTTTACAACTCAGCCAAAACTGGTCTGGAAAAATACAGCTTCAAAAAAAATATCCCCAGTTGTTAATTTAGTGAGACTGAAATTATGTTAGCTCATTGAAATTTAATTGCTAATGGGTTATAAGATCTTAGGAACTACAGACCCAGCATCTGTCTCTTTTTAGTGTCTCAATTATCACCACAATAATTTAATGGCATCCTGTTGAAGAAGCATCTTTGACATGCTAATGAATGGCACCCTGCTCATTTCCATGAACTTCACATTCCCTAGGTGATAATTTAAAGCCAGGCATTTTAGATTTGTATCTTCACATGGCCACACTGACTTAAAGGTTGACCAAAATGATATACTAAAAAAAATGCTTAACACTAAATTGCAAATGTCTTAAACTGTAGTCTCTTATAATTTAATAAATATGCCTCAAAATTGAGACAAGCCAAGAGAATTCTAATATGTACTTTATTATCCAATTTAATTGTGACCCTTTGGTATCCATGCTCATCTGTTTGGCTATTTCACCCGTGTTTAATCAGTGGCCCCATCTGTAATATTTTGCTTGTCAAATCAATTATTTTATGTTTTACTTTTTTCAGATTGTACTATATTATTTGCTCTTTATTAATTTTATGTAATCTATTTGACATACACTTACACTAGATTCTGACTTTATTTGTATTACATTTTAAATAGCAACAGCCTAAATTTAATTCCTAGCCACCTAAAATTATTTTTAGAAAAAGAGAAAATCTAAATAAATAAATATATAAATACATTTAATGTTCAATTCATTAATTCAAATAAAAAGAAAGTTGCTTTATTTTATACTGAGGTTTATAACTGAATTTAGATATACAAAAGTAATCATTTTGAGGTTTTTGCTTGTTATATTTGGTTAATATAAAAAAATTATTTGCTTACAAGACATTGATAATATTTTTGTAAGCACAGTTCTATACCTAAGTTTCAACTATGATTAATTTAATGTGGAACTTTTAAGTCTTTGCAAAATAAAGGTTTGTGTGGTCCAAAAAGAAGAGAACAAAAAACCAGAAACCACCAACTGAGAGTTAAGTTGGAAATAAGGAAGCATTTATTGATGATGAAGTTCACTCAGTTCTACCGTAAGGTGAAGAAGGTCGAGAATTTTCTTCTCTGAAGATCTTAAAAGAAAAGATAAGTACTAATTTATTTGGAAATATTTCCATGATCTATTTCTGAATTTGGTCAATTAGCTGATTAGATGTCTCCTTGTGATTGGGCGCAATTGCTAAAAGGTAAACAAGAGGAAACTGCTATCATTTAGGATGTTTCAACTGCAATCAGGGAGCCCAATCTGAACTATGTTTATGATGAGTTTCAGTTTCACACAGCAGTCTGAAACTTGCATATTTTGGCAACTTAGACTGGTGATGTATGGAACATGAATCCTATTATCTTGACTGTTTCCAATCGGATGAAAATCAATTTCTTCTGACTCTCTCACTCAATGGAAAGTAAGAATTAGGCAATTGCCTGGAAAACTTTGGAGAGTTCATGAAAAACCTCAAGCTGCTTCTCCTTTATGGGCGATAGAGCAATAGAGGCTCCTGGAGTTAGAAAAGAGCTGAGTTCACGTGTTCACAGCTAGCCCTTCTGACACCAACCATCCCTATGCCAATGTTGAATATTGCAGTTCAGTCCAAGCAACTGTACCTGAGAGTCATGGCATTCAGCAGAAGTTTCTTATCTCGAAGGTAGGAGGTTAGAAGGCATGCACACTCCTGTAACTACTACCCAAATTGCAGAGCAGATTTCTCAGACATAGTCCCCTTTTCTGAGGAGAAACAAAATTTAATTAATTCTTCCTAGGCCTGGTGAAAAAAAGGACAATGAGTCCCTCGGTTTCGATGGAGGAATTGAAAGGGGTATGTAGAAAATGCAATATATAAATGCATTCATACTAGAAATTAAAAATAAAAAATACAGGCATTGAAACTAGTTTTCAGCAAAATAGACTTTATCTGTAAAGCACCAGTTGGCTAGAGATAAATGATATCAATAATAGGTACAAATAATTATATATGTAATTAACCTTACCTGACAATTACACATATGATTTGGAATCACCATTCATGGGGGTTAAAAACAAGTGCTTATTAAGTAGTTATTTCATTTAAATTAATAAATATTCTACACATATCGTATATAAGGTAACATAATACATGCTGTGATGGCTACAGAGACAAAGTTTCTATTCAAAAGGGATTTACAATTTAGAAAGAAAAATGAAGGAACTAACATTTGTTGGAACTTAACAGTGTGGCACACATTGTGCTAGGCACCTTTCATGCATCACTTTATTTGATCTTTGCAACTGAATAACATTGGTTTTGTTTTCTCTATTTTATAGCTGAGAAAACTGAGGCTCAAAGACATAAAATGACGTCTCAGATTAAATTTTTACTACCTGATATAGCCAGGATAGCATGCACATTTTTATATCACAAAGAATAATATGTCCGATATGTTGAGAAAATAATTAACACAGGTTGTTATGCATGTCATCTCCTTTAACACAGTTATTCAGTTGAGTGACCCAGTGCTCAGTTATCAGTGTATGACCTTTTCTTTACTTTCGTGTCTTGGATTTAAGCTAGTTTCAATTTCCATCTCAAAATATTTTCTTCTCTTCTAGTCTCCCCAATCTCACTCAGTGACTATGACATCCTTTCTGCTCATCAGGCTATCGTGCTTAGTCATCTCTGACTCTTCTCTTTCTTTTGCACCCTATATTCACTCAACTAACAATTCTTTTCAGTTCCACCCTTAAAATACATTTAAATACAAATAAATTTTAGGTTTTTCACCTATTGCTATCACTGTGCTCCAAGTATCCACCATTTCTTCTTGGTTTTGAGCTTGGCAATGGCTCTTCTCATCCTAATGAGCCTTGTTAAAGATGTTATATTGCATCTATTCTCTGCTCAAACATTCCATTGGCTCTCTGTCTCATTCGGAGTCAAAGTTCTTAAAATGGCCTGCAACAGACCCCTCCTCCCCACCTCGCCCCAACCATCTGGTGACATGCTATCTTTATAACTTCACTTTCTCCTCTTCTCTTTCGCTCACTCAGTTGCAGCCACAGTAGCCACCTCGTCCTTCCTGGAATACACCAAATACACACTTGCACCATGGTCTCAGGCTCTATTTTCCAGTGAAAGTCTTCCCCCAAACATTTTCAGGGGAGGATAGTATCTACGAGATGCCTTGAAATATTCATATTAACTGAATTATCAAGTTTACTTCTAAGGATTCCTCCAAATGAAATAATCCAGTGTGCAAATACTTATTGACAGTGATATATAAGTAGTAGAATGTATTTGTGAATACTATCAAGATATAGAAAATGTGTAAATGCTAATATTACGGGTTTCTTTAAGTACATTATGACACCTTGATACCACCGGCTACTTTTCATCCATTGAAAATTATATTGTAAAACAATATTTGTTCCTATGAGAAATATTCCAAATTGTTAACCATTTAATAAAATGACTAAAATATATCTGAGCCAAACAAATAGGGTAAACCATCTAGGTACCTCCCTAGCTGCCAATATATATGGTATTTTAGAATATCAGTAGGAATATAATGAAGCTTAGGACATAATATTTATCTAAGTATCTTTCAGGAAGAGTGCAATTTTGAGGAAATAGATATTTCACTGTGGCAATTAGGTTGGATCTAGAATGGTGAGCCCCCCAAAGATCATGCTCCGATACTAAAACATGGCCACAAAACTTCCTTTTAAGTAGAATTGACCCAATTAACTGTATGACTTTTGCTTGGATCTGGGAGGTATACAAGTTTGGAGCCAGAGTAGACGAAGCTTAATCCATGCCATGAAGAGCCTTGTCTGATCTTTCACCTAATACCTAGACCTTCCCTTCTGAAGAAATACTAGTGTGAAGAAATGCAAAATGATTAGATTTCCTGGGGCACATATGTATTTCAGTAGTCTTTATGTTATTTGATATATTATTTATTTTAGGATTATAAGACTGATATCATTTGGATATTCATTGTGCCCAAATCTCATGTGAAAATGTAATCCCCATTGTTGGCAGTTGGGCTTCGTGGGAGGTGTTTGGGTCATGGGATGGATCCCTCATGGCTTGGTTGTTTAAAAGTGTGTGGCACCTCCTCCTACTCTTGTCCTAGTCTCACCATGTGATATATTGGCTCTTGCTTTGCCTTCTGCCATGATTGTAAGCCTCCTAAGGCCCTTCCCAGAAGCAGAGCAGATGCCAGTGACGTGATTCCTATACGGCCTGCAGAACTGTGAGATAATTAAACATCTTGATAAATTACCCAGCCTCATGTATTTCTTAATGGCAATGCAAGAACAGTGTAAAACAGAATATTAGTACAGAAGATTAGAGCCTTGCTATAAAGATAACTGAAAATGTGGAAGTGACTTTGCAATTGGGTAACAGGCAGAGGCTGGAATAGTTTAGAGGGCTGAGAAGAAGACAGGAAAATGAGGGAGAGTTTAGAACTTCTTAGAGAGTGGTTAAATGGTTGTATCCAAAATGCTGATAGGGACACGGACAGGGAAGTCCAGGCTGATAAGGTTTCAGGTGGAAAGGAGGAACTTATTTGGAACCAGAGCAAAGATCACTCTTGTTATGCCTTAGCAAAGAACTTGGCTGTATTGTGTTCATGCCCTAAGGATCTATGGATGTTTGAACTTCAGAGTGATGACTTAAGGTATATGGCAGAAGAATTTTCTAAGCATCAAAGCATTCAAGAGTTGGCCTGGCTGCTTCTAACCACCTATACTAACACATGGGAGCAAAAAATGACTTAAAGTTGGAACTTATATTTAAAGGGAAAGCAGAGTGTAAGAGTTTGAAAAACTTGCAGCCTGGCCATGTGGGAAAAAAGGACAGCCCATTTTCAGGAGAATAATCCAAGCAGGCTGTGGAGCAACCACTTGTTAGATTTGTATGACTAAAAGGAAAAATGTGCTGATAACCAAGGTAGTGGACAAAAGGCCTGAAAGGCATTTCAGAAGACTTCCAAGCTATTCCTCCTATCACAGACCTGGAAGCTTAGGAGGAAAAAAATGGTTTCCTGGCCAGGGCTAGGGCATTACTGCTTTGTGCCACTCCAGGAGGCTGTTCCTCTCACCCTGGCCATGCTGGATATAACTTTCTCTCAAAGGGCCCCAGATACTGCTATGGCTGCTGCTTCAGAGTGTGCAAGCTGTAAGTCTTGGTAGATTCCATGTCGTGTTAAACTTGTAGGCATGCAGTGTGCAAGACTGAAGGAGGCTTGGCAGCCTCACCTACATTTTAGAGGATGTATGAGAATGCTTATGTGCCCAGGCAGAAGTTTGCTGCAAAGGTGGAGCCCTCACAAAGAAACTCTGCTAGGGCAGTGCAGAGGGGAAATGTTGGTGTTGAAGGCCCCCACATAGACTTCCCACTGGGGCACTGCCTACTGAGGGAAATGGGACACCATCCTCCAGAATCCAGAATGGTAGATCCACTAGCAACTTGTACCCCGAGCCTGGAAATGCTGCAGCGCCACTCAATTCGAACCCCTGAAAGCAGCTGTGGGGGCTGTAGCCTGCAAAGCCACAGGAGTGGAGCTGCCCAAGGCCTTGGGACATCACCCCTTACACTAGTGTGTCCTGGATATGAGATATGGAGTCAGAAGATTATTTTGCAGCTTTAATACTTACTGATGGCCCTGGTGTGTTTCAAACTTGCTTGGGGATTTTTGCTTTTTTTTTGGCCAATTTCTTTCATCTTTGAATGGGAATGTTTACCCAAGGCAGGTACCCCCATTGTACCTTGGAGGTAAATAATTTATTCTGATTTTACAGATTCATAGGTGGAGTAAACTTATCTCCTGATGAGACTTTTGACTTGGACTTTGGACTTGGGACTTTTGAGTTAATGCTGGAATGAGTTAAGACTTTGGGGGACTATTGAGAAAGGATGATTGTATTTTGAAATGTGAGAAGAACATGAGATTTGAGGGGCCAGAGGCAGAATGATATGGTTTGGGTATTTGTCCCACACAAATCTCATGTTCAAATGTAATCCCCAATGTTGGAAGTGAGCTTGGTGGGAGGTGTTTGGGTCATTGGAGGCAGATCCCTCATGGCTTAGTGCTTTAATATTGATAATGAGTGGATTCTCATGAGATACGGTTGTTTAAAGATGTGTAGCACCTCCCACCTTGCTCCTGCTCTCACCATGTGATACAGTGATCCCTCTTCTGTCTTTTGCCATGATTGTAAGCTCCCTGAGGCCTCCACAGAAGTTGAACAGATGCCGGTGCCATGCTTCCTGTACAGCCTGCAGAGCCATGAATGAATTAACCCTCTTTTCTTTATAAATGACTCAAACGCAGGTAATTATAGCAACACAAAAAAGGCCTAACACAAATACTTTCAAGGTATTTTATTTTGCCTTTCAGGTGTTTTTCTTTGGTGTTTGGCACAAGCTCATTTTTCAAGGAGAATAAATACTGTTTAAGGAAATGGAATATTGTAAATTGATAAAGAAAAGATGAATCTAAGCTTGTACAGCATTTGCAAAGATAGAGTGTTCAACCTGTTTAAAAATGCATTGAAAGAAAATGGTCACAGAAAAGAGGACGATAGTTTTGACATTTGACGGTGACCTTGAAAAAGTGGGGAGCTTAGTGGTAGAAGCAATACTGCGGTAGATTAAGGAGCAGGAAGTAAGAAAAAAGTATTTCAACTGAGCAACATTGAGGATAAAATCGCCTTTCCTGAAATATTGAAGGATAGAGTATTTTAGGTCTAGGGAGAACTAAAATAATTTATAGCTTTTCCACCATACATTTACTTACCTTCTGTGTACTAAGCATCACATAAAGTTATATACAAATAATAACTATTTTAATCCTCATACCTCATAACCACCATGTGAAACTAGGCATTATTACCATCCACATTTTTACAGGTGACAAAATGAGACACGGAGATTCAATAACGTTCCCAAGGGAACACAGTTTAAGTGGTAAGAATATGATTTGAATGTAAGTAATTTAAGCATTATAAATGGAAGCTGTAACCATCAGACCACACTGCCTCTCCAGTATGGTTAACATGAACTACAAGGATAATAAAGAAGAGGGTCTGACACTGGGAATACCATACACAGAGACAATAGGATTGTTGGTAAAAGATTAAGAGAAGCAGGATCCTGTGGGGATGAGAGTAGTAAAAAGGGTGCATACATCTTAATGCTACAGTGATTTGTGTGCAAGGTTCATTTTTAGAGTTGGATGTTGTTGTTATATCTGGGAAAATGGAGCTGCAGAGGGATTTCTAAGAAGAAACACAAAGCAAACAGAGTGAGTGTCTTGGTTTCCAGGTAAAGCAGAAATAAAAGGTTTCATTGTACAGAGTTTCAAGGACAGAATCTTGTAGGACTGAGAACACTTATTAACAATGGATAGAAAAGTACTGACAGAGCTTTTTGATTAATTAGAAGAGAAGTTAAATAGAATTTCTATTGCAAGATATCTCCATACTCTCTAAAGTCAGAACTTCTATGTGCATAAGAAGATCTTAGAGCATTCAGACTGAGATTGAGGTAGTGACCAATGTTAGGGTAGTGTTCCTCAAAGTCTAATCTTCTGGATATGCTGCATCAGGAGCACCCAGGAACTTGTTACAAATGCAAATTATTAGTTCCCACCCCCCATAAAGACCTACTGAATTCGAAACTCTTAGCGTGGGATTCAGGAGTCTGTGTGTTAGCAAGTTCTCCAGGTCATTTTGATGCATGCTCAAGTGTGAAACCCCACTGCTCTAGAAAATTTATGAATCCATTAAAATGTAGGTTTTCCTTGGAAAAAAAATCCCTCATATATCTCCCCACCTGCCCTCACAAAGACCTCACTGAATCTAGAGATAGGAGGGACACTGTTGAGAGACCTTATAGAAGGCAGCTGAGGACCCTATGCCTGGCCTGGCTAGGTCCAGGTTCTGCAAAAGGATAGTAAAAAGATTAAATTGATATGGCTGATTAGACATGGAGAAAATTTTAGTATACCTGAGCCAAAATAGTCATACTTTATCTATCTATCTGTCTGTCTGTCTGTCTGTCTGTCTGTCTGTCTTATCTATGTATCTTTTTTCTTTTACACCCAAGTAATACGCATGCATCCTTTGTGTCTTACCCCATTCTGATCCTCACAAATGTCAGAAATCTTAGTATAAGTAAAACTCTGGAAAGAGATGAGAGTTAGGGATGTACATTGCTCACATTACTTGATAATTTTAAACAATGTTTTATAACGCACCATAGCTATTTTGACTCGGGCATATCAAAACATCACCAACATAAAAATGTTCATGTCAAATTGGCAATTTCAAAACATCCTGCTTCAGAAGCAAAATCTCAGGATCCGGCAAATACTATTCACTTCAGAAGTATAAAATTGACTCATTATAAGAATAAAAGTAAAAGACTTTTCAACATAATTAAACCGAACCCCTTTGGCAACATAACCCAGTTTGTGTTTTCTAGGGCTAGATTAAAAGTAAAAGAATATCATTCATTAATTGGTTATTATTATTCTGAACATGCCAGAAGATATTATAAAAGACATACACAGAGGTTTGAGGTTAGTGACTTCTCTAAGGGTCAGGGTTTTATATCTGGTCCAGATTGATGGAATAGGAGTGAAAGTGATTACTTGAGGCTTTCTCTGATGGATTAATTAGCTGTGAATGAAGCAACTCCTTGAAGTACAAGGTATTTTCATAAGCAGTTTCTCTTAGATATATAATCGGTTGCATACAAAAACCACTTCTTCACGTAAGACTAATGTTCCTCTATAGCAAAGTGACCGAATTGTGTGGCAGAATTACTTAAACTTTTCCAATGAAGCTTCCTAATAGCATAGAAGTATCAATGAGTACCATAAACTTGGGGTGTCTTGGAGCTTTTTCCACATCAATCTGTCTCACATGAAGAAGTCGTTTTCTTCTGATCTCTCTGTCTTAATACCCACGTCTATAAATTGGAGATACTAATAATTTCTTTACCATTATTTTCATGTTACGGTGAAATTTTAAAATAATGTACACTAAAAGTCTTATGTAAATTATAAAGTACTATAAAAATATCCAGAGCACTATGATTTTAATCATTTATTATTTGTACTAATCAACTTACCCAGACAGTTGTATTTGATTAATAGTTGGGTTATTAATTATTTGGTTGTTTAAGGAAACACAACTTAAGTGTGAACAGAGAAAAATGCACGTAGATAATTTCAAATTATGCCTTACTGGTTATTTATCACCATATAAAGAAAAGTGGGAATGTAATTTAGCCTAATCTTTCTCCCAACTAAAAGAATTCCCTTTGCAACATGAATTACGCCATCTCCTTAATCATTTCTAGTAACATGGAACTCACAACATATCAAGACAGCTTTTTGCACCTCTAATTGTTAGAAAGCTTTTTACTTGCTGATTAGTGATTGCTCACTCTTATTGTCTAAAATATGTCCCCTCAAAACTTATATGATGAAGTCCTAACTCCTACTATCTACAAATGTTACTCTATTTTGAGATAGACCCTAAAGAGGTAATTAAGATAAAATGAGATCATTAAATTGGGCCCTATTCCAATATGACTAGTGTCTTTATAAGAAGAAACAATACACACACACAGAGGAATGACCATGTGAACTCATAGAGAGAAGATAGCCATCTACAATCCAAGGAGAGAGGCCTCAGAATGAACCCAATTCTGCCAACACCTTCATCTCAGATTTCTGGGGTTCAGACCTGTGAGAAAATAAATTTCTGTTGTTTAAGTCACCCAGCCTGATAACCTGTGTCACAGAAGCCCTAGCAAACTAATACACCCACACCTTCTTATTTCCGTCTATTAGTTTGACTTCTATTTTCTTGAATACTTCACAAAAATCATTTCTTAGCATCATGATAGGCTTTGTAATATTTGAAAACAGCTATAATGCTTAACTTTTCAACTTTTTAAACTTTTAATATTTTATAATTCCACTCAGTTAAGCAAAAGTGCAATGGCGCGATCTCGGCTCACCACAACCTCCGTCTCCTGGGTTCCAGCGATTCTCCTGCCTCAGCCTCCCAAGTAGCTGGGATTACAGACATGTGCCACCACGCCCAGCTAATTTTGTATTTTTCATTGAGATGGGGTTTCTCCATGTTGGTCAGGCTGGTCTCAAACTCCCAACCTCAGGTGATCCACCTACCTGGGCCTCCCTAAGTGCTGGGATTACAGGCGTGAGCCACTGCTCCCGGCCTAAACTTTTATCATTTGAATGTTTTATAAACTGTGTTATATCATCGTCTTATAGTATGCTTGTGATAAAATGTTATATCTGGATTGTTTTTACATGAATTATTCTAAACATGGGTTTAGAAGATAACTCTTTAGATTGTAATACAGACCTCACACTTACGGACTGATAAAGATCATTTTGACTCTTCCTTCGATCATCAGTGCCTTAGCTATTACTCCAGCCTTTGGTCAATTTGCTTATCATCATGTTTTTGCTGTGTCATCCAAGTCAATGATAAAACTCCTGAACAAGATGAGGGCCATGCTTTTGTGTAGAAGTGGACAGATATTTATAAATGAGCTACATAGTCTCAGCTGGACTGCAGAATAATGTCAAGCATTCTTGCCCTTGTATAGGAAGCCTCCTGTAATCTGGGAAGTTTTCTCATCTCCAGCTCTATATCCCCATATTACTTGGATTCCATTTTATATTCTGGATTGAAAATACTAGAAGTTCTCAGAATGTGAAATGCCATTTCATGTCCCTGTTCCTTTAAGAATGCCTTTCACTCTGTCTAGGATGTTGTTTATTTTCCTTTTTACCTGATCGATCTCTCCTTGTACTTAAAATCTTAGTTTAAGTTCATTTTTTCTAGAAATATTTCTATGCCTTTCTTTTGCAACTTTTTTTCAGGTCACTACTAATTTACTTAACTTCCCTCCGTGATCCCATGGTTCCATTACAGAACATACTACACTGCACTGAAAGAATCTGTTTATATGTGTATTCATACTCCCTAATCTCACACACACACACACACACACACACACACACACACACACCCCCGCACACGCGCTTTTAGAAACCCAGGCTGTCAGAGGTTCTACCTTTAATAAACATGACATAAGTAGCTTCCAAAGTTCCCATGGTTACTGACAATACAATCATCCAGAGGGGAAAAGAGCACAGAGGAAGTTTATGCAGACTGATCTGGAAGTTTTATATATCATGTCCATCTACTTCTATTCATGTAGCAATAAACGCCCTAGTCCCATGGTCACAGCTAACTGGATGGGCAGCTGGGAAAATGTAGTCTAACTGAGGTGTTAAAGAAGGGATGGGTGGGTTTTGATGGACAGCTATCAGGCTGTGCCATACATGTTCTCTCTCTTTTCATCCACATGCAACATTATGATCCAATACTATTATCATTCTCATCTTAAGGAATTAAGACACAAAGAATTTAGGGAACATGTCTAAAGTTGCATGACTATTAAATAGTTGACCTGGCAATCCAATCCAGTTTACCTACTCCAGAGTCCACACACATCACTATTACCACTACTGTAACCAACAAACACACACACACACACACACACACGTGCGCACACACACGCGCAGAGAGAGGGTGGTGGGAAAAAGTAGAAAAGTAAGCTCTTTAAGACCAGGGCCTATGTTTTATTCACTTCTGAATTTCAGTGCTCACGATTAGTCAATGAATAGTGATCGAATGAATGAGGAAATGAGTTTTTTTTTATTTTCTGTCCTTATAATTTCACCTTCTATCTTAGATTCAGGAAATACATGTGCAGGTTTGTTACTTGGGTATACTGTGTAATGCTGAAGTTTAGGATACAATTGATCCCATCACACAATTACTGAGCACAGTACTCAATAGTTAGGTTTTCAAACCTTGAACCATCTTCCATCCCCCTCTGATAGTCCTCAGTGTCCATTGTTGCCATCTTTATGTCCATGAGTACCCAACATTTAGCTCCCACTTGTAAGTGAGAACATGTGATATTCAGTTTTCTGTCCCTGCATTAATTCTCTTAGGGTAATGACCTCCAGCTGCATCCATGTTGCTGCAAAGACATGATTCCATTTATTTTTATGGCTGCATAGTATTCCATGGTGCATATGTACCATGTTTCCTTTATTCAATCCACCACTGATGAGCAATTAGGTTGATTCCATGTCTTTGCTATTGCGAATAGTGTTGTGAAGAGCATGCAAATGTATGTATCTTTTTGGTGGAACAATTCATTTTTTTTTGGACATATACTCAGTAATGGCAGTTGTGTTTAAGTTGTTTAAGGAATCTCCAAACTGCCTTCTACAGTGGCTGCACTAATTTACATTCCCACTAACAGCGTAGGAGCATTCCCCTTTCTCCCTAGCCTTGCCACCATCTGTTGTTTTTTGACTTTTTAATAACGACCATTCTGACTGGTGTGAGATGATATCTCTTAGTGGGTTTTTGATTGTAGGAAATGAGTGTTGATCAGTTTATTCAAGGACTTAAAAATCCATTTGTTTGTACTGTCATTTAGTTTTATTTTCTTGTCTTTATATGTATGAGGAAATACTATCCAAATTCTTTTTTAAACTAAGGAAAAATAGTGCCTGTACAGATACACACTCACACACACAGACACACCCCTTTCTACCAAATTAACCAGTCTGGTAATCCACAATTATTAACATGACTTAGTATTGCTAAATCTATTCTGGCAACTACTAATCTCTACTTTATTAATTCTAATAAGTTACCTAGTTGCCAGTCTGTTCTTGAATTTTGCTGTGCATTAATATCAAGATCATAGGTCTGGAACTTCTAGTTTCACCATCTTTGGAAAAGAAACATAAATATGCCTGTTTTTTCTCTTCTGTCAGTTTATGCTGGTTTATCTATTAGGCCAAGCAAGATATAAGGCACCAGCAAAGCAGAGATAACAAAAAATTTTTACACAAAAAAATTGATATTTCAAAAGAAAACACATCATCAGAGGGATATCAAGAAATCCTCACACATTTGTTTTATTTCTTTAACAATTACTTTGCTGTTTATTATGCTTTTTTTCTTACAAATGGGGACAGTGGGTATCATAATCTCATGAGTGCACAGGTCCGCTTAAAGTTGCATCCAGTCTTCTGGCATTCTTCTTACTCTACCCACATCTTCAAATATCGCTGATAAAAATTTGTGTTCACATGTGAATACTCCTTTGGGGAGTTTGATTGAATGTATCTGAATTAGGGTGCTTGAATGGGTTTCAAGTCTTAACAGAAAGCACTTGCATTCCAAGATCAGAAAACCTAGCTGAGCAAGAGTAGCTCCATGTTCTGATAAACCTAATTAAGGCAGAAGGCCTTACTTAAAAAGACACAGAGTGGGTTCATTCCTAATTTTTCTTTGGTTCTGTGGTCATTAACTTCAATTTTTATTTTGTTACACAGAATTGGAACTGTTTTCTTATTTAGAAGTCACTAAAATTTTCACAATTTTTATTTGCACAAGAGCAAGCAATAAAGTCTACAAGTGCAGTTTCAAATTACATGCCCATATCATCAGTGATTAATCATGAGTTAATAAGGTAAGGCCATTTAGATTACAATGCAATTAACCTGTGACAGCATAGCATTCCCTCTGTTTTCTAGGTGATAAGTTAAGGCTTATTCACATTCAGAGCTGAAAAGGGAATTTTCAGTATAACTGTAACCACTATGATAGACTTTTGGTTATATATACATGTAGGTTATATATATATATGCACTATATGTGTATATATATAGGTTATATGCAGGTTGATTGTATATATGTTATATAGGTTATGTATATATATATAATATTCTAATATTGCAAAATATGAGGTCACATAAATCATCTTTCCCTTGATTGGAAGCTGCGCAAAGCAGTTAATAGACAGTTGCACATGCCCTCCGTCATGGAAAACCACTCAGAATATTTTTAGATACTTAAGGTGGTTCGATCACGTGGACTGTCTTAGTTCTAACAAGTGATCCTTTATCAGCCACACTGGTTAAATACTGCTCCACCTACGGAAATGGCTTTATGTGTGAGCGTGCTTATATGTGTGAATGAGTGATTAAAAGGACAGAAAGCCACTAGAGAAAATAATAGCTTTCCTAGCATTAATCACAGTTCTGCCTCCTCTTTATCTTAAAAAAAACACATATCAATATATATAAGAAAATAACCAATCATACATTTACAATCCAGAATATAGTATTGTGAATACTGTGGCCTTTCTCTCTCTCTCTGAGTGTGTTTGTAAGTCTCTGTGTGTGTGTGTGTGTATATGTGGGTGCATAAGCATACACACGCATGTAGTTTGGAGTTCCACGGGAAGCATAATAACTATATTCTTTTCCATTAAAATATTACAAATTAAACTATTATTTTGCTTAACTTCTACTTCCATTCTTATTTTTTTCTCCTATTCCCTATAAACACTAGTGTGAATTTGAAAGATATTTTTCCATTTGTTTACATAAATACCCATAGAAAACATATAATACTGTTTGGTTTTCTGAAAAAGTTTTATATGAATAGCATGCTTCATAAATGCTTTTTCAACTTACTTTAAAAAACTCATTAATGTGTTTGTGACATTCATCTGTGTTGAAATACATCATAATTTATTTTCACAGCTGCACAATGTTCTATTGTATGACAATGCAGCAAATTATCTAGTTCCATATTGATGGGCATTCAGTTTATTTTCCATTTTAACTGTAGGAAACAATTGTAAAATGCATAGTGCTGTCTGTTTCCTCACCCTGTGTGGGAGAGGGCCTCTCATGACAAATTTCTGAGTTATATTATGTGGATAACTATAGCTCTTCAAGGTACTAATGGCTAACTGGCTCTCCAGCATGGTATAATAATATCTTACAGTCAAATAAAATGCATAAAAGAGTATCATTTCCCCACAACCTTACTCAATTGGATATTACTATATATTTTAATGTTATTTCAGGCACATATCTATTATTTAAGTTGTTATAATAAGCATGTAACAAGTTTAGAATCCACATGTCTAAAAAAAACTTTATTAAGAGTGAAAAAACACTCATATCACTTGACACAGTAATTTCATACCTAAGAATTTGTCTTAATAAAATATTAGAAAATCATATGGTTTAGGTTGCAAGTTGGAAAGTATGTGTATAGCAAAGATAACACTGGTGGAGAGGGAGAAGAAGAAAGATACAGCAAAGAAGAAAAATGAAAGTTAAAAGGACAAAATGGAGACAAAGGAATCCTAATCGATCTTGTTCTGACAATATCTTCAATGGAAGCTGAATACCTCATGACATCATTTACCTGGATGCCCAAAGTTCATGGGAAATCTGTCTACCTCAGTGCACTCTCTTCCTCTGGGAACTCAAGAGAGCCTTTGTTTCAGGTCCTCAATTGGAATGGATTACATTCAAAATGTCTCTTGTACTTCTTGAGTTGAGAGACAAAAGCCCAGCGTTGGACTTCCTGGAATTTGGCAGCAGTGTTAATTGTAATGAGCATGAAGTGGGCCCTTAAAATGAAGATCAAAATTAGCCTCCTGGTAAAGTTGCCTCCAGAACACTGTCTCCAAATTTTAGGTTGTGGAGTGGTTTGGATGGACAGACGGGAGGAAAAGCATCCTCACCTTGTTGACGATAAGCAAATTAATAATTTGCTTGCAGCATTTTAGAATGTCTGAATAAACCAGGTTAGGATTTTTAAGAGCCCAGAGAGAATAGGGAATTTTCATTCTCTTCCTTGTACCACCATATTTCAATGTGGCAAAAAATAACATGTTTATTAACAGACCCAGATGGACCTTTCTCTCTCTCTCTCTCTCTCTCTCTCTCTCTCTCTCTCTCTCTCTCTCTCTCTCTCTCTCTCCCCATTAAGTATGATACTAGCAGTGGGTCTGTCATATATGTTTTTATTACGTTCCTTCTATCTCCACTTTTTTGAGGATTTTTATCATGAAGTGATGTTGAACTTTACCAAATGTTGTTTCTGAATAAATTGAAATTACCCTAAGATTTTTGTCCTTCATTCTATTGGTATGATATATCACATTGATTGATATGCATATGTTGAACCATCCTTGCATCCCTGGGATAAATCTCACTTTGTTATGATGAATTATCTTATTAATTTATTGTTGAATTTGGTTTGCTAGTATTTTAAGAATTTTTGCACCAATATTCATTAGTGGTATTGGCCTATAGTTTTCTTGTTTTGATGTGTCTTTAATTAGTTTTTGGTATCACAGTAACACTTCTCATAGAATAAGTGTGAATGTGTTTCCTCTTCCTCTCTATTTTAGGATACATGGAGTAGGATTCATATTGATTTTTTAAATGTTTAGTAGAATTCAGTGGTGAAGTCATGGAGTCACAGGCTTTCATTTACTGGGAGACTTTTTAATATACCTTCAATCTCTTTATTTGTTTTTGATCTATTCATATTTTGGGTTTCTTCATGGTTCAATCTTGGTATGTGGTATGTACTTAGGAATTTATACATTTCTTCTAGATTTTTTAATTCATTGGCATATAATTTCTTATAGTAGCCACTAATTATCCTTTTAATTTCTGCGATATCAATTGTAATGTCTCCTTTTTTATCTCTAATTTAATTTATTTGGGTCTTCTCCCTTTTTTTCTTCATTAGCCTGGGAAAGGTTTGTAAATTTTGTATATTTTTAAAAATACAACTTTTTATTTTATTTAAATTGTTATTGTTTTCTTCATTTCAAAATCATTGATTTCTGCTCTGATCTTTATTATATATATTCTACTTATTTGGGGTTACATTTGGTCTTGCTTTTCTAGTTCTTTTAGATGAATCATTAGTTTATTTTTTTTTTCCTTTTTGGTATAGGCACTTACAGCTATAAATTTCACTTTTAATACTGCTTTCACTGTATCCCATGGGTTTTGATATGTTGTATCTTCATTATCATTTATTTCAAAAAAATATAAATTTTCTTAATTTTTTCATTGACCCACTGGCCATTCAGGAGCATATTGTTTAATTTCCATGTGTTTGGATAGTTTCAAATAATGTTTTAAGATTTGTTTTGTGACCTAACATATCATATGGTCTGTCCTTGAAAATGATTTTTGTGTTGAGGAAAAGAATATGCAGTCTGCAGACTTTGGATGCAATGTTCTGTAAATATCTGTGAGGTTCATTTATTCTATAGTGCGGATTAAGTCTGAAGGTTCTTTGTTGATTTTCTATTTAGAAGATGTGTACAATTATGAAAGTGGGGTGTTGAAGTCTCCCACTATTATTGTATTGGGGCCCATCTCTCTCTTTAACTCTAAGAGTACTTGCTTTATATCTGAGTGCTCTAATATTGGGTGCATATATTAACAATCATTATATTCTATTGCTGGATTGATTCCTTTGTTATCAATGATCTTCTTTGTCTCTTTGTACACTTTTTCTCTTAAAGTCTATTTTGTCTGATATAAGTTCCTGCTCTTTTTTTGTTTCCATTAGCATGGACTATCTTTTTCTATCCCTTTATTTGTAGTCTGTGTGTACCTTTATAGGCAATATGTGTTTCTTGTAGGCAACAGATTATTGGGACATTTAAAAAAATTCATTCAGCCACTTTATGCCTTTTGATTGGACAGTTTAATATATTTGCCTTCAATGTAATTACTAATGAGTAATTTTATTTATTTGCGTCTTCTCCCAAATAAGTTGATAAGTAAGGACTTATCAATAATAACATTTTTTACTTGTTTTCTGGATGTTTTGTGAACTTCTCTTCCTTCTTTCTTTCCTTCGTATTTTTCTTTAAGTGAAGGTGATTTTCTTTTGTGGTATAATTTAATTTCTTGCTTTTTTATTCATATTTCTATTGTATATTTTTTGATTTGATGTCACCATGAGGCTTTCAAATACTATCTTATATCCCATTATTTTAAACTGATGACAACACGGATTGCATAAACAAAGACACAACAGAAAACTAATAAAAACTCTACATGTTATATCCACACTTCAATTTTTTGTTGTTTCTCTTTATGCCTTATTGTACTGTGTATGCCTTGAAAATTTGTTTTAGTTATAATTTTTGATTGGTTCATCATTTACTCTTTCTAATTAGGATAAGACTAGTTTACACACTGCAATTACAGTGTTATATAATATTCTATGTTTTTCTGTGTAATCACTATTACCAGTGAGTTTTGCATCTTCAGATGATTTCTTCTTGCTCATTGAGATCCTTTTCTTTCAGATTGAAGAACTTCCCTTTAGCATTTCTTTTTGGACAAATCTGGTGCTCATGACATTCCTCAGCTTTTGTTTGGCTGGGAAGATCCTTATTTTTCCTTCTTACGTAAAGTTTATTTTTTTGGCTTTATTATCCTAAGCAAACTTTTTTTTTTTCTTTTTCAGCACTTCCAATATGTCATGCCATTCTCTCCTGGCCTGTGAGGTTTTTACTGAAAATTCTGTTGCCAGACGTATTGAAACTCTATTGCATGTTATTTTTTTTTCTCTTCCTGCTTTTAGAATTGTTTCTTAGCCTTGAACTTGGGGCGGTTGACTATTGGATGCCTTGAGGCGATCTTTGGGTTAAGTCTGCTTGGTATTCTATAACCTTCTTGTGCTTGAATGTTGTTATCTTTCTCCAGGTTTGGGAAGTTCTCTGTTGTTATCACTTTGAATAGTCTTTCTACCAATCTCTTTCTCTACCTCCTCTTTAAGTCAATAACTCTTACATTTTCCCTTTTGAGACTACTTCCTATATCTCATAGGCGTGCTTCATTGTTTTTTTTTCCTTTTGTCTCTTCTGGCTGTGTATTTTCAAATAACCTCTCTTCAAGCTCACTAATTCTTTCTTCTGCTTGATCAATTCTGCTATAAAAGGACTCCGATGCATTCCTCATATGTCAGTTGTATTCTTCAAGTCTACAATTGATATTTCTTAATTATTTCAATCTTTTAATTTGTCTGATAGAATTCTAAATTATTTCTCTGTGCTATCTTGAATTTCTTTTAGTTTCCTAAAAACAACTATTTTGGATTCTCTGAAAGGTCACAAATCTCTGTTACTTAAGCCTTGGTTCTTGGTGCCTTATTTGTTAGTTTGTTGAGGTCATGTTTTTCTGAATGATCTTGATGCTTGTAGATCTTCTTTGGTAACTTGACATGGAAGAGTTAGTTATTTTTTGTACTCTTGGCAGTCTGTGCTTGTTTGTGCCCATCCTTCTTGAGAAGTCTTTCTAGGTATTCAAAGAGACCTAGGCTTCAAGCCTAATATCATTATTGTTTTTTGCAGACTCATTGAGGTACTGACTTGGTGGTCTTGAATAAGATCTGGAAGAATTTTCTGGGTTACCAGACAGAGATTTATTTTTTTCTTTTCACTACTTTCTCCCGACAAATGGAGTATCTCTCTCTGTGCTGGGCCACCAGGAACTTGGGGTGTGGTGATGCAGGTACCCCAGTGGCCACCACTACTGGGACTGTGCTGGGTCAGACCTGAAGCCAGCACAGCACTGGAGCTCACCCAAGGTTCTCTGTAACTATGAATACTTATGATGTTCATTCAAGGCCCTAGGGCTCTATGATTAGCAGGTAGTGAAGCCAACCAGCTTTGTGTCCTTCCCTTCAGGACTAGGCCCTGGCCCAGTCCAGAGATGCTCTTTGGGAGCCATGGATTGGAGCAAACACCTTAGAATTTGGCCTGATGGTCTATTCTACTTCAGCTGAGCTGGCACTCAAACCACAATACAAGCCTTTTCCTCCCCTTTCTGCAGTCAAAGGAGACTCTCCCTATGGCCAACACCACCACCAGCCCATGGTGGGTTTCTGCCAAGCCATCACCAGTATCCACCTAACACCCAAGAGCTCTTTAGCCAAATTGCAGTGAATGCTGCCAGGCCTGGGACTCACACTTCAGGGCAGTGGGGTCCCATCTGGTACAGGCCAGGTCTGGAAATGCTGTCCAAGGGCCTCGGCCTCCAGCTGGAGACCCCAAGGCCCACTTGTTGCTGTACCTCACTGTGGCTGAGCTGGTACCTAAGGTGCAAAACAAAGTTCCCCCCTTTACGTTTCCCTTTGCTTTTCTCAAACAGAAGGAGTCTTTCACTGTAGCTACCATATCTGGATATGTGATGGGTCTCCCCCAGGAGCCAGCTTGCCTCAGAGTCCAAGGCCCATGGTGTACCCTCTGGGTATTGCTGCTGGTTATTTGGGGTCCAAGGCCTCTTTAGTCAGCAGGTGATAAATCTTGTCAGGACTGAGTCCTTCCTTTCAAGGTAGTAGGTTCTCTTTTGGCCTAGGGTGTGTCTAGAAATGTCATCCAGGAGCTAGGGCCTGGATTCTGGGCCTCATGACTCTGCTCTGTGCCATTATCCTATTGTGGCTGAGCTAGTAACCAACATACAAAACAAAGTCCCCTTTACTGTTTGCTTTTCTCTCATTAAGCCAAAGGAAGGAGTAACTTTTGTTGTTGTGAGCTGCACTGCCTGGGATTGTGGAGGGATGATGAAAGCCCTCCCTTAGCCACATCTCTCCCTAGGTCATGTGCCACACTAGTTTACTGGCTCTAAGCCCACCGTAGCACTACGAGTTGCCTAGAAATTGCAGTCCTTGTGTCCTAGACTGCCTTTCAAGTTTATGTAGGACTGCAGAGTGCTTCAGCCCACGGTTATGAGGCTTGATGAGAAATTCAAGTTTTGACCACTGGGATGGGTGATTCCCCTCTGGCTAGATCTGGTCCAAATGCTCCCTCTATACATCGGTGCTGGCTGAGCCAAACAGAATTTTCCTCTCTACTATGATAGGGTAGCACTAAGTTCAATGTAAAGTCTCCCAGTCACTGCACACTCCCTTTTCTAGGTGCATATACTCTCCTTGCCACAGGGCTGCTGTCAGATGATGGGGGATCAGTGATTCAAGAATGTCCCTCTGACCCTCTTCAATGCTTCTTTTAGCAACATGAGTTTAAAACCAGGTATTGTGATTGCTCACCTGATTTATTTTTCTTGTGGTGATGCTTTTCTGTGTGCAGATAGTCATTAAAATTTGGTGTTCCTGTGGGGTGGGAGGGGAATGAATGGTATAGACTTCTATTGCACCATCTTTCTCTGCCAACCTATGGATTTTATTTCAGAAGTACAAGGATTGTTTACCTTTGAAAATTCTATCACTTTAATTCACACTATTAAAAGAATGACATGAGGAAAAAAATCTCTGTAAATGCAGAAACTACTTGATAAGATTTCAAATAATTTATGATTAACTTTTTTATAAAGATAGAAATTGAAGGGAATGTTCTTAATTTAAAAAGAGTATCTAGAAACACACACACACACGCAACAAATTTCATACTTAATTGTGACATGTTTAAAGATTTCACCATGTCATTAGGACTCATCAGTTTTATTTAAAATTTTATTGATGTTCTTCATTAGTGTAAAATGCAATGAAAAGAAATATTTGTCATAAGTATTGAAAGCCAAGAAATAAAACTCAGTTTTTGCAGATGATATAATTATGTATATTGAAAAAGAAAAAGAATCCTATCTTCAGACAAACTTTTAAAATCAGTAAGAGAATGTGGAAATGATACTAGCATTAAGCTTAATATTGATAGTAAAACAATTCTATTTCTATGCATTAGCATCAAATAATTAGAAAAAAATAAAAATGTGATTAAGTATAAAATAAAATTTAAAATCTTAAATATCTACCGATGAATTTAATGAAAATATGTAAGTCTTATACACTGAAAATTACAAATCACTACTGAGATAAATTGAAAAACATCAAGTAAACGAAAAGGTGTACCATTTTCACTCATTAAAAACTCTATGTTGTAAATTCTCTCAATCATCAATAAAATGTTAATAAAAATCTTTGCAAGTTGCGTATGTGTGTTTGTGTGATAATTCTACAACTTACATGGAAATTCAATGGGGCAAAATTACTCAAGAATATCGAAATATCTAACATGCAGTATAATTACTAGACAGCAACAATTATAAATCCACTGTAATTTGGACAGAGTAGTATTTGTGTAATAATAGAAAAATAACCCAATGATGAGCCCAGAAAGTAGCCCACATATATATGTTAAGGTAACTTATGACAAAGGTGCCCCTACAGTATAGTAGGAAAAGGTTGCTATTTTAAGTAAATGGTGCTTGGAAATTGGAAATTTTTATATGAAAACTATCTCATCTGATACGCAAAAATTATTTCCAGATGTCTCAAAAATCTGAAAATGAAAGCTAAAACAATAAAGCATTTGAGAGAAGCTATAGGATAATATAATAATAAATAAATAAATAAAATAAAAATAAAAATAAAATATAACTAAAATAAAAAAAAAATTAAAAAAAAGTCTTTGTGATCTGGAGTAGGCAAAGATTTCTTCAACAGGACATAAATAGCATTTTCCATAGAGAAAAAAAAGTTGATTCACTGTATCTTATTAAAGTTAAAAATGTATAATCTACAAAATGTATGCTTAAAAGAGTGAAGTAGTAAGTTACAAAGTGGGAGAAAATTTTATATATATATATATATCTCAAAGGACCTGAATCCAAAATATTTCAGGAACTACAAATAATAAGAAGTCAAAAAATCTAATAGAAAAATGAATACAATTTAAAAAGGCAAGTCACCAAAGAGTATAACCAAATAGCCAATAAAAATGTAATGTTTAATCTTGATGCCTAAACTAATTTTTATTCAGAGAAGTGTATATTAAAACCTCAGTGTGATAATTCTATACATCAGAGTGGCTAAAATTAAAATACAAACAAACAAACTGAGGGAATTCCACCTATTGGTGAGAAGGAAAAAACAGGATTTATATGCATTGCTTGCAGATGTGCAAATTCTATGACGTTGGAACAGTGTTAGGACTACGTGCTAAGGCTGAATATATGAAAATTCTATGATCTAGCAATCCTGCTCCTAGACCCAACAAAATGAGTGTATATTTTTACCAAAAGACATGTACAGACATATCCATGGCAGCATTCTTCTTAAGAGGCCAAATGTTGAAACTCCCCAAATGTTCATCATCAACAACAACAAGAAAAAATACATATATATGTTGTAGGGTAATAACAAAATGAAACAGTATACAGCAATGAAAATGAACAAACTACAAAAACATATAACAGCATGTTGAGCAAAGGAAGCCAGACAGAAAAGAATACATAATGAAAGTATTTTCTGATTCTGTGTGGTGTCTGCTAATATCCAGGGACCACTGTTGGGTTAACTGAAATCACTACACGTCACAGGATGTCAAGCAACCTTGTTAAGATAATGTGAACCTCTTCACATTTATTCTTGGTTATTTGCTTCCTCGTGTCTGCACATGAGCTGCACTGCTTTTCTTTCTTTTTCTGAAAGAAGTGAAGCTTTTATCTGCTACAAGTCCTTCACACATGCTCTTCTTTTTGCATAGAAAAGAAGAGTACTTTTTCCCACTACTTTTTCCCTGCGTACTTCTTTCTACCTGACTTCATCTCTCAGAGTAAATATCTTTTCTTTTCTTTTTTTTTTTTTTTTTTTTTTTTTGAGACGGAGTCTCGCTCTGTCACCCAGGCTGGAGTGCAGGGGCGCGATCTCGGCTCACTGCAAGCTCCGCCTCCCGGATTCATGCCATTCTCCTCTGCCTCAGCCTCCTGAGTAGCTGGGACTACAGGCGCCCGTCACCACGTCCGGCTAATTTTTTGTATTTTTAATAGAGATGGGGTTTCACCGTGTGTTAGCCAGGATGGTCTCGCTCTCTTGACCTCGTTATCCACCCGCCCCGGCCTCCCAAAGTGCTGGGATTACAGGCGTGATCCACCGCGCCGGGCCAATATCATTTCTTTAAGAAAGTCCTCAAGAGCTCCCAGTCTGAATTAGGGAAGTCCTGTTATTCTCTCCTAACACCTTCTCCTGTTACTTCATCACTCTTAATCACAGTTTTTAACTTTAAATTTCTATAATTATTTGTTTATTTTCTGTCTCTTCCACCAGACTGTGAGTTCCATCAGGGAAGAACCACTTATGTCCCATATACTTTTCTACTTCAGAGCTTGGCTTAGTGTCTGACGCATAGTAGAATCTAAATGTACTTGTAAAATGAATGAAATATTGACTGAAATAATACAAGTAGGAAGGTGTTAAGTGGAGAGTCTTTGGCACCACAAAAGCCAAGGTTAAAATCTTTCCATTGTTTACTAGCTGTTTATCACCGTGAAGTCCTTTTAACTTTGAACCTCTATTTCCTTATTTATAGAACAGAGGAAATTGACCTTTCCTTTGCAGCCTATTTAATTCCTATGCTTTATTCCATGTCCAACTGAAGTTCCAACTCATCCAGAATCCATACCTCCAGTCATCATTTATCTTTATCTTTTTTGATTGCTTGAAACACTGAACCTTGTATCAAACAACTCAGAACTTAATTTTGCTTTAGAACTGAGATAACATACTATAAAGTAAACAAGGGTATGCAACATACCTTTCAATTATTTGTAGAACCAAAGCCCCACACAAGGCATCTAGTTGATATTCACAGTAAATACACTAACACTGGTTATTGGAAAGTTGCTTACAGAGACAACAGAGCGTCTTCATTTTAGAAAAGGAAGGGCTCTTAGCATCTACTTCACTTCTTTATTATACAGATTAGGCAACTGGTTATTAGAAAGGACATAGGACTTGCCCTAGGTTTTACCACTTGTGGGCCACAGATCAAGTGCACCCAGCCTATTTTAACATACTACCTTCAAGTTGCTCCAACATCTCTGGGTTAAATCAGCCTCCATCACCAAAAGAAATATTAAGAGTTCAGGAGGAACAAAAAAGAGAAATATTTTATGCAATGTAGATGTCACTTTCAAAGAAGTGGCAATATCACTTCAGCAACATCATACCAGATTCATTTCAAATTGTGCTTTTTGTAGATGGGCATTCAACACAGACCAGATGTAGCTTCCAAAGGGACCAAAAGAATGAGAGTTTTACATTTCATTACAAACTGCAAAATATTAACTTCATCATACTCAAAAGAAAACAGAAATTATAAACTTATTAAAAACACCCATTTGCACATTTTTTGTTCTTTATTTTTATTAATGTGAAGTTCACATAACATAAATGAACCATTTTAAAGATAGCAATTCAGTAACATTTAATACATTCACGATGTTGTGCAACTACCACCTCTATCTAGTTTCAAAACATCTTTATTACCCACATTTTAATATAATTTTAAATATGTGATGGGTACAAATTAGATTTACAAGGAGTCACAATTAGATTGACATTTTTGAAATGGTTGCAGCAATGTCCCTTTTACTATTTCCATTAACCATGACCTTTTTATGAACTCCTATACACAGATATTTAGAGTTCAGTGTTATCGATCGCTAGAACTAATCAGTGAGTAACTAAAGGAAAAAGAATAACACATTTAAGCACTTAGTTTTTTACAGTTAAAGCATTATGGATAATCCAAATATTTTTTGAGATTTCTAGTCTAAAGTGCTTTAGAGAACACTCTGAATATATAACAGCCCACCACCACCCACACACACACCCTCCCAACCCACAGATGAGCAGCTTTCATTTCCCTGTGAAGCTAGGAGCTTTGGCTGGAGAAAGGAGCCTCTATTGGCTTTAGCTAATGAAGCGTCTCCTTTTGTAAACTGGCAGCGCTTTCAATCTGGCAGCTCTGAAAATCCCACCAGGAGGGCCTTGCACTAAACTAGTTTATTAATCGGTATGCTGCGTCTCAGTTTTCCAAGGCTGGTAATGTCCTCTGGTGTTGTGTGCATAGCAAGAAAATTACATAGTCAAAAGGGATGCTTTCCCTTTGGAAACATATAGCACAATGCAAAGTGAAAAATACAGTTACATTTATTTACACTTACGCCCTCTCTGCTCATCTCATCAGCCTGTGGAATAATGGCACCACATGGCCAGATTCTGTTTTCCTAATAGGTACTAACGGAAACTATGCAGATTGCTAATTCTTCATTCCTCCACTCACTTCTTCTTGCTAATTTTCTTTTCCATTTTAATTCTTCCAGCCAGTCTCTATCAAAACTGCTTCAGTTTCTAAGCAAATGCATATTTATTATGGGGTGTATTTGGTATGCCAAATCAATGCTTTATGTTTTAAAGTCTTACAGAAATGCAGCTAAATTTAATCTCCTTCCCCCAGGAGTTGGGTACAGATCGTGGGGAACTTGAGAATATATTTATATCTGTTATGATTTACATTTACCTTTAATTTTGGAACTTAATTGCTTAATGTGTATTATTTATAAAGGATCCTAGGAACTACATAGTAAATAAGATTTAATGCATGTCTGAATTTGTTCAGTTAAAGGGAAACCATGTAATAGAATCACAGAATCTTAACTCTAACACGTATCTTTGGATACATCAAATTCCACCCTCTGATTTTATTTTTGAAGAAACTGAAATGCCTAGTATGGAAGAGTGCTGGTCAAGGCTGGACAGCAAGTTAGTGTCCGATCTGAACCAATAGTCTCTCCTTTAGAAAATTGGAATTGGCTAAAAAGCCTGAGTTGATTTTCTCTGGAGAGCCTAAATGACATAATTATGATGTAAAATAATTTGTGAAGTACTTATTATGGGTCAAGCACTTCCTAAAGCATTTTACATAAATTAACATACTTCATCTTCACCGTAATCCAGTAAAAAGTTGGTGTTTTTATCACCTCCATTTTACAGATATGGAAATGGAGGAACATAGAGGTTCCTGAGCGACTTGGCCAAAGTGACACAGATAAAGTGGATTCAGGATTTGAACCCAGGCCTCCTGAATCCACTGAGAAAAGCCCCGTAGAGTTGGGAGCAGGCATGTGGTAGCCCACACGCAAACAGTTAAAATAGTCTATAGAGAGGAAGGAACATGGCTGATATAGAGAAAGAAGCTGAGAAGAGATCCTATGTGGCCTCAGAGTAAAAGAACATGGCAGGAAGAAAAGAAAAGAGAAAAGGGGGAAGGCAGGGAGGGAGAGACAGAGATAGAGAGAGACAGAGAGAGAGAAACACAGAGAGAGAATGAGAGGACCGAGAGAGGGAGACAGTCAAGAAAAAGTAAGGAGAAAAATAGCCTGATCATTTCCTATTTTCTGTAAATTCTAGCTTTATTTCCTGCAAAGATTTCTGTGTGATTCTCCTGTGTTCTTATCAGAAATCTACTTTTTCCTTAATGTTGATCTTCTTGGGGTGTACTTTTGTCACTACTTTCTTGCAACTAAAAAAATAATTGAGCTAGATAGGAACTGAAGTCTGCTGCTTTACACTAAGAAAAATTTCCATATATTTTTGAGAAACCACTCAGAACAAAACTATGTCACTCACATTCTTATACTCCACTCCATCTTCCCTTTCTTTCACTCCCCTTCCCCCTGGGATTCTTGTACTCTTGCTTTGAGGGCACCTCTCATGTTTTCAAAGCCTCATGCTTTTCACAACACTCCTCTTCTAGACCTCAACATAACTTCTTCCCTACTCCTTTTTTTACATTTTCACCCTCGTTATCTGTTATTCTAAATCCTTATCCCTCTTCTCTTTTTTGTCCCATCTCCATGTTCTCAAGCTCTTCAAATGAAACTAACAAAACAACTACTTTAAAAAAAATCCTGTATTAATACACCAGATTTAATGAAATTGGCTTTTGTTTATAAGCCACCCAATTCGTGGTAGTTTATTCTAGCAGCCTGAACAGACTAAGATAGCATCTTATATTAATTCCTGAATATGTGGACAGTAACTTATACTTCATAAAGCAGTTTCACATAAGGCCTTTGTCTTAGTCACTGTTCTGTTGCTCTAACAGAAAACCTGAGACCGGATACTTTAAAAAAGAAAGAGGTCTTTTTAGCTCACAATTCTGGAGGCTGGGAGGCCCAAGACTGGGCAGATGCATCTGGTAGGCTTCTGGTTAATAATATAGAAGCGTAATATAGAATATTATGCTGTGTCATAATATAGAAGAGAAGGGAAAGTGCACACACACAAAGAGGCCAACAGACGACACAACCTCCCTTTAGAACAACCTGCGCTCCTGGGAATAGTCAATTCCCACAAGCGCTAATCCAGTTTGAGAGGACATTTATCTATCTTAACAAGCTAAACACCTCTTAAAGGCATCAGATCCCAACACTGCTACATTGGGGACCAAGCTTCAACATGAGTTTGGATGGGGACAAATTGTATTTAAGCCATAGCACCCTTTCATTAGATACAATGCATTAATAAGGTACGTACGGCAGGTAAGAGTTTTTCATTTTAATGTTGAAAAAGTTTGTAATTTTATTCACTTACTTGCAAACAATTTTTGAGAAGAGACCATATTTTACCAATTTTTTTAATCACCAGAATGACAACAATTTAGTGAGCATTTCATGTTTTAAAAAATGCAGTGGAGGTAAGTGAATGAACAAATGAGCGACGGAAGAATGAGTGAATGTAATTATTAAGTGATTTATCCACATTTTCTTGATAATACAAAGTAAAACCAATTCTAGAATTAAGGTGTCTGAGGCCTAGTGTAGGCCTTTTTTTTTTTTTTCCATTATAGCTGCCTGCCAACACTCAGCATGAATCTTATTTACATAACTCTAACAAGTAGGGACTTTTAATACTAGCTTAACTTTATTAATTGGAAAGGACTATCTTGAACCTGAAATTTCAAAGGCATTTTTCCCAACAGTACATTTATTTTAAGGAAAATCTGCAGATAGGCATTAAAAAGATATATGAGAGTATGGATGAGGCAGCAATAGAAATAATTGGACATTTTAAAAGAAAACAAAACAGGATTTATACATCTAAATGAGTGTTATTCTTCCAAGCAGTCCCCCTGGTAGAATATACACATAGCCTTATAATGGTGTCGTTGCTCAAAATGCCTTTAGAACTCTTCTATGGGAAACGATGTCAGAGTCAGATCATTGGATTCAGTGGAAAAATCACACAGAAATTTTACTTTATTAGTTTGTGTTCACTTTTGATATAAAAATCAATCCTTTTGGACATACAACACTACAGAATGTCAGATAGAGTTTTAGTTTGGCATTTCTTTAAAGACACATCCTGAATTTTCTTTTAATAATAAAAATATGCTGAAAAATTAATAGATTTCATAGGTGGTAACTTCTGTCAGAAGTGCTACATATTATGTAAATGAGGAGTGCCTATTTTGGACACAATTTAATTTCTTTAATCTTATTGAACTTGTTGTGGTTCCTGTAAGCATTATCAAATATGCGATGAGAACAACAGACACCACTTCAAGAGCCATGTGCCTTTAAGATGGCTGCCTAGAAATTAAACGGCTCTGCTGTGCTCTTCCAATCTATTGAGAACAGCTGGTTTTGGTTTCTGTGTTTTTAAGATAAAAATATCTGAAGGAAGCATCAAGAATTTTGATCGTGATTATACTTTTTGAAATAAATTTCAGGGGCATCTGTATTGACAGGATATGGTGCAAAATTACTTTATATATTTGATTCAGTAATTTTTAATTCATTTATTTATTTCGGATAGTTGCAGGCACTTTGCTAAGATGTAAAGAATCTTTAGCATCAAAAATTTGAACAGTGGCAAGATGGCAGAATAGAAAGATCCACCAATCGTCCCCCGTGAAAGGACACCAATTTAATGACTACGCAGGAAAAAACAACATCACAAGAATCAAAAATCATGTGAGCCTTCATAGTGCCTGGTTTTAACTCCATATAGCTGAAATAGGCACTGAAGAGGGAAAAGAAACAGGATCAATAACACCAACTTCCCCAACACCCACCAGTGGCTGCATGGTGCTGAGAGTGTCTCTGGGTGCTAGGGGAGGGAGAGCACAGCCAACTGTGAGGCATTGAACTCATTGCTGTCCTGTTAGAGCAGAAAGGAGAACCAGACCAAACTCAGCTATCACCCACCCATGCAGGGAGCATTTAAACCAGCCCTAACCAGAGGGGAATTGTCAATCCTAGCAATCTGATCTTGAGTTCTAATAACCTAAAGAACACATGATAAAATGCGCTGTGCTCTAATTAAACTTTAAAGGCAGTCTAGGTAATAAGGGCTGCAACTCCTAGGCAAGCCCTAGTGCTGAGCTGGGCTTAGAGACAGGGGATAAGGTTAGGCGTTGGGGGAGGGCATGAAACCCACTGAGACACCAGCTGGCATGGCTAAGAGAGTGCTGGCATCAATCCCACCACCCAGACCCAGGCTTCACAGTTCATGGCTCCAAACAGACCCCTTTTTTCTGCTTGAGGAGAGGAGAGGGAAGAGTGGGAAGGATTTTTTCTTGCATCTTGGATATCGGCTCAGCCACAGCAGGATAAGGCACTGGGCAGAGTCATGAGGCTGCCTTTCCAGGCCCCAGAACCCAGACAACATTTCTAGACATACCTTGGAGCAGAAGAGAGTCCACTGCTTTTAAGGGAACAACCCAATCCTGACAGGATTCATCATCTATTAAATAAAGAGCTTTTGGGCCTTTAATTACCAGTAGTGATACACAGGTACTACACTGATGGCCTTGTGTGAGCCTCTGAGAATTGCTGTCTTCAGGTGAGACTCAGTATGTTACTGGCTGTGGTGGCTATAAGATGAAACTTCTACTGCTTGACAAAAGCAGAGGGAAAATTAAAGGAGACATTGTCTTGCACCTTATGTACCAGCATGGCCACAGAAGAGTAGAGCACCAACCAGGCTCTTGGAGTCCCCTATTCCACGAGTTGTCTCTTGGATGGCATCTTTGGACCAGCCCTGGGCCAGAAGGGAGCCCACTGTCTGGCAGCGTGAGTTCCAGCTAGGCAGCATTCACCACAAGCTGACTTCAAAGTCCTTGGGCCTTAAGGAAATACCAGCAGTAGTCTGGCAGCACTCACTGTGGCCTGTGGTAGTGGTGGCTACAGGGTGAAGTTCCTTGCCTTTGGAAAGGGGAAGGAAGAGGGGAAAGCACTGTGTCTCCCCACCCAGGTACTATAAAATAGAACATCAACTAGACTTCTAAGGTTTATTACCCTACTCCGTGACTCCTGGATAACATTTCTGGAACCAGCTACGCAGAGAGAAACTCATTGCCCTGAAGGGAGAAAATTAGCCTAATGGGCTTTGGCATGTGCTGACTGCAGAGCCTCAGACCCTTGAGGAAACATGGCCATAGCCAGGGAATGGTTACAGTAGGTCATGGGTGAGACCCAGTGCTATGCTCCCTTCAGGTCTGACCCAGCACAGTCATGGTGGTAGTGGCCACAAGGGAACTTGTATTACTCTACTACCAGCTTTAGGTGACTCAGAACAGAGAAAGAGACTCTGTACGTTTGAGGGAGAGTAAGAAAAGAGAACAAGAGTCTCCACTTTGTAATCCATAGATTTCTCCCTGATATTGTCCAAGACCATCAATGAGTCTGCAAGAAACATAGTGTTACTGGGCTTGGCATGCCCTCTAAGCAGAAACAGTTTTGATAACACCATCCGAGTCTTTTCAAATATCTGGAAAGCCTCTCCAAGGAGAATGGCTACAAATAAACCTAGAAAGTGAAGACTACAATAAATACCTAACTCTTCAATGCCCAGACACTGAAAAACATCTACTAGTATCAACAACATCCAGAAAAACATGACCTCATCAAATGAATTAAATAATACACCAGGGAACAATTTTTGAGAAGCAGAGATATATGACTTTTTAGACAGATAATTCAAAACAGCTATGTTGAGGAAACCTAAAAGAAATTCAAGATAACACAGAAAAGAAACTCCGAATTTTATCAGAAAAATGTAATAAAGAGATTTAAATAATTAAAAATAATCAAGCAGGAAGTGTGGAGTTAAAAATGTAATTGGCATACTGAAGAATGCATCAAAGTCTTTTAATAGCAGAATTGGTCAAGCAGAAAAAATCAGTTAGCTTGAAGACAGGTTATTTGAAAATACACAGTCAGAGGAGACAAAAGAAAAAAGAATTTAAAAAATGTAGCACAGCTACAGGATCTAGAAAATAGCTCCAAAAGGCTGGGTGTGGTGGCTCATGCCTGTAATCCCAGCACTTTGGGAGGCCGAGGTGGGTGGGTCACCTGAGGTCAGGAGTTCAAGACCAGCCTGGCCATCATGGCAAAACCCTGTCTCTACTAAAAATACAAAAATTAGCAGGGCGTGGTGACACATGCCTATAATCCTAGCTATGCAGGAGGCTGAGGTAGGAGAATAGTTTGAACCTGGGAGGTGGAGGTTGCAGTGTATTCCATCCTGGGAGACAGAGAGAGACTATATCTCAAAAAAAAAAAAAAAGGCTCAAAAAGGACAAATGTAAGAATTATTGGCCTTACATAGGAGGTAGACAAAGAGATGGGGATAGAAAGTTTATTTAAAGGGATAACAGAGAACTTTCCAAACTTAAAGAAAATGTATCAATATCCACATACAAGAAGATTATACAACACGAGGCAGATTTAACCCAAAGAAGACAACTTCAAGGAATTTGATAATCAAACTCCCAAAGATCAAGGACTAAGAAAGGATCATTAAGGTAGCAAGAGAAAAGAAATAAATAACATACAATGGAGCTCCAATGCATCTGGGAACAGTAGTTTCAAGTGGATATCATAGAGCCCAGGAGAGACTGATAAGGCATATTTGAAATATTGATGGGAAAAGTTTTTTGTTTTTTTTTTTTTTTGCCCTAGATTAGTACATCTGGTGAAAATATCCTTCAACCATGAAGGAGAAATAAAGACTTCCAGACCCAAAATCTGAGGAATTTCATCAACATCAGACTTATCCTACAAGAAATGCTAAAGGAAGTATATCAGTCATAAAGAAAAGAACGTTAATGAGCAATAAATAATAAATGGAAGGTACAAAACTCACTGGTAATACAGAGTACACAGAAAAACACAGAATATCATAACACTGTAATCCTGGAGTGTAAACTACTCTTATCCTAAAGAGAAAGACTAAACAATAAATCAATAAAAAATAATAACAAGGTGGAGCCAAGATGGCTGAATAGAGGCAGCTCTGCTCTGTAGTTCCCACCAAGAAGGTTGAAAACTGCAAGTCAACTCTGCATCTTCAATTGAGGTACCAAAGTTCTCTTATTGAGACTGACTAGGTGGCAGGCATGACCCACGGAGAGTGAACATAAGCAGGGTGGAGCAAGACCCTACCCAGGTGCTGCACATGGCAAAGGGAGCTCCATCCCCCAAGCAGGAAGATGGTGAGGGACCTAGCTTCTCCTCTCTGAAAACCAGGCTTTTCCCACGGATCCTTGCAACCTCTGAATCCGGAAGTCCCCTCCTGAGCCCACCCTACCAGAGTCTTCAGTCCCAAGAATAAAGCTGTGGAGAATCAGGGCAGCTGCTTGGATGGGTGGCCACTTTGAGCAGGCACTGAGACACAGGAGTATTAGCATACTCCAGCTCTGGGAAATCCCGTGAGGCAGGAGATCCGTCCAATCTTGTAAAGAGAGGGCTGAAGCCATGGAGCCAAGTGGCCTCGCTCCCACAGAACTCTACACGCCAGAACCCACTGGCTTGGAATCAGCCCCCATCCAAAGCCAGCACAGCCAGCAAGAAACTGCCTAAGAAGACAGAGTTTTCTGAGGGAAGGGGTGGCTGCCATCACTGTCAGAGGCTTTCCCTTGCCACAGGCACCAGTGAGATGAAGACCTGGATCCACTCCTTCTCACTGGACAGGGCCTCCCTGTGGGAATCTCAGCATCCCCAGCCAGGGGTTTATGGGTAGAACACTGATAACCCTGAGAGGTACCCCTAGAAGGAAGGTTGACATGTGCAGTAAACCACTATGGCATACATTTATCTATGTAACAAACCTGCGCATCCTGCAGATGTACCCCAGAACTAAAAATAATAATTAAAAATAAGGAAAAAAAAACAACTCCTCAAGAAATAGAAACTATTGATAGAAATAATATATAAATAGAAATGATAAAATGTTAAAAGCGGGAGGATAAACTTAGAGTTTTTGTCAGTTTTCATTTTGCTTGTTTATTTATGTAAGCAATGTTAACAAGTTATGTCAAAATAATGGTATTAAGATAGTATTTGCAAGCCTCATGGTAACCTCAAACCAAAAAACATACAATGGATAAACAAAAAATAAAATGCAAGAAAGTAAATTATATCACTAGAGAAAATGGCTTTCACTAAAGGAAAACAGGAAGAAAAGAAAGAAGGTAGAAAAGGCCACAAAACAACCAGTAAAAAATAGCAAAATAGCAGAGTAAGTCCTTACTTATTAATAATAACATTGAATGTAAACAAACTAAACTCTCCAATCAAATGACATAAACTTGCTGAATACGTGAAAAAAAAAAGATTCATTGATCTGTTGCATGCAAGAAACACATTTCACTTCTAAAGACACACATAGACTGAAAATAAAGGGATGGAAAAAAATGTTCCATGCCAAGAGAAACCAAAAGAAAAAGCAGGAGCCGCTATACTTATATCAGACAGAACAGATTTCAAGACAAAAACTGTGAGAAGAGACAATTAAGGTCACTATATAGTAATAAAAGGGCCAATTCTGCAATAGGTTTTAACAATTTTAAATATATATTCACCAAACACTGAAGCACCAAGATAAATAAAGTAAATACTATTAGAGCTAAAGAGAGAAATAGGCCCCAATACAATAATAGTTGGAGACTTCAACACCCCACTTTCAGAACTGAACAGATCTTCTTTAGAGAAAATCAACACAGAGACATCAAACTTCATCTGCACTACAGAACAAATGAATCTAGTAGATATTTACACAACATTTCATCCAATGCCTACAGAATGCACATTTTCTCTCTCAGAACATGGATCATTCTCAAATATTGACCACTTATTAGGACAAAAGACACGTCTTCAAACATACAAAAAGATGAAATAATATCAGTCATCTTCTCTGACCACCATGGAATGAAACTAGTGATTAATAACAAGAAGAATTTTTGAAACCATACAAATATATAGAAATTTTGAAAATATGCTTCTGAGTGACCTATGCATCCATAAAGAAATTAATAAGGAAATTAAAAAAATTACTGAAACAAATGATAATGAAAATACAACATACCAAACATACGAGATACAGTAAAAGCAGTACTAAGATGCAAGTATATATTGCTACAAGTGCCTACATAAAAAAAGTAAAAACTTCAAATGAACAATCTAAAGTTGTGTCTTAAAGAACTAGAAGTGCAAGAGCAAACCAGACTCAAAATTGATAGAAGAAAAGAAATTATAAACATCAGAGCATAAATAAATGTAATTGAAATGAAAAACATACAAAAGATCAATGAAACAAAAAGTGTCTTTTTTTTGAAAAGTTAAAATTGACAAACTTTTAGCCAGATAAAGAAAGAAAGAGAAAAGATGCATTAAATAAAATCATAAATGAGAAAAAAAAGACATTACGACTGACACCAAAGAAATTGAAAGCATTGTTAGTGGCTACTATGAGCAACTATATACCAATATATTGGAGAATCTAGACTAAATGGGAAAATTCCTAGACACATACAACCGACCAAGGTAGAACCAGAAAGAACTCCAAAACCATCACAGACCAATAACAGGTAATGAAACTAAAGCCATAGCAAAAATTTTCCCAGTAAAGAAAAGCCTAGGACCCAATGGCTCCACTGCTGAATTATTCCAAACGTTTAAAGAACAACTAATATCAATTCTAGTCAAATTACTTCAAAAAATAGAGGAGGAATAAATGCTTCTAATCTCATTTTTCTGAGGCCAGTGTTACCCTACTACCAAAAGCAGACAAAGACATGTCAAAAAATGAAAACTGCAGGCCAATACCTCTGATGAATATTGATGTAAAAATCCTCAACAAAATACTAGGAAACTGAATTCAACAATATATTA
The DNA here is from genome assembly GCF_000001405.40 of Homo sapiens. Taxonomy (NCBI): domain Eukaryota; kingdom Metazoa; phylum Chordata; class Mammalia; order Primates; family Hominidae; genus Homo; species Homo sapiens. The sequence goes on along the minus strand of NC_000023.11, from coordinate 143,048,051 downwards.
GAAAGATCATTCATCATGTCGAAGCGTTATTTTTCCCTAACAGAATGAAGAATAAAAATTATATAATCATTTCAGTTGAAGCTGAAATGCATTTGTAAATTTCTACATCCTTTCATGATAAAAACCCTCCAAAAATTTGGTATTGAAAGAACATAATAAAAGTAATTTGTGATAGACTCACAGCTAGTATCATGCTGAATGGTGAATGACTGAAAGCCTTTTCTCTAAAATCTGGAACACAACAAAGATGCCCACTGTTTCCGCTGTTATTCAACATAGTACTGGAATGCCTAGCTGGAGCATGCAGAAAAGAGAAAGAAATAAAAGGCATCCAATTTGGAATGAAGAAGTCAAATTATCTTTATTTGCAGATCATATAGTCTTACATTTGGGAAAACATAAAGATTCCATCAAAAAGCTTTTAGAGCTGATAAACAAATTCAATAAAGTATCATGAAACAAAATCAACAAACACATCAGTAGCGTTTCTATATCCCAACAATGAACAATCTGAAACACTAATCAAAAAATAATCTCATTCATAATAGCCACAAATAAAATTAATTACCCAGGAATTAACCAAGAAAGTGAAAGATCTATGTAATAAAAACGATAAAACACTGATGAAATAAATAGAAGGGGACACCAAAAAGTAGGAAAATATTCCATGTTCACAGACTGGAAGAATCTGTATTGTTACAATGTCCATACTACCCAAAGCAATCTGCACATTCAATGAAATATCTATAAAAATACCAAGGACAGTCTTCATAGAAATAGAAAACATAATCCTAAAATTTATATGGAACTGCAAAAGACACAGAATAGCGAAAGCTATCCTAAGCAAAAATAAGATAACAGGAATAATCATGGTACCTTACTTCAAATTATACTACAGAGCTATAGTAACCAAAACAGCATGATAATGTCACAAAAACAGATGCATAGACCAATAGAACAGAATAAAGAATCCAGAAAAATATCCATACATCTTCAGTGAACTCATTTTTGACAAAGGTGCCAAAAACATACACTGGAGAAAAGACAGTCTCCAGTAAATGCTGCTATGAAAACTAGATTTCCATATGCAGAAGAATGAAACTAGACACCTATATCTTGCCTTATACAAAAATCAAATCAAAGTGGATTAAAGACTTAGACCTAATACATGAAACTATGAAACTACTACAACAAAACATTGGGGAAAATCTCCAGGACATTTGTGTGGGCAAAAATTTATTGAGCAATACCTCATTAGCACAGGCAATTAAAGCAAAAATGGACAAATGGGGTCCAGTTAAAAAACTTCTGCACAAGGGAAACAGTCAAGAAAGTGAATAGACGACCTTCAAAATAAGGAGAAATTATTTGCAAACTACCTACCTGATAGAGGATTAATAATCAGAAAATAACTCAAGCAACTCTATAGGGAGAAAAAACTAATAATCCAACTAAGAAATGGGTAATTGATTTGAATAGACATTTCTCAAAAGAAGACGTTCAAATGACAAACAGATATATGAAAAGTTTCTCAACATCATCAATCATCAGAGAAATGCAAATCAAAACTACAATGAAATATTCTCTCACCCCATTAAGATGGCTTTTATCCCAAAGACAGGCAATAACAAATGATGGCGAAGATGTAGAGAAAAGGAAACCCTTGTACACTGTTGGTAGGAATGTAAATTAGTACAACCCCTATGAAGGACAGTTTAGAGGTTCCTCAAAACACTATAAGTTGAGCTACCGTGTGATCCAGCAATTCCACTGATGTGCATGTACCCAAAAGAAAGGAAATCAGTATATCAAAGAGTCATCTGCACTCCCCTGTTTGTTGCAGCACTGTTCACAATAACCAGGATGTAGAAGCAACCTATATGTCCATCAACAGATGAATGGATAAAGAAAATGTGGTACATATACACAATGATGTACTATTCAGCCATAAAAAAATGAGATCCAGTTGTTGGTAGCAACATGAATGGAACTGGAGATCATTACATTAAGTGAAATGAACCAGGCATGGAAAGACAAACATCACATGTTCTCACTTATCTGTGGGATCTAAAAATTAGAAGAATTGAACTCATGCACATATAGAGTAGAAGGATGGTTACTAGAGGCTCGGAAGGATAGTGAGGATGGGGTGGGGGTATGTGGGAATGGTAAATGGGTACAAAAAACTAGTCGGAAGGAATGAGTAAGACCTACTATTTGATACCATAATGGGGTGTCTGTAGTCAATAATGACTTAATTATACATTTCAAAATAACTAAAGGAATGTAATTGAATTGTCTGTAACACAAGGAGATGGATACCCCATTCTCCACAATGGGATCATTTCACATTGGATTCCCATTTCAAAACATTTCATGTAACACATCAATATGTATACCTACTATGCAGCCATAAAAATTAAAAATATAAAAATTTTAAAAAACCAAAAATGAAAAAAAACCTCTTACCTTCAAAATAGGCTTTTTAAAATAGATTTTATTGACTACCAAGTATATACAAAGAAAGGTATAGAATAGGTATAAAGAATGACAATAGAACTCTGAAGTAGCCATCCTTAAGAAACAAGATATAAGCACACATTTAAAAATTTTAAATTATTTTTGTAAGGGTAATGCATCATATTGTAAAATTTCAAAGTGTAACAATAACGTACAAAATGTAAAAAAAAAAAATCTGCCATTTTCCCTGTCCCTAGTATGTAAAGTATTTGCTCATTTTTTTTTATTGTGCTTTAAGTTTTAGGGTACATGTGCACAACGTGCAGGTTTGTTACATATGTATACATGTGCCATGTTGGTGTGCTGCATCCATTAAATCATCGTTTAACATTAGGTATATCTCCTAATGCTATCCCTCCCCCCTCCCCCCACCCCACAACAGGCCCCGGTGTGTGATGTTCCCCTTCCTGTGTCCATGCAACATAGTATGGTGTATACTTAGCATCATTTATTTAAACAGCCACTTACTGATTTATATTTAGTTTTCTTCTAATATTTTACTGTTATAACAAGTAATGTAAGGACCAACTTAGTGTGTAAATCACACACATACAAGTATATTTGTATAATAAATTTCTAAAACTAGATCTGTTCAGTGAAAAGGCATGTGAAACTTCATACAAAGAACATTTATACTTCTACCACTCAATGTGTGGGTGTGCTTGTTTTCTCATACTGTGGCCAATAAAATGTGTTACTTTTTGTCAGTGTTATAGTGTATTAGTTCGTTTTTATGTTGCTGATAAAGACATACCTGAGACTGGGAAGAAAAGGAGGTTTAATTTGACTTCCAGTTCCACATGGCTGGGGAGGTCTCATAATCATGGCAGAGGGTGAAAGGCACTTCTTACATGGTGGCGGCAAGAGAAAATGAAGAGGAAGCAAAAGCAGAAACCCCTGATAAACCCATCAGATCTCATGAGACTTATTTACTATCACGAGAATAGCATGGGAAAGACCAGCCCCCATGATTCAATTGCCTCCGCCTGGGTCCCTCCCACAACACGTGGGAATTCTGGGAGATACAATTCAAGTTGAGATTTGGTGGGGACACAGTCAAACCATGTCATATAGGTAAAGAAAAAAAAGAAATTTGAATAGTGAAAACTTGCATGTGAAATATGGAAACAACTGTTTGACGTATGAGCACTCAGTGGCTGCCGTATATAGAGAAAAAAACACATTTAAAACCAGGCAGTTGGATTGTGACGTGATTACTAACTGTGAGACCTTAGGTCAATCACTTTCCTACTCTGAGTTTGTTTCTTAATTTCGTGAAATAAGAATTGTAGTATTTACCTGGCAGATTTTGTTTGTGAGGATAGCATGAAATATCTTTTGTGAAAGGCTTAGCACAACACCTAGCTCATATTATGTGACCCACATACAGTAGCTGTTGCTGCTATCCTTATGTATTAGTATTAGTATTAGGATTAGGATTAGGATTAGGATTAGGATTAGTATTTAAAGGTTATCCAGGCTATGGAGAGACAAAAAAGTAGCCCCCTAAATTTCAGGGACTGAAGACAGATCAGATGCATTTCTCACTCTGTAGTCCAATGGTCAACTTCAGTAAGAGACTCAGAAATCTAGGTTATTACTATTTTGCACTATTACCATAACAGAGTGCTTTGTTTCTATCTGTACCCAGAGTTCTGAGAAAGTCAGCTGACAAAAGAGTCATTTACTCTTATTTGCATGACAGTAGAAATATCACATCACTTTTGCTCACATTTCCACTAACTGGAACTCAGTCACATTACCCCCACCCAACTACACTAGATACTGAGAAATGTGCTCTCACTGCATGCCCAGGGAGAGGCAATAGTGGGCTCAAAATAATTTTATCTGCCACATATATTTTTCCTATATTGATAACAAATAAATATCTTTACCAGAGCAACAACAGCCAATTACTTTGTTTTGTGATTCCAAGTATCTATCTTATCTGATTTCCCTTCTCCGTTGGATCTAGTGATTGTTTTGTCATTTTAAAGATGGCACTTAGCTAAAGTTTTTTTTTTGGGGGTGGGTGGGGGGCAGAGTCTCACTCTGTCGCCCAGGCTGAAGTGCAGTGGGCGATCTCAGCTCACTGCAAGCTCCGCCTTCCGAGTTCATGCCATTCTCCTGCCTCAGCCTCCCCAGTAGCTGGGACTACAGGCAGCCACCACCATGCCTGGCTAATTGTTTTGTATTTTTAGGAGAGACGGGGTTTCACCATGTTAGCCAGGCTGGTCTCGATCTCCAGACCTCGTGATCCGCCCACCTCGGCCTCCCAAAGTGCTGGGATTACAGGCGTCAGCCACCGCGCCCAGCCTCAGCTGAAGTTTTACAATTGTTTTTCCCTTTTGAATATCCTATCTGTTGAACTGAAATCTCTAAGTATGCCATTCCAATCAGCAGCTCGACCTGGATAAATGAGGCTTTACAGGTGTAAAGTATTCAGTTTGGTGCTGCAATTGCTTGGTATAGACAGACCACAGGTGTTTGCCCACTAGACAGTCAGGCCCGTGCTGCTAGGACTCCGAAGCTGGCTCCTGTGCAGATGGTAGTTTCATCTGGGCTTCTTTCTATTTCAAATAAGGATCCCACCTCCGGGACGAAGTTCCAAAAGTTATTGTCAGCATTTCCCAGTAGAAATCATTAATGACAGGTCAGTTTGTCAAAACGAGAAGGAATCAGTGCCACCGTGCTGTTTCACTTGTTTCATGCTACATCAACAGCTGATACTAGGGAAGAATAATTCACACATAAAAAAATAATTGGGACCATTTCCATTCAAAGAAACAATTATCAAGAACTCCCACCAAAAGCGAATCCTGCCAAATTCGCAATTACTGTAAAAAACACTCCGCTCAAATGAAAGCTGAAGCTCACTTTGAATTTGATTGCATATATATAAATTATAGGGAATGACAGGCCAAATGTATTCAAATATAACTTCAATGTTCAAAAAGACTATCCCCAATCATATTATTTTGTTTTATGAATCACTGTTTTAAAATCACGAGTTGCTCACTGCTATGTATAAATGAGTATATTTATTATATAAACCTACAGTTTATTCAGCTCAATTGTTCTCTCGGGTTTGCCCTTCTCTTAAACCAGGAACAAATGTTATCAGCAAATAGTATGTTCATTTTAGTGTGATACTATCAGCATATATGAAAGGACATATAAGAGACAGCCCTATAAATGTTAAGCTATGGTAACTATTATGTTTTACTTTTTAAATATCTTTTAGTTCTGGTCACTTTCCTAAATGTCTAGAGCCACTGCCCCAGCTACCATAATCTTTGATCTGGGTGACAGCAACAGCTGCATGACTCAGATTCACTTAGCTTCCCACCCTCTAGTCCATTCTGACCGCAGAATAAATGTAATTCTAAGTATGTCACTTCTCTTCTTAAAAATCACCAATAATGTACTCTTATATTTAGAAGTATCTAAATTTCCTCCCATGACCCCAAAAGCTCTGTTTCTTGCTCCTTCTGATCTCCCTAACATCACCTACTATGTGAACAAAACCACCAAGATCAAATATATTTTGACTATGAAAAAATATGATCAAATTCTTAGCAAGGCTCTCTGAACATATCTCTCAAAGTGCGTGTCCTCTCTTTGTGAGTGCCACCCCCGCTCCCCGCCCCCCCTCCGCCGGAAAGCCTCACACCTATTAAATTCATACTCCATTTTCCCAAAACCTTTTTGGAGCATCCCCTTTAAAAGTCTTACCAGAGCTACTTCTTTAGCCATTTAAAAAGTAAGTTTCATTACTATATAATCTCACATAATTTTGAGTCCTAAATTATTATTAACTAGCTTAACTGAAAATTTAATTAGTTAAAAACAGGCTCTGAGTATATTTTGGATGCTGCAAATAATCTAATTACCAGTAAGGAATGACATATGGCTGACCTGAAGAATATTAGGTAGAAATTTAATTTTCAAAATGGGTTTCAGAAATGGTTTATGCAATGCTAACATTGGTAAAAGAATTCTGAACTTTTGAGAGGACTGCTTTTCAAGAGAAAACACCTCACTGGCTCAAGTAATTTCTCATCTTTCTGAAAAGCACTCTACATTATTACTTTATTGTCAGGCCTTCCATATCACTTTCCACATTGAGTCCCTCAGGAGTTCTAGGACAAAACCATTCAGTTGAGGTCACAGTTATTTTTTCCAAATATCATCCTATAGTCAATGCTTAGCATTAGCTAGGGCAATTGATCTCCAAGTCCAACCCTGAGAAGTATAAAGTATAGACAAAAAAATCTGGATTTCTATGTTATAATCAAAACAAGTGCCAATATCCCATCCTTCAAGTGAGGAAACAGTGTGCAATGAGAGACTTAGCGTGCAATGACTTTCTACTAAGTACTTTTCAGACCACGGAGAAAACACAACTTCTGCTTTCTGCGTTCTAGCAGAATGTTTCTATAGTTGTAATGTAGGCAACCCTTAAAGTGCCCAGGCTGTTTATTCAAGACTCTCCAAGATTATTATTAAGTGGCTCATTCACAGCAGCTCTAATGTGAAGATAAGCAAGATGCTATGTATACTTACCGATCTGTCTCTGAAAGATTTGACAGCATTCTCTGTGTGACTTCTGGGCTATTAATAAGCTCTTTTGCTACATTCATTTACTTAGCATTCAGCTTGGCTAGTTTTTGAGAGTCAGTAGTCACACATGTGCCTGGTCTATTCATTATGTCATCTTTCCTAACGAATAGCACAGGCCTAGAAAATAAAGATACGTTGGACAAGCAGCAGTTTAAGTGTTACTTCCTTGATGAAAAATATGTCCAACTATGTCAGAACAACTAATCCTGACTTCTTAGGTAGCATCTCCTGCTTTATACACAGTTGGTAACAAGTTCCCCTCAAAAGCTAGGGCATCTTTAAGTAGTCAGAAACCATAAGAAGTAATTGAGTGACTCAGCAAGAAATTTAAAACAGTAAATGCCACCTCAAAGATAATTCGTGGGCTCCAGGAAGCAGCTTGGTAAAAGATTTATAAAAGGTCAAAGATCAACTGTGATATTAAATTAGGACATAAAACTATAGCTCGGCTTTTTTTGAAGAGTGTCTGCCTTAGTCTGCTCCAGCTGTCATAATCATAACAAAATACTATAAACTGGATGGTGTAAAACAATAGAAATTCATTTTCTCACAGTTCTGGAGGCTGGAGGTGTAAGATCAGGGTGCCCTCAGAGTTGGTATCTGGTGAGACTTCTCTTCCTGGCTTCTGGGTTGTGGATGGCTGCCTTCTCTTTGTTTCCTCATGTAGCCTTCCTGTAGTCCATGTGATGAGGGAGAAGGGAATAAGGAGAGGGGGATGTTCTGTTTCTTCTTGCAAGGATAATAATCTTATTAGATTAGGGCCATACTCTTATGATCTAATTTAACCTTAATTACCTCCTTACAAGCCCTGTCTCCAAATACAGTCACTGATATGCTTTGTATCTGTGTCCCCACCTAAATCTCATTCATATCCAATTGTAGTCCTCAATATTAGAGGACAGGTCTGGTGGGAGGTGTTTGGATCACGGGGGAGACATCCCTCTTGCTGTTCTCATGATAGCAAGTGACTTCTCATGAGATTTGGTTGTTTAAAAATGTGTAGCATCTCCCCCTTCACTATCTCTCTCCTGCCACCATGTGAAGATGTGCCTGCTTCCCCTTTGCCTTCTTCCATGATTGTAAGTTTCCTGAGGCCTTCCCAGCCATGCTTCATGTACAGCCTGTGGAACTGTGAGTCAATTAAACCTCTTTTCTTTATAAATTACCTAGTTTCAGGTATTTCTTTATAGCAGTATGAGACTGGACCAATACAATCACAATGAAAATTATTGCTTCAACATATGAATTTGGTGGGTGGGGTGGGGACAGTAATGCACAATTCAATAAATGGAGTATCTTTGAGAATTTCCCAAAAAAATTTGGCTGATTCTGTTTTTGAATATCAACTTTTCTAGTTTGATTTTCTTAGTTAGAACAACCTTATTGGCCTCAGCTCTTATTATAAGGGATGAGGGGGAAGCCATATAAGAAGAAAGAGAAAGGAAAAGTGGGTAAGTCTTATGCTGGAAGAAGGAAGCTTACCTACTTATTCCTCTAATCACTGGGAAAGAGAGGTAAGGGTCTCCAGACTTCCACCACAGTTTTAACCAAGGACTTTTGTCTCATTAGATACTGGTATTCCACATAAAGTTTCTTTGAATAAAGGGTTCTGTTACTTAAAAAAAAAAATTTGAATTCCATGGGGCTATATTAGGAGTTATGAAAAGACAGTTTGTGCTGCCACCTGTCTTTGCAATTAAAGTTGTATTGGCAAAGAGCCATGCCATTAGTTTATGCATCATCTATGACTGCTTTTGTGACAAGGGTAAAATTGGTTAATTGTAATGGGGACCATATGTGACCCACAAACCTATAATATTTGTTAACTGGCTCTTGATAGAGAAAAGCTGACAGATAAAAATTTGCTGACCCCTGGTTCAGACAATATACTACAGAAATCTACATGAGCTCCCCCAATAACTTCAGGTCTCAATTCCTCAGGTTTTGGAAGTATCCTCTGATGCCACAGACTAGGCAAGATGCTCCTCTAATATGCCTCCACAGTTTGCTGACTCCTATCTTACTTCCTTAACACTTTATATTGTAAATACTCATTTACTTACCTGCTTTTCACAGGTTTAAGTTCAGTGGTAATGTCAGTCTTGTTCTGCATCATATCCTCAGTACACAGCATAGTGCCTGGGACATAACAAGTGCTTAAAAAGTGTTTGTTGAATAAATGATGTATATTGAAGATTCAATGCAACAAATATTTATTAAGTACTTATTACATGCTAGACACTTTTTGAAGTCATAAGAATACAGTAGCGAACAAAACAGGCTGAGATAATTGTTGTCATGGAGTTTACAATATACTGGAGAAAGCAAACTGAAAACAAGAAGAAAGCAAAATATGTTTGAGAATGATAATTATTAACAAGAAAACAATAATGCCAGGAAGGCATATAAAATGTTAGCTATGGGGATAGGAGGTGTTGGATTAAAACTTTACATAAAGTGGCCAGAGAGGAACTCAAGTGTGGAGGTAGCCATCAGCTAAAGACCTAAAGTTATTAATTAATGTAACCAATGATAATTTCAGTGAGATTTGGCACTGTGTGTAGAAAGGAGAAAATAATTCTAGGCAAAGAGAAGAAAATGAGAAACAGTTTTCATGTAGAAAAGACCTTGGCATATATAGGAAACTGAAAGACAGAAAGCCAACAGTTATATGATTCTACAATTCTTTAAAAAAGAATGATGAAGTGATTCAAATGTCACTAGTGCAAGTGCTTTCAAAGAAAGAAAAAAGAGATCAGAGTGTAAGTAGTTACAGATATCACGTAAAGACCTGAGTTATAGCACTTCACATCAGAATCAACTGGGATTCATTATGTGTTGAACTGCTATCGAAAGTCTATTATTTTCTTCTGTTTACTTTAAGATTGTTATAGATTCTATAGATGTATCAGTCCATTTACACACTGCTATAAAGAACTGCTTGAGACTGGGTAATTTATTAAAAAAATAAGAGGTTTAATTGACTTACATTCAGCATGGCTTTGCAGGCCTCAAGGAAACTTAGAATTATGATGGAAGGAGAAGGGGAAGCAAGGCACCTTCTTCACAAGGTGGCAGAAAGGAGAACGAATGCAGGAGGAACTACCAAGTACTTATAAAATCATCAGATCTCCTGAGAACTCACTCACTATCATGAGAGCAACATGGAGGAAACTGCCCCCATGATCCAATTACCACCACGTGGTCTCTTTCTTGACACATGGAAATTATGGGGATTATAGGAATTATAATTCAAGACGAGATTTGAATGGGGACACAAAGCCTAACCATAGCAATAGAGAAAATATCCAGGAAATGGTTAGGAATTGATAAACAGCAGTTTCTACTGATAGACTATAAACCCTAACTTCCTTGTACTGACTCCATTAAGGCAACTCAACAGTATAGTCTGAGTACATAGTCAAGCTGGGGGAGTGAGAAACTGCAGGCATTCGTTATTATGGTCTTTTATTCATATAATTTATGTTATTATAGAAATGGCTCACGGAAGAATTCGCCCCAAGAAATTTATCTTCCAAGAAAAGGGAGAAGATAAGTATGCAGATAGAGAAAGCATATGCTCTAATTAGAAGAAATGATATGAGGTATTGTGAAGTGTGTAGGTTCTGGGATCAGCATGACTGGGTTCAAATCTTGGATTCTGACACTTTCTATATGAACTTAGTCATTTATGTATCTAGTGTTTACCTCGGTTTTTTTGAAGGGAAAAATGATAATCGCCTCATCAGGTTACTTATGGTCTTAAAAAGAGTACCTTGAATGTGATAAGCACAATGTTATTGTTTCTTGTAAAATTATCATTGACTATATTAATTTTGGAATGTTTATTCGGTACTCAAATGAATGCATAAACTAGTCAGTTTGGGCTTCAGGGAGAGATTTAGGGGGAAGATATAATTTTGGTTGTCATATGCGTATAGATGTCATTTAAAGCTAAAAGAGTGCAGAAGGATAAAAGGGTATGTCTAAGGACTGAACTCTGGAGCACCCTAGCATTGAAAGATCTTAGAGATAAAGTCTGTGTTCAATATTCCCCAAATCGAGGTACAGATTCAATGTACTCCCAATCAAGATCCCACCTGCATTTTTTGCAGATATTGACAAGCTTATCTTAAAACTCACGTAAATTTAAAGGGCCTAGAACAGCCAAACCAATATTGTAAAAGAAAAGCAAACTTGAATGATTCTCCCTTTTGTATTTCAAAACTTACCACAAAGCCATAGCATTCAAGAAAGCATACTGCTTAGATACTTTTACATGTACTAATTGATAGAATAAAATTTAGAGAACAGGAATAAACTGATAAAGCTATGGTCAATTGATCATAGAAAAGGATGTCGCGATAATTCAATGAATCGTATTTTCAACAAATGGTGCTTGGACAACTGGACATCCACATGCAAATAAATGAATATAAATGCCAGAGTATACTTGGGAATTATGGAAGTTCTATCTAGAACAGAAAAATATTCACCAATGATTGGTGAACTAAAGGAAAAGAGATTTAATAGGGCTTCTCATACTCCCCAATTCTGTGTGAGGATCTGTGAGATTCGGTGTGAGGATCTGTGAGATTTTTCTGTAGACATCAAGGGCCATGTCTATATCATGTTAGGCTTTTTCCAAGATGGACACCTGTAGTGACAACAGATTTTGGCAGAGAAATTGTGGATATCAGAGTATGCCTAGGTCCTGAAGACAATGTTAGAAAAGAGCCAGAAGAAAGATTTTCATTCTCCCTTCTTTTGGTTACCATCCATCTGCTCTTTAATATCCTTCCTCCACTTGAAAAAAAAAGATCTTGGCATTTTCCAGAACATGGATGGACCAGGAGGACATCACACTAAGTTAAATAATCCAGACAGAAAGAAAAAGATTACCTGATCTCGTATGTGGACTATATAAATAAGGGGTCCAATAGACAGAGGTGGAGAATGAAACATTGGGGGTGGGAGAAGAAATGGGGAGATGTAAGTCAAAGGATACAAAATACCAGATATGTAGGATGAACAAGTCTAGTGATCTAATGTACAGGGGGACTAAAGCTAATGAAATTATATCATGAATTTTTTTAAATAAGTAGATTTTAGCTGCTATTGTCACACACTTAAAAAAGTGAGAAGAGAGGTATGCTAATCATTTTTACCATTGTAACCATTTTACTTTATATATATATCCCATAATGACATGTTGTAAACCTCAAATATACAAAATAAAATTTCTTTAAAATAAACATTAAAAATCCATCACACTTCTGTATACTAACATTGAACATGTGGAAATAAAAATTAAACACATGATACTATTTACAGTCACTTGAAAGAAAATGTAATCCTAAGGTATAAATTAAACAAAACATGGACCAGAAGGTGGGTACAAAAATTAAAAATCCAAATATCTTTCTTAAATTTATATAATATAAAAATATATCTGACAAGGGAGGAACAGATTAGACATACATAGATGCATCTTAAAAACAGGCCTGAGTGGAACATTAAGTATTGACAATGGATATATACATTGAAAACAAATGTCCACAAACAATAAAAAAAACATGTATTGACACTCATACAAAGAAAAGGATACACATCAAATGCATTACAATGATTGCCAATGAAGACAAGGGGAATAAAACTGGGCCATGGAAATAAAGGAGAGTGAATGAGTAAATAAACAGGAGAGGGTCTTGAGCAATTAACTCAAGGAATATAACTCAGCCCTCTACATTGATGCCAAAACCATTCTATTGTATTTCCTCCAATAAAAACGATATTTTCTTTTAGGGGAAGTTTTTTTTTTTTTTTTTTTTTTGAGACAGAGTCTCACTCTGTCGTCCATGCTGGAGTGCAGTGGTGCCATCTCGGTTCACTGCAAGCTCTGTCTCTAGGGGAAGAATTCTTAATCATTGACATTCTACAGAAATGCTGGTGTATGGAAGTGGTGATAAAAATACCAGATTTTACTTGTATTCTTGTGTTAAAATTCCCTGTAGACAATGCTTCTGTTTGTTGCCTGCAGTAGACACAGGCCACTCCCAGTGCCCCACACTTGGTAGGTGACTGCTCCACCTAGAGTTTCTTAACAAGCGCCCTAGTATTGGAAGCATGTCCTCCAAACACCATTATTTTATTGTGTGTGGCATGCTGTCTTACTTTCTGTAGGGTGAGGTTCTTGTTCCTTTTGAGGACCTTCAGTTGCTCACAGCATTGGGTGAGTTACAAAACACACCACTCTGAGGTATGTGGCCTGAAGGTGGTGATTCTGATGTCTTCATTTTGGAAAGAGTGTCACTGTCACCTACATACAATACAGATCTTCTTATGTGCTCTTCTAAACATGCACGTGCTCCAAGGAACACCAAATCCTTTTCTTCCTCTCCTGTGAGATAAAATTTTAAGAAGAAAATTTGTCTCCAGGAATCAGTCCTCCCCCAGTCTTTATTTACAATGTCTGGCTAACCTGTGGATCTGTCCGCCAATGCTACAGGATCTCATATCCCTCCGTTCTCAAATGCCTATCTTTTCCCTTCCCTTCCTCCCCACCATCAGAAAAAAAGGCAGAGGTATACACAGTCATCAGCTCCTCAAACTGATTTTATTGTAATCATCGCCATCAGTGGTGATGATTTGTCCAATTTGGACTAATTCTGCCCACCATCCTGTGGAGATCCTGCAGATATGTCTAGGTCTCCTTTCTCTTTGATTGGATCAGTGGAGCTCTCTGTAGGCTGGTTATTCTCCAGTTGATTTGAATTTCTTTTCTTATTCTTCCTGCAGTAAAACACTAATGTTGGATATTTTGCTTTTTCTGTCTCTTTCAAACTCTGTTCAGGGGCTGAGGCTCTGTGCAGATTCTTCTTCTTCTGGTAAAAAAACAGGGAGAGGCCAGAATGGTGTTATTTTGGATGAAGAGGGTAGAGAATAGATAGCAAGGGGGGCTTTATAAGAAGGAATGCAGGTTGAGGAAGGGGCTTGTGCCAGAGAAGAGCAAGGTGGAATCATAGGGTAGGGATCTATGGGGAAGAAGAGGAGCATGGGTAGGGTCATCTGTGTTACTCCAAACTGCATGACTTTGTAAGCTCCCTGCTATTATGCAGACCTCGGTCAAAGTGAAACATTCCATGGGGGTTCAGGCCATGAGAAACATCCTGTCTAACCACTTGACTACAAGGTGGACAAAGGCCCAACTAAGAAACATTGCTATCATATCTTTCTGGGCAAAGGTCCAAGAAACACCACAATGACATCCCACAGGAAAAAGGGTCAAACCACCTGATCATAAGAATATCTTATCAATATCCTGCCAGGCAGCATCCCATACTGCCCAGCTGCCTCCCACCAATACCTGTAAGTACCCCAGCCTGTAAGTGGTAGTGGGCTCTGGCATTAAGCTGGTCCCCCACTTCTGCAGCTGTCGGCAATATACCTGTGTTGCTGTTTGAGTGGTCCCCTCTTTGTGTGTCTTTAACCCTTGCCTTCCCTTCAAAACCTAACATTTTGGTGCCAAAACCCAGGATGGGGATTGAGTTCTACCAGGTAAGTCTTCTTTGCATCCTGGAAGGCAGCAAGCAGCAAAAACTAGACCTGAGCCTGCTTCCATATCCTGAGTGGACTACCTGTTCCCAGCCCCGTTCTCCTTATTCTCTCATTTTCTCCAGTCCTGGGCTGACCTCTAGGTCCTGATCAAACTCTCCATCCTCTGCTTCCTTACCCTTTCTGGGTGGCTCCAGTAAGGATCACCCCCATTGCTGGATCTTACATCCAACACCAGTCTCCAGTTAGTGGGTGAATCTCCCTTTTCCTCCTTTCCAGATTTTTCTCTATTTCTGCTGGTTCTCCAGAAAATCCTAGCACTGAGTTGGAGGTCTCCCTGGTCACCAGGTGACCGCAGCCTGCCTTCTCAGGGGACACCTTCAGAACGCTCACCACTCCAGCCACTCTGGCCTCTAGGGGACTGTGAAGAGCTGCCACAGCTCTTTGGTACATCCCAGCTCTCCTACGTCCATTCTCCTGGGAGGAATTGGGTAGTCACTTTTCTCCGGGGTATTCACTCCCCTTCTGGGCACTCACTCTTTTCTGGGATATTAACTCCCTTCTGAGGTACTTGCTTCCCTCTGGGGTATTCACTACCCTCTGGAGATACTCATTCCCTTCAGGGGTATGCACTCCCCTCCTCCAAACAACAAAACTTTCAACTTCCAAATTGAACATAATCTAAAAACTTTCTCTAATGCAATGGTAAAGGATCAAAAGTGCTTTGCTTATCTCCGTTCATGGATTGCTCTCTCTCTCTGCCAATCTTTTTCCCCTTTTCAAATCCTCCTCCTCAATGAAAAACCCGCAAAAATGCCTCCTCCTCAGGACAAGCCTTTCTCCTCTAATTTCAGCCTGGTTAAAAAAACCCCTATCTCAGTCCCCCTCCCAACATCATTTCCTCCTTCTTCTCCTTTGGCTCTGGCTCCTCCACCCCTTTACTGTCGCCCTCCATCCCCTCTTCGTTCTCCACCACAAACCAGGTCTCACACCCACCCCCCTAGTGCTGAAAACCAGGCACACACCCAAAGGCCTTCCAAAGCCCTTCCCTTGCAGGAGATCATGAGGGACAAAAGCATAATCTGAGATCATGTTCCCATCTCTCTAGCCAGCCTCTCCCATTTTAAAAGAGACTTGGCTCCTTTATCCAAGGATCCCATCTCTTTCCACAAGGAATTTTTGTATGCCACTCAATCTTACGACCTTACCTGGCAAGACACGTATGTCATGCTCTCCTCCACCCTCTCCCCAGAAGACAGGGAATGCATCTGGATGGCTGTCTATGCCAATGCAAACACCCTCCACCAACAACATGCTGCCCATAACCCAATAGGGACCCTAGCTGTCCCCAGGACTTACACCAATTGGAATTATCAGGCAACTTCTGCAGACAGACAAAAACAAGGCCATACGATATCATGCCTTCTAGCTGGCATAAATAAAGCTGCCCATGCTCTTTTCCTCTACTGCCTTTCAAAAGCCCTGATACCAATAAGGGCAAAATCCACCTTCATTTACACTTTATCTCCCAGTCAGCCCCCGACATCCAAAAGAAACTTAAAAAAACTGGAGGATGGCCCTCAAACCTCCCAAAGACACTTAATTGAAGTGGCATTTGAGGTCTTTAATAATAGAGAAGAAGAACTAAAAACACAAAAAAGGACCAGGCTAAATACCAAATGCTGGCAGCTGCCATTCAACAGGGTTCCCAATTCATACAGAAGTCCTCAGTGTTACAACAGTCACTGCCAGGAGCCTGTTATAAGTGCAACCAACAGGGACATTGGGCAAAAGCCTGCCCTAATCCCAGGACACCCAGGAAACCTCGCCCCATCTGTGTTATCAAGGAACACTGAAAGTCAGACTGTGCTCAGGAAAACTTTTCATCCCGCTTGCTTCATAACCTCTAACTGAAGACTGACAGGGCCTGGAGTCTGCCCCCACCCCCCTACCACCATCACCACCTCAGAACCCAGGATAACACTGTCAGTCTCTAGTAAGCCCGTGTCTTTCCTATTGGATACAGGGGATAGTTATTCAGTTTTACCAGAATATTCTGGACCTCTCCTCAGTTCCTCTGTCTCTATCGTGAAAGTCAATGAAATCCCCTCTAGGCACAATCAGACTGGTCCTTTATTATACAATCTATTCAACACCCTCCTTCACCACTCCTTCCTGGTTATCCCTCAGTGCCCTACCCCTATCTTGGGGTGGGAAAGTTAAGTAAATTCCAGAACTCCATGCAATGCGGCTCCTACAATTCTACTTTTATTTTACTCTGCCACCAAAATGCTTCCCTCTCCTCCCCCTCATCTTCATTATCCACCGTTACCTTCTGTTAATTCTAAAGTTTGGAACGTTTCTAAACCCACAATAGCCACACACAACATCCCAGTTAAAATAACCCTTCAATCTCCTCCACTTTCCTTCATCAGTCTCAATATCCCCTTAACCCAGCTGGCCTCAGGGCCCTCAAGCCTATTATCTGTAAAGTTTAACAAGCTCAGATTCTCAAGTCTGTCAACTTTCGCTACAACATGCCTATCCTGGCTGTCCAAAAGACAGATGGATCTTGCCTGTTGGTCCAAGATCTTGGAGTTGTTAACCAGGTGATGGTACCAATTCATTAGGTGGTCCCCAACCCATATACTTTACTCTCCCATATTGCCCCATCTACCATACACTTCTCTGAATTGGATCTAAAAGATGCCTTTTTCACTATTCCCTTAAATCTGGCTTCCCAAAGTTTTTTTTTTTTTGCTTTCATGTAGTCAAATCCTAATACTCACACTTTCACCCAACTGACATGGACCATACTCCCACAGGGGTTCCAGGATAGCCCCCACCTATTCAGACAGGCCCTCATCGAGGACCTAGCTGAACTTCCCCTTCATTTTAGCACCCTCCTCCAATATGTCAATGACCTCCTTCTCTGTAGTCCCTCCCATAACCTGTCAGTCCAACACATCACTAAGGTTTTAAACTTCCTCCATAATTGAGGATGTCGGGTGTCACCCACAAAAGCTCAGATAGCCCAAACCCAGGTTACTTACCTTGCGTTTCTCCTACCCCCTAATTCTTGGGCCATCCCAACCCAACAAAATGAGCTAATTCAGGACATGCCCCTTCCCTACACCAAAAAGGACCTCTTCTCCTTCTTGAGCCTTGTGGGATACTTCCAGCTGTGCATTCCCACCTTTGACTTGCTGGCCAAGCTGCTTTACACGGCCTCACATGGGCCCATCTTAAAACACCTGAACCCAGCTTGCCCCATCAACTCCCACTTAAAAAAAAAACAAACTAAAAAATGCCCTTTTAAGGGCCCTGTCAGTGGGACTGCCTAACCCCACTAAGCCCTTTACTTTGTATGTACATTCTGACCAAGGCCTTGCTCTTGGACTACTCTGCCAAATATACGGCGACGCCCCAGAAGCCGTTGCATACCTCTCAAAACAACTGGACTCTGTCATCCAAGGCTGGTCACTCTGACTAAAAATCTTGGGTGTGTCCACATTGCTGGCCTTAGAGGTACAGAAACTCCCTCTTTACCAACACATTACTAGTGCATCTTCCCATTACCTACAGGACCTCATAAACTGTGAATCCCTTCCATCCCTCCCATCATCCCACTTATAGCAGGTACATGCCTTACTCATAGGTAACCCTCTAATCACCTTCCAGAGATATAAAACTCTCAACCTGAACACCCTCCTCCCTGTTAATATCTCTAACTCTAAGCTCTCTCACTCCTGCCTGGACCTCTTAAACTTCCTCTCCTCCCGCTTCCAACATATTTCAAAAGCTCCTTTGCGGGGAACGCCTACATGGTTCATTAATGGAAGCTCTTTAAGGGAGCCATGTCCAGCAGCTGTCCACGTCACCATTACCAAAACTGAGCTCCTAGAATCCAATGCTCTCCCACTCCATACTACCTTTCAACAGGCAAAGCTAGTAGCCCTAACCCAGGATCTCACCCTAGCAAACGGAAAGAGAGTTAACATTCACACCAATTCCAAATATGCGTGGTACATCCTACACTCTCACACCTTAATCTGGCAGGAAAGGGGTTTTCTAACTACAAAAGGAACCCTCATAAGAAATAGGAAACTTGCACACAAGCTGCTGGAGGTGGCTAACCTACCACCGCAGGCCACCATTATCCATTGAAAGGGACACCAAAAGGCTACAGATGCCATAACAAAGGGAAACTTCTAAACACGTTCAGCAGCCTGGCAGGCAGCCCTTAAAATTTCATCATTATTACCCATTTTTCCCAGCATACAACCTGTATATACCCACGCGGAACAAACCCCACTTGCCCGGGCTGGCACCATTCAGGAAAAAATAGTTCTACCTCAATGATGAAAGTGTCTTGTCCAAGTATTAAAAACCTTCTGTACTTTTATACGTGCGCAACCATTTCCATGCCAGTTACTGCCCCTACTCCAGCTTTTAAAAGCTTAAATACATTCTTCGACCATGGCTGCCAATCTGAAAGATATTACTAAGACATGTTCCCTTTGCACTTAAACTTCCCCTCAGGAAGCTATCAAACCATCTCCTTTCCCACACACCAGGCCTGAGGACACACACCAGGGCAGGACTAACAAATCAGCTTCACCCACATGCCTCCCAACAAATGATTCCTATACCTTCTGCTAATAGTAGATACATTCTCTGGATGGATAAAAGCTTTTCCTACCACCACCGAAAAGGCACACCCCATCACTTCTATTCTCTTCACTCATATTATCCACAGGTTTAAACTCCCCTCTTGGATTCAGTCAGACAATGGGCCAACATTTGTTTCACAGGCTAACCAACAGCTGGCAAAGGCTCTAAACATTAAGTGGGCCTTCCATATTCCTTACCTCCCCTAATCTTCATGTAATTAAAAAACAAACAAACAAACAAAAACTCCCTAGAGGTTAAAACGGCCCAGGCTTCACTTCTCTTACTGGTCCTCATGCATTTATGAGCCATTTCCTCAAATCCCCTCAGCCTAAGCCCTATTATCCCCAGCCCAAAAGTCCATCCTCAAAACACTCCTCCCTGTCCCTACAACCAGGGGACTGGGTCTGAATCGCAGACTCCTCCTCCTCCCCTCTCCAACCTAAGTGGACGGGTCCTCAGCAGGTTATCCTAACTACTCACACAGTGGCAAAGCTAACATCCTTCCCACACTGAATACACCATTCCAAACTAAAAAGAGCACCAGATCCACATCTAGAAATTTCCTCACCCCCAAATTACTCTCTCTCCCTCACAGGACCAACCTCACTGCACTTAACAAGAATTCCAGAAGTTGCCAATCCAGAATGCCCTAGTGCATAACAGTCTCCATCTCCAATTTCCAATCTTTTATCTCCTACTTTATTTCAGATCTTTCCTGGTGTCCCTTCCCCATGTCCCTGGATAGCCCATGCCAATTTCCCACAGTAATGCAGGAGGTATGACTGCAGGGCGCCTTCCAAAATTTCACTCCTACTCAAATCTCCTTTTTCTCCTTTTGCCCTTTTTGTCTGTGGAATATTCTAAGTCCCCACCCCCAACCTCTAACAGTTGAGCCCCCTTCATCAGCCTAACACATTGCCTCTTAAATCAGTCACACTCCCTCCCGTCTTTCTTCCAACTGTTAAATTTGTTTGTCCACACAAATCCAGCAGTTCACAGCCCTTCCTTTCAAACTGGCCACGTAAACCCAGTCCAAAATAAACCTGCATCTCACCTACTTGGCCAATTCATTCTCAAAACCTGTTTATAATCTTGCTCAGCTAAACACCTTTCTCCCCAGTCTATCAGATCCACCCACACTGTCACACACAGGGCTGTCACCCTCCTTCGCCTCATAGCCAGCCTCTTAACTGAACACGATACAAGCTGGATCCCATAAAACACCTCTTACCAACCCCTCCCCTCTCTGCCAGAGCCGCTCTTCATGTATCCAACTCAACAGCGCTCCCTGGAAAAAATGCACAAACAATTCCCTCAACTGCAACCTATATCCTTCTGCCATATCAGGACCGCAATGACTATTAGTTACAAAAACCCATTTATCTCTCTCTCTCCAAAACCAAACAGCCTTCAACTCCTCCCCCACCAGCATTTTCTGTCATGCCCTCACAGGGCCTACCCTTGCTGGCAGCTATTCAACTTGGAAAAGCATAAAAGTTAAAACAAAGGGTTTGTGCAGAATTCAACCCCCATCTTCTCATGACTTGCCACCATAAGCTACAAC